>NC_000007.14:35240242-35865242 GCF_000001405.40 Homo sapiens
TTTCCTTTGAGTGTCATGTCAATGTTCAAAAACGTTTCAGATTTTGGAGCATTCAGATTTTGGGTTTTTGGATTAGGGATACTCACCCTGCATATAACTCAATAATATAAATTAGATATCTTGATGTTACATACTATGGTTTACTATCTAAAAAGACATTTAAAATCATTTTACCAGAATTATCTCACCCTAAATTATAGCTGAATAAACCTTACAAAATATCTAAAGTATCAGCAGTTTGGGCAGTTGGATAGAATAGGTGTGTTTAATTGAGCAGAGAAACTGAACTTTTAAATTTTATGAAGCAACAAGAACATGGTTATACATGTTACCAGGAGGAGGAAAAGGAGGCAAGTAACTTTCTGGAGAAGAAAATGTGAGAAGGCAGATTGGGGTAGGTGTGGGTGGGGAAGTGGGCAGTTAAAAACCTGACCCATAATGTAGAGATTCTAGAAACTATAGTGTAATACACAGTCACTCAACACACTCTTAGAGTTCCTAGCCCTGAAACTCAATAGCTCTCTGCAAAGTGAACATCCATTTTGAGTACTGGGATATCTCTTCTCTCCAAGAAAATATAAGAACCTCCTAAATCCTTCTCTTATGCAGGAACTAAATTGTGAACTGTACACTCACCAGTTGATTCTGGTAGGCAGTGACTGCCGTAAAAACTGTTTCTGGAAAGATGAAAGTTCTAAATTCTTCAGACTTCAGGTTGAGCAATGAGGCTGTGTGGTCTTTCTTCTTAATGATGTGCACCCTTGGCTGGTACTTATGCATTGAGTTCAAAATTATCTACAACAAAAAGATGGGAAGTACTGAATTTTACATACTTATACTGCTAAACAGGCCAAATTACAGTGAGGCAAGAAAGAACCAAATGGTCTACAATTTCAAAGTCAATTTTAAGATATGGATCTACCCTTTCCAGCCTTAAGGCAAATCATTTTCACAAGATACTGCAGAGTCATTGTTGTGAATCACATTTTACCAAAACAACTGCAAACCACACAGGTTGTTTCAAGTGTCCTTTCTAAAATGGTAAGGGGAGAGGTCATCTGAAGGATAAGTTTTACCTATTTTTAAAAATCACGTCTTTTAAATACTTTTGGTTTGCTAGTCTAGTTAGACCAAAGGACGCATGTCTAAATTTTCTAAAATAAGAAATCACATATTCTAAGAGGCCAGATTATTATTTATGGAGAAAAAAATAAAAGAGTTTAGAAAAGCAGTGGGGTGTTAGACAGACTTGGGTAAAAATTTTGAATCTGTCAGTTTCTAGTCCTTTAATCCTTAGCCAGGTGATCTCATCTCCCCAATTCCTAGTTTTCTCATATGCAGAAACAGTACTAACCTTGTAGGGCTGGCACAGAGGAAACAGGAAGTGCTCAGTAAATGTGAACTGTATTATTATTAGTAATAGAAGGAGTATTTATGACAGCTTCCTTGATTTCTAACTTCTAGTTATTAAACCAAACTTGAATCATGATAGCCATCTTCCATTCTGCAGCTAGTAAAAGTTGCCAAGTACTCAGAAATCATAAACACACCCTTGTTAACAAGGCAGCCAATAGGTAGTATTTTTCATATATCTTTTAAATAAAATATAAAAGCTAGCCATTATGAATCAGGGCAATAAAATTCAATTTCAGATATAAAAGGTTTCCCACATCTTCCCTCCTGTCACCCAGACAGCTATCTAAGTCTGCAAAATTTGGGGGTATGTCTTTCCGGGGATGAGAGGGCTCACATTGCATGCCCTCCTCTCCAAGGAGCTAGCAGAAAGCGGGACTCTCAGGAGACATCTGACTATAAACAGCCTGGCAGGAGCAATGGCACTCTCTGCTGGTTGCTGCTGCTAGTCATGCAACTGATGGCTCCCCAGCTTTCTTGGCTAACCTGGGCAAGGGGCATGAGTGTTTCTGCCGATTGACTTTAGCAGAGTTGAATACTAGTCACTGTGGGATAACTGATATATAATCGCTCGCTCTCTGTGCTGAGATGTAAGCCAGCCTAAAGTTACGGGGTTTTAACTGCGATTGAATTTTGAACATGCTGCCTTTTTATGATCTCAAACTGGAACAGGAATAACTGAAACAAAGGAGATCTTTAAATGAATCAAAATAATGTTTTTGAATGATAATATGATCTGTTTGCATAATACATTTATTCAAAGGATTTCAAGCGATTGATCCTCAGCCAAATACTTGAATAAAGTTGAAGCAGCAAAACCAAACATTTTCCTCCTATCACTAATATAAGAAAAAAAAATTAACATTCATCATATATTCTACTGGGAAGATAGGAAGAATTTTCAAATCACACCCACCCACCCATACGTACACATACCAAAATGGAACAAGCCCTAAGCTTTAAATAAGCTGCTTCTTTCCCCACTTCTACCACCTGAAGGTTAATTTCCTTTGGGAAAGGTTACTGGACAGACTCAGACCCCAGACTGAGCCTCTAAGACCCCAGAGCTCCCTGAATCTCTGCTCAAGCCCTCCTGTGACTTGAAGACTAAGGAACACTAATAGAAACGTGGACTCTGCTTCACTCAAGAAATAATTCTTGAGAATATGAAAGTTTCCTTTTCTGAAACTAAAACTGCATCTATAAGAGAGGCTTCTTCAGAACCTATTCAAAGAAGCTAGCTTAACAACACAAGATCTAAAAATCTTTCCTTGTATTAATAGGTTTCAGAACACACTAATTCTGGTGACAAAGGGTTATATTAAATATAATTTTTTTTTGAGACAGGGTCTTGCTCTGTCACCCAGGCTGAATTGCAGTGGCACAACCACAACTCACTGCAGCCTCGACCTCCCAGGCTCAAGTGATCCTCCCACCTCAGCCACCCAAGTGGCTGGGACTACAAGTGCATGCCACCACATCCAGCTAATTTTTTGTTTTGTTTTGTTTTCATAGAGATGGGGTCTCTCTACGTTGCTCTGGCTGGTTTCAAACTCCTCAGATCAAGCAATCTTCCCAGGTCAGCCTCTCAAAGTGCTGGATTGCAGGTGTGAGCCACCGTGCCTGGCCAGTATAAAAGTTTTAAAGCTAAAATGCATATAAGAAACCATCTAAGACTAACCAGTTTTTTAAGGTATAATCTTGGTATAATCAGGCTAGACCCTAGAGCTTCTGAAATCTGGTTTAGAGCTATTACTACCCAACGAAGCTGATGCTAAAAGGAAAGCATTTCAATTATGGACAATGGATCTCAAAATGACTCTGAAGTCTTTTTGGAAAGACTCAAATAATTCCTCTAAAAGCTTCACTTATAGAAAATTCTAGAATCATAAAAGAATTCCATCTTTCCCTGCAAAAATTTCCATTAAAGTTCAAGAAATTTTAATATAAATGACATTAAGAATGATCACTGACCTACAAAAAAATCACTCCATACTTCATAAATTCTAAACTGAAAAAAAATTTATCAGTGGAAGCATGTTAAAAAAAACAAAAGAAAATTATGCCAATAACCTTAAAGATAAAGATCAACTATCTTTCTTTTTCAATACACAAAAAAACAGAAGCATATTAAGTTACTTCCAATATCCCAACAGCACCACCAGTAGAGTCGTGAGTTAAGTGGGTACCCTGACTTGGTTGTAATAAACACAGTCTCCTGTGGGCAGAGGGATAGTGCTAGCGCCTAAAGTGATTTATTTAGTTCCAGGTTTAATCCAACCATATGAAACCAAACCTAGAACTTTCTTATTATCTCCTTATGACCATCTTTGTTGAGAAAGGTCTTCAAACACTTCCTCTAAATTGCATAGATTTGATCCTTACACATTGTATATATGTATCCAAATATCACATGTACCCCATAAATATGTACAATTATTATGTATCAATTAAAAATTATTAAAAGAAGAAAAAAATTATGGAAGTCCATCTAAAGTTTTCTTAGCATAAAATCTAAGACAGAATTTTTATGTGTATCTTTATTTAACAGCATGAAGTAACATCCCAGCAATGCCTTAAAAAGGCATTTTATCAAATATGTAAGGACCTGCATCATTGACTATTTGTTCTATTAAACTACTGATAAGAACACAGAGTTAATTTTTCTTTTTTCCACATTTTCATAAACTTTATACTGACACAAAATCAAATTGTTTTGTTTTTAATTACAGGGCTTCTTTATGCTTTAATATTCATGAAACTCTCCAAAAAAAAATGGTTACATAATGAGTAAACAGCACTTTCCCAAACTGATTTGGACATAAAATCCTTTTGTTATTTCATCTCACATACATATGTTCTATAGACTACACTTTGGGAAACCCCCATCAGAGGTCCTAGCCCTATTCTCTCTAAGTTTTATTATCTGCTATGCTGCTGACAGAAATTAGATGCTTAACCCAACAACAGGCTGTAGCAGCCTCCAAAAATGTATATTCCCTTAGTTTAGTTGGCTCGGGTGGTACAGCAATTTCAGAAGCCTTAGGAATTCCATGGAACAGAAGATCCCTGACCTTCTTGCATAGAAATGGCACACAGCATTCCCGTAAATGACCTATTACAAAATCAGTCAAGGTCCCCTGAAGAACACATAAATGTTCCCATAAAATGACTCAGAGATAGAAGGTGGGAAGGGGATAGGGAAGGCAGGAAGGGACTCAGAGAGAGACAGTTTTGTGCGACCTGTCCATTCTACCTCAGGGAACCTGCACAGTCCAAGGCATGGTACTTACATGGCCATGTTGATCCAGTTCATTGTTGGTGAGTTTCACCTTTTCAAAAGACACCATCTGTTTGAGTAGTTGCTCACCGGTAAAAGGAGAATCTGGATGCACATAGAGCCTAAGAAAATTAGGAGAAAACTTTATTGAGACTTCTTTAAAAAGTCTGTCTCTGTAGGTTATAAAATGTTCTAATTCTAAGGGAACACATAAACCATATATAAGTGGGAAATTTTATTGCCCTATATACCTCAAATTTATTACTATTGCAATGTCAAAACAACTGAAAAATGTCTAATTATTTCTTCATGTACCAATTATCTAAATGAGATAATACTTAACAAATTTTCTATTAAAAGCTGAGCAAGGCATTGTTTAAAGGGGTGTGTGTGTGTGTGTGTGTGTGTGTGTGTTTTCATCTATCTAGTCAACTACTGGTCTGCTTCGATCAAACGCAAAATCTTCTTGTTGAAGGTGCTTTCAAAAGAAAAACTAGCTTACACTAATCGCATGAGTTCCTATTATAAACATCTCTTAAATAACAGTGAAAACATAAATAATTTAAAAGAGAAAATAATTTTAGAGAATCCATTTATTTAAACTTAAAGTTTTAAAGTTTGTGTTCTTTGTAAATATAAGATGGAGCAATTTTAATATAGGGACATGGAGAACTCCCAGTAGTCCACCGATCAGCTAGGATTCTGTTCTTCCTGTTACATTAAACACTACTGCTTTCATCATTATCTGTTTATGTGCTCACTAAATGAGAGTTAAAACAAGCTAGACACACTTCACATTATTCAATTTATTTATCTGTAAACAGTGTAAGCCAAAAAAAAGCTCTCACATCTTTTACGCACTCACAGTTAAATGCAGGTCACTTTTTCTACCTGTGACAACGCCTTAAATGCAGCTCTTTGTAAGTCCCCATCCTGGTATCTTCTTGACTTAAGTCTTTCTGAAGTCAGAGAGAGACTACAGAACTAATGAAGGGGAAGCAAAATCCTTGATTTAATAGGACAAATTCCTTTATCCACGTAAAAGGTTATTTACACCTAAATTTTATATAGGATCCTTATAACTACAATTAAACATAAATATTTTTACTAGGGCAAAAGCAAGGGATAAGAAGTCATAAAATTTTTCTTGCATTATTCATGTAAAGAACAAGAAATCTGTTCCATGGTTTGTCACACAGAGGACTACGAATAGAAGAATTCTGTACAAATGCTGAAACTTACAAAGCCCACCAGGAGCAATGCACAAAAAAGGTTGACAGCACCAAAGACTCTTACCAGACCTACAGAGGAACTGTAAAGGCTTCAGGCATTTGTCTGCCTGTTAATTCCACTGTTTTTAGGAGGATTGCTCACAGTTGCCTTTCAATTATTCTTTGATAACACAACCACTTTTCAAGTACCATCCTTCCAAGACTGTAGCTTTATAGGTGCAATTGTTTTACTGATCAGAACCACATTCCTCCCTCTAAAAAAGTCCAAAATTATTTAAAGTCCTAAAGTTGATGAAATGTTCCCTCTCTAAGGATCACATTCACCACATGTAATGGCTATTAATAAAATATTAATGTAATTAAATATTATGTACTTTAAAGAAAAGGAGATGTCCTATATGAAAAGGTAACATTATTTTAGATCATAAGTAATATCTTGCTTATTATTACAATCAAGTGATACTGTCAAGCATTATTTCTTCCGATTAGGAATGACTGACCAATGAACTTCAGCCTGAACTAAAATGCTTCAAAGTCCTAAAACCATGGGAAATTTTTGCCATCAGTATAAAAATTATCATCTCCCAAGTTCTTCGTTTTTCTCTTATGGAGATAGATAAGTAGCAAACTATTTATTTTAATAATAATAAAGAATAGTTGCTAAATTATCTATTTTTTATCCCATAATAAGCTAAACATTTTTATTTAATATCAATCTAAAAAAGCTGAACTAGGATTAATGAAAAAATATACAGGAAGCCCCTCCTCTCAAGTCCCCCAGAGACTTAAAATTCCAGCAATAGCTTAAACATGCTTCAGTTAAGATAGTGTATTGGTACACACTTTTTTTCTCCAACCAGAACAGATTAGTAACATAAACAAGGCATGTCATATTTCCAAAGTCCTGCTGGCCTGCATCAGCTCCCCATACCTTCAGATAGGAAGAAAATGTATGTTTAATAAGAGTGATTAACTTCTTAGAGGAAAGACTGGAGGGCAAAAAAAAAAAAAAAAAAAAAGAGGGTTTGCTTGTAGAAAATGGTTAGGAATCTGCCAAAATACTCTCTCAGGTTTAAAACGGTATTGAAAAGTTTGGAAGGTAGCTAAAGAATAATAGTAAACTATTTAACAGTAAATAGAAGAGAACACTAATTTTATTAATTTTAATATCTATTATAAACTGGTGAATCTTGCTCAACTAAAAAAAAACTAATAGCAATTGTTTTTTAGATTTTCTTAGTCTTGACTGTTATTTAATATACTGATTTGAAAGGGCTGGGAAGACGCCCTTTCTGGTCTCTTCCGAGAATGGAAAACTCTGAGAGATTGCTTTTAATCTCTTTTCTAGTGCACTTAGCATACGATAAACTCAATAATATAATAAACTACTAATTAAGCTGAATATTCTATCTGAACCATATGTGTAATTGTCTGTTGATTCTCTGCCTTGACTATGACTCCAGACTAGACACAAAGTACCAGCCGTAACTTAACAGTTCCCAAATCTGTACATTTAAATAAGTTCTTAGCTCTGATACAAACTTTCAATCAATCACAAAAAATTAGTCATTAAACAACAAAAATTAGTCATTAAACATAAACAACAAAAATTAGTCATTAAAGAAAAGCTATGAGGCTGGGTTTTAAAATCCCAAACATAAAGTCAGCTAATATGTTTTGTTTTGTATTAAAGTAGGCAGTTACATTCCTGTAACTTCATCTATTATTCTTCATATAAGCAAGTATATGTTTTCCTGTTAGAACTCTCATTTAGTTAAAATAATAACAGTAAAGGTTTGCATGTGCTTTTTTAAGGATGGTACTCCTGGAAAAACTGTATTATTAGCAATGAATTTCACAAGAGTAAATATGCATGATCCCTAATATGTTAACTGAGGAATGTTTCATGTAAAAGAACCAGTTATTGAATTACATTCATCCACTAAAATTATAAAGGGAGAAAATAAGACTTGGCTTTATTTTTTTACTTAAAAATCTCTGAACCTTTATTGGTCAAAAACAACTGAATTTTACCTAAATGTTGTTTATTATATGCAGTTATAACCATATGATTAACAAATACTTACTGTAAGCAACGATTTTACTAAAATACACTCTTCTAAAAAGGATTTTAGGACAACCATTTCATCAGTAGGTTTATTCACTCTGGTTTTAAGCAGCAATTAGAGAGGATGTCTATATTTATATTTATACAAAATGGGTCCACATTTCTAATGAATACTCAAATTGAAATTTAAGAAAAACTTTGAAATGAATTACTGCCTAACGAAACATAAACTTAAAGACAGTGTTTTCTCTATGCACAAACTACCTTTCTCAGAGCCTAGCCCATGTTTTGTGTAGTCAATCCTGGAGTGTCCAGGCTTGGAATGCTCTCTTGCCAGAGCCCGCTGCTTTAAAAATACACTTGCTTAAAATTCACACAAGCCAGAAACATTCTGACAGATGCACTAACAGTTTTCTCAGTGAAAAATCTGGAGGCACGAACCTGGCTGGCAACGGCGGGTCGGCCTTGCCAGCCACCAGCCAGGAGGACCGGTGGTAGGCGTAGCGGTACCTCTTGTTGTCCACAGGGACGATGTCCATCAGGACTATGTACTTGGCCTCAGGATCCACCCCCGAAAAGGACACCCGGATGGTTGGAAACATCCTCCTGACAGAGAGAGAGAGAGAGAATGGGCCCTGTTTATGCTGCCTAATAAACTGACCTGAATTAGGAAGAGAGGAAGGGAGGGAGGGAAGGAGGGAAAGGGTCTGACTCCCCTCTCTATCCGGTCCACAAACCCCTCTTTTGTTTTGTTTAAAGCCTCAGAGAAGTGAATACAGAGACAGGGTTTTCTTCCAAGCCTAGATAATTTTAAGTGTCACCTTTAAGCAGGTGTTAATTGCTAGGTGAAAAGGTGGGGGTGGGGGTGGGGGTATGTGTTAACTCCAGAAGGTCTGTGATTAGGGAAAATCCCATGCATTTTAACGATCAAGCACATTAAGTGTCCCAGGACCCGAAGTCCCTGGAGCTGACCCAGTCACACAACTCACCCGCATCCCAGCCAGAAAACTCTGCTCTTGCAAAATAAAAGCCAAAAGCAGAGGTTTCTGGGAAGGATTTCTCAGATGCCCTGCAGGTATTTTCTGTAGTCCCAAGAGCTAGAGCCACCAAGTTTTGCCAGCCTCTGCCCCATCCCAACCTCCCTGCAGCCCTGCAGCTTCCTGCCTGGCCAAAGCCCGCCCGGCTCTGGCGCCAAGAGGCCCCGAGCAGTGCTCCTTCCTACAGGGAATTTTATCGTTTCAAATTTCATTCTTCCGCCCAGGTTTTAATTTTAGTTTTTAATGGGAGCTGGCAGCTTTTGCAAATTGAGGCTGATAAAAGGGAAGCTACTCACCTACCTAGAAGCACCCAGCAGCTCACCAGGCACCCAGGCACAAATTCCTCCTCCTTCCAGATCCCGACCCTCCACCCGCCAAACCTTCTCCAGCTCCAGGGAAAGCAGACCACACCCTTCGGGGTTAGTGTGTCTCCCTGGTCCCTGTGCCCTTCTCAACAAAGCCAGGGTGGGGCTTCCCATGACCAAATCCTGAGAACGCAAATGACTAGACATCCTGTAGCTCCTAATGCAAGCTGGTGGAAAGCAGCTGCCCTGGAGCCAAGCTGTCTCTCCGCTCCATGACCAGCCAGCTCTCATCTAGTTCCTGGAAGCACCCTCAACTACCCAGGGAGTGTCCTGACTCTCCACCCCCAACCCCCAACCCCCAAGTCCCAACTACCTGCCCGACTTGGTGATGATCATCTCGGTGCCCAGCTCATGGAATTTGTCCCAAAGCTCCTTGGTCTCCAGGCTGCAGGCAATTTTGGCCATTTCCTCACTGGGGATGATGGGGGTGGTGGGGATCAGTGGCTCAGTGCACAGAGAGGAGGAGGACGGGCTGCTGCCACTGCCTCCACCAAACTCCCCATGAGCATCCAGGCTGGTCAGCTCACCCAGGGGCTGGGCACAGGACGACTTCTCCACAAATTGCTCTGGAGGTAAAGAGAATTGTGAATGACAGCTGACACTGTTCAACAAGGAAAGATCTGGAAAGAACAGCATAACCAAATGGTCACTTGGATTTGACTCAGGAAAAGTTAAGCTCAGAAACTCCAGGCAGGCTGTAGGGATGACCCATCATCACTGTATAAAATTACCTGGGATTCCCACGGAGTAGCATGCCCAGTGTTTCCTGACCAAGCTAGTGAGTTCTAGAATGACTGCTTTTCACCACCAGTACTGCAGCCCACTTTGGGAAATAAAAATGTAAGAGTGGAAGAAGGGAAGGGTGATGATCATGAGGGATGAAAAGCAAATATTCCTATTGTCACCCCTCCCAAATTCTAGACTTCGTAGCTCATGGAACTGATGCCAGTCCTGCCTCTTTGACAACCAGGAGAACTTTTTCTCAACGGAGACAAAGGGAGTGAAGAGATCAGCACCTTCCTCACCTGGAGAGGAACTTTCCTTCCTTCCTGGAGCCCTCTCTCCATAAGAGAAAAGGAAAGGAGGATAGGAGGGTAAAAGAAAAATGGGGAATGTGGTTTACAAAAAATCAGTTACTTCACCTCTGTGCCTGACTTTCAGTTTTCTAGGCTTTATGATGAGAGTTAGAACATTTTTATAATATTCTTCCCAGCCTGAGATCTTATGAAAGATGCTAGCATACAGCTTGCTAAATCACAGGAGCAGGTTCTGTGGGCCATTTTCAGAAGAGGCTTAGAACAATTACTTGAGGGGTGAGGTATAAAATTTTTCTTTCTCCCAGAAAGGTCCTAGAAGTGAGGACAACAACCTCAAATCCAGACCAGCAGTGTATTAAAGTGAGAAGAATGCTCTGCCATCCACCACCAGGTTGGAATACTGCTGCCTATGAACCAAACATTCTCCCCCACAGCTGATAAGGGCCTGGGACTACACCAGTCACTTTGATGGAATACAGGGAGACTTCTGTAATTGTCCCAATTATCTTCCATCCCTTAAAAAAGAAACTACTTGAATTTGCAATGTGAAGTTGATCTCTTAAGTGCCCTCAAGAAATCAAAGCCAGTTCTAAATGTATGTATGTACATGTACATGATGTGTGTGGGCATATGGGACACGCACAGATCATAAGGTGTTTTATTTCCTACACATCCGTACATGAAGAAAACAGGAAACAGAGTGGTTTTACTTTTACTTCTCATGCAATGATAATCCAACCCATGAAAATGTTTTAACTTAAGAATAATCAAATTAAATGCCATCCTGATTTTTTTCAGATTAACGAAAGGAAACCATACCATAACAAAATCTTATTTTCTACTAATATTTTCAGAAACACATTCACATAATGTCTTCGGAGGGAATTAAGAAGTAGTGTTAATGACTTTTTTTTCTGACAACTGAAAGAGGCAAACTCCCTAAGCCCCAGACTGACCAATGCATCAGGATGGGAAGTAGGAGAGGAAGAAAATGAAATAGAAATGCTTCAGCAGACTGAAGCTGTTCCTTTAAATAGACTTTGTATGTTTAAAAGGGCAATCCTGGGACACACTGGAATCCCCCTCCCCACTCTATAGTTTGCTTCAACAAAAGTCCCACATTCTCTCTTAACAGAACTTTTAGGTGTTTCTCTTGATAGAGTCCTTGGCTTGCAGTCACCTCTGTTGAACTGGCCAGTGTAAGCGACAAGAACGCCTGCTAGTTCTTTCAGAGCCCATCTCAAAAGCCAGGAGAGGGACATGCATTTTATACTAGTGCCTATATGTGTGTGTGGGCATGGGGGTAGGGTTGGAGTTGTGAGCTGGGCATGGCTTTAAAGTTCAAGATTTAGAATTTTCGATATAAGGTGGCTTTTCTCAGAAAAATAAAGAGAGAAGGAAGCAATGTTGAAATGACAGTGCAGCTGGGGCTGGCATGTTTCCCAATTTGCTGTCTACACTTCTGTCGGGAATCCTCTTTTCCTGCTATGTAACAAGCTGAGATGTTTACAAAGAATTCAGGGGCCCCTAAACAGCAATGTATAATGTTGAGAAGTCGCACAATATAACTTTGAAATTGTTAGTTATATTTTTCTAAACAATTGGATTTTGTTTGATTGATTGTCTCCATTCTTTGGCAGGTTTAGATTTAGATGGGAGGTGGGTGGGAAGAACCAGGGGAAGGGGGTGAAAACTTAGAGGACAGATTTTTTTTTTTTTTTGACATTCTGTTTTCTACAGATCTACTAGTTTCTTTTTCCTTGGTTTCAAGTAGCTACAGGAATTTTACTTCTCTCATCTTTAAGCCCAAACACCTTATTTTTGATCTCTAACACTTCCTTTTTTTCATGTTATCATTATTTTGGATGTGATATGTTAAGTGTGGGAAGGACAGAGAGAAGAAAGGAAAAATTGGGGAGGGTTAAAAAAGAAAAATTAACTTAAGTTTGCTATCTGATTTTCACATTGTAGTGATACCAGACGATCAGGCTGTGTAACAATTATTTCCTGGGGATCCACGAGGCAATGATGAGAACACTTCTTTTTCCCTCAGTTGTAAAGAGATTCTTAAATATTTATCTTGGGGTGGTTCTTTTCCATGTAATTCACTAGTGTTAAGAAGAACATAATCCCTGTTCTCCCTTTACTCCTAGCCTAGTGTCTTCTATAAATGGTAAAGGTTGTTAAACAAACAACATAACTAAAAGTAGAGGAATTTGAGAAATGGTTACTGGTTAGTGTTTTTGCCAACCTCAACTGAAAATGACGACAGTTATAAAATGATGTCTTGGTGATAAGTCTAGAGCTTCAGTGAATAAAATGGTTCGTGTAGGGAGAACTGGCTTATTCTGCTTTACAGTGGTTTCAAAGAGCTTGCTCTGTTTTGTCTATTCAAGTCAGAGGAAAACCAAAATTAAACTGGTTTCTTATGAAGTCCTTTAGCGTCTCCGTTTCAAACGCACAAGCAGGTGTTACATGCACAGTAAATCCTGTTGAGCCTTAAAAGGGGTTTTATTATTATTTTTCCATGAATGTTTTTAACCCAACAAACATACACACACACCATATGTCTGATCTGATATATGGATTCTAGACAACTTAGGAGACCGACGGGCCCAGATATAAGATGCACATTCACAGCATTCAACAGACTGAAGCCTCCAAAGAAAACTTGGACCCAAAAGAAAAAGATCTCCCACCCGCGATGTATGGCTCATGGCTTGAGCATCAGACGTTGCTGCGAGCCGCCTGCAGCCAGGGGCACAGACGGATGCGCAGCATCCCCAGTCCTCGGCGGACAGCCGGGTAGCCCAACTTACCCAGGGGTTTGATTGTGTTCTCCGTCGCCTCCTTCTCCTTAGAGCCGCCGCTCGACATGAGCGCGGCAATGGAGAAGGCGTTGGCCCGAGAGGAGAGTTGGGGCTTGGGGGACGCCGTGAACTCCATGGTCCCCAGCACGCGGTCCTGGCCAGGGACGGGGTCGTCCGAACTGCCGTCCAGATTCCCCAAGGGAGACAAAGACCCGAAACACAGCTCAAAGTTTCCGAGAGCAGTCACAGCGGGGCCAGGGACTCCAGAAGTGTCAGCTCCAACGACTCCAGAGCTGCACACTGGCCTCTATTCCCCACCGCAAAGCCCCAGAGCCGCAGAGACTTCGAAGGCAGCCGGAGAGGAGAGGGCCCACCGAGCACTACGGCGGGTGCGCACGCCCCGGGGCGCTCGGCAGGACGACAGTCTGCACAGCCCGAAGGCGGAAACGAGCATCAACTGCACAAAGTCCTGGGGTCCTGGAGCATCCCCTCCGCGTCCTTCCTCCCTCTGGGGCTGGGGACAGCCGGGATGTCCCAGGCTGAGGTGGCCACCAGCCGAGCGCGGCTGCTAGGACGCTGGCGTGGGGAGCGCGGCGCGGAACTACGGACAGTGAGCCCTGGCGCTCGCTGCCCTGCGCCTTAATTTGCTGGCGGCGGCGATCCCGGAGGCCCGCAGCCAGTCAGCGCCGTCTCACGTCACCGCTTCCTGATTCCGCCGCCGGGGGCGGGGCCGCGGGCCGGGCGCGGAGGGCGCGCCCAGGGTGCGGCGCCCGCGTGGCCTGTCGCCCCGGCTGTTCGGTACCCCAGCACAGGTTCAGGGAAAAGGGTGCCACCACTAGGCTGACGCAGCAGCCATGGACATCCCCACCTGGTCTCACAGCCCCGGGCGGGAGGGCGGTGCGCGCTGTCGGGAGAGGACACATCACCGCGGCCTAACGCCCGAGATCCGGGCATGGCCCAGTTGGGGAAGCTATGACCAGACCAGTGGAAGCCTCGGGAGTTCTCGCTTTTTCCATTCTTTTTCTTACCTGCGCTCAAAGTTCCAAAAGAAAGTAGGGAAGCGCTCAGTAGAATCCGGCGCCTCTGAGCCGGCGCCAACTGGCCAGGTCCATACTCGGGGCAGATCCCAGGGCTGGGACTCTCATTCGATGGTCCCAAATTTGATCTCTTTGACAGTGGGGCTGAGCAAATGCAGCCCTGAAAAAGATAAGCTTAGCGAGAGCTGCGGGCATTTGGCAAAGGATGCTGCTCTCAGAACCGTGGCTTCTGCTCCTCACCAGTGCGTCTCTAGCCTGGGGCTCCTATTTTCCCTAGAGGGACCCTGGAAAATGGGACGGCTGCCGAAGAGAAGGCGAAGGTCAGGGCGCGGAGCTCTACGGTAACCACGCGACGCGTAGTGGGAGAGTGCGAACCTTATGGTAGCGCCCGGACTAAGCGGACACAGACCCCTCTGGTTTTACAAAGGCGGCTGTGACGAGGACTTCCCACGGCCTTGTTGGAGGGCGTCCTGTTAGCCCTGCTCAGCCTGAATAACTCAAATTCTCCGAATTCGCAGGGTAATCCGCTTCGCTTGGAGCCGTGTAAACTCAGGCTGACATACACACTCAAGCTGTATATGTAAATATTTGTTCTCTTTTCCAGCCAGTCGGTCTGGCTATTAGAAGCCTCTTCGTGGGTCTTAAAATTAAAATAATAATAATAATTTTTAAAACTCCAACTTTTCACTGCACCACCCCCTACTCCTGAAATAAATTTGTGAGGGAAAACGGCAAGTTAAAATAGCTGTCGAAAACGTTTGTGTGAACAAAATGATGACATCTGGAAGAGTCGTGATTTCAGCCTGTCTTGGTCATCGTGTGTCAATAGTTTTTAACAAGGTGCTGGATGAAGGTGACTAAAAAATGCATTCTCATATCACTATCGAAGTTCGAAGTGTCGATTTATAAATGTTTGAGGAAATTCGTAAAACCATAGACTTTGGTGCTGGAAGGAATTTACGCTGTCTTCTAGCCGGTCTCCATGTGCGTTTGAGAGAGAAAAACAGGGCCCGACGTGGCAGAGCGCGCATCTCCCCCCAGTCCACCTCAGCGGCTAGAAGCAGACGGAAGGGCAGGACTCACACTCCGGGCCCCGACCCTCATCAGCCCCTGGCCCTGCAGCTGTGGCTGGGCTGTTAGCTGAAGAGCCAGAGTAGAGTTAACGACGGCTGGCAAGCAGAGGGCTTTCAGATTAAACCGCAGGATGCATCTGAGGATCCGTTTCTATTCTTAAATTTTTTGCTGGTTTTGGACAACCCAGACCCAATCCAGACCCCTTTTTTGGTTATTAAAGTCCCCCGCCCCAACCTGTCTCTCCCCAGACACACCTTCTCAATGTAAGTGACATTTCTTTGTATTGAGTGGAAGGCACACACTGATTCCTTTCCTATATCAAATGCTTAGGATTTGTCCAGAAAGAAAGATTTCCCTCAAGAAGTGGGGATTTTGGAAGGTCGGGGAATGTTATGGTTAGTCTAGACCTTGATATATGCTTCAACAGGGTGTGGCAAACCTTGTTAGCTGAATTTAGTTTTCAAAAACTTGCCGCAAAATTATACTTCATAAAAAAACCCTTTTGATTGTTTTTCTACACAGAGGAAAACAACTGTGTCTTTTCTTAATTACCTCAATGATTTTGACTGGAATATGAATAATATCATGAGAGGAACATTTTCAGAAAATTTGATGAAGCAAGGGAAAAACTGAATTGCCACAAATCTGTTTCCTCCTCCTTTCCAAGTGCCTACGCGGCCTTAGCCCAGCTCTGTGTCTCTTGTGTGCAGGAAACCCCGACTGCGCATCCTACTACAGGTAAAATACTATACAAGAAAAGATGAGTGATCGTTAGGAGGCAGGCGGCAAACGAGAGGTATTGAAAAGGCCACTTTAAACAAATCCGGGTGACCCGTTTGGGGATCTCTAGGCTATGCATCTTGTTGGTGTTGAAACCTCGGCAGTAAAACATATGCTGCAACATTATTATCGGGGGCACACCGTCCCTCCTCCTAGATTTATTGCCTTTGCAAATCAATATGATGCCATAAAAACGGGGAACCGGTTCTGGGCAGAGAGGTGCTGTCGAAGGATGATTCAAAGCCTTCCCAAAGCGGAGAGTGGGGAGTTCTGAGGTCCCTTCAAAACGCCACTGATAGCGCAGGTTAACAGGTAAAACCACCCGGGGGTTGGAACAAAACAAGCACGTTAACACATCTCTCTAGGCCCTTCTCAGGCTGACTGCTGGCAGCGGAAGCTGCTGAAGTCTTAATGTTAACTTTAACACACGCATTAGCCCGGAGACTTTGTGTAGGTTACTAAACCTCTCAAAGCTTCAGTTTCTTCATCTGCGTTAGAATAGGGCCAATAGTTCATTCCTACCTGGAAGATAGCTCTTTGGATTAATGCCCTAATGTGTATAAAAAGCCTAACACTCACAATAAACCCAACATAAGTAAAGCATAATACAGAATTTTAATCATATTTAATTTTGAACTGCAAATTCGCGATTGGAGAAACATGTCTCTCGGGTGCTCATATATAATGTAGATAGTTTTGGAATGTACAAAGAGCATTGGGGCCACAGGAGGGTATTGGATTGTTATTTACATCCCGTTTAAACTTTGGCGCCTAAGAATGTAAAATTTTGTTATACATCTGAGTTTGTTTATATGGAATTTGATTATATGGAAGACTGGAAGATGTCTCCTTATATACACCACTCTTTCAAATTCTCATTTGTAGCTCCCGGAACTCAGAAGACAGTCGACCCCCAAAACTGTCCAGGAAGTAATCGGTTTCCGGCTTTTGGACAATGGTCCCTCGCTTAACGAATGCTAACGAATGCTCCCTTAGCTGGGAGCTGCAGGGACCGGTCCCGGCAGGTCTAACCAACCGTCCGCAGGCGCCGTGGTCGAGAGCAGAGCCGAGACGGCGGGGCAGGGTGCCAAGCGGAGGGCACAGCCTGGCAGCCACCGTTGGCGGCAGGAGAGAATGGGAGAAGGGAGACCCGCTTCTCAGCACAAGGGCATCTGTCTACTCCCGAACATGGCCGGAGATTCCTGTCCACAGCCTCCCTCCAGCTCTTTCTGGTAGACACTTTAAAAGCGACATTAACGGGCTTCGGTGCCTTTGGATTCCTAAATTAGGTTTACGGAAAAGGAAAGACTTCCCAAGAACAGTGAGAAGAGGAACTGCAGCCCCTCCAAGGCCGCTGCGGCGCGTTCCCGGGGCGCGCCGAGAGCAGCGCGCGGCTCCGTGCCCCGTGGGGAGCGCGCGGCGCGGCCTTGGATTTCACCGCGAGTCGGGAGGGCGGGTCTGAGCCTTGCCTCCCAGGATCCTTCCGACGAACACCCCGCGGGTTTTAGTTTATCGAGCCAAAGTGGTCCCGGAGAAGCGCTCCCTCGCAGCCAAGCTGCAAGAAGTGGCCGGGAACCTACAGGCCTCGGGCCGACCCAGGAAGCCTCCGCACCAGAAAGCTCGAGGAGCCCTTACCCAAGTCTTGCTCGAAGGGCAAAGCAAAGAGCCAGCACCCCTGAGTGTCACTGAAGTTCCTGGATGGGGTGTGAGTGCGCGCGTTCCGTCCGAGACCTCAGTCTCGCCCAGCTATAGAGCCGATAAAGGGATGTCTTGTGGGCGTAAGGCGCTTCGCGCCCATCTCCAAGGCCGATGTGGTCAGGAGGTGAGGGGAAATGTCCTTCTGGCAGAAGCCCGCGGTGCTGCGACGTTGACCCGCCTGGCCTCAGGCTCAGGGCGGCGGGCAGCCCAGGGCACATGTAGTTTCAGCAGCCGCGCTACGTGGGCGGGGGACCCCAGGCCACCCCACGTGTCCGCCCTGGGCCTCCTCCGGGTCCCAAGGCGCGGCGCCTCCAGGCCTTGTAGCGTCTTCCCCGGGTCCCCGCGCGCCAGGCCCCGCAGCCTGCTCACAGGACAGCCCTCGGGGCTGCGACCCTCTCGCTCCTCCCCGCGGCCACTCGCTCCCCGTTCATCCCCCACGAGCTCACTACCGCAGGGACCGGCCCTCAGAGCCCCGGGCCTCCTCCCGGCAGTGGAAGAATCAGCGTGCTAACATTGTGTGCAAAACTCGCAGCGTGATCAAGAACTGCAAAAGAAAACAGAAAAGAAAAATCTCTTCTGATCCTGTGGGCTTGGAAGCCAGGCCTACTCTCCTCACACTCCTGCACCCTCCTTTCTCCTCCTTCCCCTCCTTCTCCTCCTCCACGCGTGCTCCCACCTTCCTTCTGCAACCTTCCTCTTGGGCAATCGCCGCCTTCCCAAGGGCCCGGCTGCTGACGTATACTATTTATTTTGTATATCATGATTTTTGTATGAATTTTGACTTTTAGAATTACTGCATTAAAATATATTTTTCTTGACAACTGAGTTTGTTGACATCTAAATTGTGGGTTCTCACCCCGGTCCCGGGCCTGTCAGGAAAGTTAAGAATTTCATCGAAATTGCACAGATCATAAGCAGTAGAACCGGGCTTCCAATGCAAATCTGTGGCTTCGAAAGCGTTGTTCCTACCGTTGCATCGCGCACGGGACTATTAACCTGGAACCCCAAGAGGGGGAGAAAAGCGGACAAGGGACACGTTTCCTGCTTCGAGATGAAGGTCTTGTTGGCTGGGTGCCCTGGCCTGCCCGGGCGGACGCGTGGGACCTGCGTGGATGGCGCACGCTGCAGCCAAACAGGCTGCCCGAGGGCTCTTCCTGAGCGCAGTTCCTCCGGTGTTTAAAAACAAACTCAAACTAAGTGAGAGTTTCTCTTTGGAATCGCTTCACTTGGGAAAATGATCCAGCCTTCCACCAGCAACTGTGCACTGTCCCCTCTGGTGACTGCTAGAGCATCCCCACACATCCTGCACTCACCTCTCACCTTCGCTTTCCGGGAGCCAGAGTCAGCTGTTTTTGTAAGGAGTTTTGAGAGATCAAGGTGGGGAAGACCCAGGCAGGAAGCAGCCCCGCAAGGTCTCTGCTGCTAGCTCCCACAGTAAGTCATTCCAGAAGCAGTTGATTGAACCTCATCTTACTCCCAACAGTGGCAAAATTCATACTGTAAGCACTTGGATGCCTATTCCCAAATGTCGACGTGCTCCAGACGACTTGAAACATGTCGTATGCAAGGAAACAAAGATGTATGCGTGTAATAAAAGATAACGAATGTAGAGGATTTGTTCAGTCATCCAGCATTACACAGCACCTACTCTGAGCTGGATACTGTGCTAGGCTCTGGGAGTAGAATAGAGTAGTGATCTGGACCCTAAAATTCCTGCATTGTGCAACTCACAGTCTGGTAGGAAACACTGATAATAAACATATAAACAAATACAAGAAGTACAAATTGTGATGAAGACTTAAGGAAAAATTCACATTTGTTGGTATTCATTCATCAGGCACTGGCTTGTTGGGAGTGGGGACAGAGTTGGACAATTTGCATATAATCCATGCCCCTCAAGTGTTCAAAGCCTAGCTGGGAGATGTATTTTAAAAAGTGTCCGTATAGCAATCATACATTACATTTCCCTCAATATTTTTGCTAAAGAACTCTTAGACTGTAGGGGTGTAATGGCTTAATGGAAATAAACAACTTGAATAAAAGTTGTGGAGGAAGATGTTGGGGTCTAGCACCAGGCTATGCTGCCTCTGTTTTTACATCTGTCAAATATGTTTGCTGATAGTCATATGTCCTTATATCAAAGAGTTTGTTGTGAAAATTAAATGAAACAATGTCTCCGTGTAAGGGCAGAGGACTTCACAGACACTACTGCCTGCCAGCCCTGGAACTGGGGAAAGCTCCCTTTTCGATTTAGGGATGATATAAATTCGATCTGATCAGGGAGGTGTGTTCAAGAGCCCCAGTGTCAACCCTGCGCTCAAGGAGTTTGAGAAGCAGCCTTCTCTGGGGTCTGTAGGTTGGTCTCAGAAGCTCTGCAGTGGGGGAAGAAAACCGTGTACCACTAAGTAGAAGAGCGGCTTTATGCAGATGCACAGACAGTGGGGCTGTTTTCTGTGAATGCCCTGGCTAGAACTGCTGGAGGCCCACAACAGGCCTCAGGGCTGGATTTTCCTTCTTTAACTCATGTACTTTGAGGGTGTCTGCGTACATTTCAAGCCCTGATGCCAGCTTTTCAGTGCATTACAGAGAGCATTGAGCCACGCTTAGCATGTGCCAGGCACTGCACTAGAGGCTTTCCATGAAATATATGATGATGCTGATAATAATATAAGTCGGGTACCATTATTGTGTACATTTTTAAATTGCAGAAAATGAAGCTCAGAAGGCTAAGGAACTCACTTGCTCAAATCAGGGTGGAGCGGGAAGCGACCCTGGTCTATGTGACCCAACCCTGTTCACTTCTCAATCTTCACCTCCATTTCTATCTTAACCTCAATTAATCTTATTCTCGGTTTCTAGCACTAACTTGGTCAGATCTCTGTTCTAGAAGAAGCTGTTCGGAGGAGAGGGCTGGATTTTCTTGGTGAGTTTGTAAATAATATTAGCAGCCCCAGAGCCCAGAAACATGTGCATTTCTTTGTTGTCGGCCCATAGGGACTCTGGGCTTTAGAAGAACACAGGCAGCTGTGACCCGCAAGTCCAGCCCTTCACTCTCCAGGCGAGCAAAGGGGAAGAAGAAGGCGGGCCAAGTAAAGGTCTTTCTGCCGCACGTGGACAACGGGCCCGGGCGGCCTTTGTAATGTTATTTTTTCTTTTCTGAAGATAATTACCTAGTATTCTGCAGGTTCCTCTGGTGCAACAGAGACTGCCGCGGGGCGGGGGAGAAGGTGGTGAGGGGGGTCGCGCATCGCTCAGTGCAGGTCTGTGCTTTCACTTGGCCTGCGCTCAGGTCAGTGCGCCCCTTACCGGAGCACCCATGGCCTCCCGCGTTACCCCAAATTTTGTAGGCAGACTGTCAGAGTTCGAAGCCAGCTGTGTCCTCTGCGGGCCGTGTGACCCTAGGCTATCTGGGCTGCTCGGAGCCTTAGTTTCCCTAGTTGTGAAGAGGGAGGGTGTGACCATGGCCCGGAGCTCTCCGAAAGGCTGTGCGGATTGCTCGGTGGCGGGATGTGGAGCGCGTCTTCTATGATGCCAGGTGCTGGCCAAGCGCTCGATGCAGGCTGCTCCAGTTAGGTCGATGCGATGGCGGGAAGCACTTTCCTCTGCAATGGAGAGACGCCGACACCCCGAGCCCGAAGGCTTGCAAGGCGCGCTCTCGCCACTGGGGTCGGGGATCCGTGGGTTCTCTATCCCGCTTACCCACTCCATCCTTAGCAGCTGTCGTCGGTCCCAGACCTCTACCTTGGAGAGACCAAGGCGGCCCAGAGCCCAGGAGACTACTGCGCGGTACGCCAGGATCCAGAAGTGGATTCTGACTTCTAAAGACCCCTCCCAAGCCAACGCTATCAGGGTCCCTGCAAGCGGTTGACTGTGGCGGAGGCAGAACCAAAACCTTTGCTCTGCCCGCGGCGCTCCAGCCTCTCACCCAGGACAGTGCTCTGGGCTCCAGCCGCTGCAGTGGGGTCGGGACACAGACGCCGAGTTAGAAGCCCCGCCGCTGCAGGTCCCTGCTTGGTCGGCGCGGTGACGGTGTCGCTGGCGGCGGCGGGGGCCTTCCTTTGGCTGCCCGGCCATTTAATCAGAGCTATTATCAGACAGGGCTTGCAGGATGGCGCCGGCCGAGCTTTACCCCCATTAGCACAGGGCAGGCTGGGGGCTGGGTCCTGAGGCCACCGCCGGTCCCGGCCAGCTGCAGCTTTTCTGGGGAGCTATGAGAAAGGCAGGCCTGGTGGCTCCGGCCTTCTCTACCCGGCCACTCTCAGGCTGACGAGTTATTAGAATTTTATTTTCTAGCTTCCCATCTGACCCTGACCAACTTCTGTGCCATTGGAGCAAATCACTGAACTTGTCTGAATCTCGGTTTCCTCATCTGTAAAATTGGTCCAGATAGATACATAACTCGAGGTTGTAGACATTAAATAAGATGAGGCATCTGAAGTGTAATGCAGGGACCTGGCGCGCTAAATGGTGTTATTACTACCAACGCACTAGAATTGTATCTGCTTTTTTTTTTAAGTCCCCCTTTTTCATTAAAAAGGAAGGGAAGAGAAAGACCACGGTCAAATGTTTCAAAGAGGTCCAGTGGTTAAGGATTTGCTGGTTTTCCCCGCAACTGACCGGGTTCAAGTTTCACCCCCAGCATCCACTACCTATGTGACTTTGGGCAAGGCATTTCAAAGGATGAGCACTAGAACTTCATTGGACCGTCATGCACGATTCACAGCGGTGCCAGTAGAACAGTAGAATGCTGAGCACAGATTGGGCTCTCCATGTGTGTTATTAGCAAAACGTTTATGCAAACCACAAACATCAGATTTTTTTTTTTTTTTAGATGGTGTCTCACCTTGTCGCCCAGGCTGGAGTGCAGTGGCACAATGTCGGCTCACTACCACCTCTGCCTCCCGGGTTCAAGTTATTCTCCTGTAGCTGGGATTACAGGCGCACACCACCACGCCCGCCTAATTTCTCGTACTTTTGATACAGACGGTGTTTCACCTAGTTGGCCAGGTGGTCTCCAACTCATGACCTCAGGTGATCCACCCACCTCAGCCTCCCAAAGTGCTGGGATTACAGGCATGAGCCACTGCTCCAGGCCAACATCAGACTTTTAAAAGATCTACAAGCAGGCAACTTGTCTCCTAATCCTAAAGGATATTTATGTCAGGAAGGGGAGATCATCCAGGTTTAGGCTTAGAGGAAAGGGGGTGCGATTCATAACAGCATCTTCTGGTCCCCATTTTTTTCTTTGCATTTCCAGCGCAATGCCCTATTGATGCCCCACTTAAAGATAAAAGCTCAGCATCAAAATCAGTCACTATTGTTTTCAGATGTCTGGAAAAAAAGAAAGAAGCACTCACAGCAACTCCAGTATTGTCAGCATAGCTTCTAATCAGTAAAGTGTAATTAGCAAAGCAGGGCTAATTATTAAAGTGACCTTCTAAGTAGTGAATGTTTGTGAATGGTCGTTAAGTGGGATGTGCTGGGCACAGGGCCCAACCCTATGAACTGCCTGGGGATTCTTATCATGCTCAGCTTGAGCCAGGACTGGCTCCAGCTCTCCAGTGTCCCTGAAAGCCTAGCCCTGTTTTTGGATTGACTCTCTCCTTCTGACATGTAAAGCAAGTGACTTATAATAATAAGAGCTTGTATGTGTCAGGAAGTAGCCTAAGCAACTTACTTGGATTATGTCATCTGATGCTCCTCATTTTACGGATAAAGAAATTAAGCACAGAGATGTCATGTAACTTACTGTAAATTACACAGCAAATATGTGGTGGAGCACAGACTGAAACTAATGTCTGCCTTTCTCCCAAGGTTCTTATGTTCCTACCCCCCAGCTCTATTAGCCCCTACTCTTCTGCACCCTGAAAATACTTTGACACTGATGGCAACTCAACTACTTGGGAGGAAAACAGACAGAAAACCTCAGAACATTCCTCTGCATCTAACGAGGCACCTAGGGGTGGAGGATACCATACCTGGTAGGGGTCTGAGTACATTTGCTAATCAGCATGACTTCTTGTCATTTACCTTTGGGTCACTTCTTATGTTGTATAACTGTTAAATATATCCTATAACTAACATCTGGTGAGACCTAATGTGTGTCAAAGCCTGTAGGAGGGGTTTTTATATACATCGTTTCATTTTCAAATAAATTTCATAAATTTTATTTTATAATAAATACTGTCTGCTTTGCAAGGATGATCCAATGAGCCACACTTTTGTAAGTATTTAGAACAGAATTTATTAGAAATGACTATTGTTTATTCTTAAAATTCTGAAGAAATACATTTCTTAGGACAGTGATTTTTCAATGCATGATTCAAGGTCTATCTGAATCCAATGCACCTAAGAATTGTGTGTATTTCTTGGCTCCACCCAGAGACCCTGGACTGTGGGCCCTAGGAGTTGAAGTGAAGAGTGGGGGGAATTTACATTTTAACCAAGCACCCCTAAGAGGCTGCTGAACTCTGGCCGGGCGTGGTGGCTCACACCTGTAATCCCAGCACTTTGGGAGGCTAAGGTGGGCGGATCGTCTGAGGTCAGGGGTTCAAGACCAGCCTGACCGATATGGTGAAACCCCGCCTCTACTAAAAATACACAAAAATTAGCCGGGCATGGTAGTGAGCACCTGTAGCCCCAGCTACTCAGGAGGCTGAGGCAGGAGAATTGCTTGAACCCAGGAGGCGGGGGCTGCAGTGAGCCGAGATTGTGCCACTGCACTCCAGCCTAGGTGACAGAGCAAGACTCCATCTCAAAAAAAAAAAAAAAAAAAAAAGAGGCTGCTGAACTCTGAGTCTTCCTTATGGCACTACATTCTTTCTATTGGCCACATTTAGTTTTTTACTTGACTAGAGAAAAAGAAACAGGAACTCCCCATCTCTGCTGAGAAGCTTTTGGGATGACACAGAAAATACCACATTGCAATTTGTAACTTTCATCATTTCTTATCACACCCTTAACCCAAAAAGGTGGCTTCTGGTTCTGATAAGTCTGTTGTTTCTCTCAAGAATGGATACTGCAGGAGCATGCATGACTGCAGAAAAGCTACCAACAACACCCCACTCCCTGCCCCCATATACACTCTACATAGAGGGCACCGTTGAGGTGACTCTCCTTAGCTTGTCTTGCTACAGAGCAAGGACCAAGACATTTCAGAATGTTTGAAAAGACCAGAA
Source organism: Homo sapiens (assembly GCF_000001405.40). Lineage (NCBI taxonomy): Eukaryota > Metazoa > Chordata > Mammalia > Primates > Hominidae > Homo > Homo sapiens. The sequence goes on from NC_000007.14 coordinate 35,265,252, forward strand.
GGGTCAGTAAAATCCACCCCACCTCTCATCTTATGGATGAAGAAATTGCAAATTGAAGCCTAGGTCAGGAAGTAACAAGTCCAGAGCCACACGGTTGGTCAGGTCTTTGAATCCTGACTTCAAATTAATGCTTGACATAAGCCCTTCTACATGAACACTCCTTGGGAAAAGCAGAAAGCTCTCTCGTTTTCTACCTCTGGTTTCCTAATTTGTGCAACTATACCTCTCCTGTGTGGTGGCTCACACATATTGGGCTTTTTAGTGATGATCGTGAAGATGGAAAAACTGCTCTGAGAACTGAAACTGAATTTCGCACCATGGTTTTATTTGGCCTTGAGCAGGGAAAAAAATTTGGAGTCTTGTCCTTGCTTGCCTTCAAGGATTCAACTTCTGGTGGAGCTTCTTCTCATCTGGGTTGCACCACAGTCATCTTTGTATTTTAAGTTTGACAGAACTCCACCTGGAATTCACTCTTTTGGAGGGGAGAAAATGGGGCAACACTTACATATGATCAGATAAAATGTAAGTATTTGAAACAAAACTTTTAAGGAAGAGGAGTTAGTTGAGATAATGTGTACATCAATTAGGATTCTATACTGTGAATAGCGAGAAATTATTTTCAATCTGGTTTGAATAACACAATAAATTTGTTGGCCCATCCACTTAGTTTAAAAATAGCTTCAGGTGAAATGTGATCCAAGGATCAAAGGAAATCCTCTCTATTTCTCATCTCTGGCATCTTGGAGTTGGTGCTATTTTTAGTCAGACTTCTCTCTGGGGTCACAAGATGGCTTCAGCAGGTCTCATGGCCATATTTCTCCTTGTTTGTACCCATTAGAAAATAGTTTCTCTCTCACAGAAGCACATGCAGAGAAAGGAGTCCAAGAAATATATCTTTACATCTTATTGACCCTGATTTGGGATCAAATCAAATCAGTGCCTGCACCTAGAATCTGGGGCAGGGGAAGTCCTCCAAAACCACAGGACTGAGACCAGACAAGGGCTGAATTCATTTAGGAGAAATGAGATCACTGTTGACAAGAGAAGGGACAGTGGCCTTGGGGAGACCATCGATAGTGGTTCACCAGCATGTGCAAGGGAGGTGGGAAAGGCAGGAAGGAATATCTTTATTCACCAGCATAATTTAAAAAAGACTGGAGTAACAGACACAATGCAAATCCCCACAATGACCAAAAATGGCAGTCAGTGAGGATTTGTCACAGCAGATTCTGTCCTCCAAACCTTATTTCTTTCCGGAACAATTTAAATGGCCCTTTGCTAGCAGGAGAGAAATTAGGAGGCTGAGAATTAAAGCAAGGTGGGGGAAGTGGTAGGAAGAGAAAAAGTCTGTGCCGAAAAGGGATCTCAGAGATAATGTAGTAAGGGTGGGGGGGGGGGGCGGGGTGGGGGGTGCACAGTGGCTCACACCTGTAATACCAGCACTGTGGGAGGCCCAGGTGGGTGGATCACCTGAGGCCTGGAGTTTGAGACCAGCCTGGCCAACATGGTGAAACCCCATCTCTACTAAAAATACAAAAATTAGCAAGGTGTGGTGGTGCGTGCATGTAATCCCAGCTACTCAGGAGGCTGAGGCAGGACAATCGCTTGAACCTGGGAGGCAGAGGCTGCAGTGAGCTGAGACCATGCCACTGTACTCCAGCTTGGGTGACTCAACGAGACTCCATCTCAATAAATAAATAAATAAGAGATAATCTAATGTCAAACTCGTTTTAGAAGAATCTGAGGCTCTGGAATGTGACAACCATATCCAAGATTGAGAAACTTTGCATAAAAATATTTTTTTTTCTTTTCAGGAAACCTGGATTGTATTTCTCAAATGAACCTTTGCAGAACATGGGTTGCTTCAGATGTTGCCTGTTTCTGTACCGCTCAAGAGCTAAAAATGATTTTTACATTCTCTAATGGTTAGGAAAAGAATCCAAAGAAGACTAATATTTTGTGACATATAATAATTATACAAAATTCAAACATCAGTGTCCAAAAATAAAATTTTATGGGAGGGATTGGCAAACCTTTTCTTTAAAGGGCCGGATAGTAAATATTTAGGTTTTGCAAGCCATATGATTTCTGTCACTATTGTCTGCCTCTGTCTTTGTAACATAAAAGCAGCCATAGACAATATGTAAACAAATGAATATAGCTGTGTTCTGATAAAATTTAATTTGTCACATAGAAATGTAAATTTCATATAACATTCAAATATTACAAGGTATTAGTCTTCTTTTGATGTTTTTTCAGCCATTTAAAAATGCAACAACATTTCTTGGCTAGTAACCTGCACAAAAACAGGTGAGTGGCCAGACTTGGCCTGCATGGGCCATGCTTTGCAGACTCCTGTTGTATTGCCTGCCTTGGCAACACAGTGGCAAAGCTGAGTAGCTGTGACAGAGACCACATGGCCTACAAAGCCTGAAATATTTAAATATTTACTAGTTGGCCTTTTACAGAAAATGTTTGCTGACTCTGACTCTAGAAGGGTTCTTTTAAACTGTAATTTACATGCAAAGCACCTGGGGATCTTGTTAAAATGTAGACTAAGTCTGGGTCAGTCCAGAGATTCTGCATTTCAACAAGTTCTCAGGTGATGTTGAGTTATTGGTCCATGGACCACATTTGGAGGATTTTTCATTTACTCTTCTAATATCCTGTTGTAAAATGCCTCAGAGGATCTCCTCTCTGATCATTCCCCCACTTGAATTAGAATCATTTTTGCAGGGGGATGAGAATCTGCATGTGAAATAAGTTCTCCTCTGATTCTTTTGAGAACCATTGATCCATTGATCTAGATTTTGTTTTTGTTGTTGTTGTTGTTTGTTGTTTGTTTTTGAGATGGAGTTTTGCTCTGTCACCCAGGCTGGAGTGCAGTGGCACGATCTCGGCTCACTGCAACCTCCACCTCCCGGGTTCAAGGGATTCTCCTGCCTCAGTCTCCTGCGTAGCTGGGATTACAGGCTTGCGCCAGCACGCCCGGCTAATTTTTGTATTTTTTTAGTAGAGACAGGGTTTCACCATGTTGGTCAGGCTGGTCTCAAACTTCTGACCTTATGATCCACCTGTCTTGGCCTCCCAAAGTGCTGGGATTACAGGCGTGAGCCACCACGCCCGGCTGATCTAGATGCTTTAACAGAGATTCAATGACAAATTCATGGAGGACTGGGTATTATTAGCCAGACAGTTAACCTTGGTGCTGATGGGATTCAGGTAACTTTTATTTGACAAAGAATTAACAGCATATTTTAAAAAGTCATTAATCATCTAATTATTATGGCTGAAGGATTATTTATTTTTTGGTTAATCTCCAGAGAATGAATGCTGCTTATAGCATCTTGACTTTACATGAAGGCAGTGACTTAGGCATGCTGATTGCAAGCAAATTGATGCCGTCTTTCCCATTTGAATTGTGCATTTAGGACCTGCCAGATCTACTCATGTACAGATAGGTTTAAAGAGGACAGATTGGGTTTTATATCCTCCATGTAGTAGCAAACCAATCCTTTCTATAAAACTCCATTAAGCCCTTTTACTGTTTCATTTCTTTTTCCTTCCTCCCCCCATTGTGTCCTTTCTTTGATGGACAATTATCTCAGATTTTTTATCTTTATTTCCAACTGTGGAAAACTTCTGAAGAATTAACCTTTCAAAAACATGCAACTCTTATATTAGAACTAAGAAAGAGAGGAATGAAGGGCTGTTAGTGAACATGGGGCTTGGGGCTTACAGAATGTGAATCAAAACTTTGGTTTCAGTTACAGCAAGGAGCAGACAGCCTGAGAGCCTGGAAAGATGGAGAATTGAGCAGCTGTGGAAATAGAACACTCATGTCCCTAATTGAGTGGGGAATCTGCACTGTGACGTGTGATGTGTCAGACACCCTGTTCAAACCACATTCGTGACGCTGTGGATCACATGACTGGAAAAGCACTACCCGTTTTCTTTTTTTTATGCTTGTTAATGACAGAAAGCCAGCTCTCTCATTGATCTGTGCACTTGATTGTGTAAGCCAGGACCATAAGGACCATCTGCTTCTTACACGACAGAAGGTGAGTGGAGGGAAACATTTTATTTAGAGGTTACATGGAAGTTCAGGGCATGTTGAGGAATTACCAATCTACCATTATTCTAGGTTCTAGTTGCTTCAGATGAGGTCTTCATAGGCATTTTTATTTTCATTTAAATTAGCAGAATTTATTTGGAAAAGAAAAAGTCAAGTAGATGGAATTTAATGATGACAGTCTTTCTTTGGAAAGGGAGGACTATCTTGAATGTTCTCAAATAGTTGGTGATAGCAAAAAAAAGTAATATTCTCCTACACACACACACCCCTATCTTGTCAGGGCTGGGAATGGCGAGTACAGAGAGCCTTCTATTCTTCACTTGATGCTAACCACAATGCAAAATGATTAGCCTTCTAACTTAAAAGGCCTCAGAGTAAAAGAAACCTGAAAATGAAAATCCCCTTAGACCTCTTAGAATAAATTATGTGGATTTGCTAAGTACACAGACTGGCCCTCTTAAAAGGGAGATAACCAGTTTAACTGTTGCTTTGGAAAGATAATCCAGGAGACCAATTATGAGTCTTATTTTACATTAGTGATTTTACACCAATAAATAGAACCACCTTGAGTCCTTTGTGGAGTGTTGTTTTAAAACAAAAACCTAACAAATTTGAAATCTGTTTACATTTAAAAGATAAAGTAGCAAAGTGTAGTGAAGAGGCTGCCAGACTAGGAGTCAGAAAACTGGGATTCTCCTGGCTCCTTCTGAGTGACCTGAGTAGGTCTGGGAGCCTTAGTCTTTTTCATCTGTAAGAGGCAGAGAAAAACATCTGCATAGCCTTCCTCATGGTATTTTAAAAATTAATTGTAGTTAAAGTTCATGGCACTTTTGTGACGCACAAATGAAATAACAGATATAAAGTTCCCCTTTGAAAATTACAGATGCTAACAAAGGATATTTTGGAAGGTTACAATAGGCATATAGAAACTTTAGTTAACAGAATTTGCATGACTATTTTGACATCAAAGCATGTTTCATTTCTCTTTCTCCTACTAGCCTCAGCTTTCTTGATATAAAAAATTATATATAATGTCAAAAAGGCTTAGAGATGGATCTTTCTTGATGACTAATTATAGGTTCTGTAGTTGCCAGCCTCCAAGATAGCTCCAATGAACTCACTTCCTGGTATGACATCCTTGTGCAGCCTCCTCATCCCTACATTATACCAGGATTGGCTTGTGTGACCAAAACAATACAGTAGGGGTTGGTCGGGCGCGGTGGCTCACGCCTGTAATCCCAGCACTTTGGGAGGCCGAGGCGGGTGGATCACGAGGTCAGGAGATTGAGACCATCCTGGCTAACACAGTGAAACCCCGTCTCTACTATAAATACAAAAAATTAGTCGGGTGTGGTGGCGAGCGCCTGTTGTCCCAGCTACTCGGGAGGCTGAGGCAGGAGAATGGCATGAACCCGGGAGGCGGAACTTGCAGTGAGCCAAGATTGCGCCACTGCGCTCCAGCCTGGGCGACAGAGCGAGACTCCATCTCAAAAAATAAATAGATAAATAAATAAATAAATACAGTAGAGATGATGGCATGTCACTTCCAGGATTAGGTTATAAAATACTGCAATATATATGTATATATATCTCCCTCCCTCTCTCATCTCTACCTCTGTTGGGAAGCAATCTGCCATATTATGAGCAGCTCTATGCAGAGGCCCACGTGGCTAGAAATGGAAGTCTCCTGCCAGTAACCTAGCTTAGAAGCAGATCGTCTAGCCCAAGTCAAGCTTCTAGATGATTTCAATCTTGCCAATCAGCTTGACTGCAACCTCATGAGAGATCCTGAGCTAGAACCAACCAGGCAAATTGTACCCAGGTTCCTGACCCTAAGACACAGTATGAAATAATAAATGTTTATTATTTTAAGCTGCTAAGTTTTGTTATAATTTGTTACACAGCAATAGATAACTTGTATAGGTTCTATCAGGGAAAGAAAATGGCAGAAATGCAGATGATAAATTCTTTTGACCAGAAAGAACTTGACCAAGAAAGCCTGTTGGGCATATATTTCTTTACTCATCAGTTTAGCTATGATAAGGATTTAGAGGCAAAATGTCAATATATAGTAGTTTAAACTAATGACATGTTTTGATGTTGCTATTGCCCCTGATGAATCATAGCACACAGCTGAGGCTACTGTGCAGCATGAGAAATGGAATTCACTGAGGAGCAACATATTTACATGTTTTAGCTATGTTCTAGTCAGGAAAACAGAGCTCATACAATAGCTCAATAGAGGGAATTTAACATGGGGATCCAGCCACAGAGACTGAAAAAGGCAAAAGCCAAATAGGGAATGGGGAGGCAACCCAGATTAGTAATACCAAGAAGCTTCTATCACTTCTATAACTGGAGAAATTAGGTGAGCCATGTGACAGGGACTGGAATGACAATGAAAGCTATGAGACTAGAGATGAATGCACAGAGAAGCAGCCACTGCTGGAGATGCTGTCCTAATTGGAGAGAGACGGAGAGAAATTCTTCTACAGGTGGCCTGATCTTCTGCCTGTCTCCACCATTGGTCAACTAACCAGAATCCGTTTATAAAGAGAACCTTGGAAATGTAACCTGCCAAATTTGCCCCCTTATGAAACAGAGCAGGAGAAGGGTGGGAAATGGATCAGAGGGCAAACAAATGAGCATCACCATCTGCCTCTTTTGCTACTCAGCATCTGTTCTCACATTCCTACCTACATTTATTTCCCAGGCATGCTTCCATCATTCATACCAATGATGACTCTTACCCATCCTTGAAAGGGAAACACAAAGCCCCATCAGTCATTTCAAAGTCCATGACTACTCATTTCAAAGTGTAGAATCACCAGGTGATATATTCTATAGTCATTCTAAGTAATGCAACCACCTCTCCCATATGCCTCCTGCAGTCAACCTCATTCTTTCTAAGCCTTTGATTAATTGGGCAATATTGCCATTGCCTTTGAATAAGTGTAGATCTATACCTCAGGACATCTCTTAAGCAAAGTAAACAACAGAATATACTGCTTAAATTTGTTTTTCCACTGAGAGTTCCCTTCTTCACTGTCTGTAAGGCCTCCTTAGAGTGGAACATTAATGTCTTAGCTGGAACTCACAGTTGGAAACAGCTGATCATGCAGATTTATATGTAGACCAGGGTCAAGCGTTTTCTTCCTTCAATGACTGGCCATAGGGAACTCTTCATGCAACCATAAAATGTACTAAAGAAGAAGTGGTGATTCACTGAAAAAGTGCCCAGGTACTCTAAGACACCTACCTGTTCAAGCATTTTACTTGAGCTTTCCAGACCTGTTCAAGTCCAAATCTATATATACCATTCCCACTTAATGGTGCACTACATTTGTGCCCTCCCCAATTTATGGCTTCATGGGATACACAACACTTCAGTTCAATGTGAGTGGCTCTGTAGCATAGTCATTTGTGTCCTATACTTAAGCATTCAGTCTCTTCCAATACCCATTAGCAAGTGAGAAGCTATTTTCAAAAGGAAAAATATATATATCAGCAGAATAGGACTATGGCTATGTTCCAAGATTTAGGATCTGTATAGGATCCTTCTATTGTGGCTTGCCAAAGGGCCACATAGCATCCTAATTTGCAACAGACACTTAAAGCATTATTTTCTCTGGAAGTTCAGAAGATCTGAATTGCAGAGCAGCTTACACTCCAGCTTGGACAAACTAAAGAGGCTTCTCAAAACTAGCAGTCTTACAAGTAACTCAGTAAAAGACTTGAAGCATCAAATTTAAATGTGGGACCTGCTGCCTTCAAGATGTAAATATGGCCACTAAGCATTTTTACTACCAAACAAGGTGAATGAACTTGTCTTTCATTTACACCAAAATGTTCTACTGTTTTTCACCAGCATGTTCCTGAACATCTGAAACTGGCAGGAATTATGAATTTTCATGGGATTTATCTTCCACCTGCTAGAATGTCTATGTCTTACTAAGGCAGCTAAGATACTTACACTTATTGCCCGCCAGGTCCAGTCAACTTGGTATTATCAATATCATGGGGCAGCATGATGTTCTCTGGAGTGTCAAAATGATCAGGGACCTAGTGGACAATATTATGATGGAGAGCAGGAGAGTTCTCATGGCCCTGAGGAAAGACAGTGAAGTTATACTCTTGCTCCTACCAAGTGAAAGCTAATTGTGTCTTGCTCTGATACCAAAACCAGACAAGGAAACTACAAAAAAAGAAAACTGCAGACTAATACTCCTGATGAACATAGATGTAATAATCTTCAACAAAATACTAGCAAACCAAAATCCAACAGCATATCAAAAAGATAATACACCATGATCAAATGGGATTCATACCAGGGATGTAAGGATGGTTCAATATATAAATCATAAACATGATTCAACAGAATGAAGGGGAAAAAATACAATCATCTTAACAGATGCAGAAAAAGCATTTGATAAAATTCAGCATCTCTTGGTAAAAACACTCAACAAATTAGACATAGAAAGAACCTACCTCAACATAATAAAGGCCATTTATAACATACTCACAGCCAACATCATACTAAATTGGCAAAATTCCTCCTAAATTGCAAGCATTCCTCCTAAGAACTGTAACAATACAAAGATGCCCATTTTCACCACTCTTATTTAACATAGTATTGGAAGTCTTAGCCAGAGCACTCAGGCAAGAGAAAGAAATAAAAGACATCCAAATTGGAAAAGAGGAAGTCAATTATCTGTTTGCTGATGATAGAATCTTATACCTAGAAAACTTATATTAGGCATCTTCAAAAGTTTTCTAGATATGATTTGATAAATGACTTCGATAAAGTTTCAGGATGCAAAATCAATGTACAAAAATTAGTAAGATTTCTGTACACAAATACTGATTAATACAAGTGATTGATGTAATAAAGAACTCAATCCCAGTTACAATAGCTACAAAAAATATCTAGGAATACAGTTAACCAAGGAGATGGAAGATCTCTATAAAGAGAACTACAAAACACTGATGAACAAAATTATAGATGACACAAACCAATGAAAAGACATTCCAAGAATGAATATTCTTCCAACCCATGATAAAACAATCATATTGCCAATAGAAATAGAAATCTAAATTCAATGCAATCCCTATTAAAATACCAATATAATTTTTCAGAGAAATAAAAAACAAATCATCCTAAGGTTAATATGGAACAAAAAAGCCAGAATAGCCAAAATAATCCTGAACAAAAAGAACACAGCTGGAAGCATAACATTACCTGACTTTAAAATATATTGCAGGGCCATAATAACCAAAAGCAGCATTGTATTGGTAAAAAAAAAAAAAAAAAAAAAAAAAAAAAAAAAAAAAAAGACATATTGGCCAATGGAACAGAATAGAGAACCCAGAAATAAATACACATATTTACAACCAATTGATCTTCGACAAAGTCATCATGAACATTCACTGGGAAAATGACATCTTCTACAATAAATGGTACTGGGAACACTGGATAATTGTATGCAGAAAAATGAAACTAGACCTGTCTCTCACCAATACAAAAATCAACTCAAGATGGATAAAGACTTAAATGTAATACCCAAAATTATAAAACTACTAGAAGCAAACATAGCGAAAACTCTTAAAGGCATTGGTCCAGGCAAATATTTTATCACTAAGACCTCAAAGCATAGGCAACACAACAAATAGACATTGAAACTATATTGAACTAAAATGCTCCTGCATAGCAAAAGAAACAATCAACAGAATGAAGACACAACATCCTGAATGGGAGAAAATACTTGCAAACTGCTCATCCAACAGGGGTAGTGTAGATGTATACACACATCTGGAATTACATTGTAATTAATACACCACTTTATTAATTTAAGGATAATCTCAATCCAAATGGAGTCATTCTGTCTCTGGCCTTTGCTGAAGCCAAAAAAATGATGGGTTAAAATGGGGATGTATAACGAATCACCATCTCTGCATCTATTAACTCTTTGATGTTGACATTAATCTCTGCAAGTCTTCCAGGTATGTACTATTACTTTGGTTTACTATTTTGGCAGAAAGGGATAGTCTCAGGGTCTTCAACTTGGCCCTTCTTACCACAATAGCCCTTACATTATTTAGGGAGCCAACAAGGATAGTCTCCAATTCCCTAGTATTATGTGTCCTCCAACTACGCAATATGGGTGAAGCGGTGGATCCTCTAGGTCTATTCTAAGGTTGACTAGGGCCCAAACTTCATTTATCACCTTAGGGGTAACTTTCATATACCTCTCACTTGGACCAGTGGACCACAGTGAAATTTTGGGTCACCAGAAATTAATGTAAACTCAAGGTCTAATAACTTCTGAAAGGTCTTGGTATTATTGTTACTTTTTCCATTCCTGGTGCACTGTCACTAAATTAAGTAGTCATAGGTCCCTTTGGGAAAGGTGTGAAGAAAGAGTTACAATATATACTTATGGCAGTGGGACCTGCTTTCCCCTCAAGCCAAAGACTGGATCTGTCTTTACATGTGTCACAGACCCAAGACAATATTATTGATATTGTTTTAAACAATCATTATTTTTCAATTTCCTACACATTTACCTTTTCCAGTGCTCGTAATTCTTCCCCCAAGTCCCATGCTTTCATCTGAGGTTTCTTTCTTTTAGTCTGAAGAACTTCCTTTAGTAATTTTCTAGTTCAGGTCTGATGACAATGTATTTTTTCAGCTTTTGTTTGTCTGACATTGTCTTTATGGCATCTTTATTTTTTAAAACAAACTTTAGCTTTCAGAACAGATTTTAGATTTACAGAAAACTTGCAAAGAAAGTGCAGAGTTCTCAAATATACCATACCCAGTTTCCTCTATTATTACATCTCATGTTAGTATGGTAAATTTTATTAAAAATAATTAACCATTATTAAAACATTATTATGTTATTAACTGGAGTCTATGTTTTATTCAGATTTCTTCAGCTTTTAGTTTTTTTCTCTTCCATGATTCTGTCTGGGATATCACATTACATTTAAACCTAATTCTTAGTCTTCACGTGACTGTGACAGTTTCATTGTTATTTTTGAAGGTGATTTCCACCAACTGTAAAATTCTAGGTTGGTCAGGGTATGTTTTTTCATTCAACATTCCATTGCAATGTTGGATGAAATTAGAAAGTGGAATATCAATGATAATGCAATTCTGTTGTCTTTTAATATCTAAAGTTTCTGATGAAAAGTTAGACAAGTTTTGCTAATAAAATGAGTCCACTTAATTTGTATCCAGACCTTCTTTCTGTAACCAGCAATACATATTTAATAAATCGAAAAGGAGATATAATTATAAATTAAAGGAATCAATTGTTTGCGTATGTGACTTATAAACTGATCTAATGCAGATTGGTATACTTTGCTTAATATCGTGATCTTGGTAAATAAGGAATATAATATCTAAAATGTTCTTATGTAAATCAACTCTGGTGGTCAAGAAAGGTATTTTGTAAAACAAGTTTGTGTTAAGTGATAATATAATTTACTTGTATGAATCAATCTTATTAATCAACAGGGCAATATATGCTCCAGATAGATCACCCTTACATTCAATATATCCTCATACTATAATGTAAAAATACAATAACTAGCCATGATAAGCAACACATTCAAAAGAACATGAAATCAGACATAACAGAGTGTGAATCCTCGCTCCCTCTCTTGCTAGCTGTGGAAAGTCTGTGACTCAGTTACTTAGTCTCTCTGAACTTCAGTTGTCTTACCCGTACATTGGGGATACTAGAACTTACCTTGTAGAGTTGTGTGATGAATAAAACTATTTAATATATATACAGTCTCCGACATCCAAAAGACAATAAATGGTAACCGTTAATAATGATAATAATTGTCATAATATTATTCATAATTATGGTTTATACTCTTTAATACACATGAAATATTTTTACAGTATCTGAAATGTTTTATTAATGTCCTTTGTGGTTTTATAGATACTATCTAATAATGCGGCAGCCCAGCTATGCTTCAGGATGAATTTCTGCCATGATTTTTCCCTTCCTTTTATTTCACATTCCTTTGAATAATACTCTCTCAGGACAGTCAATGTAATCCTGCAAATGCTGCGGAGAGAAAATTAGTGCTAAGGAAGTTCTCCTGAATGTGCTTGGCTCTTGGATTTGTGGTGACAAGTTAGCCACAGGACACTCATCACAGTGAAATGCCTCCACCTCTCTGTCAGATGAATAGCAGTGGCTTATTAATAAGTGAGGAAAATGATAGCAGCCCTAGAGCATGAAACTTGTTACTCTATAAGGCATGCCCTCTGGATAATCCAGAGTTGTGCAGTGTCAGCATTTGAGGAATTATATGAACACAAATATGAATTATATAAATCTGGAATTACATGAGTTACATGAAATCAAACCCCATCTCAGATGCTGCACCTCAGGTGCCAGCATGTGGATGTATTCAGTAAAAGTTTGCTGAGTGAATGTTACATAATTGATAGATGTACTAGGCATCTGGAAATGAAAGAAGGGTAGGACTTTGCTCCTGCCCTTGGTGGATGTATCATTGAACACCTAGTAATATAAAAGTAGAATGTGATTAAATTCTAAAAGTGAGGCTGGGGAGATCACAAGTGGACTTAAGTTGGAAGTGACAGATAAATAGGATTTATGGGTGAAGAGAAATAAGGAGAAATTCTAGAGGAGGACATAAGCATCAAAAGGCAAAAAAGTCAGGTTGAAGATAATCAAGGAAGGAAGGTGTTTTATAGAGAGTTTTATCCTGTTGGAATAGAGTTGTGAACTTTGCGGGTTTTAACCCAGCACAGGTGAAAAGAGGGATAGACAGAGTGGGAACTGTGGGTGGGGAACAGGGTGGCTGTTTGGTGGTCTAGATTTCAGGACGTGGGGCCACACAAGAAGCAGATGAGGGAGAAGTCTCTAAAGAAGGCCTAACAAACCTTTGGTTACAAAGATGTTTTTTGGGGGAGTGGGGTGAGGTCTGGAAGGGAAGGGAAGGTGGAGAGGTGAATGTCCAGACAATTCCCAGTATTTGTACCTCATTGAATAGAAGAATGGCTTTACCATGCATAGAAACATGAAGTCAGGATAGAGAGCCATTTGTGGGAAAAATGGCAAGTGTGGTATGAAAGTTTGTGAATGTGTGTTAATCAGAACATCTGTACATAAATGAACCACAAGCTAGAGTGGTACTGCAGTGAAGCCATATAAACAGAGTAGAAATAAGAGTTGTCAGTGTTTTGGGGTAACCTCTGTGGATCAGTGGTGGGAAAAGGCTATTACAGTCCTCTCCTTATTCCCCCCATCCTTCTTTAAGATGGTATGGTACAAATGGTACAACAAAAGTAAAGTCTCAGATAGGCTTATCTCAACATTTAAGCAGGTGCAAAACAATTATAAAGGCTTTTCCTGAAAGCTTGGAGAAGCCCTGTTCTATCCTTAGGCACTAAAAAAATTCTTTATGAGGTAGATGCAATGATATTCTGATGCTAGGAGCAGCCACCCTCTGGACTCTGTTTTTGCAGGCAACAAAGTCATCTATTAAATGTGTGTGGAGATGGATGCAGGGTGGGCAGAGAGGTAAACTGAGGGTCAGCCAAAGTGTTCATTGTACTTCATCCCTGCAAGGGTAGTGGAGCCCATAAAATCTCTCTAGCCAACCATTAATCTTATATGCCACTTTTTCCACAGATTTAAAATGATTTTTAAAGGCACTTGTGCAAAACAGTACTCCCTCTAATGTGGGTTTAATAACAACGTTAGAAGTGTTTGTCATGCACTCACTCCATTCCCTTCACTAAGGGTGTGAATTCTTCATTTGAGCTTTTCAACTGCTAGCTAACCACATGCATATGCCTCATAGACACATACATACAGAAATATTTTAAAGTAAGTTACTACACAGAGAGGCAGGCTCAAAGAGACAAAAGCTGGAAACCACATGAGCTGGTGAGACATTTGAGGGAAAGAGTCCTAGGGGAAGGACACATTAATGGAAAGAGAGCATTTCAAGACAGTCAAGGGTGCCTACTAGCAGCAAACACTCAAAGAAAAGAGTCAAAGATTTGGAGATTAGGGAGGCAATTGGTGACCTTAGAGAGAACAGGCTGAAGTCAGATGATGGGAGTGAGTGTGGGGTTTGCCAGCAAGTGGAAGTGGCAGGTGTGACCCCCCTCTGTGAGAAGCTTCATCCCAATCACAAACCATTCTCTGGGAGCAGGTGAGACAGCAGGGTTGGAGTATAGAGAGCCATGCTGAGGCCCTGGAGCTCCATTTTAATGTTGTCCCAAGAGGCCCTTTTGCCAGGCTACTTTAAGAGGAGAACCTTTCAGCACTTGGGCAAGTCAGCCTCTTTGGGCAGGCCCATGGTGGCCCCATCAAAACTAAATATCTGGGCAGTGCAATGGAAGAGCTTCAGAGTGTACAGTTTCTGTTCTTTTGTAGCAATGATTAGGTCCACATATGTGTATCTGTGCTTCCCTCTTTTCCTTCCTTGGGCAAATGTAGTGACTGCCTCCAGGTGTCCCAGGCTGCACAGCTGGTACAACAGAGGCTCCTACTTCTGGACCCACAGGTGAATTTGACATGGAAGGAAATGGTCACCTCAAGGTACTATGCACTAGAGACATGGGGAAGGTGTGGAAATGTTGCCTGGGAAGGTTTCCTAGGAGTTTGCAACCTAGCTAACTAACCCACAAAGCCAGCTAGAATTGGTGAGGCAAGAATTTCTTTATTGAGTGGCTTTATCCAGCTGTGAAAGAGAGAGTTGGGAAAGTGAAGGGAGGTCCCTGAGGAAGGGACTCTTATGCTCTGCCTCTCATTCTTCACACTATGGGACACCCTGTATGCATCTCTGCTTAGCAATTTAATGCAAACATAAACTGTGTCTGTCTGCTTGTGGCTCTAGGAAAGAGAGTCATTTTATACATGATGAGCATGAATTCCAAATAAGAAAATAAGTGACTTTAGTGACTAAAGTTGCAGTAACAGTCGTGTGGTCACAATGTGCTTGGGTCAGGAGCTGCCTGCAGAGAGAGATATGGCTTGCCCAGAAAGCTGAGGCTTGAAAGAAATAAAACACAAACGCACTGTGGAATGCCAAGCCATCCCACTGTGAGAATTGAGGCAGCAACTAGATATCATCATACCCACTCCGAGCTTATCTTCCTTGAGGTCTGGGTCTCAATGGCCCCTCCAAACTAGGAGAGTTGTTTCTGCAATGCCTGGAGCTGCCTCAGCAAGGTGCTGCATGGACATCTTCTCTAATCTTTTCTGACGACAGGTCTGGTGACCTTTAATGGCACTTAAACTTTTTAAGGGAAAAAATATATAAAGTGCAGAAGCTTAAACAATCCAGTCCCCAGGATTAGCAGCCCATGTCCAGCCTTCGTCTTGAATCCTTCATCTTGCTCAGTTTCCCATTAACATGAGACAAGGTATTCAAAAGTTTGGGGTTTTGAACAGTGTGCTCGGTTTTCTTCATAGGTCCATTTTTGCAGTGTAATTTAAAGCCTCACTTCACAAATTCCTTTGCAACTCAAGAAGCCCCCCGAAAAATCTGAAAGTAATTTTTAGAGGAATATTTTGTGGCTCAGAGAGAGGCACTGATGGTATTAACATGAAACTACCTGTTCCCAATCCCCTTTCAATAGCACGTCAGGGAGCAAAGCCTCCCTTACAAGATCTGACAAGCGTATGTTCTTGAGGAAGTGGAGGGGAAGCTCTCTGTTCATATGACTAATTAGACAGACTTCATGCTGTGTTGCTCTTTTTTGATGCAGGTCCTGGTCCTAATTGTCAGTTTGCTCCTCTGGAAAGTAAGGTTGAGTTCAAATGCCAATGTGGCCTGTTTTCTCTTAGCATTCCTGACCTGAAACTGATGCGGGGTGACAGGGAACAGACGGGAAAGAGACTCATTGCACTCAGAGTAAACCTTTTCAAGTTCCCCACAAGGAAGACTGGAACACTAGAAACAGCTCCTAAGGGCTGTGTTTATCACTTAACGTGGCTTACATCAGCTGGGAGTTCTGCCCAGGAGATGGCTAGCCCCTGTGATGAGCACCCAAGCCCAAGCGAAGAGACCAGAGAAGCTTACTGGGCAAGTCCACTTGGACAGTTCTCCAAAGGGCAAGGCAGTTATTAGCAACGGACATGGTCAACGTGTTTGGGAATAATGCCAGAAAATGGGGTGTGAGGAACTGATTGCAAGAATGGCTGCAATTCCCTCCCTATAGCCATGCCCTTTGCAATGTGGCCTTGTAGCTCTTCCTAGTAAGTGGTGGGATGTTTCCTTACTCTTATTTCTGGGCTGGCCTCCTGTTTTGGCCACTTGAGTGCAGTAGAAGTAATTTTATGTAAGTTCCAAGCCCAGATCTTGAGAGGCCTGAGCACTTATAGTCTATCTCTTGAGATAATGCCATGTGTACAAACCAGAGGATGAGAGATCACATGCAGAAAGGCTGAAGTCTCCCAACTGAGGTCATCTACAACCATTCTGTGCCCAGTTGACCCACCATCTGACTGTGATGCATGAGCAAGCCCAGCCAACATCAACTGCCCAGCCAACCTATAGACTTACCAAAAAAAAAAAAAAAAAAAAAAAAAGAAATGCTGGCTGGGTGAGGTGGCCCATGCCTATAATCTCAACACTTTGGGAGGCCAACGTGGGAGGACTGCTTGAGCCCAGGAGTTCAAGACTAACCTGGGCAACATAGTAAGACCCCATCTCTACAAAAAAGAAAAAGGAAAAATAGCCATATGGTGGTGCGTGCCTGTGATCCCAACTATTTAGGAGGCTGAGGCAGGAGGATTGCTCGAGCCTGCAAGGTTGGGGCAGCGGTGAGCAGTGATTGTGTCACTGCACTCCAGCCTGGGTGGCAGAGCACCATCCTGTCTCTGGGGAAAGAAAAGGCAATGCTTATTGCTTTAAGTGATTTAACTTTGGGGAAAGCGTTAATTTAGATCATCTGAGAAGCAGATGCCAGCCAACATGGAATTAGATGTGCAAGAGATTTTTTGGATGAAATGCCTGTGGAGGATAAAGCAGAAAAAGAGAGAGAGGTGAGGAGAAACTTCAGCCTGAGATGCAGGTCTTATTTCCGTGACGAAAGAGAGGAAAGGAAGGATTGAATAGAAGAGTCTCAGACTGTAGCACAGTTCTAGGAAAATTCTGGTCAGCCTGATGGGTAGTCCTTGAGCGGAAGTCACTGTCTGAGGAACCCTGCGTATCACAGATGTTGGCCTCACTGGGCTCAGTCTCTGGCTGGTAGCAGCCTGGGGGAAGCATGGCCTCCACGGGAAATTGGGGATGAATAAAGAAGGGTAGCAGCTTAGACCATTAGTCCCCTCAGCAGAAGATCTGAGCAGCACAGGGCAGTTTGCCATGCAGCATTATTGGGGCAATAGAGAACTGCTCTGTAGAGCAAATAGGTTTCTGAGCCTCCAGGGATTTTTGTTGTGTCCTGTGCTTGATCTCTTTTCACCAAGCATGCCTCTTTGATTAAAACTACAGCAGAATCTTTTCCTTGAATAACATTAAAGTTTTAAAAAGTTCTCTGCTGACTACAGTCCCTAAACTGGAAATATCCTAACAAAAATGCCACAGACCCAACATTCCACTTCCCTAGGAGGCAGAGAAATATGCAAGTTGTTCATCATTTTGCCTAAAAAGGTGTCGCATGGTGTCCTCCACAGCGTGTCAGGAGGAAACAGAGTCCTTGGCTAAGAGGCTTTTCATTACCCAGTTTTGAAATTGGCTTCAACCTGTGAGATAAAATTTATGAAATATTGTTGTTGATGACAAATCCTTTATGTATCTGTGTGGCCTGGATTAGCATGCCTCAATATTACTGTTTTCGTAAAGCAATTTAATTACTAAGCATTTGCAATTACTATTATTAATTAGTTTTTTATAGACTTCTGGGAAGAAGATACAACCTCAGATTCAATTAACATTTATGGAGCTCTATTTATGTGCTAGGCACTTTGCCAGGGGTATATTTTATTGAATTCTCACCAAAACTATGGGAGGTACTTATTATCTCCATTTGCCTTGGTGATCACACTGTTGTAGAACACAGATTGGATGGAGTCAGGTCTTCTGACTTCACAATTTATGTACTCAGTATTCGACAAACATGCTTGAGCGTCTAGCAAATTCTAGGATCTGTACTAGAATTGTTGATAGTGATATCAACACAGTTTCTGTTCTTGAATTGCTCATAGATTACTAGGGGAGACAGATATCATATTCACACATACTCACTGAGCTCTGTGCTTTATCTGAGAGAAGCACAGGGCACTTCAGACACTGAGAAATGACACCTGTTACAAGCTGAATCGTATTCCTCCAAATTCAAATGAAGAACCCTAAGTCCCCCAGTACCTCACAATGTGGCTGTATTTGGAGATAGGGCCTTTAAAGAGGTAATTAAGGTAAAATGAGGCCACATGGTTGGACCCTAATTCATATGACTGGTGTCCTATTGAAGAGAAGAGTGGGACACAGACAGGTGTGTGCACTGAGGAATGACCACGTGAGGACACAGCAAGAAGACAGTAATCTGCAAGCAAGGAAGAACCCACCTAACAAGCCAACCCTGTCAACACCTTGAACTTGGACTTCTAGCCCTCCGAACTGTGAGAACCAAAGCTTCTATGGCATAAGACACCCAGTCTGTAGTGTTTTGTTACAGCAGCCAGAGCAGACTAATTCAGCACCTAAGTATACCGGGTGGGGTTGGGGACCGCAAGCTGACACAGGAGCCTCCCAAACAGAGAGGCAGCGGGATGTGGTAGAGACAGCATGGGACTGAGAGGAGTGAGCAGGCTTTTAGTCTCTGCCTCGCTATCGATGGACAGAAAATCCTGTAGCAAGGCACGGCCTCTCCCTGGACCTCAGTTTTCTGTCTGTGAAATGGGGGGATGAGCCTTGAAGCATGTTTCCCAGTATGTGTTTCTTGGAACACTGACCCCTTGAGACACTTCTCAAAAAAGGGATTGGTGGCTCTGTGATCCGATATATTTGGGATATTCACTCTGAGATATTCAGAATAGAGAGTTGCATATTATAGGTTCTGAAAAGTCCTGCAGGGAAAGAATCCTGTTTTATGTAGAATTTGCTCAACTTATTTAGCCATAGAACCTCATTTCCATGGCATACTCAATACTTGCATTCCAAGAAACTCCATTTGGGAGACTTAAGCTCAAGTGCATTATGTCTTTATTTTCCAACTCCAACACTAAGTGACTTAAAAAGAAAGAAAACATTTAAAAAAATCTCAAGTATAAAATAGTCAGAGGCTAGGGGTTAGACCTGTGACTTAAACTAGGAACCCAGAGAAGTAGTTATAACAACAAGGACAAACAAAAAGGAGATGATATTAATTTGGACTATGCTCTACTGCCTGATTCTTTTTGTTTCTAACATTTACACTTAGTTTTTTCTTGACTTACTTCTTTGGCCAAAAGTCACTGGACAGTGTTGAATAACAGTGGTGAGAGTGGGAATCCTTGGCTTGCTTCTGACTTTAATACAAATACTACAGTGTTTCGCCTCAATTTGTTGTTTGCTGCTGATCTGGAAAGCTTTCCTTTACTACATTAAGAAAATATCTTCCTATTTCTAGTGTTGAAAGAGCTTAAAACAGGAATCGTTGATGACTGTTAACAAAATTCTTTTTGTCTTTTATGGGGATAATTACATGATCTTTTCTCCTTTGAATTTTTAATTTAAAAATTATATTAATTGATAAAATGACCCTTACATTTTTAGGATAATTGTAATGTGGTCATGGTATAGTGTGATGCATTAACTGGTTTCAGAATTTCAGCCTAATACACTTACTGGCTTTCAGCTGACTAGTTAGATGTATATATTACAAAAAACACTTAAAAGAAAACAGATTTGTGCTAATGAGAATTTCACCATATCCTATCAGGGTGCTTTAGTTCCCATTAGATAATCAAACTGCCCGGCTCTGGTTCAAGGTGACATTAGTCAACTGATAATCTATTTGAATATTCAGTAATGCATGCATAGAATTTAATAATCTCCAGAGAGGCACTTCTAAGGAAAATTCTGTCATACAAATTTCAGTTTGTACACAAACAAATATTATGGAAACAGTTGTTTTTTTAAGGTTAAATTATAAAATGAGACCAAAAAAAGGCGCTTTAAAAGCATATGTTAACATTTTTCTTTTGCAAATTCTCCTTTATTAACTAAGTTTCATAAAATACTGATATATAAAAAATCTTTTTCTGATACACAGTTGCAGTTCTAGCTGTGAAAACACCACATCTGATATCTATTAAAAAATGCACTTACCTGTTTCTTTTCACATGATCCTAGGTAAAAAATGTGTTATCTTATCTAAACCTTTTCTCAGATTGACTTTTAGAATATGTAAACAAGAGAGCTGGGCTAATTATTATGATAAAGTAAAGTGGAAAAAATCATTAGGACTGATACTCTCTATCTCTTATCTTAATAATGTAAAACAAATAAAGAAAATAAAACACGAGGGGAAATTGCATAGGGCTGATTTATTTTCTAGTTAACCAGTTTATTTCACATTTATTTTTGATTTAAATGCTTATTCATATCTTGATAGTAATTTTCAGATACACATCAATGTCAAATTATTAATTTATGCTCATCTCAGCAATGTTACTCAGCCATGGAGATAATCAGGCTTTGGAGATCTTCAGAAAAACACACACATTAAGTCTGGTAACATCATTAACCTCTTTTCTCCTGCAACCATAGCAGTAACCATGGAGCTCAGCCTGTGTAAAATCACTGCTACCAAGACCATGGGAAAAAACCTACATGATTTTTCTAATCCCAGGAATTCTTACATAACTTCTCTGCTAAATGAGGAGCATGATTCAATGGATGATAGAATACTAGGGCTAAGAGGGACTCTTGGTTTGCTGGTGATAGCCCAGCTGGCTTTATCACCGGTATTCTCTTAATTTTTTGAATGGCAGTTGAAGACAAATGCCATATCAAGAAGTTGAAGAAAAGTCTGTGATAATAGCAGAGTAGTAATACCCTTTTTATGACAACTAGCAGATGTATGAACCCAGGCTAGGGATATTCTCATCTTTGAGAATCACAGAATGCAAGAAATGGGTGTGAACTTAAAGATCCTTTTGTTCCACTAGCTCATCTTAGATAATGACACTGGGTGCCAGAGGGCTTGACTGACATGCTTCCTCACTATGGCAGACAGCCTAGATGCTCATCTGTCTCATTTCTTTGTCTTGGGAGCCCAGGAAAACTACATTTCCCAAACATGTGGTTAGATTAGAGTACATGACTGCCCATGGGATGTGGGCAAAGGTGAAGTGAGTCATTTTAAGCTCAGCACAGTTCTCTTCTCTCACTCATTAGCTGAATGCAAAGGATCCTGGGGAAGACTCAGGAAATCCTAGAAGATGGTAGCACAAGATGAAAAGAACTGGCATCCCTGAAATACTACATGGAAGGCTAGACACATGAGTGAAAAATATACATTTACAGTGTTATGGTCACATAATTTGGTGGTGACAAAGCTAAACCCAACACTTCTAACATCCTGTCCTTGATCCCAAGTACATATCATCCTTTAGGCAGAATTATTTACCTCCAAAGACCCCAAGGGATTTTTTTTTTAATTGAAAACCTTCCAGAAGAGGGAAAATTTAACATTAGCAAGGCAGGAATGTCACAGTTGCGTGTATTTTTATTCTTTCAGATAGAGCTGATGGATAGTTGGGCAATTACTCAATGTGAAATGAACTGTGATTTCTTTTTTTTTTTTATTGCTTAGAAGACATGGAGAAACTTAGCAATATTTAGATGCCTCTGGACACTTCTCAGGAATCAAGGGAAATGACTCAGTCTGCTTGGGGGAGATAGGTTCATTTGTTTCTAGTGATTGCTTTTATACTTATTATTAGCTTGAAAAATGATTAAGAAATGATTAATGATTGAGGGGAATATTCCACACGACTCTGGCCTGTGGAATGAGTGTTGATCTCATATTCAGATCCGGATGGCATCTCTCTATAAAATCATGAATGAGTCCTACAGCCGTATCACTTTATCTTCATGGAGAGGTGAAGAAAATATTTGCTACTCTTCCAGCCACTGTGGTAGACTCATTGATATACCCTACTGTGCCAGAAAGAGTGAATCCTGTTTCATAGTTTCAAATACTGAGGTTTTTAATAAGGTCTCCTGTAAAATTTTTTTTGGTCCTTGTTATATTTTTCTGATATGTATTTCTGATTTAAAAAAATTTCGGACTGGGACACAGTATGATTTGCTGTTAGCCTTCTCATGTCATTTATTTTACATTGTTTTGTTGGAAAAATTGGAATTGTTTTGAAAGATGAATGGTTTTTTTTTTTTTGTTTGCTTTTTTTTTTTTTTGAGACAGAGTCTCACTCTCTTGCCAGGCTGGAGAGCAATGGTACAAACTTGGCTCACTGCAACTTCTGCCACCTGGATTCAAGAGATTCTCCTGCCCCAGCCTCCTGAGTAGCTGGGACTACAGCTGCGTGCCACCATGCCCAGCTAATTTTTGTATTTTTAGTAGAGATGGGGTTTCACCATGTTGGCCAGTATGGTCTCAATCTCTTGACCGCATGATCCGCCCGCTTCAGCCTCCCAAAGTGCTGGGATTACAGGCATGAGCCACCGAGCCTGGCCAGAAAGATGAAATTCTTGATGAACATTTTTAACTTGAATTGAGCCAATTGACATGTTGTTCAGTTCCCAGACAGATGAGTTGTAATTGGCTTCCTCCAGGGACTGCAGCATAATTTTCAGGGGAGATTGAGAAGCAGTTTGACTTAAACCAATATCTATTTTAAGAAGTTAGAAAAAGGACAGCAAAATAAATCCAAATAAAGTAGAAGGAAAGAAATAATGAAGATGAGGGTAGAAATTATTAAGATAGAAAACACACATAAAATAAAAAGGATAAACAAAACCAAAGTTTGCTATTTGAAAATACTAACAAAATTGATCAAGAAATCAGTTGGCAAAACTGATCAGAAAAACAGCAGGTTGCTCTTATTTTCTACTATATTCACTTAAGGCTATAATTTTCCCTCTTACAACTACTTTGGCTGCAGCCCACAAGTTTTAAAAGTACATTTTTTGTTAGCATTACATTCAGACTTAATTTCCAATTCCATTATGATTTCTTCTTTGGCCTACAGATTTTTTAGGAGTATATTTCTTAATTTCCTAATATATGGGTGTTTTCTTATTTTCCATATGATTTCAATCATTTCAAATTTGATGAGAGTTTCTTTTTGACCTGTCATATATTCCTTTTTAAAAAATATTTCGTTTGTGATCAAAAGACTTGAATTTGGTAGAGTTCTTTATATGCCTATTGATATAAGTATATAATCATGTTGTTAATGTCTTTTATGTTCTTCCTAATGTTTATCTGTCTGTAAGAAAACAGAAGATTTCAATAACATAATCACAAATAACAATCAGTTTCTGAGAGAGATGACTATAGATTTGTCTGGTTCTCCTCTTTGCTTTGTAAACATTTCTCTACATATTTTGAGGCCATATTTTTAGGTGTATACATGTTGGTCAAACAAACCTTTTATTGTCATATAGCATATTTTTAATCTCTAGTAACAATTTTTGCCCTAAAGTTTACCTAGTTTAATATTGATATACTAGTCACACCAACACTCCTTTGGTTATTGTTTTCATAGAATATATGTAAATACTATATATAAGATGTTATATATATTGTATATAACTATCTTTTACTTTGTCTTTTTTATTCCTTATGTTTTAGACATGCGTGTTATAAATTACATACTGTATCTTTTTCTTCTTAAACCCAATATGACCATCTTTGTCCATTAATTGGAACATTTGACCCATTTATGCAGTGAAAGGTATTATGTTAGAGAAATAAAACTAAACTTGTGAAAAAAAAGTTAGACCCCAGTTAGTAGCTTGGCTTGGGGTTGTAGACAGTAAGATTTATTTGACCTACTGGCTGGAAAAGCCCTTCCTGTGTCTCTGGATGGTACCCACACAAGTCAGAGACAAGACAGGGTCCTCTGGGGCATTGCTTTTTGCTTCTGAGACAGTCATCTTATCAGACGGAGCACAGAAGATGGCAGGCAGGGGAGACCCGCCTAGTCAGCCAGATCAGCCCTATTCACCCTGACTCCTAACACACGAGAAATGTCAGGCCAGATTGCCCTCACACCCGGAATGCCCCGAGGGCTGTTCCGTTCCTTCTGTAGTCCCCAGTGACTGGCAGCAAAGTGGCCATGTGTGGATTCTCAACCTTCTATGCACATTTGGGACTGTGATGTGGGAGAGAGTTTTTTTTCTGTTTGGGCTTTATCTAAGGATAATTTACTTCTGAAGGATGACAACCTTTTCCCCACTTCTATCCCAGATTTTAAAAATCTGCTGACATGATTCCAGTTCTTTCTGTAGCCTATTCAAGGTTGGGGTGATAAAGTTCCCTGTGTAGTCCTGACTATACTATTTTTATGAGCTTTTACCTGTTTATTTCTTCCATGTGGACTCTGAGCAGATGAAGAAGACTGCCTCTTGTTGATCTTTGATCTCCCTTGTATCCCGGCATGCCATCAAATGATGGTGATATGAAAATTGAATAAATAATCTAGGCAATAGGTATTTTATTGGTAGTATGGAAGAGTTCAGTAATATGAGATAAAAGATTCTTTCACATCTATTCACAGACTTTTCTTTGGGAATTTATTTCTATTAAGAGGTAAGACAGGCTTAATTATTATTTATAACTTCAAGTTTAAAACTATGTCTTCTTTTTATCTCAGTTTGTAGTGCAAATCCCTATTTTTTCATTAAATTCTTCTCAGCAGCTCTTGGTGTTTTTCTTCCTTCTGAGAGGAGTTGGCACTGATAATTACTCAACATGGCAGTTACCTGGTTTTTGTCTGTTAAAATCTAACTGTCTCCATGATGTTCAGGTTTCAGTAGAACGATGTGTCACCAAGAATCTTAAGCCCTTGTGGCTCGATTCTTCCTGCCAGGTAGGAGATAAATATCTTTCAAGACATAAGATGCTTTAAAGCAAGATTATATCATCTACAATAACACTGCAAGCTGTCCAGCTATTGGCTGACATTGTTTTGAACGTGAAAGAAGCTCAACATCTCCTCCAAGCATTTAAATTATAAAGTGAGATCTGTGCCCCTTCAACCAAAACAATCATAGTATCCATGAGGACTCTGCCCTGATGAAGATAGCTGCTTCGCAAATGGGGAAGGACTATTGGAAACCGAATGGACAAAGGCAGCTCTTTCTGAATAATGGCCTCTGAGAGAATCATGATATCATTGGTCATCATTTGGGATGTGCTCTGGGCTTTGGGTGTATAAAATGATTCATTCTAAGTTTTCAGTTCATAGAGTGCTGGTAGATGTTCAGGACTTAGTTTTAGTAGAATATAGGTTGATATCACATCCCCATGGTTGAAACAAAAAATAAATCTGGAAAGTTCTTATATGTTTTAAAGCCAGGCACAAGAGACAGGACAGAAACTACCACATATTTGATACAGTTTTGGGATACTCTCAAGGCCTTCCTCCCTGGTATGGAACTGAGGCTGTCTCAGCCACAGACACTATTTGGGAGGTCCTCCTTTTCTGGCATTTAGAGGAAAGGAATTCATTCTGGAGTTAGAGAAGAAAGGGAAATTGATCTTGGGCACTGAGATGTTAGCAGAGCTTTACTAAGAAGCTGCAAGATTATATTAAAAAAACTGATAATAGTAGTGCCCACAGAAATACCAGGGGAAAACGGTCATAAGAAATCAGCATGGTATGGTGGAGGGAGGGATACTAATGTCAGTGTTTCTCCATGGGAACTGTGTTGGCATCTTTGGGAGGACAACTCTTCTTCCGAGGAGTGCCCTGAACAATGCAAGACATTTAGCATGCCTAGTGGTTAGGGCAGTAGCACCCCCTTAGTCACTGTTTAACAGTGCTCTCTGGGGGGTGATGCTGTCCTCCATCTAGGGCCACTGGTAGGTGTTCAAGAATCCTGTACCTGACTGGGCTTTGCTAGTAATAGACTGTGAGTTTCTAGACAAATCATGTTACCTACGTAGACCTTTATTTCTTCATCTGGAAAGTTAAAAGGATTGAAAGTTCTATAAGATTTCTTTCAGCTCTTATGTCCCTTGGCTCTTTAATATCTGAGTAAAAGAAATAGTAATGGGCTCTCTGGATTCTAAAAAGAAGACTAAGTGCACCCCCAAAAATCATAAGAAAAATTTAAGTCTGAGATGATTATCAAAGAAACTAAATATGAGTAGTAATGTTTAGTGAATTGTAGGCACTGTGGCTCCTTCAGGGCTGATGAGAATCTTTTTTCTTCTTATTTTTTTTCCTTCCCTGAATAGTGACTCATTTCTATTTGTATTGGGTGGGAATGCGAAGGAGATCAAATAAAAGGGGAGAGTAAAAAGTTGTATAATTTTAAGTGAGCTGGATGAGAAATAATTTATAATGTCATTGCTAGCCTACTGTTCATTTCATTTTTAACATCTCCCCTCTTCCACCTTAGCCCTCCCTCCAAGGGCCAGGCTTTTATCACTGGGATCATTTGATAAAAGTCCTGCTTTGCTGTGTGAGATTGCAAAAAGGATCTGTGTACCCAGGAACATTCTCACCATTTTCAAAGTATCCAATTTTTGTCTCACTTTCTTGGTAGAAACGTTTCCCCTTGGGGTGTTCTTACTCACTTGAGTGCTTTAAGTCCACATTAATACACTTATTTAACTAGACCTTTAATCAATATTTCATTGGATGTATTGAGGAGACCCATTTAATCTCTTTTAGTCTCTGCAGGTGCAGGAGTGAGAGAAAGCACTGGCCCGAGAAGACGGGCGTCATTTACACACAAATGAAGATGTTCCTATTGATCATGGGCTTGTTGGGATAATAATACTTGTGATGAATCATTTATAGGAAAGGGACAAGGCATTTTATGTTTTACAGAATGGGATTTTTGGCTCCTTAAATATGTATCAGAGTACCATTATTGAAGGAGTCAAGTATGACCACTGGATTGACTTCCTGGCAAGAAAAAACACTAATAAAAATAAAATAACTTGAATAGCCAGAAAAATTGGGACCACAAATGATTCCACTATTTGCAAATTGGGATATCTGAAGAGATCTTGGACTTCTATCATCCATGGACAAATAAGACTCAATGAGTGGGAAGGTTAGAGTGGTGTTTAGAATGGTAATTTCTTTTTGGTAATGTTTACAGTATGGTGGTAAGTAGCCTGGGATTTGGAATCAAGAGGTCTTAGCTCAAATTCTGGCCCTAACACTGACTATCTAGAGTGGACGTTTTACTTTACATCTTTCAAATGTCACTTCCTGAGCTATAAAATATTGATTAATACATACCATGTGTTAAGCACTTATTGTGTGCAAGGTACCCATCTACATTCTTAACATATATTATCTTTTATAATCCTCAAAATTATCTTCAGAGAAAAACACTATTGATTACTGTAGCCATGTAGGAAGTCTGTAAAGTGGATTTTTTTTCCCTTTTTTCTTCTATTTCAAGTTTTAGTTCCTTTGTCTTTTCACAGAAATTTTAGAATAAGTTTGTCTTATTACCTTACTGGGATTTTTATAGAAATTGCATTCAATCTATGGACCAATTTGGGGAGAAATAACATCTTCACTATGTTTAGTTTTCCAATCCATGAAAATGGTATGTCTCTTTATTTCAATCTTTGATTTCTTTCATCAGCTTTTCGTAATTTTCAAAATACCAATCCTGTACATATCTTGTTAGATTTATATGTAACTACTTCATTTTTTGGAGTAATTATAACTGGTATTGCATTTCCTAATTTTTGTTTTTACATATTCATTTCTATAGAAACATGGTTGATTTTTGTTTGTTGTTCTGGAGTTTTGCAACTTTGCTAACCTCACTTATTAATTCGAGGATTTTTGTCAGTGAATTCTTGGGATTTTCTATGTAGACAATCATTTCATCTGCAAATAGGGAAAGTTTTATTTCTTCATTTCCAACTCATATGTCTTTTATTTCCTTTTCTTACCTTATTGTGCTGGCTAGGACTTCTAGTATTATATTGAATAAGAGTGCCAAAAGTTGATGTATTGTAAATATTTTTTAATTTCCTGTATATTATCATAATGTTTTCATATCCTAAAACAAACAAAAAACCCTTTTTGACCAGGGCCAGACTGCCCCTCCTGGGGCTAGCCAATTTAGTCAGGAGCATGCCTTTAATATGCAAACTCACTAATTCACAGCCACATCTCCTCTAACTGGCTGTACACCCCAGATGGCAATATTCCTCTGTTTTAACCATCTGAGAGCCAGGTGCCAGGCAACTAGGGACCACCTCTGTGGCTTAAAGCCTGCCAAAATTATTTAAGGTAGCCAGTCCTAAACTGTTCACCCTGCTCTGTCTTGCCTTCGTCTCAAAAACCCCAATGAAGGCAGTGGCCTAAACCTTTCCCCTTCTCCTGTCTTCTGCCTCCTGATTATTCCAATGACTTTCCCATGTGACCCTGTGTGGATTGCCATGCCTCCTATCTCTAGGACCTGAGAGTATAATAAACTTTGCCTTTCTCAATCTCTCCTTTGTCTTTCATACCTATCTGAAAATCTCATAAAAGAATACAAAACAACCAACATCCTTGCTATGTTTCCAATCTTAGGGAGAAAGCATTCAGTTTTTTACTATTAAGTATAATGTTAGTTGCACAATTTTTGTAGATATTCTTTATCAAATTGAGAAAATCCTTCTTGATTTCTGGTTTGCTGAGAGCTTTTTATCATAAATGGATGTTGATTTTGTCTAATGGTTTTTTTGCATCTATTGATATGAGCATAAGCTTTTCCTTATTTAGTTTGCTAATATAGTGAAATGCATTAATTGGTTTTTAAATGTGAATCTACATTTGCATTATTGGGAAGAACTCCACTTGGTTGTGCTGTATTATTCTTTTTACATATTGCAAGATTTGATTTGTTAATACTTTGCTGAGAATTTTTAAATCTACCTTCATGGGAGATATTGATCTGTAGTTTTCTCATAATATCTTTGATTTCAGTATTGAGATTTAAAAAATTTAAATGTTACATTTTTGAGCTGGTGTATAGTAAAGCTATTAATTTTTCCATATTGTTCTATGTCAGCCAGCTCCTTGAAATTGTGTTTTAATTCTAATACTTTTTAAAGTGGTTTCTTGAATGTTCTAGGTAGACAATTGTTAGACAATTATAACTTTTGTTTACAAAAACACTTTGGGGCCGGGTGCGGTGGCTCATGCCTGTAATCGCAGCACTTTGGGAGGCCGAGGTGGGCAGATCACCTGAGATCGAGAGTTCATGACCAGCCTTACTAACATGGAGAAATCCCCTCTCTATTAAAAATACAAAAATTAGCTGGGCGTGGTGGTGCATGCCTGTAATCCCAGCTGCTCGGGAGGCTGAGGCAAGAGAATCACTTGAACCTGGGAGGCGGAGGTTGTGGTGAGCCAAGATCGTGCATTGCACTCCAGCCTGGGCAACAAGAGTGAAACTCTGTCTCAAAAAACAAAACAAAACACTGTGGTCTCTCTCCAACTCCCAACTTGATACACTTTTTAGATATTTGTGCATTTTCTAATGCCTCTCAAATCTTTACAACAATTTTAGTAATTTAAAGCTTTACATGGTATTTGTACATAGTATTTACTGGTAAAATTAACCTCCTACCTACCTGTAGTTGTATTTCTTTTTCACTTGTAATTTTTGCAACTGTGTGCTCACTCTTCTGTCTCTCTCCTGACTGGACACATCAGAACTTTAACTTTTTAACTGACCTTAGAAATAATGGCCTTTAATTTTATGATGATCTATTCTTTCTGTAGATTTTTTATTTTATTAATTTATGTTCTTATTTTTAGTTAATTTCTTCTTTAGGCTGGCTGTGGTAGCTCACACCTATAATCCCAGCACTTTGGGAGGCCTAGGCAGGAGGATCCTTTGAAGACAGGAGTTTAAGACCAGCCTGGGCAGAATAGCAAGATTCTGCCTCTATAAAAAATTTTTAAAAATTAGCTGAGCGTTTTGGTGTGAGCCTGTAGTCCCCCGCGATTCTGGAGGCTGAGGTGGGCTCACTTGAGCCCAGGAGTTTGAGGCTTCAGTGAGTCATGATCATGCTAGCACCCTCCAGCCTGGGTGACAGAGTGAGACTTTATCTCAAAAAACAAAAACAAAAACAGAAACAAAACGCCTCCTCATTTAATTTTTTAGCTTCATTTATTGAATGTTTAGTTTATTTGTTTTCAGGCTATTGATTTTTCTTTGAGCACTCTTTGGACACATTTCATAGATATCAAAATATTATGTTTTCATTATCTAAATAGTTTAAAGTTTCAATTTTGTTTTTGTCTTTAATGCAAGAATCATTTAGAAGGTTTTTTTTTTAATTTTTTTAAATTGTTTTATTTTTGAGACGGAGTCTCGCTGTCGCCCAGTGGAGTGCAGTGGCGCGATCTTGTCTCACTGCAGGCTTCGCCCCCGCAGGGTTCACGCCATTCTCCTGCCTCAGCCTCCCGAGTAGCTGGGACTACAGGCGCCCGCCACCTCGCCCGGCTAATTTTTTGCATTTTTAGTAGAGACGGGGTTTCACCATGTTAGCCGGGATGGTCTCGATCTCCTGACCTCGTGATCCGTCCGCCTCGGCCTCCCAAAGTGCTGGGACTACAGGCGTGAGCCACTGCGCCCGGCCTCATTTAGAAGTTTTTAAAAATTTGCAAGTGGATAGTTTTTTTGTGTGTCAAAACTTAAAATAATCCTGATGTCATTACTTTGTAGTCAAAGAATGTGGCCTGAGTGACTTCTGTTAGTGGAGTTTATAGGGATTTCTTGTGGCCTACTACACAATCAATTTTTATTCCCATAGATATTTGCAAAGAATTTTCTAATTTGGAGATAGAAAATTCTATATATATGCAGATATATATTCAAATATCAAACTAAATTGTTCAATCCTCTGTATACTTACTTTTAAAAAGTCTTTCAAAGTTTTCCCACTACTATTGTAATTTTGTGAATTAGTGCTAATACTATCATCAGCATCATTATATATTTCAATGCAATACTTTTTTTGTACACAACTATTTTATCTATATTTTGAATTTTTGTCTTTTAGCATTGTAAAAAAATCTCATTTTCTTATTTAAAGCCATTTGCCTCTAAATCTATTTTGCCTACCACTAAAATAGTCATTTCTGTTTTCTTTGTGTTAATGTTGGCTTGGCATCTCTTTGATTATCATTTTACTTTCAGTTCCTCTATATGAGTTAATTTTAGTTGTATTATAGCATAAGACAGTTTTCTAAAATAGGAATTTGATCTACTCTCATTTATTTTGATCTTTAATGTACTTGGACTTAATTACTTCGATGTTATTTTATATATTCTATTTACCATGTGTCTCTACCATTTTCACATTTTCCTGTGTTTACTGGTTGTATGGAGTTTTCTTTTTCTTTTTCTTCCCCCTTAGGCGAGTTGAAAATTTGCACTATTTGCTTTCCTTAAAAACAGACTTTACTTTTTAGAGCAGTGTTAGGTTCCTGGCAGAATTGAACAGAAAGTACGGAGTCCCTGTATGCCCTCTGCCTGCACACATGCACAGCCCTCACTATCAACAACTCCCACCAGAGTACTGCATTTATTACAACCGACGAACCTACACTGATGCATCATTATCATCCAAAGTCCATAGTTTATATTAGGGCTCACTCTTGATATACATTCTGTGGGCTTTGACAAATGCACAATGACAGCTATCCACCATTGTAGTATTACACCGAATAATTTCACTGCCCTAAAAACCTTCTGTGCTCCACCACCTATGTATCCCTCTCTGCTCCTTAGTCCCCAGCAACCACTGAATTTTTTTTTTATACTGTCTCTGTAGTTTTGCATTTTCCCAAATGTCATACAATTGAAATCAAACAGATGTAGCCTTTTCGGATTGCCAGATTGACTTCTTTTACTCAGTAATATGCCTTTAAGTTTCCTCCAAGTCTTTCCATGGCCTGATAGTGCATTTTTTTTTAGCCTGAATAATATTCCATTGCCTGAATGCACTACAGTTTATATTGTCCATTCACCAGCTGGAGGACATCTTGGTGACTTTCAGGTTTTGGCATTTATGAATAAAACTGCTATAAACATCCATGTTTATAGTTTTTTGTGTGGACATAAATTTTCAACTCATTTGAGTAAATACCAAGGAAACTTATTGTGGTAAGTGAGTATGTTTAATTTTGAAAAAAAACTGTCAAACTGTCTTCCAATGTAGACGCACCATTTTGCATTCCCACCAGCAATGAATGAGAGTTCCTGTTGCTCCACATCCCTGCCAGTATTTGGTGTTGTCAGTGTTCTGATTTGGGCAATTCTAATAGGTATGTATTGTTTTAATTGGTATTTCCTTAATGACATATGATGTGGGGCATCTTTTCATATGCTTCTTTGCCATCTGTAAATCTTCTTTGGTGAGCACTATCTTTTAATTACTTGAGTGACTGTTCTTAACATTTTTATAAACATGGAAATGTATTTGTTGGGTACTTAAATTATAAAAGCAGCACAAACTTGTTTAAAAATCTATTAATATAGAAGTCTAAACAGTAAAAGTGGAAGTCTGCACACCCCTGGGACAATCATTAATAAATATACTTCCAAACTTACTGATGCATAAATAAGTATACACATAATTTTCCATATAAATATGACTATACCATATATGGTATAATATATTTAGTCTCTGCCCCTACAAATTTTGTGTGTAGTTGAAATCATATCTAATTTATTTCAAGACTGCTCACCTTTTAAAAATATTTTGCCTTAATATTACTAACAATGGCATCAAAATCACAGCCACATTACAATTCTTTAGCCCTAGTTAATCTTCTGCCATTATGTTTACTTACCAGCAAGGCTTTTATTTGAAGTCTTCCTCTTTGTTGATTTTACTTATTGTTTTGCTGAGGAATTCTCTTTCATTTTTTTTTTCAGAAGGGGCACATGTATGATGAACTTTTAAAGCCCTTGCCTTTCTTTAAACATGTTAATTTTAGCCTACATGCTAAGTAATAATTTCATTGTCTTCCAGCATTCTGTGTTGCAAAAATGAAGTTGGGCCTTGGTCAAATACTATTTCCTTTGTAAATAACTCATTCTTTCATCTTCAAGATTAGTTTAGAAATATAATATACAATTAGGTAAATTTCTTTATTCATCACTTTTGTTCAGTAGTCAATAGTGAGGTCTTAAATCTTTATTCATTTCAGTAAAATTGTCCTCTATTATTTCTTTAATTTGGTCCCCCTTCTCCAGTCTGCCTTTTCTTTCTTCTCTTTCTGTTAAGTAGATAGTTTAGTGAATTTCTATTAAGTGAATCTTCTAAATATATTCCCTAAGCCTTTTTTGTAATTTTTTAAATTTCTTTGTTTATTATTCTATTTTCTGGGAAATTTCTTTTCTTTATATTCCAGATCTCTAATTTGGTCCTTGGATGGTCCATTTTATTACTTTACATTTTAGCATTTCTTTTGACCAATTACTTCTTCTTTTTTTATTACTACTTTAAAAATAGCACCTTGCTCTTTTTCCATGAATAAAACATCCTCCTGAGAGCTTCTGAGGATGCTATTTAGAAATTTCTCTTCTGTTTTTTGTAACTTTTGCTTTTTTCAATTTCTTCAACATTTTTTCTGCTTGTTCATTTTGGCTCTTTTCGTTGGTGTTGGTGTTTCTCAAAGGTCTAGTAATCTTTAATTGACCGTTTTTATTTATAAATGCATAGATTGCATTTTTCTTGGGCATATTTGTATTCATACTAGATTTCTCTCCGAATGGAAGGAATGACTAAAGGTTGGGCCTCATAATGGGCATATTTCTCTTTTAGAGTGAAAGAGGGAGGGAAGTCAGGGTCTTATAACCTTGCCAAAACAAGGAAGACTTTACCCTGCTATTAGAAAACTTTTTAGGGCTTTCATTCCTGAAAGAGCCCCATTTCTTACCTATCCACCTACGCTGCGTGGTCCATTATAAAGGACTAGAATTTCCTGGAGCTCTGCTCTAGTTTTCTCTTTTTTCCAAACTCAAAAATTTCCTCTCCATCCCCTCCTCCCAACAGAGAGGTCTTGCCTCCACGGGAAGCTGGCAGACACCAAGGCAGGCCTCTCATCTACATGCAGAGGTGCATGGGGACAGCAGCCCCACTGCTCTACCAGCAGTCTTTTACTTAATTTTTCTGAGGATTGCCCTGTAGCCAGGGACTACTCCACCTTCCTGTGCTAGTATTCTCTGAGTTTGGAGGTTCTAGAATCCTTGGGAAGAGCAGCTCTGTTCCCTGCAACAGCCCCTTTTTATTGTTGCAGTTTGTTTCATTCTGATTTCTCTATCAGTTTGATCTTACTAGATTTCTAACTTCCAGAAATTCTCCCAAACATATGGTCTACTGGCGGTATCCTTTCCTGTTCCCCAAGGTGTAGCAAATTTATTTTTTAATTATATCATTTGTGTCATTTCAGATGAATTTTGGGAGAGAGAGGAGGTAAATATTTGTCATCAGTCTGTCACATTGAACTGGAAGTCTTCACCTAGTTTTAATCCATAAGTAAGGTTCTACAGGCTTAGCAATTGGAAGCTGTCACCAGTATCTAGATTCTGATTTTAATTGTCTTTTAATTTCTAATGAAATGTCCATATCAGGAGTTCTTTAATTTAAATTTCTTTTAATTTCTAAATGAAATGTTTATATCAGGAGTTCTTGTTCTAGAGTCCATGGATTCCCTAGATATCAAAGAAGTCCCAATCTATTCTCTGGAGGGCTTTCAGAAGAAAGAATTAGAATAAAACCCTTTAAAAGTATTTCTTCATGGACATCTTAAAATGGCTATGGACAACTAATGAGAGATAAATAAGATCTAAAATCACATATATTCTTCAGGGAAGCTTTATACAAGGTGATTGTCTCCAGCATTTTACTATGAACAATTTTAAACATACAGAAAAGTTGAAAGACTTGTACAACAAACACCCGTATACTCACTCAGATTCTACAATACATTTAACTTTATGTGGTTTATATTACATCTATCTATCCCTCTATCCATTCAAAAATTCTTTTTTCCCTTTTTATGTATTTCCAAGGAAGTTACATATATTAGTGTACTTTAGAAGATATTTTTAAAATGTCAGTCCATATTCTCTGACTTCCTTTCCACTCTTCTTTCTTTCTGTCATCACATTCTCATACCAGCAAGAGGTGAGCTTCTCTCTGGATACCAGGGCTGTCCTTGCTTGGCTGGCTAGGGTGGAAGTTTAGACATGCAAACCAAACCGGCTGCTTTAAGGGCCAGCTGAAGGTCAACTCTTCTATAAAGACTTGGCCAGATGGGTTGGCAATCCTTTCTCCTGTGGTCTCAGAAACTTCAGGCACATCTCTGTGCATAGTAGATGCACTTGACAGCAATAACTTAAGAAATGAGGATTGCCACATGAAGGTTGCTGACAGGAGGGTGCTAAGTGAAAATGCTATATAAACTGCATGCTTCTTATAAGAGTAGATAAGAAGTTGCAGTTCTCCTGTCCAGCCCGGCACCACTGGACTGCCCTGTAAGTTCCCCCAAATAAACTCTATGTTTCATTCACTGGCTCTGGGTTCTCTCCTTTCACCTCTTGAACCTGGTGCCATCTCTATTGAAGTTAACAGGGGCCCAGCAGGACACTCTGTTAAGCTAGTCATCAGACTGGTGTGATTCTTCCTTTATATGAACATCTCCCCTTCTGACTATAGTATACTATGCACGTATGTGTCTGCGTGTTTACATGTGCACTTGTGGGGAACAGTGGGTTAGTGGCTAGGTCTTATTTATCTCTGTATTCAAGTGCTAAAACAGTTCCTGGAATATATTAAGTGAATAATCAGTGGATGAACAAAGGAATCAATGCTTGCTTGACTAGAATAGACAAATCAGTTCAAAACTGTTTTTGTGATCATCGCATTTTGACTTGGTAGATTAAATTAGAATGATTGCTTTGCCTAAGAGTGTTTGTAGTCTACACAGTTGGTATGGTTTTGGCATCATGTTTAAAGAAAGTAAAAAGATGGCCCATGTGAGACTCTTTACATGATTCCAGGTTTAACACTCAACATCCAGAATAGATAATACTGAAAGAATGGAATGAATCTATCAGATCATAATCTCAGGCTCATGGCCAAACCTAATGTTGCCTGTTTTGCTTTGCCAGTGTCATCAGAAACTTTATAAATATACATATATATATATTTTTTTTTCATTAGGAATAATAGACCCCATGCCATTGTAAAGAAATTGTTTCTGATTTTCACTTTTCCTCATTGATATGGTTTGGTCCTGTGTCACCACCCAAATCTCATCTCAAATTGTAATCCCCATGTGTAGAGGGAGGGACCTGGTGGGAGGGGATTAGATCATGGGGGGGTTTCCCCCATGCTATTCTCATGATAGGGAGGGAGTTCTCATGAGATCTGATGCTCTAAAAGTGGCAGTTTCTCCCGTGCTCTCTCTTGCTCCTGCTGCCTTGTGAAGAAGGTGTCTTGCTACCCCTTTGCCTTCTCCATGATTGTAAGTTTCCTGAGGCCTCCCAAGCCATGCAGAACTGTGAGGAAATTAAACTTCTTTCCTTTATAAATTTTCCAGTCTCAGGTATTCTTTCCAGAAGTGTGAAAATGGACTAATACACTCATTTTTAAAAGTTTTCCAAGGTTAATTTTAGTAACTGATCTAACAATACCTATCTCAATAGCTGAAGTGAAATCTTGCATCTTGCCCCAGCTACCCTACATGCCATGCTTTCCTTTGAGCTTAGGTGATCCAAGAGCCATTCACACAAAAGAAACTCAGACAGGTGTTAAGTAGGAACCAACATCTATTGATGACTTGACACTATGCTAGGTAGTTTACATTGGTTGTTTTTGTCTCAAATCTCCTTCAATTGAGGGGAAATTGGATTAACTGGCTGAAATCATTCAGTTGAAAGATCTGCATGGTTAATGGTCATTGGTTGCTTTCTGACTTGAGATTAAGGGACTGTTCCTCCCCTTTCAGGTTTGTCTTGATGGTTTAATATTAATACTGAAGAGCAGTGCCAGAAAACTAAGCCACCAAATCAGGCCCACAAGGGGTACTGAGCTCACTTCAATAAATAAAATAAAAGGGTACTTCAGTGTGTTCTCTGGTGGACAAGGTCAGGGGGAG
Organism: Homo sapiens; assembly: GCF_000001405.40. Lineage (NCBI taxonomy): Eukaryota > Metazoa > Chordata > Mammalia > Primates > Hominidae > Homo > Homo sapiens. The sequence goes on from NC_000007.14 coordinate 35,302,662, forward strand.
ACCTGGGCCAAGCTTTTGCTTTGTGCTCAAGTCACAGATTCCTGATCTTTAAGTCAAGGATGCAGACCCATTCACTCTCCACAGGTAGCTTGTATCCCTCTTGCTTTTTCTTTTCTTTTTTTTTTGGTAACCCTAGGAGTTCATTTTACCAAAGATAACAAATGTGGCCCTGGAGGAGATTTAAGGAAGCAAGTATGATTCACCCTAGGAGAACTAGGTCCTTCCTGAGCCCAGTACACCTGCGGGAAGCACCCCAGAAGCCTGCCCCATCCTGTGGCTTGAAGGCATCTCCAAGCACCATTCAGTGGCTGGTTTCCCTAAGATGCAACTTTGGGGCAGTCTGCCTGTGAGAGTAGATAAGAAGTGAGCTTAGCAGCATCTTTTATCAGCTGCTTATGCTCACAGAGGACAGATGATCTTCAAGGAGTTGCTTAGAGATTTAAAGCACTGATGTGACAAGGATGCTTTGATTCCAACGTCTCAGCCCTCTCCCTGCAGCCAGTGTTTACATAAACTTGAAAAAACCTGCCACTACTGTTCATCGCCCTCGTTTTTCAACCTTAATGGTAATTACATTCCAAGGACTAGGAGAGATTTTCCCTCTCCTTCAAGTCTGGGGTTAGATATTCCCTTTGACATGGCGTTGGAGCTTTGGAACCCGGTGCTGGGGGCAGGGGTGGGGTGAGTTGAAGGAGACACTGCTTTCTGATAGGGTTTTTAAATCAATTCTTAGAAAGCTTTAGCTTGTATATTTATTGTTTACTTTTTTATTATTGTGTAAGCAGAGTTTTGACTTAAACTTGAAATTTATTTTTGCTTGAATGTATCAAAACTTTGCATGTAACTGAAATTCAAAAATGAAAGTTGTGGCTTTCTCCCTGCACTCAGTGAAGTTTGTGATCTCTTCTTCCCAAGCCCCTGGCCTCCTATTATTTCCCTCACCATGCTTCACTCTCAAACTCAGCTCTTGTCTTCTCTCTTTATAGCCCTTCTTTACAATGGCAAAGATGGGGCTGTGAAGGAGAGAGATCTGTCTCATCCATTCAGAATCCCAAATCAAGACAACAGGAAGGAACGTTAAGAATGGAGACTGCTACCCCAAATCAAGGACATATGCCTGCCCTTTGGCCAGCTTTACATGTCTCTCCCTTACCCTCCATGTCCAATGGGCCTTGAATGTCCCTACCACCATCTCTTTTTCTTCCTCAATCTATTTTTGTCCCATTGCAAGTGCACATTTTCCTTTAAGAGTAAAGGAAAAACAAAAGACTTTGGATGGGGAAAAAGAGTAGTATGTGATGATGCAATTGCTTTTTCGTCTTTCTCCACTCTGTGTTTCTAACCAAGCCCTAAAAGATGGAGTTGGCCGGCTCCAGTAGACCAGATCTTGGATTTTGAGCAACCTGGCCACTTCCAGGTAGTTTCTGATCTCCATTTGGCACAATGAGTGCCACTGAACACTGGCCCTGACCTGGTGCTTTGGCCAGCCCTGCCCCTAGGGTGATCATTGGGATGGTGCCAAGAGCTGTGGACACAGCCACCCAGATGAAAGAAATTTGGGTCCTATTTCTAGAATCCAGAGCAAGGATGCTGGTGGAATCTTTCCTCTCCTCTCAATGGCCAGTCTCTGGCAGACTTCTTCTTCATTTGCCCAGGAAAGCCAGCTTTCAACAGCACAGGATTTCAAGAGGTTTCATCCTGCTCTGGTATGCAAAGGTTGGCCCAGAGAAGAACTCCTGGCTTTTCTTAAAACCAGTTATGCTTGGCTGGAAATATGTACTCCATAGGGTTTGATAAACAGATCCTGGCATTTTTTCAACTTGTCTATCTTAAATGGAAATGCAGATGCAGATCCAAGTTTTGTGGGGCCTGAAATCTCACATAATTTTTAGGGATTCTTTTTAAGAAAAATCATAAAAACAAAATTGGGTACTCAACTTCCTCTTACGCATATCCCCAAAATGCCCATGAACTTTTCTATATCACTGACCTGATCGGGGGTGTGTTGAAGTAGAAGATGGAGTGGGAAGAGACAACAGTCTTGAAAATTGAGTTAAAATGTCTTACTTCATCAGCTTAAATAAACTAACAATTTATGATCAGATGAGCATGTTGTTGGGGTTCCGCCCAAAGCCCAGGCAGGGGCATGCCAGTGAGGGCCCGCAGCTCATACTTCATCCGCTTCACTGTAAGTCAGTTTCTGCAGGGATGCTTTCCTCTTAGATAAATGAAACACCCTTTCCTCCTCCCCAATCACATTACTTTATGTTTCTAAAATTGCCTCTCTAATGTTCTTCATACAATTTGACAATATGAATCAAGAGCCTGATAATATTCATGCTTTAGCCCAGTAACTCTATTTTGCAATCTAGTATAACAAAAATGACTAGATCATGGAAGGACTTTATGCACAAAGATGTCTATTGAAGCATCATATATAATAACCAAAAATTGGATAGGCTTTAATGACAACATAGGAATGACTAAGTAAAACATGACATATTCATATTGTGGAATATTATACCATTAGAGACAATGAAGTTTTTACAAACTGCTTATAATAATGTGGGAAAATGCGAATATACTAATATCACAAAATAGCAGCTCACAAAAGTGACATAAGCAGTATATTTAACGAGCCAGTTGGTAACATTGAGTTTCTAGCACTTGGAAAATACTGTTGCATTCATCACACTTATCATCTTCAATGAGGAAACAAAAGTTCTGAACCCCTTGGGTCCTTGGAATTTCCAAAATTGAGGGCCACACTAGAAGAAACTCTCATTTTAAAATAGCCTCTGATTTTATGTTATTTTCTAAAGCTAATTCTTGATGTTATGCAACTGTGAAGAATCAGTACTTTTACTTACTGCTTATAGAAGAATAATACATATACTGATACAAATGCATTTATACCCTTTGATGCAGTCATTCTAATCCTGAGCATCTATTCCAAGGAAATTACCAGGAATATAGAGGCATTATGTGCAAAGATGCTAATTGCAATGAAATATAATAAGAAGGCATTACAACTTATCTAACAGTAGAGGAATTATTTTTTAAAATCTCAGTGTACATCTATAATGGCATATTAGCCATGGAAATAGTAAAATAGAGAAGAAACAAAAAATATAAAGCAAAGATAAGGACATATAATGGAGCTCCAAGTAGGGTGAATACAGAAATGCATATTGAAGAGTTTATTTTCTTTACAAGCTCTAATACATATCAGCCACTGTTCTAAGCTCATATGAAGCTATTTAAACTTCCTAACAATCCCATGAGGTTAGTTCTATAGTAATCCCCATTTTTGGTTGGAGAAAGAGTACAGACAGGTTAGGTAACCAGCCACAAATCATGCAGCTGGTAAGTGGTAGAGCCCCAGTCCTCGCTCTGCAATCCAGCTTGGATGTCCTCGCTTGCATCTTCTATGCGGTACAACTCCAGAGTTAGCTCTAAGCTTTCTAGCAACCAACATGAAAGTGAAAGCCAGATCACTTCCTTGAGTCAAGGTTAATAACAGGAGAATAAAATGATTTAGTATAAGCGATTCCTGACACTAAGAGAAAAAATCTCTTCTGAACACCACATAACTAGAATGCAGTGTTACTTAGAACTGGAGTAGAGACCACACCATGCTTTATGTACCATTTTTGATACTCTTTCTTCATTGTGTGCCAAGCCAAAGGATCCTTCAGCAAGAATGACTCTATAGGGGGTAGGTGGAAGTGGGGGAGCAATATTGTAATGCCCAGGTGCTTTCTTTAATGAGATGACTTAATTGAAGAATAAATTAAAGAATGTCTGGGAAAAGAAAAAGAGAGTATATTCATGATGCAGTACACTGTACTCCAGAAGCATTGCTCCTCTCAGTCTGGCTTTTGATAGAGTGTAAGTCACTGCTTTAGCATTGTAATCCTATTTACCTTCACAATTCTGTTTAGGGAGGCAACACAGGTATATTAGCTAATTAAAATGGAGAGGTAAAGGGGTTTGCCCCAAGATGCACCCAAGTGTTCTAACCCTTATCTTAGGATTGTCACCATAGATCAACTGTGAAATCAGTCACCGTCCTGGGTCTATTACTCTCAGGTAGCCCCTTGAGGCCTACGCAAATCCCTTTGTTCTCAGGGTGAGCTGCCAGAGCGGCCCGTGTCCATGTGCCATGTGGAGCAAGCTCCTTCCCTCTCAGTCACTGGGGGAGAGAATGTAACTTGCAAATGGAGAAAAATAGAAGTCAAAACACCCAACATGATATTCATCCTATCCCCATAGCTCTCCCCTATAGAACCCTGGAGAAAAAAAAAGAAAAAGTCAAAAGAAAGGCAAATGTGATGGCACCTAATACCCACTGGTGCCAACATTAAACCAGTTCTTCCCTCTACTCCCAGTTCCCAAGCTGGTAAGGAAGGAGCCGAGTCAGAGAAACCATGTGCTTGTGAGTGACGCTCCAGCCATGGCCTGCCTCTCTCAAGCAGTCAAACACAGAGTCAGAGCAAAAACAAACACACAGGAGAGCGGGACTCTTGGTTTATGGTTTTAATTCTTTTAAATAAAAGGCAGAGGAATGGGTGCGCTGACTCCAAATATAACACAGAGCCCACGAAGCAGTGAATGAACAGTCACTCCCGTCTCTGCAGCCACCGGCTTTGTTCTGGGTGCTACCAGCATAAATATTCTATTCCATTCATTGAGTGTCCAAAACTTGGGGTTCACACTCTTTGTTTTGGTTTGGTTTCTGGTGGCTCCCGTTCCATACCAGACATCATTATGATAGGGTCTCATCTGTGATGTAGGAGCCACTCTCATTTGACTGTGATGTTTTTCTATTTTCACCCATCATGGATGTGTTTTCTTTTGGAATTCAATCTAACCGGAGAGGAATCTCTTTTCAGTATAGATTGCTATGCAAACTGCTTCCCTACAGACTTTTGTATTTAGTGTAGCAGGGAGTCGATTTCATTTCATTAGGGACAAGACCTGATCCTGTGATCTCGATCCTTTTAGCCACTGCCATAGAAATCCAGTTCTTTCCATCCGTCTACACGCACATCCACACATCCACACACCTGCCAAGCACTAGGCCCTTCCTCCTGACTAGGGCCTTTTACATGACCCCTCTCACTCACCCCCACTTTTCCTGAAAGGAGTACAGTCCTCTCACCTCACCTACACCCCCAACTAACTTTCTTTTGTGACCTAGACACTTTTGGAACTGTACTCCTAGCTCGTTTAACTGATAGACAATTTCAGTGTGTAGTTATTGGTGAATAGTAATGGTGTAAGATCATGCTTCTCAAATTGTATTGCTTCTCAAATTTAAAACATCTCAGGATGTTTTAAAAAGGCAAATTTGTAAGCCTTTGTCCACAGGAATTCTGATTCTTTAATTCTTACTCCTAATTTTGTTTGGTTTTGATTTAAATCAAAATAGTACATGTGCATAGTTAAAAATCAGATAATACTGGATGACAGCGTTCTGCTTGCAATGATAGCAGTCTAGATTCAGAACCATGCTCCTCCTGATAACAACTAGAAAAACTAGACAAAATGTAAAAGAAAAATAGTCTGAAGTTCTCAGTGAAGAATTATGGAGCTAGATGATGGAAGAAGAAGGAAGCTCAGAGAGGTGACCTGGCAGTTAGGGCCACATTTTCCCTGGAGGTATTTGCAGATTCAGAAGAGGCAGCTAAAATTTGTCAAGCTTAGTAGAACTTTCGAGACAGTCACGTGGCCAGGGGATTAAGTTGAAGTTTAGATCCCACCAAAAAAGCTTTGCGATGAGATCTGGAGTGGGTACCTGTGGGAGTAAGTCCATCAGAAAGCAGAACACTGACGGCTGGGTGCAAACAACTTCATTAAGTGGTGAGGGTAAAGTGAGGAGGGCAGGATTTCCCCTAGCACAGCTGTGTACTAAAGGCAAACCAAAACACCTTTCTGGAAGATAATAGCATCATTTTAGACTTTATCTTTACAGTTCTCCACATATAACATCCAGCATGCAATTACAACCAACCAGGTGCAGCATATCTGAATACAAACAATTAAGAGGAAAAACAACAATAGAGACAAATCCACAGGATATCCAGATTATAGAGTTATTAGATACAGACTTTAAGATAATTTAGCTGATATGTTAAAGGAAATTAAAGACAAGATTTAAAATGTTAGCAGACAAGTGAAATAGTCTTAGCTTAGCTGTTGAATGGCCAGATAAATATTAAAGAAATGGAAACCATAATTTAAATTTTTCCACAAATAAAACTTCAGCTTCATCATGGCTTTACTGAAGACTTCTACCCACCCATTTAAAGAGGATGTGAGACCAATGTACCCAGACATTTCCAGGGAAGAGAAAAAGAGTGGACACTTCCCAAGTCATTTTATGAGGCATTACTTTCATAGCAAAACTAGACAAAATTGGTACAAAAAGAGAAAATTATAGGCTAATCTCATCCTTGAAAATAGATACAAAAATTAAAAATAGATGGTAACTAAATATTAGCACACTGGACCTGGTGATAAAAAAAAATGAATCATACGTTCCAACCAAATTGGGTTTGTTCTAGGAATGCAAGATTAGTGAACACTCCAAAATCAATTCATAGAATAAAGGAGAAAAACCACACAATCGTTTCAACAAACAGAAAAAAAGTTACAAGTTCACCACCATTTTATGATAAACAACAACAACACACAAAATCTTTTAGCAAGTGATATGGTTTGGCTGTGTCCCCATCTAAATCTCATCTTGAATCTTAGTTCCCATAATCCCCACATGTTATAGGAGGAACCCAGTGACAGGTAATTGAATCATGGGGGTGATGGTTTTATAAGGGGCTTTCTGTTTGGTCAGCTCTCATTCTGTCTCCTTCCACCCTGCGAAGAGGTGCCTTCTGCCATGATTGTAAGTTTCCTGAGGGCTCCCTAGCCATGTGGAACTGTGAATTACCCAGTCGCTGGTATTTCTTCATAGCAGTGTGAGAATGAACTAATACAGCAAGCTAAGAACAAAAAACTTCCTTAATCCGATAAATGATATCTACATAAAACTGCAGCAAAAATCAAACCTACCAGTGAAATGTTGAATTTTTTTCCCTTTAACTTGAAAAGGAAATAAAAATGCTACTAATCTTACCTCTATTCAACATTGTTCAAGGTGTTCTAGTCAGTATAACCAGGAAGAAAATGAAATAAAAGGTAAAGTGGTTTACAACTGCCTTTATTTGCAGATGCTGTGTTAATGTGTATAGAAAATGCAAAACAATCTACGGATAAAATGTTTAAATTAAACAGTAGTTTAGTAAGGTGGCTGGATACAATGTCAATATTTTAAAAATCAATTGCATAGATTGTCAAAAAATTAAATTAAAAATGTCATTTGTAATAGAATAAAATAATACCAAATACCTAGAATTATGGCTAATGCAGAAAGTGTAGGGTTATTACATAGAAAACTATAAAATATTGAAAGAAATTAAGACCTAATAAATGGAACTATATCATGTTCATGGATTATACAATTAAATATTATTAAAATGTTAGTTAGTGTTAGACCATGCAACTGATCTATAGATCCAATGCAATACCAAACAAAATTTCAGAAGATTTTTTTTCCTTTGTGGAAATTTAAAATTTGGAAGCAAATTCTTTAAAATTTGGAAGTCAGATTAGAGGAGAAGAGAGAGAGTCCTGATTGGATATAGACATGAACAGAACTTCTGGGCTACGGGCGATGTGCATTGCTTGACCTGGGAGATGGTTACACTGGTATAATCATTTTCACTCAATGCTCATGAATGTCTTAACTGCCCCATGCCTCCCACACCCAGACCTCACTCCCTGGAAGCGATCACTGCTAATTACATCCAGTTAGAATGCTCAAGCAAGCAGGTTTCTTTTTTTTTTCTTTTCTTTTTGTTTTTTTGAGACGGAGTCTCGCTCTGTCGCCCAGGCTGGAGTGCAGTGGCGCGATCTCAGCTCACTGCAAGCTCCGCCTCCCGGGCTCATGCCATTCTCTTGCCTCAGCCTCCCGAGTAGCTGGGACTACAGGCGCCCGCCACGATGCCCGGCTAATTTTTTTTTGTATTGTTTAGTAGAGACGGGGTTTCACCGTGTTAGCCAGGATGGTCTCGATCTCCTGACCTTGTGATCCGCCCGCCTCGGTCTCCCAAAGTGCTGGGATTACAGGCGTGAGCCACCGCGCCCAGCCAAGCAGGTTTCTTTTACAAACAATATGCCTGTGTCGTTTCATTATATGTATAAAATATATTTATTATATATTTATATAAATATAATATATAAATAATATTAATATACTATAAATATAATATATAAATTATAAATTATATATAAATTATAAATTATATATTTTATATATAAATTATAAATTATATATTTTATATATAAATAATATACGTTTATATATAAATAAAAACAAAATAATATATAAATATCATATATATTATATAGAAATAAATATAGAAATAAAAATATATAAATTATAAATATATAAATATATAACATATTAGCATATACTATATTATATTATATTTAAATATTATATTAATATATTAATATTAATTAATATATTATATAAATATATTAATATTAATTAATATATTATATATTTAAATTAAATATACTAAATAAAAACATATATAGTATATTATATATTATATATAAGATTTATATATAATATATAATTACATTTTTATATAATATATCTTTATGTAACATAATATATAATATATAATAAAATATATAATTGTTATACTATATATTATATAATTATATCATATATTATATAATTATGTAATATATAATATAATATAATATTAAAATATAATATTAATATATAATATATAATATATTATATAATACATAATATAATATTAATATATAATATAATATATAATACATCATATGATATTAATATATCATATATAATATAATATTATATAATACATATATCATATAATATTATATAATACATATATAATATTAACATATATAATATATAATATATATAATTATATATTTTATATATAACATATAATAATATATATTATACGTTATATATAAAATATATATAAAATATAAAATTATAATATAATTATATATAATATAATATATTTTATATATAAAATATATTATATTATAATTTTATATTTTATATATAGTATACATATTATATATCGTAAAATATATATTATATATAATATATTATATATGTGTTATATATTATATATAATATATAATTATACATTATATATAATATAAATATATAATATATAATTATATATTATATATTTTATATAAGATATAATATATTCTTTATATATTATATATCAAATTTATACATACATATCAAAATTATACATAACTATGTTATGTTTAAACCTCCACTTCTTTTCCTGTAAACTTCAGTTTTATTTTAATGTGTTTTATAAAGACTTTATAAATGAAAAGAATCATTTTTAGCAATAACATGTCTAGGTGCAAGTCGTTGTTATTCCATCCATTTTGTATTTTCAATTTGAAATTCACTTCTCCCTTTAGCTCTGGGAAATGTCTTTGGTTGTTTCTTTGACAATTGTCTCCTCTGAATTCATTTGGCATCTTTCATTTTGCACTTCTGTTGGTTGGGTGTTGGACTTCCTGGTTTGATGCTCCTGTTATCTCTTATTTTTATTGCTCATAGTTTTTAATCCCTTCAACTTTTTGCTTTTATGCTCTGAGAGGTTTTCTAGATCTCTGCTCCCCAACTCTTCTATTAAAATATTTATTTCAGCAATCATATTTTTAATTTCCAAAACTAATGTCTTATGTACACTAGTCATTTCTTTGATTGTTTCCTATTCTTGATCTATGGATTAAATAGCTCTTTAAATCCCAGTGTGCCTACTAATTAGATTTTGTTCTTAAAAACAAATCACGGCCGGGCACGGTGGCTCACGCCTGTAATCCCAGCACTTTGGGAGGCCGAGGCGGGCGGATCACGAGGTCAGGAGATCGAGACCATCCCGGCTAAAACGGTGAAACCCCGTCTCTACTAAAAATACAAAAAATTAGCCGGGCGTAGTGGCGGGCGCCTGTAGTCCCAGCTACTTGGGAGGCTGAGGCAGGAGAATGGCGTGAACCCGGGAGGCGGAGCTTGCAGTGAGCCGAGATCCCGCCACTGCACTCCAGCCTGGGCGACAGAGCGAGACTCCGTCTCAAAAAAAAACAAACAAACAAACAAAAAAAAAACAAATCACTGAACTTGAATGATGCTCCTATTCAGTTTCTCTTGGGCTTCCTCTTTCAAACTGCTATTTTTCCTGAACTGTCGGGATGCCTTTGAGTGTTTATAGGTATTTAAGAATGGGAAATGGGAAGGCTAATGAAGAACTCTCTGGGTTTGGCCTGTTGAACTGGCAGGCATCTTTTTAAGGTGAGCAGATGAGGAGCTAATCACCATGTTGATGGCCTCCCTAAAGCCAGAATGAGGACTGCATTACTTCTAGGTGCTAACATCTATGGGAGCTGCCTTAATTCACCTTAGGTATTGTCTTAGAATGTTTTTGCTGCTGTAACAGAATGCCACAGAAGTTTATTTGGCTCTTGAATCTGGAGGCAGAGAAGTTCAAGATGGAGGGGCCACGTCTGATGAAGTTCTTCTCGTTGCATCTTAATGGGGCTGGAGGAATCTCATGGCAAGGAGGCATCCAGAGGAGACAGAAGACGAAATAGGGCTGAACTCATCCTTTTATTGGGAGTCCACTTCCATGATAACTAACCACTCCCGCAGTAACCGTTTAACTCCATTCATGAGGGTGAAGACCTCATAACCGAATCACCTCTTAATATCGATGCATTGGGGATTAAGCTTTCAACACATGAACTTCGAGGGCCACATTCAAACCACAGCAGTATCCTGTGGTTATTCTCTTTTTTTTTTCTTTTTTTCTTTTTTTTCTTTTTTTTTTTTTTTTTTTTTAGAAAAATGCCCTTGTGTTTTGGCTGGGAATAAATGCCTGTTGGCCTGAGCTTTGTGCAAGAGTGGAGGTGTTTACTATTTCGTTGACAGTCCTCTCACTCTCCCTGGTTTTTGGCCCTGCTCCTTGTTTCCATTCTTGAGTGCATTGACTCTGTGTCCAGGGGTTACATGGTTCTGCTGCTTTCAAATTCCTGCAGCTTTTTCAAGGCTGCTCTTTCTTCTGTTCTGCTGCAAGCCACTAATGCTTCTCCATTTACTTCCTGTCTTCTGAAAATTCATTAAAACTTCTTGTATGTTGGTGAGTATCCTCCCATTCTCTTGGCTGCTACATGCTTATGTCTTTATTGATTTTTAATCATCTTAGGACTCAAGAGATACAGAGTCTAACGTGGGGACTTTGTCTGTAATCTTAAAGCTGAGTCCCCTAATATGCTTAAGAGGAATCCCTTAAATTTCATACATATATGATTTAAGCCCAGATTTGTTTGTTTGGTTGTTTTTAAACACATTTTATTGTTTATATTTGAGGTTTACAATGTGACGGTATGGAATACATTTAGATAGTAAAATGTTCACTTACAGTGAAGCAAATTAATGTATTTATCATCTCACATAGTTACTCGTATGTGTGTACATCTGTGACAAGAGCAGCTAAAATCTACTTATTTAACAAAATTCCCAAATACATACAATTTTATTAACCATAATCTTCATGCTGTATATTAGATCTCTAGAATTGTTCATCCTACAAATCTGCTACTTTGGATTCTTTAACATATATCTCCCCATTTTAAGTCAAGCTTTGAGAAATAAGTAGAATGTGTATAGAAACAGAGGATTGTAGAAGACAGACCAAATAGAGGACATGTTTGAGCCGTGGTGTGGAGATAGGTTTGACCATGCTAGGTTTGAAAGACTAATGAGGACACCAACCTAGTAGGAGCCCAAAGTTCCAGGAGGAGAGTCACAGGAAATAGGGCTGGCAAAGGAATCTGGATCTAGAGCTTTTCGTTCTAGATGGGAAAATTTGGCCAATAGATTTTGAGCAAAGCAAAAAAGCAATGAAATCAAGATTTTAGAAAGATTAATTTGGCAGGACATGAAAAATGCTTTGAGAGTAGGTAGACTGGAGGCAGAGAGCCAGCTAGGAAAAAATTGTGATCATCCATTTGTGAAATGAGGGATGGTGGCAGCAGAAATAGAAAAGTAGGAAGCGATGTAGGCAAATCAGAAATGACTATGTATGGTACTCAGTGACTGATTGGATATGGAGGACAAGATGATGCTAAGTTTTCAGGACTAGATAACTATAAAGAATTATTGACATTGATGTACTTAGAAAATTCACAGGCACCCATCTGACTTCCACCTCCTCTCTCTTCAAGATTAGTTTACCCATAGTAGAAATCTTGTTTTCCAGCCTACATTTCATAGGTAGTGGTAGCAGAGACGCCTGGTGGTAGTGATGATGGTGGAGATAGTAGTGATGATGGAGGTAGTGATAATGGAGGTGGTGGTAGATATGGCAGTAGTGATGGCAAAGGTGGTGTTAACAGTAGTGATGTGAATGTTCAAGGTGGTGGTAGTGGTGGTAGTAATGGTGAGAGTGGTGATAATTATGAGGAATGTGAGGTGAAATAGTGGAGGTGATTGTGGTGGTGATTGTACTAATGGAGGTAATTGAGATTAATGGTGGTGGTGGTGACAATGATGGTAATTATAAAGGGGGCTTGTGATAGTTATGAGGAAGGTGGTGATGGTGATGACGGTGGTGACGGAGATGACCTTGGTAGTAGTGATAATGGTGATGGTAGCAGAGATAGTTGGATGGCGGTAGTGATGATGATCGAGGTGGTGGTGGTAATTGTGTTGGTAGGGGATGGTGTTGGTAGGGGTAGTGGTGGCGATGTTAGAGGTGTGGATGATTTCAGAAATGGAGGAAGTGGTATTAGTGGTGGTAATGGCGCTGGTGATGATAATAGTGACAGATGATTGTGGTGGGGATGGTGGTGGGCAGGGTAGTAGTGAGAGTGGTTGTGGTGATTATAAGTGGTGATATTGATAATGGTGGTAATGATGATGGAGGTGGTGGTGATGGTAGTACTGGTTGCTATAATAGTGATTGTGCTGTGGGTGTTGTAGTGATGGAGGGAATCACAGTGGTGACTCTGTGGGTGGTGGTGATGGTAATAGTCCTTGTGATTGTGGTTGGGTGTGGTGCTGCTATTGGGCACATCTTAGCTATGCAACTGTAACTTTAAGTCTTGATCTTACTCTTTATACACATAGGGACTTTAGGAGAAAAAGGAATAGGATCTTACTCTTTCTACATATAAGGACTTTGGGAGAAAAAGGAATAGGAATAGGATCTTACTCTTTATATATATAAGGACTTTAGGACGAAAAGGAATGTGGCTCTCCACAGAACTATGAGACCCTGCTCTATTCTCTAGCCCCAGGTGATTAGATGAGGAATGGAAAGCTGACTCAGGGGAGCCAATCTTTAATCCGAGTTAAGAAGATCTTCTTTCTTTCTTTTTTTTTTTTTAGGGACAAGGCCTCCCAAAGTGCTGGGGTTACAGGCATGAGCCACTGCACCCAGCCTCAGTCAATTTTTTTTTCTTTGTTTGTTTGAGACGGAGTTTTGCTCTTGTTGCCCAGGCTGGAGTGCAAAGGCGTGATCTCGGCTCACTGCAACCTCCACCTCCCGGGTTCAAGCGATTCTCCTTCCTCAGCCTCCTGAGTAGCTGGGATTACAGGCATGTGCCACCACACCTGGCTAATTTTGTATTTTTAGTAGAGATGGGGTTTCTCATGTTGGTCAGGCTGGTCTCGAACTCCTGACCTCAGGTGATCCGCCCGCCTCAGCCTCCCAAAGTGCTAGGACTACAGGTATGAGCCACGATGCCTGGCCAAGTTAAGAAGAATTTCAACCTCTAGGATTTAGCTAAAGGCTTGGAAATTATATTGTAAGGTGTGAACATTTAAACTTAAGAGACTTGTGGAGTCAGAACTTCAGTCATCACCATGGCAATGGAATGGTGCATAGAGTCAGGGTTAAGAAATAGCTCACAAGCCATGAGTAATGAGAAAAGGCCAATGTGCCAAGAGAAACAGCAGAGGAAGCAGGTGGGTAGAGAGAAGCAGAATGAGTAAGAGCCAGCCTTCATCCCGCCTGACAATGTCCAGGCCCCTTGTGTTCCCAGAGACCCATCCATGTCTGTTCTGGTCTTGCATGTCCATGAGCTTGCCAGTTGTATCTACTCCATAAACTTCCCTTTTATTTGAATTACTTAGTATGTATGGGTTTCTGTTTCTCACAGTGAAATACGAGGGACTAAGATGTTCATGAAGTAAATTGCTCATTTTCCATGCTTTTTGCAGACTTCTTCAAAGGTCACTAGACCCTAGATACCACTATTAGATGCATTTGTGCTTGGGTCCTTCAGCCCTCTCCCAGACAGACCACAAGCCTAAGAATTTTATTTAAGACCATGTCCATTTCTCACAGGGTCCAAGCTTTACTTAACATAATCTAGTACTTAATAATTCCCCATTAGTATTTCCAAATTAGAGTTCCCTCCCCCAATGGGACATCACATCCTGCTCCTCTAGTTGTGGGAATGTCTCTAGATTGTGTCTCCCATACCCTCTTGCTATGATCTTGTTTCTCTGGTTTGCATCCTCGTGACTTACACCTTGATCCTTCTCTGCCTGCCTCCTTCAGATGCCTAACTGGAACTCTCCATCTGACTTTGGTTTGGTTCACTCATAAGATGCTGACTCTGGTGTCTCCCTCCCACAGACAATGAAGCACAGCTGATGGATGAGCTGGACTTGGGCCTGATGCCCTAGTCTTCTGCTGGGTTGGGAGAGAGGGGTGGAAGCCTAGAGAGAACCCTTCTCTACTGCATACCATCCATGTGCCAGGTGTTCTATGACTTGGGAGATCAGCATTCTTGCCTTCATTTTATAGTTGATAAACCTGAAGCTCAGAGAGCTAAAAGTAACTTGCCTAAGTTTATATAGTGAATGAGTGCCAGATCTGGGGTATGAACCCAGGTGGATTTGACTTCAAAACTCATCTTTCACTTTTAAACTGTGCTGACTTGCCAAGGGATTAAATAAACCAACATTTGTTGAGCACTATGGCAGTGACTTTAAGTTGTCCCCCAATGTTCATGTTCTCCTTTTTTCTTAATTGCAAAGCCCTGGTTTGTTTTGGTATGGAAATGTACCCCCTAAAAGACTCTATACCCCAGGCTTCCTGAAGCAAAGTATGCCCATGCAAAGCTGGTATGATGAGATGGAAGGGTTAAGGCGTGGTGGTGGTGGGAGGGAGGTTCCAGAAAGGCTGCTAAGAGCTTATAGTTGCTCTAGTTGATAAGTTCTCTCCTGTGCCCTTTCTTCTTGCTTCTAGAGAGCTCTAATGACCACTTTGGATATGAGGATATCCTGAAGAGAGCATCCATAGTCTAGAATAATGGAGACAGGGTCCCTGAGGTCTTCAATGCTGCCATATTGGCTCTGGGCTCCCTGCTTCTGTACTGTTGTATGTGGAAGAGCTATAAATGCCTATTTTGTTTAAGCTACTTTTATATGCAGTAGGACTCAAGCACCTTCTCTATGTCAGACGGTATGCTAGCACTTTAATGTTTCATTGCCTCTATTCCAGATGAGAATCCTGTTTCAGAAAGCTCAGGTAATTGACCTAACATCACACAGCCAGTTAAGTGGCATGATTTGACATATTGCTCTAGTATAATATAAATCTAAATTCCTGAACATGACATGTAAAATACCTGTGGTCTTCCATTTTGTTTTAGGCTTTTGAAAATGTTCTTCCCTCTGCCTAGAATTCTCTGCCTCTACTTTTCATCTGGAAGACTCCCAGTCATCCTTCATGACCCAGTCGAAGTGCTACCTCCTCTTTGCAGTCTTTGCTAAACAGCTGTCTCAGGACACATCTTTCTTCTGTGCTCCTGTTGCCGCATGCTGAACCTTATTAAGATGTTGCGTTGCATAAGACACGTACATTATATTGCACAGTATGATAATTGTTTAGATGCCTGTCTCCTCTCTAAAATGTCAGCTTCTTCTTCTTTTTTTTTTTTTTTTTTTTTTTTGTTTTTTTGTTTTTTTTGAGATGGAGTCTTGCTCTGTCACCCAGGCTGGAGTGCAGTGGCTTGATCTCAGCTCGCTGCAACCTCTGCCTCCCAGGTTCAAGCGATTCTCCTGCCTCAGCCACCCAAGTAGCTGGGATTACAGGCACCCACCACCACGCCCAGCTAATTTTTGTATTTTTAGTAGAGATGGGGTTTCACCATTGACCAGGCTGGCCTCGAACTCCTGACCTCAGGTGATCCCCCCCCACCTGGGCCTTCCGAAGTGTTGGGATTACAGGCGTGAGCCACCGTGCCTGGCCAGCTTCTTCTTTGTTAAAATTTTAGATTCAGGGGATACATGTGCTTTTTCGTTACATGGATATTACATGAATAATGGTGGGGACTGGGTTTCATGTACCTATCTCCCAAATATTGGACATTGTGCCTAGTAGGTAATAAAACGTCAGCTTCCTTAGAGGCAAGATCTTTCCATCTCTATTCTCAGCATTAGTTCACTGCTTGACACCAAAAAAGTAAATATTCATTGAATGACTAACTGCCTGAATGAATAAAAGTAGGCAGTTATGTTCAATGATACCTTTTATTAATAGTAAACTTCAGGGGCTTACTCTAGCATATTGAGGTTTATCTCTTCATGTCTCTAAAGCCACCTGGGAAGCAAAGAGAAGTATGTCCCTGGTGGGTTACTTTAAATGAAGATCTAAGATCTCAGGTCTCCGTGGATGGAGACCTTTCAGCTCATTTTTAACTCTCATTCCACAGCCCCTGCATCTAAAGATGATTGCAGCATATTTCCAATTCAAAATATCATTTTGTTGGGAGATGTGACTGAAAAGCTTATAAAGGTGGATTTGATTCTTGCTTTATTCCTTTCAAAAAATGGAATCAGCTCTAACACAGCATCCTTTTTTAAGATTTCGAAAAGTCTGAATCCATTTTAAACTAGATTGTGATTGACAAACCCACGGGAACACTAGCGAACAGTTAAATACTAATTAGCCAAACCCCCGCTACTCTCCCAGCTGTCAAAGGCAGAGATAGAGACAAAAGCTTCAATTAAACCTGAGTTGGTCCCCAAGGAGGGAGAGGTCAAAGGGGAGTGTTCAGTCAACTGTGAGATTATGTGAACACAGTCCCAAGTAATAATCATAAAAAATCCAAATGTACCTTTACATATTTAAAAATACATTATACTGACATTAAAACTCTCTTTTTGTCATTTTACTCTCCTCAATCTTCCCATCATTTCAATGTTTCCCATTATTTTTAGGATAAAATCCAAAGCCTTTCCCCTGACTTTCTGCCGCCAATGAAAATTTCCAGTTGTATTTGTCACTTACTCCTTGCCCTGGAGCACCTGCCCACTGGTCAAATGTGACCCCAGGTACATGGAGCTCAGGCTGAACTATACTCCAGCCTCCCCTTGGGCTGTCCAAATATGAGCTACCTATTCAGACTTAGCAACATGCTACCTCTTCTTAATCATCCGTTCAATTAAAATACCAGTTAACAACACAATTTCACTTATATAATCTCTTCTACACCTCCCTACAGCTTTAAGAGTTAGCTGTGGGGAAAGATAAATGCACCGAGACCAAGAGAGAATTCAGTGTTATTGTCCAAAGCCACACAGACACCAGGTGAAGAGCCAGGGCTGGAGCCTAGAACTCAGACTGCAGCCCTTGCCTCTCTTGTCGCATCATTGACTAGCCTTCCCAGGTGGTGGCTCAAAGCCTGTGCCACCTCCCAAGGAGGTTTTTCTGTCTGGGGAAAAGTGAGAAAAACATGATGAATTCTTCAAAAAGCTTAATCTAGTCAATTTACTAGACTCTCTTTTATTCTAACATTATACTTTTAGAATTAAAATGTAATTTATTTTTACTAAAGTAGTGGAAATAAGTTATGGTAAATTATTGTATAATTTATTTGACAATTAAATGTAACTCTGTATTATGTCAGAAAACCAGCTCTATTATTCTGATGACAAATTCCCCCAGGACTCCTTGTAGGCTGAGTTGTCCATTCTCTCGTTGGGCCACCCTGTCAGTAGAATAATCCCCCAGTAGAGCACCTGTCACTGCCCAGCTCCTATGTGTTTACTGGCCCTCTCCCCTTCTAGACCACGAGTTCCACGGAGTATGAATTCTGTGCCCTAACACCAGAATACCTGTCTCCATCAAAATTGGGTAACCACCAAGAATATGATCTACATCTAAATGTGGGCTGCTGAACTGATGTTCAGTTGAATCAACAACATCCACAATAATAGTACCTAACATTTATTGAATATGTCCTAACTGCTTAAAATCACATTTTCTGCTCTACATGCATTATCTCATTGGAAGTCAACATCCATGAGCTGGATCATTGAAGTATCAAATGGGATTCCATTTAGTCCAAGGAGAAAAATTTTGCAAACTGGATCATGCTTGGCCTTAAAAATAGGTAGAACAGGGAGAATGTAGACCCTCCTGTACGCTGGAATTTAAAAAGCATTGACAAACTGCCCTTGCCCGTGAGATATGCACCCATCTCTCTCTTCCAAGCTCTACCATTGGAACTTAATCCTTTTCAGTAGTTCATTAGCTTTTTCCAGAGATTTCTTTTAAAATGCAAATAATCCTGGGAAAGTAATTACAAGGCATAAGATGGGATGGAGATATGAATGTGGTTATGAATGGTGGTGGCATGACAGGGTATGTTGAGGAGAAAAAGTAGGGGAAGCTGCCTCCAGAAAACCCAAACTTGTCTACACAAAAAGACTTGAACTCAACCACTGGGCATTAATTCTCTATTTTATTTTACTGCTCCTACCCCAGCTTCTCCCAACTGATTTTCAAAATTTGAGCAAATATAATTCAGTATTTTTATTTAGCCTAAGTCCTCTATTCAAGTGAAGCTATGCTAACACCTATCCTCTAAAGATTACATTGCAGTAAGAAGATTTGTTTCCCTGATAAATAGGTAAATTTGGGGGAATTCATAACTTTTATATAATTCTCACAGGTATTTAAAATTCTCAAAGTTTAAGAAACATCCATTTAGAGGAGATTACTATAAAGAATTAAAACAGAACTTCTTAAATTATGGACCACTGACGTTAGGATCAACTAGGGCTTCTTGCAGATTCCTGGGACCTCTAGGACACAACTCTTGAATTAGAAAATCTGGGGTGGGATCCCAGAATCTGCATCTGAAAATCTTCCCAGAAGATGTACTTTAAAATTTGATTTAAAATTAAAAATTTGAGAACCACTAGCTTTAAATGAATTAAGGTTCATGTTTAGTGGTATTGCATTATTCTGTAGTTATCCATATTTCTGAATTTTAATAGTTGAATAAATTCCTTGGGTTTTTCTGAAAGACAGTCATGTCATCAGAAGTAATCATTTTTCCTCCTCTTTTCAGTTTCTATGATTGTTATTTCTTCTTATTGCAATGGCTGTGTAGTAAGTAGATCAGGGATTGGTAAACTATGAGGCACAGTCCAAATCCATCCGTCTACTCTTTTTGTATGACCCATGAATCATTTTCACATTTCAAAATGGTTTTTATGAAGAACTTTCTTTATATCTTCCATGGTGTCTCTTGGCCAGCAAAGCCTAAAATATTTGCTATATGGCTCCTTCCTAAAAAAGTGGGATGGTTCCTGTTGTAGACTAAGAAAGGTACCACCCAGAACCCCCGTGCTGTGCAGCTGCAGAGAGTTCGGTCAGTAAAGTGTCTCCAGCTGGTGAGGACTCCTCCAGGGTGGGCCAGCTCACTCAGAGGAAACCCTCCTAGGCATCTCGTAATGGCTCTCCAAGTAAGATGGGGTAGAAAGGCCAGGCAAGGAGCACTTGCTCCAGAGCTACCATCAGCTTGGCCAAGGCTTTGCTGGGCTGAGTCACGGTCGAACTTCTTTCTTTAAGAAGTCCTGCTTCCCACTCCTGCCCTTCACAGGTTTTGATCCATAATGAACATCTTCTACCCCAAGCCCTTCCTTGACATCTGCTTTCGGAAAACCAACCTTTGGCAGGCTGTGCTGTTGAGTACAATATTAATAATCCTGATAACAACAAACCTATCTCCTTCCTTCCTTTCTTCCTTTCCTTCTTTCCTTCCTTCCTTCCTTCCTTCCTTCCTTCCTTCCTTCCTTCCTTCCTACCTTTCTCTCTCTCTCTCTTTCTTTCTTTCTTTCTTTCTTTCTTTCTTTCTTTCTTTCTTCTCTCTCTCTCTTTCTTTTTCTTTCTTCTTTTCTTTTTTGAGACAGGGTCTCACTCTCTCACGTAGGCTCTATATCTTATTTCTAACTTGGAGAGACATGACTCTTGTTCATTGCTATATAAAATACTTGTTGTTGATTTTAAGTTCCTTGTCTCTTTAAATAAGTTTATTACTATTTTTAAGAGTGATTATATTTATTAAGAATTTTATGAAGAATGGGTTTTACATTCTATCATATATATTTTAAGCATTTTTTATTTTTAAATTAATGTAAATGGATTACACTTAGAGATATCCTAACATTGAAACATGCCTGCATTCTAAACTTAGAAAACGATGTATGAATTTTATTTATTAATTCACTTGCATAGTACCTGCTAGTGTTTTAATTTTTAACATTGAATAAGATTAATAGTACTGTAAAATTAACATTTTTTTGAGAAAATCTATGAATTTTAACACATGTATAAATCTGTGTAAATTGTGGGAGAATTGCTTGAACCCAGGAGGCGGAGGTTCCAGTGAGTCGAGATTGTGCCACTGCACTCCAGCCTGGGTGACAGAGCAAGACCCCATTTCAAAAAATAAAAATAAATAAATTGACCATGTTTATATGGGTCTATTTTTCTGTGTGAGTCCTCCAACTTTGTTCTTCTTTTTCAAAATTGCTTTGGTTTTTCTAGTTCATTTGCCTTTCTATATTAATTTTAGAGTCAGCCCATCTATATCTACAAAAATCCCCCAGAGATTTTGATTGCAATGGAGCTAAACTTACAGATCAATTTGGAGAGAATGGGCACCTTGACTGTGTTGAGTGTTCCAATTCATGAATATGGTAGGTGTCTCCATTTATATAGGTCTTCCTCGATATTTCAGAAGGATTTGGCAGTTTTCAATATACAGGTCCTGCACATGTTTTGTTAGTTTTATACATAAGTATTTCTCTTTCATTTGAACTATTTAAATGGCATTTAATTTTTTTTTCAGTCTCCAATTGTTGATTGCTAATATATGGAAATACAATTGATTTGTGTATGTTAACCTTTTATCCTGTGATCTTACTAAACTCACTTATTAGTCTTAGGTTTTTTTGTGTGTTTAATTTTATCAAATGCTTTTTCTGCAGCAGTTTATGGATGATCATGTAATTTTCATTCGTTAGTAGGTTTGTATGGTAGATTACATTGATTGATTTTTGAATGTTAAACTAGCTTTGTATTTCTAAAATAAAACTCACTTGTTTCATTGGAGGAACATACAAGAAAAAAAACCCTATGGTAATACATTACCCTGGTAATGTATTAGTCCCTTAATAATTTGCTGGAATTGATTCAAGAGTGCTTTGTTGAGGGCTTTTTTTGCCTATATTCATTAGGGATACATGTCCTTAGTTTTCTTTTTTTTTGTATTATCTTTGTCTGGTTTGATATCAGGTTACTGTTGGCTGCATGAAGTGACTTGGGAAGGTTTTTATTCTCTTCTATCTTGTGGAAAAAAATGTGTAGAATTGCTATTATTACTTCTTTAAATGTTAGAATTTACCAGTGAAATTACATAAGCCTGGAGCTTTCATTTGAGGAAGGGTTTAAACTACCCAATTTCATTACTACGTATAGGACTAGTCATATTATCTATCTCTTTGTGGGTGAGTTTTGACAGTTTGTGGCTTTCAAGGAATTAGGCCATTTTATCTAAGTTGCTGAACTTTTATTCATAGGATTATTGCAGTATTCCCATATTATTTCTTTAACATATATGTTTGTATTGTTACTCCCTCTTTCATTTCTGATGGTGGTAATTAACATCATTTCTATTTTTTCTTTTGTCAGTCTGTCTATAGATTTTCCAATATAATCATTACTTCAAAGAACCAACTTTTGGTTTATTAATATTCTCTATTGTTTTCTTCTTTTCAATTTCATTGATTTCAGCTCGTCTTTATTTTTTTCTTTCCTCTGCTTGTGCATCTCTATTTTAATTATGCTATCACATCTAAATACTTAATCACCTAATTTTCTTTCAACTCTTAAATTGTTGTAGTATGTCTTCAACCAATTATTCTTTAAAAATATGTGTCATATAATATTTTGAATCCTTGACTCTGAAAATTTACCTTTGGTGGTCATACATGAAAGCCAACTTAGCTAGGTATAAAATTCTTAGGTTATAACACATCTTTTTTTTCTAATTCAAAGACTTCTATTGACTTTTCATGTTTAATGGTTACTATTCTGGTTTGTTTTGAGTAATTTTAATAACCGCAGTTTATTTACAAAATTCAGACTAATTATTTTGTTCCCATGCCAACAAAATACATTTGTTCCCAGACAGCTGGTGTGATGCATCATTCTAAGACTTTTTATGAGAGATAGAACCACATTTAATTTTGGCCACATCTTATTCTCATGACAGTTTGAATACTTGCCTCTGTTTTCTGAAAAAAAAAAAAAAAGAAAAGAAAAAAAAACCTTGAACCACAGTGTCAAAGACAACACATTTTTTTTTTAATGTAGGTGTAGCTTCACTGACATCTAGCATATAGAGATGCAAATTCAACATATAGAGATGTCTGAGGCTACCCTGATTCTTGTTCCATCATAGGAAACTGGTTTTCCCTCCTGCAAATGAGAATATTTTCTTTATTTTTGCAATTCAAGTGTTTTGCCAAGAGGTTTACAAGTGTGGGTCAATTTTCAATAATTTTTATCTGGAATGTAGTGAGTTCATCAAGTCTCCAGGTCTTTCTTCAGCTCAGAAAAGTTGTATTAGATTATATATTTCATTATTTCTTTGTGTAGCATTTCTGGTTATGTACAATTCAGGCCTCTCCTTTGTAAATCAGAATGATTTGCCATTCCCTATTCTGTATGTCTACTGACTTTCAATTTTCATTGTATGTTTTTCTCTGTAGTCAGTTCTTATTTTGTTACCTTTTAATCTCATTTTATTCTCTTATTTTCAGATTTTTGCACCTATTTATTGAGATTATTTCTATTTGCACTCTTCTAAATATACCAATTAGTTTTCTGAAATTGTTTTCTAAATCTTGTAGTAAATATTTCCTAATCTTATACTTTTCTTCTGAGTCTTTGTTACATTGTTATTTTTCTTTTTTTTTTTATTACCTAAAAGGCAACAGAGGTTAAATGGACATTTGTTTAATGAATAAGGAGGGTAAGAAAGGTGAAATCTTTTCCAGATATTGGGTATGTGAATTACCTTTGGCCTCTCTTTGACTCTACTTATGTAATGGTTGAATTCACTTTTCAGATCTGTAGCTGCAGGCTAACTGATTTACACAGTTTCCAATCTAATACCCAGGCTTTCAACTAATGTGTCTTTCTATTAAGATGGCATCTATTCCCACATCTGATGTCCACCTGTCTGATAGTGATGGAATGCATGAACAAGCATAATTCCCATGGCTATCAACTTTCTTCCTATGTCTGCACATGCCTATAATAAGTTTCTCTTGGTGGTTACTAACCCCATGTACAATGCTCAAATGAAAGTTTTCTACCTGGCATTCGCTCTTTGACTGTAAGAAGATGTCATTAGATCAGAGAGGTTTATAGGCAGATGGGAACAGTAGTTCAGCTGTGTCTGGTCGTTGAAGGAAAGACTTATGCCCAGTGTTCTGGGTGGTAAAACTGGAATCTCTGAGTCAGTGGTGGTACAAAATACAGTAAATACAGTATCATTCAACATTTTATCTCTTTTTTTGTATGCCCATTTATTGTGAAGTTAGAAGATACTAAATACAGAGCTATGAGCCAACATCATTTTGTGCCAGAAGTCTACTTCTAGTATATTTTTAAAGTATTAGGTTTTGTTGTAAAATCCAGCCAAAATCTAAGGCATTTATTTTGAATGAAGACACACTGCTGTTTGTCTTATCATACACACCTCCTCCTACACACTCTTATATGTAAATATGCCAAAATTAAATACTCACACTGTACACTGACTCCAGACACTTGATAAAGGACTTTTGAGATAATTTATAAATATCTATTAAAGTAAAATAATAGCAACCGTTGTCAAAAAAAGCATCCACTTAAGTATATGCACAACTGAGGGTCTTCAAAATCATTTTATGTTGACCTATTTTTTCATTTTATTATAATGCTGACATAATATTCTTTTCCAAATCACTTCAGAGTTATCAACTCCTCTCTCTCACAAATTCCCAGTCCAATTAGCAAATCCTTATGTATCCCATTAAACAATTTTTTATAGTGTCTTGCAGAGTTCCACATCCAACATTATCTATCTCTAGCCTGTGGTTCTTCCCATAGGAATTCTTTTGCAATTCTTAAATGTCAAATCATTTATTTTCAAAAGAAAAACTGATAAACAAATTGCAGAAAAATGTGTGTTTTTCTCCCAAGAAAGATTACTGCAAAATATAGGAAAAACTCATAGACCTCTGATTTATCATCTACAATAATCCTGCTTTCCACATTGGCCTCAACTAGTCCCACACTTCTTTCCTTCCTAATTGCAAAAGCATAGCTGCGGAATGGCATTAACTATGGAACCAAAGGCAGGAAAATGCTCAATTTAAAAAGCTAGGAAGACATGGGCTGTATATAGTTATGCATTCTTCATTTAAAACATTTTTAGCAGCCATCTTACTGATTGATTTTCTTCGCCCTCTATTGGCATGTGTTTTTTAAAAGGCAGTTAACATGGTCCAAACCACTGTTTTTACTGTTTTTAGGTCCCTGTTTTTCTTTGTTTGAACAATGGCTGTAATCATGTTTTCTCAGGTCTCTTAGAAGTTACACTAATAAGTAGCAGACAGTTCTGTCCCATGCATTCTAAAAGCAGCTTTCTCATGTGGCAAGACAAGAAAGGAAAAAAAAATCATTGAACCTAAAATGAGGTCCTATATCTGAGAGCCTGTGAGGTCATGTCTGCACAGCATTTTGGAGTTCTGCTAACGTTTTTCTAATGGAGGTAGGGGTGAGTTGGTGATGACATAAAGGGCCCCTGAGAGGAAACTGTCAACTTTTGCTTAGGTGACAAGACCAGTTCAGAAAAACAAACAAACAAACAAAGAATGATACAATCAGCTCTCTACTCCTCCCCTCCTCCACTTGCAGAAATGGAGTTGAGGCTTGTCTAAATCACCTCCACAGCCTTCCTCTGCCTCCTTTGAAAATAGGTGTTGATGTACAGATCAATACTCTTTAGTTCTTGCTACCCTCACTGGAAAAAGTACAAAGTTGGCCAAATGTGTTTCTGAAAAGTTTATTTCCAAGCTAAACCCAAGGCACAGTTGTGCCCACAGGACCATCTGTTGGCTCATCAAATAAGCACCAGAAAATACATCTGGCTGTGCATCTGGGAAACAAAGGTTAATTTCAAAATTGGCAGAAGAATTTGTGGGGGGATATCTCTCATTGTCTTGTGCAACGACTTATGAGATCATCTTAGTGAAGAAAGAACCCAAAGAGCATGGCCCAAGGGCCGAGTAAGGCAGAGAGTGATGAACTGCTCTGCCTCACAAGCTGAAGCTTGGGTTCCCAGGGCAATCCCCAGAAGGAAGAGAGCTGGCCCTGGAATAGGAAAGGGAGGACTAGGATGGCGGAGTGGAGGGAGACAGCCCAGAAGAGTGGCTGGAGGTTGAAAGCAGAAGAGAAAGCAGTCTCCCAGAAGTTCCCTATGGTGGGTATGATGGAGATACTTTTAATATCTGAATTGTTTGATATCTAGTCTTAAGGTTTTTTGCATTATATTGTCAATTCTCTTTATTTGCCATATTTATATCCTATGAAGTTGCTGCAAACCCTGAATCTTGGGGTGGGGAAGGCCTTTTAAAGCATGATGTCACAGGCAGAAATCATAAAGGAAAGATCAATGAATTCAATGGATAAAAATTTAAAAATTTAAAGCTGTATAGCAAAGAAACAAACAACAACCTACAAGCAAAATGACAAACTGGAAAAAAGCATTTACAGTATTTTTGAAGAAGGATTAATATTCTTAATATACATAATTCTTTACAAATAAACAAGAACATAGAAAGATAATTAAAAGGTACAAGCAAGTGCTATGGACTGAATATTTGTGTCCCCAAAATTCATATGTTGACATCCTAATCCCCAATGTGATGGCATTTGGAGATGAGGCCTTTAGGAGGTAATTAGGTCGTGAGGGTGGAGCCCTCATGTGGGATTAGTTCTCTTGTAAGAAGAGACATGAAAGAGCTTGCCTTTCCCTCTCTCCCCTCTATCATGTGAAGACACAGCAAGAAGATAGCCACCTGCAGACAGAAAATGGCCCTCACTAGACTTCAGGTCTGCTGGCACCTTGATATTGGACTTCCCAGTCCTCAGAACTGTGAGAAATAAATGTCTGTTGTTCAAACCACCTAGTCTTTGGTATATTTGTTATAGCAGCCTGAACTGAATAAGACAGCAAACAAATCTACCCCTCTCCAAAGTATAACTAAAGACCAGGAAAAAAAAGAAATAAAATAAATTTGAGATCACAGTAACCAAATAACTGAGAATTAGAATGATATACTTTTTTTAACCCATCAAATGGGCAAAGATGAAGGGAAAAATAACATCTGTCATCTGTCAGTCTGTCGGAGAAAGAAGTCTACATCTACTGACATGGGAAGCAACGTAATACATGTGTTTAAAGGGCAATTCAGCAAGGGTAAAATATCGAAAGCCAGCACCAGATATCAAAAGTCTTGAAAATGTGCATATCATTTGCTATAGCAAATCTCCCCTTAGTATCCTTTTCTAAGAAAATTATTATAAATGTTCATCTTTAACTATAAGAATTTTTAACGCAGTGTTGTTTAAAATAAGTACCCAACCATATCATGTTTTGGTAATTAAAGCATGGTAAATGCAGACATGGAGTATCATGTAGCCATTAAAAGAGCATTTTAATACATGGAAAGGTGTCCACAATATAAAATGTAATTAAGTGAAAAATCAATTTATAAAACAATGTCTTCAGTTATTCATGTAATCAATTACTTTAATAAATATTTGTTAAGTTTCAATGTGCCGTGGCAGTGATCACATAAGTAGTACTATAACAGTCCCTGACATATTTTTTAAACTATATGCACACAGAAATATATATTACAACACATACACACAGAAAAAATACTGGAAGTCTATCCACTAAACTATTAATAGTAGATATCTCTGAATACATGTGATTTTCATTTCTTACACTTTAATTATGATTTCTAAATTTTGTACAGTAAACTTATTTCCTTCTGTAGGAATACAAATCTTAATTTTTTAAATCATTTCCCTGTTTTACTCTCCTTTTCTTTTTACATTCTTTAACCATTTCCCCCTCTCTCCCAGTGTGATATCTTGATGTAGAACCAGAATAGGAAATGAATTTCACCTGAAATAGTAAAGTGGCCCAAGACAGACAATGAGGCTGAGGAACTTTGCAGGCAAAGAAATGCATGCTGAGTAGAGTAACCTCCTATTTATCAGAAAGGAAGGAGAATGGTACCTATTTGGATTATCAGAGATTTAACTCACAGCCCAAGCTTCTTTTGAGCATCTCCTTCTGTCTACTCGCACTGCCGCTTTCCACCTGGTTCCCTGAGGCTGGTTTTCCCACCTCCAATCTGTCCTATGTCTCATGCTTTCCACGCTACCTAATACAATCCAAGATCTTCAGCCTGGCATTCAGAGCCCATCTGCCTGGTCCCAGCCTACCACCCTTCGTTATCATCCCTACACCTTTCAGTGCAGTCCAACCCAACCACTGCCTGCCCTGCTGGCCTGCCCTGTGCTGTGGTTTTGCTCATGCTCTGCCTGGTCAAAGCCATCCCTTCATTGGCATCTGCTCAGACCGTACTTTCGCCACAAGACTTTTTCAGCAGTCTTCCTGCCAGGTTTCCCCATTAGCATATGTTTGTACCTGTATTATGGCACATGTCTCTGCCTGACATTGCAGTTCTTTGTATGAGAGCTGTATCTTTTCTTTGTGTCCTCAGAGTGCACAGGAACCCAGTGCACATTTTCCCCACTGAATTCACCATGCTAAATTAGAATTAGCAATTTTCTTTGTATTTATTTATTTATTTTTATTATTAGACTTTAAGTTCTAGGGTACATGTGCACAACATGCAGGTTTGTTACATATGTATACATGTGCCATGTTGGTGTGCTGCACCCATTAACTCGTCATTTGCATTAGGTATATCTCCTAATGCTATCCCCCTCCTTCCACCCCACGAGAGGCCTTGGTGTGTGATGTTCCCCTTCCTGTGTCCATGTGTTCTCATTGTTCAATTCCCACATATGAGTGAGAACATGCGGTGTTTGGTTTTCTGTCCTTGTGATAGTTTGCTCAGAATGATGGTTTCTAGCTTCATCTATGTCCCTACAAAGGACATGAACTCATCCTTTTTTATGTCTGCATAGCATGGAATTAGCAATTTTCAAAGAATGAGAGTGTATAAGTGCACTGGCCACAAAATAGTCTAAATATTGTATTTTTTAACAGAAGAATACTTTATTTATATAGCATTCTACCATTTATTTATAAATCTCTTTCACATAATGAGAGCCAGACTGGGCAAATATTTTTATTTGCAGTTTCCTGGGAAACTGATTTATCTAATGCTACATGGATATTCAGAGGGCAGAGCTGAAATATGAAATCTGATTTCTTCCTTCCCAATGCTGTGCCTTTTGTTGAACTAACTGGTTTGATTTAGAAGGAACCTCAAGATCTTGCAGTATGAGGGGCATCATTTTAATATTCATTTTCATTGTAGAAATTCTGATAATAGGAGCTTTTTGGTTATTTTGTGTCTGAGCAGATTGGAATTTATTTTGTGATTAATTCATCTGGTAAACCAGCATTGTCAGTGCCTGGATGGTCCAGCTGGCCATCAGACATTTGTGTCCTGGCCTGTGGCATGACCTCTAGGTATTCCTCTCTTCCCAGGTGGGGGCAGGGCGGTCCTGCGTCACGGCTGACACTGCAGGCTTGCCCGGCCTCCTTCTCGGAGGTCGTTGGACCCTGTAGATTTTCCTACAAATGTCTCTGGCATTCGAGAGGAGAGTAAGCCCCACAGAGCCTGCTTGTTCACAGAGGGCCTTATCAGTTGTTGATGAGACCCTGTCTAGGCTCACAGACAGGCAGTTTCCTCCAGCCCCAGAGCCCGAGCCCGCTGTGGAGCCAGAAGAAGGTGATAAGCCTCCGAGAAGATTTTTTAGGAGCCTTGCCTATCTTTCACACCAAGTCGCCAGGGTACATTTTCCATGGTCGCCATTTACAGATAGGGTGGCTGCTCTCGGATAAGGCTGGGGGCCGGGAAGGGCGGGGGAGTCATTAAAGGGGGCAAATGGTTTTTCCAATTAGCTACCCTTAGGAATCCTCCAGAATTCTAAAGGCTTTGTCACTGACAACTTTTTTTTTTTTTTAATTGTAAAAGTTCCTCCCTAGCCAGCCAAGTAAACCCTTCCTGGTTGGCCCTAAAGCAATCGGACAGGGCAGGCCCAGAGCCTCAGAGAACGGAGTCTTATTGGGCTTTGACTATTGCGAATAGAATATTCTGTCTGCAGCTGCCAGGCAGGAAGGCTGTGGTGATAGGGGCAAAGGGGCTGCCACAGAAAATTCCAGTGTAAAGCCCAGTCACTCAGATCCGTCAGGCTATGGTTTATAGATTCTACCACAGACTGACCCTTTGACGGAGTCTTCCTGCCAACTACGTGGGGCAAGAGCAGAGAGTAACACAAAGAGATGGGTCAGGTGCTTGGCTGGAAAATGCGAGACAGGGTCCTATTTCTAGGACTCAGAAAACTTCTCTTTTCTGGACACCTTTTTTTTTTTTTTTTTGAAATAAGGTCTTGCTCTGTCGCCCAGACTGGAGTGCAGTGGTGCAATTATAGCTCACTGCAGCCTCAAACTCCTGGGCTTATGCCATCTTCCCACCTCAGCTTCCCTAGTAGCTGGGACTACAGGCGTGCACCACCACGCCCCGGCACATTTTTGTATTTTTTGTAGAGACAGGGTTTTGCTATTTACCCAGGCTGGTCTCAAGCTCCTGGACTCAAGCAATCCGCCCACCTTGGCCTCCCCAAAATGTTGGGATCATAGGTGTGAGCCACTGCACCTAGCCCATGTTGCTTTCAGTTTTTTAACTGTTAGTTTTTTCTTGGTCATTACCCCTAAGAGCAGATATAGAATGTAGCTTGCTAGGGAAAATTTGAGAGTAAAGCATGAGGTTTGGCGAGAATACAATGGTGTGTGTGTTGGTGGGTGGGTGACAGAGGCTGGCAGCAGTGTCAGATTGGCTACTCTAGTGTGGAGTTATTTTATAATATGCCATCCAAAAGGCCACTCCCTTTGTGGATTGAAGTTTTCCAAGAGTTAACACTCAGACTATTATCAATGCTGTTAAACACGCTGGCATGTTTTTTCCAATGTTGACTCACATGATAATCTTGCTAAGGTGGCTCAGATTCCACGGTGTGGAGCAGGCAGTCTGGGTCTAGCTCATGTACTTTGGCAAGATGATGCTTGTACTGCCTGTAGGAAGGTGACAGGAATAGGGCTATAAGTGGTAGCCGTAAATGTCATTATTATCATTATTATTTCTAGCAAGTAGCAATGATGTGAAAATGGACTGGGGCCATTACTATGAAAGGAACACATAAGCAAAGTAAAAATGACAAATACAAATGATGGGGCCTTATTTAAGCCTCTCTACCAGTCACAGAGAGAAAAACACTGGTAGCTGGTGAGCCCACTGTGTAAATACAATTGCAGGACAGCAGTTCCATTCCTCCATGGCTGAAGCTTGGACACTCTTCTTTCTGGTTTTTATTTTTCTTGAGAAACCTGAACCCTGGGGAGACAGGCATAGGTAGAAATGCCTTTCCATTCCGCTTGGAAGAAAGAATAAGCGGTCTTCAGATTAGGTTCCCAAGATTAGTATTTATCTTCCTGTTCTGCTTCCTTTATTTTGGAACTTGATAACTCAAGGCGACCACCAGCAAGACCACCAACTATTCACCCTCTATGTAAAATTCCATGCTGGAACATGAGTTTTCTGGTTTATTTTGAAGGCGGAAAATAGGTGCTAACAGCCTCAGCTCCTGGTGTCAGTGCTGTTAGCCACTGGATACTGCTGGGTCCCAGGCAGCTTACTTTGAAAGAGGCAATTTGGGCCCAGCTGAAATGGTCATAATGTTGTTTGGAGGCCCCATGTGCCCTTTGAACTTTGCAGACAGACTCTGCCACTAAAGGGGCCTCAGGAATCATTTCATAACATCAATGGTTTTTCTTTTCATTACAGAGCTGGCAGAGTCATTAGGTACTTCGGTGTCTGTAGAAAGTGCCAAGCCCTTGGCAAATCTGGGTTCATTTACCAGGGTGGGTGGTAAGCTTATGTGTGTCTATTTATAGGTGAGGAAATAGAAGAAGAGAGAAGGTTACATGGAGCTGTAGGAATCTAAATCCTAGAAGGTTCTGGATCCTGCAAACTACACTGCCTAAGTTTGTCTCATTGTGCATTTAGCACAGCATGATGGATGGGGTGGGGAGGCTGTGTTTCCCAGCTTTATGCTCCACAGTGGGTAGTCAGGCTCATGGACATGCTAAGGCACTGGTTTTAGTATTCCCAGGGCCCATCAGTATGAGACTCAGTACCCTCCTGACCACTCATACTGGCCACTTGGAAGTCACGCCTCCCTTGCTAATGGTACATTATCCCACAGGTCTCTCTCTCACCAAGATGGAATGCAGCCAGTCGTCCCCTGGGGAATCCCCATACTTGAGTTACTATTTGTCCTAGCATTTATGAGTCTTCCTTTTCACGTATTTTTTTAATAGTAAAATTAAGCAATAGAAAGTATCCATTGGAAAAATAAATACAATGTATAATTTTCTTTTTCCTTAAATGAAAGACATCTCTTGTTCTCTTTTCACAATAGCGTCCCTTTCATCCATTATCTAATCAACGAGAATTTCAGTAACCCGATATTTTCAAAACGTATTGATTGTTTTAACAAAAGCAAGAAAAATAATAAAGTAAGTAAGACTTTATTAAGAAAATAATTTTAGAGCGACTTTCAAGATATACAATAGTAGGGGCAGTATACTTTCCACTTAATACTCAAATTAGTATTTGAGTACCTGGGACAACCAGGCATCAGAGGTCCCTTCAGGGAGGACCCGACTTCACTAAATCGGAAACTCTAGAAAACCCCTACCCTACCCTGCCCCTGTCATCTCTACAGAACTGTACCAAGACCTTGAGGCACACTTCAGAATTCTCAAAAATCCATCCAAATAATTCAGTCTCATTTGAATGGCAAATGCAGTTTATTGCCTTTTAACTCTGAGAATCATTTAACTCTTTGGACAAATGGCATAACTCAGCCAACCAAACTACTGAGTTTCCTAGAGCTCTCAGATTTCCTTTCATTCTAGAAAAGCCAGGGGCTTTCTGCAAGAATTAAAAAGGAGGTGATTTCTTTTTTCCTTTTCCAAATTTGCCAAGTTATTTTCAGTGGATGTCAAAGATGTGCTTATTTTTGTGCAATGCTCAGTTTTAGGCCTTTTAGACTTTTCCTTCCTCCTGCTGAAGGGACTTCAGAATTTAAAGTAAGTATTTATTTTACAAAATCCTTGCCTTAAGCAACCTAAGTGTCCATCAATGGATGAATGGATAAACAAAATGTGGCCTATACATATAACTGAGTATTATTCAGCCTTAAAAAAGAGAGAAATTCTGACACATGCTAGAACATAAACCTTGAGGACATCATGCTAAGTAAAATAAGCCACACACAAAAACGACAAATACTACATGATTGCACTTACATGAGGTACTTAGTCAAACTCATAGAGATAGAAAATTGAATGGTGGTTGCCAGGGGCTGGGGGTAGAAGGGAATGGGAAGTTATGTTTAGTAGGTATGGCGTGTCCATTAGGGAAGGTGACAAAGTTCTGGCAATGGATGCTGGTAGTGGTTGCACAACAGAATGTAGGTATATACTTCATGCCACTGCACACTTAAAAATGGTTAAGATGGGGCCAGGCAAGGTGGCTCAAGCCTGTAATCCCAGCACTTTGGGAAGCAGAGGCGAGCAGATCACCTGAGGTCAGGAGTTTGAGACCAGACTGGCCAACATGGCGAAACCCCATCTCTACCAAAAATACAAAAAAAATAAGTTGGGCGTGGTGGCAGGCACCTATAATCCCAGCTACTTGGGAGGCTGAGGCAGAAGAATCGCTTGTAGCTGGGAGGTGGATGTTGCAGTGAGCTGAGATTGCACCATTGCACTCCAGCCTGGGCAAGAAGAGCGAAACTCCATCTCAAAAAGAAAGAAAGAAAGAAAGAAAGAAAAATGGTTAAGATGGTAAATTTTATTTTATGCAAATGTTACCACAATTAAAAAACTATATACTATGTTATATGGGTTTTATCATCCTTTGACTGATTCATGTGATTCTGAAGGGAGATGCTGTCCTTTCCCCAGCACTGGGACAACTCCGTAGCTTTCAGGTCTTGCTAGCACCAAGGCAGCGTGCTGTCAGGCAGATGCCAGAGTTCAGCCACCTGCAGTCAGGATCGCTGATGTCCAGGACATTTCACAGAGGCTTTTTCCTGGGTCTGTGTTCTTGGCAAAGTGATAATGCTCCTAATTAGCACAGAGACCTGCGTCCAGACAGCCTGACAGGCCGGGCCCTTAGACGTGGGGATGGGGAGGAAGCCAGAGGAGGCTCTTCTGCAGGATATGCTCCCAGGCTGAAGCTGAGCCCAGCTAGGAGTGGCTGAGCACCCAGCTGTGGGGAGGCATGGGCTGGAAGGAAAAGGGAGGCCCTAGATAGAGAGGGCAAGAGGAGAATGTTTTGCTGACAGAAAAGAGATATGTTTTAGACCAACTTCTAATGCTTGTGTGGTTTTAATCTCGTGGTCAGAGAGCAGTGCTTTTCAGGATAAGCTGACTTAATTTACTGTCTTCTGTGCACTTCTTCCAATGAGGACCCAGGGAGGCTTCTGCGAAAGAATTTCTCCGTCCTTTTCTGTCTCCTCTCTTTTTCTCCCATAATTAAAGCCCACGAAGACTTTGCTGAATGATTTATAACAAGTAGGGGAATCTTAAGAGCAGAACTTCATCTCCCACAATGTGACATCTAGCCCTTTCTCTTTCCCTGTGACAGGCCCTTGAATATTAGAGACTGTGTACCTCACTGACCCCTATAATACTGTAGTGAATTCAATGGTGGCACCCCAAAACATATGTCCACCTAGAACCTGTGCCTATTCCCTAATTTGGAAAAAGGGTCTTTGCAGATGTGATTAAGGATCTCAAAATAAGATCATCCTGGATAATCCAGGCAGGCCTTAAATCCAATGACAAGAGTCCATATAAAAGAAAGGCAGAGGGAGATTTGAGGCACGGAGAAGGCCAAGTGAGAATGGATACAGAGATTGGAAAAATGCAGCCCAAACTGAGGAACTGCTGGAGCCACCGGAAGCTGGAAGAGGTAAGGAAGAATTGTTGCTTAGAGCAGTAGTCTCCAACCATTTTGGCACCAGGGACTGGTTTCAGGGAAGACAATTTTTCCACACACCAGGGAGTTGGAGGGGGATGGTTTTTGGATGATTCAGATGCATTACATTTATTGTGAACTTTATTTCTATTATTATTAAATTGTAATATATAATGAAATAATTATACAACTCACCATAATGTAGAATCAGTGGGAGTCCTGAGTTTGTTTTCCTGCAACTAGACAGTCTTATCTCTTTGGGGAATGGGAGACAGTGACAGATCATGAGGCATGAGATTCTCATAAGGAGCACGCAGCCTAGATCCCTCGCATGCTCAGTTCACAATAGGGTTTCCACTCCTGTGATAATCTAATGTCCCTGCTGATCTGACAGGAAGCAGACCTCAGGCAGTAATGCTCCTTCACCTGCTGCTCATCTCCTGCTGTGTGGCCCGGTTCCTAACAGGCCACAGACCAGTTTGTGGCTTTGGGGTTGGGGACCCCTACCCTAGAGCCTTCAGAGTGAGTGTGATGAAGCTGACACCTGATTTCAGACTAAAGGAATAAATTTCTGTTGTTTGAAGCCACTGAAGCTTGTGGTAATTTGTTAGAGCAGCTCTAAAAACTGAATACACAGGGATGCTCGAACTCTCCTGTGCACACATCACCTGGGGACCTGCCTGTGAGACAGCAGGTCAAGGCTGGGGTCTAAGATTCTACATTGCTGAGACATTTCCCATGACACAAATGTTGCTGACTGTTCCACACGCTTTGAACACACAAAAACTAGTTTGAGAAATCGACTTTCAAACAGAAGCACAACAAATGAACATTTTAATTATGTTCGGCTGGGAGCCACTGGCTAACATTCAATTTTGACTTGGGCCTCTGTGCTCTTTACCCTTATTTGTGGTTTTTATCACAGTAGTTGTCCTGATGTGTTCAGTGCTATATAGAATGCCATTATCTATGATCTCCGCCCCAAAACTTAGAACCAATAATTTCTTTTGCACAAAGGTCTCTGTGTCTCATCTTCCTTACCTGTTAAACAAGGGACTTGGACTAGCTTTGCTTAAGTTTCTTCCAGCTCAAACTTTCTTTGAGTATGGGATACTTTTCACACCCAGAAAGAAGATTCTGTGGGTCTCAGTTAACTACCTGTGCCTTCAAACACCATCCTTTACTTTAACCTTGAAGTCTTTCTCATCATTTTGTCCTACACTAAGGAAATAAAGTATCCTAGATGGGATAGAATACTCCTTGCTCATTGCTGCTGTGATTTTTCTTACTAGTCAGCTGAGGTAGCCACAATGAGTGGTAAGCTTTCTGCTGAATAGCTAATTCCCATGAACTAGTTGTCTTTCTGATCTGTCCTCTATTTTCAAGGAGTGTGTGTGTGTGTGTGTGTGTGTGTGTAATAAACTTCACTGACTTCATCCCTGTGGTTGGTTCGTGCACATAACTGAGTGGGAATGCTGACTACATCCAGACCATGTAGCTGTAATCTGCGTTCCTTTAGCACAATCCAGAAAATACCCATCTTCTGTGGGTGTTTCTCTGTGGGCATAAAGTGACCACTGTCTTTATCAGAATGTCACTCCCTTAATACGTGGTTTTTACAAAAACCTTACTCTCAGGATTGACACTGCAGAATTTTGCAAAGATGCTATACAATGTCCAATAATCCCAGTCGGACAGCCATTTTCAAAAGCCACAATTCAGTTCCTCTGTTCTTATTGCCCAACCACACTCCACTCCTTGAAGTAAGCACTTAAAAGATTTGGTTTCAAAATATCCAAAAAATGCATAAGGCAGGAGCCACTCGTCAATGACACAGATTTTCCAGCCCATCGAAAATGCATTTACCTTCCTCACAGGTCTAGCAGGCGCCTCCTCACTGACCTTCACAGGCAAGTTGGAATGGAAGGGTGTTGCTGGAAATGGAGTGAAGTCATGTTAAACATGTCCCCAAATGTTTATGCTGCGGAGTGATCAGTAACCACCATCTTCACTTTACTTTGATTCATTTTGTTTTTCTTCACTGCCTCACCCCTCTTCTCTTCCTGTTTCTGTCAAACTTGTTCGGTGATGAAAACAGTGATCCTCACAAAATACCTAATAGCTGTGAAGGCTGATAGTAGGAACACAACAGGGCAGGAGTCTGCTTGTGGGATCTGGGGACGGAGGCACACGTAGGACCAGCGTCTTCTCCTGGTACCTCTGGCTCTATCTGCTCCGTGCTCTGCTTTTTCTACCTTGCAGCTTCCTCTGTTTGCTCAGTGTCTCTGCTCCTCTGTTGCTTAGACTTACACGTGGCACTTTCCAGCCACCTAACCTGTTTCTTGCTATATGTAGCCTTCCATCCAACTGCATTTTGGCAAATTCTTTCCATGTATTTTAGTTCAAATTCTCAGCGGAAAGAATTTGATCATATGAGTACCTTACCTTTTCATTGGACCAATGGAAGATTGCTGTCTAGCCTCTTATTGGTGCTCCCAGATCATGTGATCTTTGTCACGTGACTTTCATGGACCCAATCATCTGTGACTCAGGTACCACAAGGTACAAATCATGGCCCAGGCGGCAAAGGACTGAGGGCTGGGCGGATTCCTTGTGAAGAGAGTTTAGACGGGGCTGGCAATTTCCCGGGTACAGGCTTTCCTCATCTTACCCTGAAAGGGATCTAGATATAAAAACCAAATGAGGAGCTTCAGGGGATTGGAGGCCACAGGACACAGAGCTACAGAGTAAGTACAGCCCGCCTCCTGGATTCAATCTTGAAACGTGAGAATGAGTGAAGCCAGAGTCACAGAGAATTGAAGCTGACCTCCTTGAAAACAAGACCAAAGAAGTGTGTTCAGAAGCCAAAAATGAGCTGGAGTCCTTGTAGAGGCTCAGCCCAACATATCAAAACATTGTCAGGGAGAGGAGGCTGAGGCCTTGCTGGAAGCGGCGGGTGTGAAAGGGCAGGAGAGGAAAGCTCTCAGCTGTGAATGTGCGCTGTACTTGTGGAAGTAAATCGGGCCACAGCCTGCCACACTGCACATCAAGGGTCATGGCACTGTGTGAATTCCATTTGCAGGTTCCCTTTTTAAAAGGCAAAGCTGGCCTTCCTGGCTCTAATGGAGAAGAGCAGCTTCAAGTTTACAGCCAGAGAGGAGGACGTTTCCCTGGCATCGGGAGACTTTGATTGTCTGGGCTGGGTACCCCATTGCTTTTGTGGTCCTCAAGCCCCCTGCCCATTGCCACCTCCTTCGCATTTTCTGTA
This sequence comes from Homo sapiens, assembly GCF_000001405.40. Lineage (NCBI taxonomy): Eukaryota > Metazoa > Chordata > Mammalia > Primates > Hominidae > Homo > Homo sapiens. Next base: position 35,340,758 of record NC_000007.14, read on the forward strand.
CTCCACTGCTTGGCTACTTTTACCAAAGATTTCTTATGTTTGAATAGCCATATGTGGCATTAAGAGTGACTTGACTTAAAAGCTAATTCAATAAAGCTTCTGGAAGAAAATAAAGAATACTTGCACAACCTGGGGATGAGCAGGGATTCCACAAACAGGACACTAAAACACTAACCATAAAATAATAAAAATAATAATTTGGACTTTATCAAAATTAAAAGATTTTGCTCATTGAAAGACACCATTGAAAACATGAAATGAAAGCCAAAGACTGAGAGGAATATCCCAATGTGTATGCTTAATAAAGGACTTGCATCCAGAATACAGGCATACCTTGTTTTAGTGCACTTTGCTGTATTGCCTTTCATAGATATTGTGATTTTTACAAATTGAAAGTTTCTGGCAACCCTGAATCGAGCAAGTCTATTGGCACCATGCTTCCAACAGCATGTGCTCATTTTGCGTCTCTGTCATATTTAGGTAATTCTTGCAGTATCTCACACTTCTTCATTGTTATTGTTATTATTATATCTGTTTGGTGCTATGTGATCAATCATGTTTGATGTTACCATTCTAATTGCCTTGGGGTGCCACAAACTGTGCCCATATAAGATGGCAAACTTAATTGATAAATGTTGTGTGTGTTTTGACTTCTCCACCAACCAGATGTTTCCCCGTCTCTCTCTCTCTCTCTCTCTCCCTCCCTCTCTTCTGACCTCTCTATTCCCTGAGACACAAAATATTGAAATTAGGTCAATTAATAACTCTACAATGGCCTCTAAGTATTCAAGTGAAGAGTTGCACGTCTCTCACTTTCAATCAAAAGCTAGAAAAGGTTAAACTTAGGGAGGAAGGCATCTCAAAAGCCTAGATAGGCTCAAAGCTAGGCCTCTTGTGCCAAACAGTTAGCCAAGTTCTGAATACAAAGGAAAAGCTATTGAAGGAAATTAAAAGTGCTACTCTAGTGAACACATGAAAAGGAAGTGAAACAGCCTTATTGCTGACATAGAGAACATTTGAGTGATTTGGATAGCAGATCAAACCAGCCACAACATTCCCTTTAGCCAAAGCCTGATCCAGAGCAAGGCCCTAACTCTCATCACTTCTGTGAAGGCTGAGACAGGTGAGGAACCTGCAGAAGTTGGAAGCTAGCAGAGGTTGATTGGTTCCTGAGGTTTAAGGAAAGGAGCCATCTCTGTTACATAAAAGTGCAAGATGAAGCAGCAAGTACTAATGTAGAATTTGTAACAAGTTATCCAGAAGATCTAGCTAAGATCATTGATGAAGATAAATACACTAAACAACAGGTTCTTGCTATAGACAAAACAGCTTTATATTAGAAGAAGATGCCAGCTAGGACTTTCATAGCTAGAAAGGAGAAGTCAATGCCTGGCTTCAAAGCTGCAAAGGACAGGCTGACTGTCCTGTTAGAAGCTAATGCAGCTGGTGATTTTAAGTTCAAGCCGATGCTCATTTATCATGCTGAAAATCCTAGAGCCCTTAAGAATGATGCTAAGTCTGTTGTGTCTGGGCTCCAGAAATGGCATAGCAAAGTCTGGATGACAGCACATCTGTTCACAGCACATCTCTTCATAGTTTATTGAATATTTTAGGCCCACTGTTGAAACCTATGGTACAGAAAAAAAGATTATTTTCAAAATCTTACTGCTCATTGACAATGTACTTGGCCACCCAAGAATTCTGACGGAGATGTACAAAGACTTTAAGGTTGTTTTCACACCTGCTAACACAACATTCATCTGCAACCAATGAACCCATGGACCAAGGAAATATTTTGACTTTCAAGTTTTATTACTTAAGAAATACATTTTGTAAGGCTATAATTGCCATAGAGAGTGATTTCTTCTGATGGATCTGGGCAAAGTAAATTGAAAACCTTCTGGAAAAGATTGACCATTCTAGATGCCATTAAGAACATTTGTGATTCATGAATATTTGTGATTCATGGGGAAGAGGTCAAAATATCAACATCGTATTAGTCAGGGTTCTCCAGAGGGATAGAACTGATAGGATATATGTATATATAAAAGGGAGCTTATTAAGGAGAGTTAGGTCACACGATCGCAAAGTGAAGGCCCATGATAGGTCATCTGCAAGCTGGGGAAGAGAGAAGCCAGTAGTGTCTCAGTCTGAGTCCAAAAGCCTCAAAAGCAGGGAAGCCAACAGTGCAGCCTTCAGTCTGTGGCTGAAGGTTTGACAGCCCCCAGCAAACCACTGGTGTAAGTCCGAGAGTCCAAAGGCCAAAGAACCTGGAGTCTGATGTCCAAGGACAGGAGGAATGGGAAGAGGCATCCAGCATGGGAGAAAGATGAAAGCCAGAACTCACCAAGCCAGCTCATCCCACCTTCTGCCTGTTTTGTTCTAGCTGCAATGGCAGCTGATTGGATGGGGCCCACCCACATTGAGGGTGGGTCTTCCTCTCACAGTCCACTGACTCAAATGTCAGTCTCCTCTGTCAACACCCTCACAGACACACCCAGAAACAATACCTTACCAGCTATCTAGGCATCCTTCAATCCAATCAAGTTGGCACCTAATATTAACCACACAAACATTAACAGGAGTTTGGAAGAAGTTGATTCCAGCCTTCATGGATGATTTTGAGGGGATCAAGACTTAAATGGAGGAAGGAACTGCAGATGTGGAACTAGCGAGAGAACTAGAACTAGAAATGGAGCCTGAAGATGTGACTGAATTGCTGCAGTCCCAGGATAAAACTTGAACAGATGAGGAGCTGCTTCTTACAGATGAGCAAATAAAGTAGTTTCTTGATGTGGAATCCATTCCTGATGAAGATTCTGTGAACATTGTTAAAATGACAACAAAGAATTTAAAATGCAAAACTAAGTTGGTAAGGCAGCAGCAGGCTTTGAAAGGATTAACTGTAGTTTAGATGGAAGTTCTACTGTGGGTAAAGTGCTACCAAACAGCATCTCATGTTACAGAGAAATTTTTCATGAACGGGAGAGTAAATCAATGCAGCAAACTTTATTCTCTTATTTTCAGAAGTTGCCACAGTCAGTTGATCAGTCAGTAGCTATCAATATTGAGGCAAGACCCTCCACCAGCAGAAAAATTATGACTCAAATTTTTGAGGTGATTGGTAAGCTAATTACTCTGATTGATCATAATACATTCTATATATGTACTAAAATATCACACTGTACCCTATAAGTATGTACAATTATTTCATGTCAATTTAAAATAATAAAAGCAAAAATAAAAAAGATTACAACTAACTGAAGCCTCAGATGATTGTTAACTTTTCTTAGCAATAAGGTATTTTTAAATTAAGGTATGTAAATTGTTTTGTTAGAGAATGCTGTTGTACACTTAGTAGACTACAATGTAAACATAACTTTTATATGCACTGGAAAACCAAGAAATTTGTGTGACTTGCTTTATTATGATATTTGCTTTATTGTGGTGATCTGGAACCAAACCCACTATCTCTGAGGTATGCTTGTGTATTAAGAACACCTACAAATCATAATAAAAAGACAAACAATACAATAAAAAAGCTAAAGACTTGAGTAGACATTTTCCAAACACACAAATGGTCTAGGAACACATGCAAACTGCTCATTATTCATCAGGAAAATACAAATGAGAAATTACAGTGTGTTATCACTTTACAATCACTAAGATGGCTATAATTACAAAGACTGGCAATACCAAAAGTATATCGACTGGATGTAGAAAAATTGAGCTCTCATATATTGCTGGTGGGAGGGCAAAAGAGGATAATTTGGATGACTGTTGATCAGTTCTTTAACTGTTAAGAATACACATTCCCTGGGAGGCCGTGGTGGGTGGATCACCTGAGGTCAGGAGTTCGACACCAGCCTGCCCAGCATGGTGAAACCCTGTCTCTACTAAAAATACAAAAATTAGCTGGGCGTGGTCGTGGGTGCCTATAGTTCCAGCTACTTGGAAGGCTGAAGCAGGAGAATCACTTGAACCTGGGAGATGGAGATTGCAGTGAGCTGAGATCACGCCATTGCACTCCAGCCTGGGCAAAAGAGCAAAACTCTGTCAAAAAACAAACAAACAAACAAACAAAAAAACACCACATTCCCAAGGAAGGAACTTTTGATACATACAACAACATCGATGAATCTCAGAACAATTATGTTGAGTGAAAAAGACAAACATCCCCCCAAAAGAGTACATATTATATGATTCCATTTATTTAAGACTCTAGAAAATCCAAACTATAGTAAGGGAAAACAGATCAGTGGTTGCTTGGGGGATGGGGATGGGGATATACACGGGAGTGATTACAAAGAATACAGGGAACTTTGAGAGGATGACGAAAATGCTCATTTTAAATATGAGCCATTTGTTGCATGTCAACTATACCTCAATAAAATAGTTTATTGGTATATTATATAGAGGGTATATAATACATTTAATATTTTTAAAAAATAGTCACTTTGTTTAAAGTGACTCGAAATAAAACAACAACAAAAATGAGAACACATGTTCTCCATGAGCCACAAATTCATTCCTAGATATTTATCTGAAAGAAATGAAGGCATTTGTTCATACAAAGATTTGTTCAAGACGGTTTATGACAGTTTTATTCTTACTAGCAAGAAACTGAAAATAACTAACATGTCAATCAACAAGTAAATAGATAAACAATTTGTGGTGCATTTGTATAATGGAATATTACTAACCATTTCAAAAACTGACATTCACAAAAGTCTGATTAAATCTAAAAAAGATATATCCCAAATACAAAAGATTACTTTCTTTGTGATTTCATTTATATGAAGTTGAAGAACTTGCAAAACTCATCTATGGTGATAGAATCAGAACAGTGGTTTTCTCTTGGTGGTGGGGAGGTGGGAGGTTGAGTGGCTGGAGGTTGATGACAAATGGTCTGAGAAACTTTCTAGGGTGACAGAAATGTGTTATATCTTAAGTGAGATATTGGTTACATGATGAAGTGGATACTGTGGTGCTCTGCTCAGCTGCCCTCTTCAAGGCCGACATGCCCATTCCCTAGCTGCTAGGATAACCCACACCTGCATTTCCGACTGAGCATTGCCCTTGGTCACAGGGAACTGCCTTGCCCAGACATTTCCCTTGCAAGGGCTGAGCCATAACAAATGACTGTCCAGTGCAGAGATTTCTAGACCTGCCCTGCTTGCCTCACTTTAAGACACTCTGAAGAGCCATTCCTTCTCCAAAGCTCCCCATAGAATTAGCTAAAGCCTTAGCTGCAGCTTCATTGTGGATTAGCTTCTCCCTCTTTCCAATCCAGCTTTCTTCATTTATTTACAGGTTTATTGTTGAGAGTATATACCAGTAAACTTTCTGCACATAATTTTCCACTTCAGCATTTGTTTCTAGAAGATGGAACTACAATTGGTCCTAGAACGTGAAATTTAAAATGGAATTTTAAAGCTGGATAAACAGCCAGGGCTGTCAACGAGATCCCATTTTTAGTGGGATGTGGAGCATGAATGGTCCTTAGCAGACTGCGTGGTGTGATGGTTACAACCTGTACTGACAGTGGATGTGGTTAGGACATCAGTGGATGGGAATACATTAGTTGGTGAGCTTGAGTGGAACGAGAAAAGTTGTAACCACAAAGACTGTGGCACCAAGTGGCTGTTGCTGCATGCATGGATTCTTAGAAGATTATAACCAGCTCAGGATGATTAATCACCAGTTCATAAGCAGTGGGTTTAAGAGAAGTTTGACTTCTCAGCCTAGCAGGTCTCCCTCCCAAAGGCCAGAACTCTGTTTCAGAAGGAAGGAGACCCTGATAATTGGGTGTGAAATATCTGCTATGAAAATCTTGAGTGCCTAAATAACCCTGAACCCACTTGGTGCAAGTGGCTCACTCTTACCTGTTAGAAAATAGTAGCCCTCCCCTTGCTTGAAGAACATGCAAAAAGCACAAGTGAAATAATTACAAAACAGTGTTTGTCCTCACTCAGGATCTCACTGCCTCTCACACCATCCCACTTACTTCCTGGCAATAAGACCAATAACAAGTGTTAAAGCTAGGATCTAGCTAGTATGTACTGATGGGTCCCTGCGTGTGCAGGATCAAAAGAGGAGGAAATAAAGTTGGATAAAGAAGAGTGTATTGGTATGGGGAACTCTCCAGTACCTAGGATTTAACTCCTTGGCAAGGATCCCGAAGTCAGGCTAATGGGTTGCTAGAATGGCTATTGGAAGCTTGAGAAAAGTGATGGCCTCCACTAAGTGAAGGAGCACCTGCAGAACTGCTGTGGCAGATAGGGAGGAAAGAATCAAAAGCCTCGAAGAATTGGGTATGCTAGAACAGGTATATTTCATAAGGCCAGGAAACTTACCAACTGACCAAGTTTGGGACGAGGGCCCAAAGAATGTACTAAAATTGTCATGCAGCTCAGCGGTGATTGTCTTCATAGACCAGGGCTACCAACAGGAGATGTGAATACGAAACTGAGCTCCTGAGAGCAATGGGGATGGCTGGATCCCAAAATCGTAGAGGGCAGGTGGCAGCGCTTAACTATCAGAAGCAATGTGGGCACAATTATTACAATAAGCAGCAAAGGCAGAGTGGTGGCCTTGAGGACAGACCAACGGAGAGATGAAGGTGGTTGACAGAATTTTGTGCTCCTAGGGCTGAGAGAGTTGGGCAACAAACAAAAGCATTGCTTAATATGTGCAATCAAAAGAAGACAAGGATGAATGGTCAGATGCCTGTGGACAGCAGCCCCAGTGAAAATTCAAGATTCCTGGCTATTCTCAGACATGGAAACCATTGACCGAAGTACAGGCCAAGTCCCTTGAAGGAACAATTCTGCAAAGCCACAGCATGCATACTCAGCAGCAATTTTCCCAGTCACTCGGTAGTAATTCTCCCAGTCACTCAGTAGTAATTTTTCCAGTCCTTCCTTTCGGCTACTTATTCAGATAACCGTGCAATGAAGAAAGAAGAATATATATAGGTATTTTAGAAATTGTTGGATAACATAAGGTCTTGACCTAGGGAGTTGACACTGATGCCCAGGAGCCTCCAAAGCAACCATGGCCTACCTTTTAGAATTAGAGTGTATGAGGAACAGATAATAATTGGAGCCCTGAACCTAGTCCAGCTTGCCGCAGGCTCACTGGCCTCCTGGAACCACCCAGTATCATTTTCCCAGTTCCTGAACATGTAATTGGAATTGTCATACTTGGTAGTTGGCATAACCATTGCTCCTGGATTTTGCCACCCAAACTTCACTTTCTACCTTGAACTGTTGTTGGTCCATGAAGAACAGCTTGGACTCAAACCCCTTGGCTCTTCTCAGTCTTAGCTGTTGAACACACCTAGATTTAGTCTTGAAACCACATCTGCTCTGACTGGCCCAGCCAGATAAACATATCCACTCTCAGGGGAGATTGCATACTCTTAAGCCAATGGTCTAAACTTCCTATTCAAAAATAACCCAGGCCTGGCTTGTACATCTTCCATTTTTTGTTTAAAGAGATATTAGAATGTGAGAAATGATATTATACCCTAAGATCAAAGCTGAAAACATAGAGTAAATAGATCCTGGGCTCCACCAATGCAAGTGCAATGCAAGTAAATATATTCTGTATGATACGCCAATAAAAAACAGGGATACATAGTTACTTGGAGATGGAATGGGTAGCAGATGTGCTTTTTTTTAAGTACTATCAATAAACAATAAAATTAGCTACCATTCTTTGAGCAACTACTATGTACCACGAATGTTCCCGTATGCCTTCTCATCTAATCTTAATGACCACCCTGTGAGGTGAATGGCATGCCCATTTTATAAAGAAGGAAACTGAGGGTCAGAGAGCTGAGAAAAATGACCCAAAGTCATAAAGCTTGTGAGAGGCAGCCAGAATCCCAGTATGGTTTGCTGATTGTGGAACCAGTGCTGTTTCTGCCACACTAAACTGCATCCTGATTACGGAGATTTGCAGCCCAAGCACCTCGGATAAATTGCTTGGCTTCCAGCAACTGGGCTTAAGAAAATATGCCTTTTCTTTCATGTTTTTGAAGACAGAATCCATCATAAAGGGCATTCCTTTAAGACCTTCTGCTTTGAAGTGATAAAAGCTAGATTGAAGGAAGGCTCCCAGGCTCCTGATCTGGGTTCACCCCTGCCCTGAGAGCCAGGAAATGTGATTTCTTCTGCCATCTCTTTCACTTATGGTACTTGCTCTGCTTCTTGGGTCTCCAGTGATTTTTTTTTTTCTTAAGAAAAGAAGATAGCTTGGGTTAATTTCCAGTTCTCCACAATTTATCTGTACTGAGCTGGAAGAGTGTTGAGTGGGAAAGGGCTTCCTTGTCCACGAGGGCCTCGCAGCTCTTCAACACCCACCACTTCTGCCTCATGTCAAAGGCAAGCAGATCGGTTTATTAAATAGCTGTCAAACCGAATCAGCGAGCACCGAGAACACACAGAGGGGAGATTGGATTAGAGGGAGAGGACATGCCACGCTAAACAAGGGCACAGATTTATGGCTTTGGCCATGCAGCCTCAGAAATGATGCCCAAGGTAGCTATGTGTTGGGGGCGGCTGGGCCAAGGAAGTGAAGTGTGATATTCACAGGGAAGGACTGAGGCATAAGGTGTTTCCAGTGACCATACTTTTCCTTTCTGGCACTCAGATCACTTGTAATTAGCATATAAGTAATGACATGTGTTTATTTGGTAAATGACTCTCTTCCTCATCAAAGTATAAGTTTACCCAGGGTAGGGGCTGCTGGAGGCTATTCACTTCTATTTTCCAGTGAGGGCACATGGCTGGCATCATAATAAGATATGCTTGCAACATTAACTCCACTGAAGACAGCAACTCCTAGACTCTCACCAACTTAGAAAATATGGATGATGCTTTACTCACCAAATGGAATTCACAAACTTGGGTTCTAATTAACACTTTCATAGATTGCCCCTGTCCACTTTTCATAGCCCCCACAGATGAGAGGCAATTTGAACTAAAGAGGAAAACAAAGTGACAGATACCTGCTAGCCAATGTCACTTTAAGCCCAGTGGAAATAGAAATGTGTGCATGAATGATTACTGAGGGCATTTTGGAAGAACTGCTGGACTAGATTCTTGCCCTGGAGGGACCTAGACCATAGCAGAGAAGAAGTAGTCTTTGTATTTCCCATTCCAACATTTTTCTTTTATTTGTCGTCATCTGGGATTTTATCTCAGTGTCCACCTCTTCCATACACCTCACATGTGTGGTGAGGGAAATGTCCCCACTCTTGGCTCTAGGAGCGGGGACACCTCTGCCTCAGGCCTACACTAATCGACATAATATCATCCACTCATCCCAGCAATGGATGCAGTTATGGTTACATGGTCTAATGTGGGCCAATGAGAAGGGAGAAGATATGGGCTAAGGGTTTCCTTACTTCTGTGAGAGAACTTCCAGAACCGTCATTCTTTTTCTTTCTGAATGCAGGAGAGGAAACGTGCTCCTTGCCTCTCTCCCTCTATCTGACTCAGTTCCTTATCATCCTCATATATGTACTGATCGGTGGAAACTAAATGCACCCAGAACCCTAGAAGCTGGGAAATGCAGTCTTTGACTTTCCAGCCTGTTCGGGATTGGAAGGTGCTAGAAGGGGCTGAAATGAGCATTGAATGAGCCAGTTTGCAGCATCTGCTGTATCACCTTCTTTGTTACTTTAAGAGTAGTGACTATTGATCATGTTTTTGAAATCTACAAGAACTTCGAATAGTGAGCAAAAGAGTTAAGAATGTAACTATGGGGAATTGGGACTGTCTTTGAGTAGGAAAAATACACCCATGTTTCATGTTTATTTCCTTTGTATTAATTTTAGAAAAACAATAATCTTATAAAAGTGACAAATCAGATGACTAGATGGCTACTGCAACCATCTAAGTGTGAAGGGTCGTATCCTGGATGGGGCCAGTTGAGAAGGAAACAAACTCTCAGATTGAGCCATATCACTATGATAGAGTTGGGGGACCTTGTGGTTAGAATTTTTGTAGTTGCTTAAATCAGAAATACCCATATGCTGATTTAAGCAGAATGGGGGCTCTATCACTAAGGCACAGTGGTGTTTGACAGAACCCTGGGCAGAGGAGCATTACTGCCAGGGCTCTCTGTCTCTCCTCTTTCCTTTCTTTTCTTCACCTTCTGCATTCTCCTTTGTATCTACAGATTGGCTTCCTCTGCCTCCCCATGTGCCTAGGGGGCGGGGAAGGTGGGGTGTGGGGAGTGGAGAAGTCGGGGGTGGAAGCAAGGCCATGACAGCTCTTGAGTTTGTATAGCCTTCTCTCTCACTCCCATGGAAGGGACGCTGCATGGTCCAACTGGGGTTCAGGCTGACCCCTGAGCCAATCAATCAGGTCCCAGGAGGAGGGACGGGGGCAGTTCACAGGCACCCAGGCTCACCTCTATGAATCTGAGAATGGTGATGTGAGGTACATTAGCCTTGTGGGCGCCTGTCGTTTCCAAACATTGTGCAACGGGATGTGGATTTGCCAGGCATGAGTTGGCAAGGGAGAGGAAAGCATCCATGATGATGCAGAGGCTTCTGGTCTGAGGAAGAGGATGCAGCACCACTTCTCTGGATGCAGGGGTAAGTTGCCTAGACTGAAGTGGGAGCCTTTGTAACTAGAGCAATATGGGCTGGGGCAGAAGCAGTTGAAGACAGAGGTCACTGAGCATGGCATCGATGGCTTTACCCATGTTTGAAGTGGCCTGAAGATCCTTTCAACCCCAGTAAAATAGAGAATGGTGATAAGGCCAGTTTGGGAACAATCAGACATCTGTGAGATTAGCAAAAACCTAAGGCTCAGGGAACCTCTTGAAACCTCCCTACAGGAGAGTCGCCCCTTTTGGTCCTAGAACATAGGCCTGAGCCCGCCGACCAGACTTAAATGTGGGGAAGGCAGGGCAGCGTGGGGTCAATAGCTGCTTGCATGGCTACCTGTTGGCTTTGTGCCCTGAAGAAAGAGGAGATTTTATGTGTGGGCTGAGCATGAGGAGGGAGGCTGCCATCATTTTATAAAAGTTGTGTGATTATAAGCAAAGTGGGGAGCTGGGCCAGGGGAGCAAGAGTGGGTGGCATATGCTCTTCCTCTCAACACCCATAGCAGTCATGGCTAATCAGTCAAGGAGCTCTTTCCCATAGAGCCCTGACAGCATCCTTCTCAGCACAGGGCTCTGGGCAGCCTCTGACAGTCTGTCAGTACATGGGAAGACCTACATCTGCTCAACCCAATCTGGGCAATGGATGGCAGGGAAGGCAGGTAAGTCTGGGTCAACATGGCTGAGCCATGTATTTTGTGGAAAACTAAGAGGGTTGTGGCAACCATAAGTGTGATTCCAACACAAAGTTTTAGCTTCAGTGTGAAGGTGGCTTAACATTCTAACCAGTGTTGGCCTACTGCTGGAGACTGTGCTAAGTGCTGGTTCACAAAATTTCATTTCATCTTCACAGCAGCTCTATGGGGCTAGCTACTATTACTAGTGCAGCATCTCCTACTCATGTTTACAGATGAGGGAACCGAGATCTGAAGAAGAGAAATGACCTATCCAAGTTCCCCCAGCTGGGGCCAGTTCTTCTGTTTCACCTAGAATTGGATGTTCCAACTCCTGGTAAGTATTCTTTCCACTGCCCCAAACATATTTTGATTTGAGACTAGATTCTTCTGCTGTTTCCCAGTAAAGAGAATTTCCCCAAACATCTGTGCCATGTGATAGCCCCTTAGGGTCTTGAGTCTCCAAGTGTGGTCTTCAGATTAGTAGCATGAGCATCCCATGAGCGCTTGGCACAAATACAGAGTGTCCAGCCCAATCCCAGAGCTCCCAAATCTGCATCTGCATTTAAACAAGACACCTTAGGATCCATGTGCACAGTGAAGTTTGAGAAGCTTGACAAGGCACCAGCCCTTCCAAGTGTTCCAACCTGGCAGAAAGGGTTCTACAGGCAAACAAGTTTGGGAAACACTGAATCCTATCCTGTTCTTTTACACATCAGCATCGTTAAAGGTTTGGAAGGGTCCTAAAGTAAATTTTTTAAACTTTGCTCAACCAGATGTTTTCCAAATTTGCTTGTACATAGACTCTGGATTCTGTATGAATAGCATTTACTCATATCCCACGGATTTACTATTTAACAAAAAAGTTTGACATGTGGTCATAGACTAGCCAGATGAAACCCTGCTTGTGTGTGCACTAAAAATAATGGAAAGAAATGCACCAAAGATTGATCTAGTAATCAATTATTTATCATTCCCTTAAGATGACAGCAGCACTGCCATTTTAAGGGCACCAATATTATAAAATGAAAAAAAAAAAAGCACTCAAAAAGGGAAAACAAAAGCAATCTGTGAGGGGAAAAAAAGGGTCATAATTTGGTTTGGGCAGGAGTGTTTGACCAATAGGAAAGTGGATGGAAGAATAGTTGTTTCATTAACCTATTGCCATTTCTCATAGCCTTACACTCATGAACACAAAGCAGCATAAAATGGGATCAGAGGCTATTTTCTACGGACTAGTTTACATTAGTGATCTCATTTTATTTCTACAGCAAATCTTTAAGGTAGATATTAGTATCCTCATTTTACAGATGAAGAAACAGGGACTCAGGAAGATTTGGTCATTTGTTAAGACTTGTGCAGCTAATGAGCCAGAACTCAACCCCACACTTTGTGACTCAGGAGTCCAGGCCCTTTAGCCATTACACGATTTTGTGCAGAAAACAGTGGAAGCCTGGGCCCCTGAAAGACTGTGCCTGATCTCAGCCTGGAGTCCTAGGAGAGGATGAGGGAGGCCAGCCTGTGAGCTGTTCTTGTGGATTGCCAGTCCCCTTGTGATTGACATGCTCCTCATCACCAGCTCCAGTATCTGTCTCTGCTCCTGCGTGGGCTGCTCTAGGGTCTGGGACATCACATGTCTGACTCAGCAATTAGCTTGTTGTACTTCATCTTCCCGCTTGCCTCCAGCTCCCCCCCGATTAATAGAGAGGAGCTGCTGCAGCCAGGCAGTCAGCCACTCCCACCTGAACGTGAAATAGATTACTGAACAAAGAAATGAATTGAGAGAATTGGGGAGCGAGGAGGGGGCCAATAGCTACATTGCCTGTTTTTAAGCAACAACTGCTTTTGAAGTCGCTGATTGCAGGAAAGGCCAGACCCAGTTTGGCCTAGTTTGGTGATCACTAACTCAATTACTTAATTTTCAAGGAAAACATTTGCTCCGATAAATAAAAACAGAATAAACCACAAGACTTAACTGCCTCCTTTTAGTGAGCTTCAGTCCCAGGCCTGATTTGCAAAAGGAAAGCAGCTGGAGAGAAGTGCACTCGAGGTGGAGACTGATAGTGGAAACAGTAATAACAGAAATAATCAGTATCAAGTTATCAGCGCTATTCTAAGAGTTCTGCATATTTGAACCCATTTAATCTTCACATAAATCCTCTGAGATAAGCACAATTATTATCCCCATTTTCCAGATGATAAAACTGAGGCCCATATACTTCACATCATTTGTGCTTAAGGTTACACTGCTGGCAAGTACTGGTTAAACATCCAGAAGACAGACTCGGGACCCAGACTGCCTGAGTTCAAATCCTGCTCTGCTGTGGTTTTCTCACTGGAAAAACGAGGTGTTACTAGATGCCTCTCTGCCAAACCTCAGTCATTTATTAACACCTTCACATTCTTGGGCCAACTCTCATTCAACAAGTACTATGATTTTCTTAAAGCTTTCTGTGAGCTACCTGTTTTTGAAAGTTTAAATAACTGTATTTCAAAAGAAACACATCAAAAAATAGATTGAAAACTAGTATCTCTTATTTCAAATAGATGGTGTTTATGAAAATGAATATTACAAGAAAAAAATAGGATTACCTATATCTGAGATACAGATCTTTTTCTTCCTTGTTACAAAGAGAGGTTAATAAGTGTTAGAAAGACACGGGAGATCTAGTGGCTCCAGTCTACAATTTTCCTCCTGGAAATAATCAGAAGTATTGAAAAAGAACAGAACAGGAAATGCCTTGCTCAGGATCACAGGTTGGGAGAAATGTCGCATGGCTTGTTTCTCAGCTCTTTCTCCTACACAAGACTAAAACAGCATGGCAGAGGGCTGGCCCCCAAAAGCTTAAAGAGCTCTGTGTGGGCAGAGGTATCTGTAGCTGTGGTCAGGCCCCATCAGGTGGGCTGTGTGCCAAGCTTATAAAGAGAACTTGTGATGAGTGTACCATCTTTGTCCCATTCAAAAGGGATCTTCCAGCAAGGTGGCCCAAGCTCATCCAAGTAGTACTATGGTGGCAGTTAAGAACAATATATCCAGCCTGCCCTTCCTTTCAGGCATATGAGAGGATTACACTCTGGCCTCCACCATAATGTAACATAACACACGGCCGTTTGACTTGCTTTGGCCAATGAAATGAGAGGTTATGTGCTGCTTCCTGGTGGAGGCATTTAAGAGCAGGTGCACAATTCTACATGCTCTCTCCTCGGCTGAGACTGTGAGTCCTGGGCCTCATGTAGAGAGGGCAGCATGAGAAGATGGAAATTGCATCAGCCTGGGTCTCTGAGTGACCACTATATGGGGCAAAGCATTCCCCTGCCGCATCCCAGCTCCCTACTGACTCCCAAGAACATCTGTATTGTTTTAAGCCACTTTGATTTAGGGGCCTTTTGAGACCAAACATAAACCATCCTATGCTGACTGCTTGGGGATGAAGCTCTTACATTGGCTGCCAAGGCTACAGATCCAGGCCCCTGTGGTCTGGCAGGCTGTTTCTTGGAGCTGGCTGTCCCCTCCTTTGTCATAGCACTGCCTTTTCACCACCAGTGAAGCTGCAAATCCATTGATGCCTCCAGTGCCATCTACAGCCACAATCCTGCCAACTCTGCATATCAGGCTTCTACTGACCCTGGGGCCCTGAGCCCCCCAGTACCCCTAACCCTGGGGTACTGACCATTCACTTTGGTCACCAGCAGTTTTGTAAAATGAGACAGCTCCTTCCTATCTGTATGCTACCCTCAGTTAGGTGTGCCCCATAAGCAAAGGTGCTTGGTGTCCTCGGTGCCTTGGGAAAGCACCTGAAACATAAAGAAATCTGTCCTTCCCAAGTCACAGGGTTGTTGTGAATGTCACATGAGAGGGAGAGTTGTGTGAGAGTCTTGCTCCATGCTAAGCAAATAGGCGAGGGGTTCTAGGGATGATCTGCCATGTGACTGTCTGGGGTAGAGTGTCTGCAGAACATCTGCATTGGAAGCTCTCCTGGGTCCTTACTGAGTGAGAAGCACACAGCTTCAAAATTAATAATGTAACCGAAGCCTTTTAATTCCTTTAATTGAGTTACCCAGGAGGAGCAATGGGAGCACCTGGCTTTCTGCCCTCCAAGGGCTAGACAACAACAAAAGGATTAAGTGTACCATTAAATTGCTTCTGGGCTTTTCCTAACCAGGAGCCTCCTCCGCCTAGTAAAAAGAGAATTTAAGAAAAAATCGGGGGAGGGGGAGATCGAACAGCAGATAAGATTGTGGAGGGAGATGTGAGGAGCAGAAAGGATAATTGGCCCTGAATGACAAAGGCCCCTATCCCACTGCCGAATATACAGTTGCTGACTACAGTGGGACTCAGAAATGAGTTCATACAGCTTCTTGCATGCTCAAAAGTTAGAATCTTGGGACTGAGGATGGGGAAGAGAGAAGCTGAGGTGCAGAGAGGAGAAGCAAATTGCCCAGGAGTGCGTGGCCTGGAAGGGGCAGAAGCAAGACTTCACTGAAGACTATTTGGCTCCAAAGCCCAGCATCCTCCACGGTTACCATGATTTCTCTGCCTCATGGCAGGGGTGAGGGTGGGTGGAGAAGTGGAGGGGAGTGGATGAAGACGGAAACTGGAGTAAGCAGTGGCCGACCCAGCTTGCCAGCCAGAGGCTCCTGGCCAGGAGGCACCCTGCCATGTCCCCAGTATAAATAAGGCTGACACAGAGGAAGAGGCAACAGACAGGCAGAGGGCAAGCTGCCTACCCAAGGGGGTGAGGTCTTTGGTTTTACACATGCAGCCCCCTGTGCATGTACTTTTATGGCTGCTATCTTTTTATAGCTTGAGAATGTTATGTTCTGGGCAAAGTCCTCTCTCCAGGCCTGGCCTTGGTCTACTCTTCCTGACATGCACCACACTGCTCCATTTACAGCTTTGTTGAGAAAGTATTTGTTGAACACTTGTTATGTGCAAGGCACTTGCCTGCCTCTGGGGATGAATGATGAATATGGTTTCCTTGCTCTGGATGAGTGCCCAAGTTAATAGGAGAGACAGATCATTTCCATTCAGACTGATAAGTGGTGTTATGGAGGGAAGCAAAAGAAAAACATCCGGGCTCACTGGGGTGGGGTTGGTTGGGGAAGGCTTCTCGGAGGAGGCATCAGCTTGGTCGAGTCCTGAAGGACAAGAGGTGAGGAGCAGAGGAGAGCATGAAGACGTCATGGTGGTGTGGAAGACAGGTCCTGAGTTCACTGCCATGGTATGAACGTACACCACATTTCCCTGTGTCTTTGTCTCTGTCAATCAGAATGACTTTAATTTTGAGTTGTAGAATAGCCAACTTAAATAGGCTTAAACAATAAGTGGACAACTATGCAGATGTAAAAAATGAAAAAGAGGCCATAACTACAGAGAGTAGAGACTTAAAAAATCTTAAGAGAAAATGAAATGAAGTACTCAGTTTTCTAGAAAAATAGAAATGAAATTGACAAAGAAATAGCAAATCTGGATACATCATGAATAATTAATAGATAAAGTCTCCTTGGCAAAAAGAACATCAGATGGTGGGACTGGTATACAAACTGATAATTGAAAGCAAAGGGGGAAATAGACAACTAATTTTATAGTCTTCTTAACAACACTGAACAAAGAAAATACCAAGAAATAATTTTAGAATGATATCATGATGAACATATATGAAAAAAATTCTACATAAAATATTAGTAAATTAAATTGAGTAATGAATTTAAAATATCTCAGGAATGTAAATATGGTTTAACAAAAATTCATGGAGTAATGGAAGAAAATTATATAATTTCCCCTGTAAATACAGAAAAAGAATGTAATAAAATTTCACAGCTATTTATGATATGAAATCCTTAGCAAGCCATAAATTCAAGAGAACTTCCTTAACCTGTCACAAACCAAGGGCAAATATTACACTTGATGGTGAAACTGTAGGCATATTTGTATTAAAGTCAGCAAAAACAAGGAGGCCTGTTATTACCTCTTCTGTTCCACATTATAGTGGATTTTCTCACCAATGCAATAGAACAAAGGAAAAATTTTAGATATAAAAAACAGTAGGAAGAGGTAAATTACTACTATTCATAGATTAAATAGAAAACCCAAGAGGATTATAAACTATTAGCACTTTTAAGATCTTAATAAGATCAATTGATGCAAGATCAATATACAACGATCAGCAGTATCCATGTTTACATGAAACAACAAATTAGAAAATAGACTAGAAATAGGCTTTATACCCACGAAACTATAAGTTGACTAGAAGTATATCTAACAAAAGACATGAAAATCATCTATGAAGAAAATATAAAATGGTACTGGATGACATGGAAGATAAATAGATAAAGAGGTATACCATTTTCATGGACAGACAGAATATTAATAAATCTCATAAAGATGTAAATTCCCCTCAAGTTCATCTATGAATTCAATGAAATCACAAGTAAAAAACCCACACATTTTTCCCGTGACATGCCAGTTGATCCTAAAAGTAACATGGAAAAAAGAATGGCCTAGAATTGCCAGGCACTTTTGAAGAAGAAAGTGTGGAAATTTTCCCTAAAGAGTGATCAAGGCTTAATATAAAGCTCTCATAATAAAGACAATGTGGCATTGGTAGGGATGACACTAGAGAGCTACAAACAGACCCCCACAAATGCATGGAAGCATTGCCTGTGAAAGATATGGCATCACCAGTCACTGGGGAAAGGGTTTTCTGTTTATTGAATGTGCCAGGCCAGTTGGTTATCTGTACCAATAGAACTTGGATCTTTACCTTAAAGAATACACGAAAATGCCTGTAATCCCAGCACCTTGGGAGGCTGAGGCGGGCGGATCACGGGGTCAGGAGATGGAGACCGTCCTGGCTAACATGGTGAAACCCCATCTCTACTAAAAATACAAAACAATTAGCCAGGCATGGTGGCGGTCACCTGTAGTCCCAGCTACTCAGGAGGCTGAGGGAGGAGAATGGTGTGAACCTGGGAGGCAGAGCTTGCAGTGAGCTGAGATCGCGCCACTGCACTTCAGCCTGGGCAACAGAGCAAGCCTCCGTCTCAAAAAAAAAAAAAAAAAGAAGAATACACAAAAATAAATTCCAAATGAATTAGAGATCTAAACATGAAAAGTAAAACATTGAGGGAAAAATGAAGAAAAAAATATTAACACAGGTACAGAAAAGAATTTCTTAAATAAAATACAGTTAGCAGAAACTATAAAAAGTTTGATTAATCTTGAAAATGTGTTAAATTAAAATATTGTTATAGATAATGATACCATGAATATAATGAATGATATTTTATTTATATAGGGAATTAAAAATGTGATGATATTTGTATGCACACAACCTTCAAAACATTAGTATGTAAATCATAAAGAACTCCTTATTAACAAATGCAAGACAAAAACTCTATAGAAAAGTAGGCAAAAAAATATTGTGGCAGAGATGGTGAACTTTCTTCTAGTATCCTTTTCCTCTTATTCCATGTGATAATAGAACACCTGGAGTTTTTGCTTACAAATGGCTGCCCTTCCAAAGACTACATTTTCCAGCTTCCTTGTAGCTAGGTGTGTCCACACGACTACATCTGGGCCAATCAGATGTTAGTGGAAGTAATGTGGGCATTTCCCAGTCAGGTATTTTGAAAAAGGCACTGTTTGCACAGCACTTGGACTCTCCCCACCCCCTTCTTGTAGGCTGGAATGCAGACTTTTTTTTTTTTTTGACATTAAAGCAAGTTTTTGAATTTGTATAACATACATTTTGAATTGTATAATAATGTTGGAAGGTTAGAAGCATGCATAATTTCTTTTTATTTATTTTATTATTTTATTTTATTTTTATTTCCATAGGTTTCTGGGGGAACAGGTGGTGCTTGGTTATATGAGTAAGTTCTTTAGTGGTTACCTGTGAGATTTTCGTGCCCCTATCACCTGAGCAGTATACACTGTACCCAATTTGTAATCTCTTATCCCTCACCCCCTTCCCACTCTTTCCCCCAAGTCCCCAAAGTCCATTGTGTCATTCAGACTTTATTGAAGGCTGGGAGTCATCTGGTGAACTGAGACTGGGTTTCACCATCTTGGCCAGGCTGGTCCTGAACTCCTGACCTCGTGATCCATCCACCTCTGCCTCCCAAAGTGCTGGAATTACAGGCGTGAGCCACCGCGCCCAGCCCACTGTGCAATTTTTAATGGCAGACACATCAGAAACAAAGATGTCAGAATATTTTTATCTAAATAGGTATTGGTGCATCCTAAAATGGGAAACTATTCAGTATTGATATTTATTGACATCAGTAAGTTTATTTCTATTTTTTAAAAGAAAGCCTACAAGGCAATAATCAATCTATTGCAAGTTTGTGTATTTATGGTGGGCCTTTGTTTGTGTGGGTATAGGATTGCAGGATGAGGAATTTTAGGGTGTCAACCATGAAAACTCAAGCTCCTATCAACCACAACAACCTTTCCCCCACTGGGAAGAGGTTACCTATCTCTCCCAGTCAATGAAATGGGTGGGCTGCACCTCAATCAATTGTGCAGGGAGAATGATTCCCTTGGTTTGACACTGAGGAGGTCTCTTACATAGCAGATGTGCTTTGCATGGAGAAAGAGGTGGACTTAACCAACTTAGTTGGGGCTAAAATGCTGATTTTTAGTTTTTTCAGTACATTTGAAACATTTTATAATTGATAAAGTTTTAAAGAAGTTATAACAGAAAAACTTACATTTGAAATAGCAGCCAGAGACTTCAAAAACCAAGAGATAACCTTTATAAGAAATGTGTAAGATCGCTATGAAAAAAACCAGAACACTTACTGAAGAGCTTAAAAGAGGATAGTTAAAATGAAATCTTATGCTAAAGCCCAATATATAGAATAGATGCTAATATTTGTTGTGCTAATGGATAACAGACTCCATTTATCAAGCACTTACTTATGCCAGACATCCAGCAAAGTACTTCACGCACGTTGTCTCATTTAATCTTCCAATAACCCAGCGAAGCAGGGATTACCATCATTCCTGCTTTGCATATGAGAACACCACAGAAGGTTGAGAACTCTGTTCAGAAGCAGAGAATTAGGAAGCCATAGAGTCAGATTTTAACACAGGAATGCCTGGCCCCAGAACCAAGGATCTTTGCTGTGCTGCAAAACCTCTGTCATTTAAGTGAGGTGAGGTCCTGGAGATACAGCCAAATATAAACTTCACTAATTCAGTGTTTCTCACATTCTCTTCTGTCTACTGTTCTGCTTTCAACTAATTTTAAAGATCCATTCTGTGTCTTTGGAGTTAAGCAACATAGGGGTGGCAGAAACAAGGTGAGACGACCCCAAGAGGGAAGATATGTCTGGGGCAAAAAAAGTGAGGGTGCTCCATGCTTGACCAGGAAAATTGGCTACTGGAGAAAATCCTTGAAGGCTCTGTGATTTGTTTGTTTGATTTGGGGGTTTTGTGGGATTTTTTTTTGGTGGGGGAGGACAGGATCTTGCTCTGCTGCCCATGCTGGAGTGCAGTGGTGCCATCATGGCTCACTGCAACCTTCGTTTCCTGGGCTCAAGGGATCCTCCCGCTTCAGACTCCTGAGTAGTTGGGACCAGAGGCTCACACCACTATGCCCAGCTAACTTTCAAATATTTTATAGAGACAGGGTCTCGTTATATTGTCCAGGCTGGTTTCGAACTCCTGGGCTCAAGTGATCCTCCCGCCTCGGCCTTTCTAAGTGCTAGGATTACAGGCATGAATCATCACGCCTGGCCTGTGATTTAGTTTTGATTGACAGGTGATATTCTGCTCCAAACAAGGGGGTAAGAAACTGTAGACTCCAACACACTGAGGTTCAAACCTCAGCTCTCCCACTTATTAGGTGTATGAACTTAGGAAAGTTATTCAGCCTCCCTGGACCTCAGTTTCTTTATCCAAAAAAAAAGGTTGTCAAGGTTATATGAGGTAATTCATGAATAGTACATAACAGAATTTAGCCGGTGGTAAGCCTGAGTTATCACTTACCTATTATCATCACTGTCATGGTCATTGATTTTTTTTTTTTTTTAAGATGGGGTCTCGCACTGTTGCACAGGCTGGAGTGCAGTGGTACAAACTTGGCTCACCACAACCTCCGCTTCTTGGGGTTCAAACAATTCTCCTGCCTCAGCCTCCCAAGTAGCTGAGATTACAAGCATGTGCCACCATGCACAGCTAATTTTGTATTTTTAGCAAAGACGAGTTTTCACCATGTTGGCCAGGCTGGTTTTGAATCCCTTTTGAGTCCACCCACCTCAGCCTCCCAAAGTGCTGGGTGTCGTGGTCACTGTCACCATCATACTTTAGTGCCTAGACACCACCAGCAGCACCTCAAGGCTTCGGTCTTCCTGCTGCTCTGGTCCAGCTGGTCAAGGTCCCCTCAGCAAGGGGCTAAGTGGATTTCTCATTCCCTACGGCTCATGATGGACCAAGGCCCTGGGAAATGCCCACTGCATCAGGCCCATGCACAGATCTCACAACTGAGAGTTGTTTGTGGAAGGCGGAATGAGAGACTGATGACTCAAGATAAGATAGGCAATCAGCTCCGACTCGCCACTGCAGACTTCTAGTCTACTTGTAAAATGAGTCTTGTCATTTATTTGACAGTCCCCAGGATTTCACAGAGGGGGAGGGACAAATAAAGCCAAGCCCCCAGCAGAGTGTTCCCAGTAGCCTCAAGTGTGGAGTTTGCTGTTCTTGGGGCCCCAGGACTTGGTTGAACCTCTCAACATCCTGGCTGTCTCCAGGCTCTCTCCATTCATTTCAGCCAGTGTTTGTTGAATGCCTTCTGGAAGGGATGACATCAGGGCAGATTTCCTCTTTAGTGGCCAGCAAAGTATTTCTGTTTCAAATAAATTCAACCTGGTTCCAGAAATTTACCTCAGAGCAGAAATGTCCAATCTGTACCCCTCTGACCACCTGCTGCCCTTTTGTCTTCTGTTCACTAAGTGGTCAGGATCACAGGCTTTGCCAGGAAAGATCTGGGTTCAGGCCACTCACGCACTGTGTCACCCCAGTCTTCACCTCATTCTGCTACCAGTTTCACAGGATTCTGATTGTGATGGATCAATCAGATGGTGCATGTAAAACATCCAGGACTGTGTGTGCCTCATTAAACTCATCCTAAGGAAAAGATCTGGTGAGGCAGAAGACTCTGGAGTCATTTTATCTGCTTTACATAATGTGTCCTCATGCCTCAGGTAGCTGTAGAATCCTTTGATGCCATAGTCATGAGGAGAGGAAGGCCCAGTCCAGTTATGGTGCCTGGCAGCCATGCCGGTGTAGGGCCAGGGCTTCTGCTTGGCCTGGCACCCCGCTTCTCAGTTGATGTCTTCCCCACCCACTTCATGCCTTGGGTTTGTCTTCTGTCAGTATCCTCAGCACCCAGAACAGAGCCGGGCACAAAGCTGCATCTCAATTAATATCTGCTGAATGAGTGATTGATTGAAAGAATGAATGGCAGAAAACAGAGAAACAGTGAAGGGAAAAAAATTATGACCCCACAGTCAACTGTAACTGCTGCCTACTCTTCAGTATCTCAATCCACAACACCTTCTCTCCTTTTTGTAGCTTTCCTGGGTCCCCAACCAGGCTTCCCTCCATGCACACACCTTGCCCGTCACATCCCTTTGTTCTCCCCCACTCCATCTCCCACCCTTCCATGATTGCATGGATTTTTCTTTATCTCTTTTCTCTTAGAAAGCCTACAAAGAGAAGGGAAGGGTAATGGAGCCCGCTGGTCATGGGTAACTCCACTGGGTAAATGTGGTGCCCTTACATCACCGAGCCTGGGTCACGGCAATGGAAGGCCCTCCTTAACACCAAAGGAACAGAGGAGCTGAGTGGCATCAGAGGGTGCACATCTGATGTGAGCCTGGAAGTGAAGGGTAGAGCCTACTCACAAGAGCATTTAGGAAAGTTAAAATTAAAAGAAAAAAAAAAAGCCATAGAGAGAAACGGTATTATTGTAGAGTCCACTATGACTACCCAATGAGGTAAGGGGCGTGAATGGCATTTCTGTAACATAAACCAGGGCTTCTCAAACTGCAATGTGCACAGGAATCACCTGGGGTTCTTGTTTCAATTTGCATTCTGTTTTGGTGGGTCTGGGGAAGGGCCTGAGATGTTGCATTTTCTAATAAGTTCCCAGGGGATGCTGATGCTTCTGGTTGGGAAACCCACTTTGGGTAGCAAGGGTTTAGTGGAGAAAGCACTAAAAAAGCTTCTGCTCATGTTTTATCTCATCTTTTAAAAGATGTGAATGGGTCACCCTGACAATAATGGAAGGACTCTGAACATCCCAGGGTTCAAAGGGGTCCTCTGGTCCCACATTCCCTCCTTTCACCTTCCACCCTCTGCCTGGACTCTCCCAGGCACAGGGCAGCCTCCTCCAGGAAGCCCAAACTGAAGGGGGTTGGAAATCCAAAGAGCTCAATTTCAAACCTCTCACTTGCTCCCCAGAGCTGCATCAGCTCCCACAGCATAAATGGGGGTGGCTTCTGTCCAAAGAACGCTTAAGCCACATCAAATTAAATTTCACTGGCTATTGTGCCTTCTAAACAAGGGATGCAAGAAAGTGTCTACAGGTGTTTTTGCCTCTTTCTTCCCACCCCACCCCCCAGCACATAAACACTAGACATTGAGCACCTGAGGAAACTGTGGGTTCTTTCTTTATTTATTCCCAAGGCTTTTGACATAGATGTTTGGTAAATGTTTGTTGAATTAGTTAACAAAAAGTTTGACTTTCTTTGGCTACTTTGACAAATCGAATTAGATTCTTTTAAGGCAGCCAAATTTCTTTTGCATGGCGGCACAGGTTTTGAGAGCTTGAGTGGATTTACTTAAGGTAACTGGCAGGGAGGCAGGAAGAAGAAAAATACCAAAACTGGTTCATGTAGCAAACTGTAATACTAATTGCTCATAGTATGAGGAGAAGAGAATTGGCTTATCCTATATGACACACACACACACACACACACACACACACACACACACACACAGAGTTTCACAATGGTAGGTATCTTAGATCTTGCCTAGACCTGAGATGACAAACACCTGCCATGAAGAAAGACCCGTCTCTCTCCGTTCCCATGCCCATGGCAGACATTACTAATCAATCACAGCACTTTCCCAGCTAAATATGGATATAATCTCAAAATCCTCAGTTTTGAATCCAACATTGGTTGTTTCTTCACCTGCCCACTGCTGAACTCCTATGTTTCTGAGCATAATTTGTCTGAGTATGTTCTTGCCAGGTTATCACCTGCTTGTAGTTCTCTTGTAAAACTGCATACCTGTGTTTTCTTTGCTGCCCATAAATCATAGCTCAGCTAGAATTGAATTACGTTAAGGGAAAAAGAGGTGAGATGAACAGTACACTCCATTTTACAGGGTATTATGAGAGTAGGGATTGCATCTTATACATTCATTCATTTATTGACCAGATTTTTATAAGAAACAGGCACTGGTTTGGCCTGTGTTTAATTCTACATGATAAGTCCCCTAATATGTGTGTTTGTGCTTGTATGAATAACGGAGATGGATGGATGGGTGGGAAAATATTTGATTAGTCACCTCTTATGGGGTGATGCCTAATAATCCTGAGCCAGGACAGCCCTCCCCTTTTGCCTCTTTCTCTGCCACAAGCATGTCATTTTCTGTTCCTCTTTTTCCCCATATTTATACTGAGCACACTCTACATGCAGATTTACCTGCATGCAGTCATCAAGAGGAAAACACATTCACTTTGTCTAGAGGTTTTTCTAGGAGTGTCTTAATCTGTTCCTTCTAGGCTCCCACCCAATCAATCACAATGATTATTTCTGTCAATGGAACTCATCTTTATGGAGAGTGTTATTGTGGCCAGTAAGGTTCTGTCATCTATTTAAGTAAAATTCTGTCTTAAACCTTTTACATAAACTGTCTTGTTTAATCCCAAGCACAGAGAGGCCAAGCAGTTTTTCTGAGTCCATTTTACAGTTGAAGAAATAGAGGCTCAGAACACCACGTGATTTCTTGAGATCATACAATTAATAAGTTACAGAGCCGAGATGTAAGTCCAGTCCCCTTGACTCCCAAGTCTGTGCTCTTGCAAAGAGGACTGTGGTTGGTTGGAGTCTCAGAAATGAGTTATTGGTAAGGTTGTACCAAGAAATCAGACATTCCTGCAGTTTATAATCATCTGCTTGCAGAAAGAGTCATTTTCTCCAAAGATAGTGAGAAAGATGGTCACATGGCTCTTCCTGATGATGCCAGGAATGCAAGGCTCCTTGGCCCTCGCAATCCCCATTGTCCAACTCTCCCTTGGGTGTGGCTAAGCCTTCCAGAGGGGAAGGGCTAGGCCAGAGTTGACAGGGTGCCCTGCATCTTCCACAAAGGGGCAAGGGATTCCTTCCTTTCAGGCTTCACCCAATTAAGGATTTCTGAAGAGAGAGCAGGAGCATCATTCGGGTGACATCTTTCTCCTGGCCTGCCTGCTCCATCCCTGCCTCCAGCCCCACAGGCAGCAGCTGCAGTGCTCCAGTCCAGCTGCCCCTGTGGACAAGTCTGGGAATGACCCAGGCACTGCATGTTAGCTCCTGGCTCTGGAACGGTCCCCATTGCCTTGTCCGGGCCACGGCCACCCGGGCTCCCCTGCTGAATTTGCTGTGACTAGGAAAGCCCCACTTTGTGTAATGGTTTAATTATCATGTCAATGTGGATTCATTAGCATGGCAGCTGTCATTGCAAATGGGGGAGCCAGGGGGCTCCTAGAGCCCCTGGGGTCAGGCTAATTGATGTAGTGAACAGAATACTGTATTTACTCAACAATGGTTTGAGTTTCTCTTCTGACCTGGGAAAGGGAGTGCTTGCTGGAATCAATAGCAGCTGAGTTTTCATTAGCAGCCCTGGGACAACATCTCTGGGCTTAACCCCTCCAGACCCACCCAGTCTTGGGTATCCCATTAGAAGGAGAGGCTGTAACTTCTACCTCTGCTAGGGACAGATAAGATGTGGGGGGCCCAAGTAGGGGAAAATATGTTCTTCACTCAATAGGAAGTGTATGACTAGGTTACAGTTCTCCTAATTTCCACAAGGGTCAAATTCTTTGGGTCACTCTTTCCACTGTGACCCTTCCAGCTAGTTCAAGGTATAGAACAACTTGGTGTTAATAAATATTTGTTGAATGAGTAATAACTCACTTTTTTATTGAACACTGTGCCAGACACTGCTCTACATCCAACTGTATCAACTCATTTAATTCTCACAACCTTCTGAGAGGTATTGTTCTGGTTATCCTTTGTGTACAACTAACCACTCTTACTGTCTGAAAGCAACAACTTATTGTTATTATGTCTCACTATTCCACGGGCTAGGAATTTGGATGAGGCTTATCTCTGCTCTATTATGTCTGAGGCCTCAGGATGACTTGAAGGACTGGAGGTTGGTATAGCTGGAGGCTGCCTGGGCCTCTCTCTCTCTCCCTAAAAACACAGCTTCTTCAAATGGCTAGCTTGGACTTCCTCAAGCATGCTGGCCTCAGGGTAGTTGTGCCTCTTCTGTGATAATTCGGGACTCCATGAGACCAAGGTGAAGCTGACAATTCTTTTAAAGGCTACCCCTGGAACCAGCACAATCACCAGCCAGGTCAGATTTAAGGAGAGTGGGAAAAGGTGACACCTCTTGAATGGAGAGGTATCAAAGAATTTGAGGCCATTTCTAATTCTCCATAAATACTATGATCATTTCCAAATACAGACCAAGAAACCAAGGCCCAGGGAGAGAGTAACTAACTTGCCCAAGGTCACACAGCTAAGTGGTACCAGAATTTGGTCCCTGACAGTCTGGCTCTTGAGCCCTTAATTGCCACAGACCTACTCTATGACCTCGAGTAACTCACTCCTCTCCTTAGGCTTTGGCTCCTATAAAGTGAAGGGGTTGGGCCATATTCTCTCAAAAGTCCCTTTTAAGTGTCCAGAGATTCCTCAGAAAAGTCAAATCAAGAGGTGTAAGAACCGGAGTCAATGGTAAGGGGGTGTCTGGGCCTTTGGAATAAATTCAGGGGCAGTGAATGCACTGCCAGAGGCTGCTCCCCAGCCTCTATCAGGCCTTTATTTACAACCTTGAAACGTCTCTAGAGTGGGACTCTACCCATGGACTTTTCCAGCATCTGATTAAGAGAAGGAACCAGCACTAAAGGGAACCTTTCCGCAAAGGAGAAATTGTCTTGACAGCTTTAGGCTGCCAAAAATCCCATGCGGATCAGGCCCCTGGGGAGTGAAGTTGTCGGGGCTGGTAGTTTTGTGGATGGGACTAGGACAAGAATGGGAACACAGTCTGGCTCACACAGCACAAAGTGCCTATGTGACCTCAGGCAAGCCATTTAACCTCCCTGAGGCCCAATTTCTTCACCCGCAAATTAAAGAATTTGACTAAACGTGGGAGGAAAAATGGGCTTCATCATTGGTGCCAACTTTAACTGATTGCAAGTGGCTTCCCAGAGGCCTGTGCGCAGGGTCTGCAGACTGTGCTGAAACTATGCAATGTGATAGGAAGCTCCCTGGAGATGGAGTTAGTGAGAGACACCTGGGTTCAAATCCCAAATCCTCTACTCAGTAATTTTGTGATCTTTGAAACTCCATTTATGGCCTTTTCATCTGCAAAGTAAAAATCATAAGGCTTTTCTTCATAGAATTGATGGGTGACTTAAATGAGATGACATAGACAAGCCTGTCAACCCAGAGCCAGGCACGCAGTAAGGATCAACAATGTTCATTAAATCTGAAACCTACAATCCATTGGGATACACAATGCCAGGCAGAAAGGCCTTTAGGTATGTAACTAATTTCTGCTGAAGGTAGCAGAGCCCATGTTTTAATAGTCTGTGACATTTTAGAGGAACTTTAAGGTTGTAGTGAATGCTGTTGACATGATAGAATATGGAAAATATAAAATAAATACACTTTTCTCATCTGAAAAAGTGAGAATAATACCTGCCTACAAAAGATGCGTAAAAGTGGACATTCAATGAGGTAAAATTTGTAAAACACCTAGCATATAGTGAGATCTTGGTCATCAAGGGCCTCTGTGGCAGGGAGCTGCAACCACATCACCCTTCCCTCACCTCACATCAAAGAATATAAGCTGGAGAGAAAAAAAATCCATGAATAGAATCAACATAGGAAAAACCTTAAGTTCATCTTTTACTCTTCAGCAGAAATTGCATCTATGAGTAAGTTCTAAGAATGTAAATGTGAGGCATTCTGACCATAAATATGGCAATGTCGGGCAAGGAAAACCAGAGTCTGATGATGTTGTGGCCTCATATTTGGTTGGTGACCTCTCAAATTTAGACCATCAAATATGCAAATGGATGGGCATTCTTCATTGCACCACTACAACGCTGATTATTATCCAGTATTACATAGTGAATGCTTACAATGTGCCAGGCACCATGCAATGCATGCACTCTGGATGTGCATTGATTTCTTTAATCCTCACAGTAAACTGATGGGACAAGTCCTACTATGATCACCATTTTCCAGGAGGGCACGGAGATATTTGGAAATGTCCAACATCACACAGCTAGTAGGCAGTGGAATTGAGCCCGTCTGGCCCCAGAGCCTGTGTTCCCAACTACACTACATCTGAGTGACAGATTTTGTCATTTTGGCTTTTTTAGGGAAACAACACTGCATAGGAAACCTACCACTCTTATAAGCCAGGAAGGCCTAGGGAGTGATGGAACCAGGCAGTCCCAGGTTCCAATCCCAGCCCCAGGCCTTCCTATCCTTATGACGCTAGGCAAGAGACTGACTAACCTTTGTGAGAATCACTCTCCTCGTCAGTAAGGTGGGGAACCCTACTAGGAGGATAATGCCTGTCTTGTTCCGTTGCTGTGAACGCTAAGTTAGACGATGTGCATAATAGGCTTAGAACCATGCCTTGCACATAGTAGGTGGTTAATTATTGCTCATTTCCTCCTCTTTAAGACGGGATTTCATGGAATTTTCAGCCTCACTGAGACACTTACGATAGGTCTGGGAACTAAAGAAACCTCAGAACTCCAAATCAGTAGAGACATGTCTTCCACGTGAACCTCTGTTAAATACTTTGTTATATGGATATACTTTTGTTATATGGATATAAATACTTTCTTATTTGCATATATGTTATATGCAGTTTTTTGGTACATTTTTCAAAAATAAAAATATAGTTTTTTGACCACAAAAAGCCCCTCTCTGCTTGGGGTTTAATGTTGACATGAGAAATAAAGCTATGATGATTCAAGAATTTAAAAATTAAGATTTATACAAACAGACCAATAATGCCCACAGATTAAAACCGAGTATTTCTTTTCCTTGTATTTTATAGGTTCATCACCTACTCTCCCCAGACTGCTTTTTCTTTTCATTAGACAACACTTCCTGCAAATTGTTTCTAACTTTGAGTAATTTGCTGACTCTCACTGGATACACTGTCCCTTTCCCTCCACCTCTGACACCCATTTTGCATTGTAACCAATGCAGTCTCCCCCACCACCACCACCCTACCTTCCACTGGGAATGATCTCTTTATCAATAATCCGACCCTGGAAGCCCAATGGGTGACTTTTTAGTGCCCCCGACACCAATGCAGATGGGGGTTTTAGATCCCCAGTGTAATCCCAGCCTGAAATGTTACCAGGAGCCCCACGGCTCTTCAATTACCTCTCTTGGCCTGTCAAGACCACAGCATCTCAAATTCAGTTAGCTGGTCTTTGGGTATCAGCCAAGGCCCAGCCTCTGCTCCTAATGACAGCCAGCTGAGGGGACACTGAGAGGGGCTAAATTCAATTTGCAGCCCTTCTAATGAGATTAGGGGAGCAGGGTTTTTTATTTTCTCCAAAGTTTGCCATGGGCAGGATGAATGATGGCCCAGGGATGAGCTGTCAACATCAACAAAGGCTCTGAGCTGGGAGAGGGGGATGGGAAGCAAGGATGGGCAAAAGAAGGAGAGATTTTCCAGACAGAGCCAAGGAGCCCTGAGTGAGTCGCCTAGCAGGTGACAATGTCTGGTTGGCAGAATATCACTCTGAGGACAGGATGCAAAGTCAAGAACGAATCTGCAAGAAAGGCAAGTGCCAATCATAAGCAATATTGCCAGTAGAATCTCTGTCTTTTTTTTTTAATGCTTCTGAATTATTTTCCATCCCTTTTAACTGGCTTTTGAAAAGTCATTAAGCAAACCATATTTCTTAAAATAGGCCAACTCGCAAGAATTTTTCTAATAAAAGAGCAAGATTTCCACTGCTCTTTAGCCTGGAATAGCTCAGTCCAGCACATCTCTTGGCCAAGCAGGCCTGTGAATCTCCCACCAGGGTAGCTCCCATGAGCTGGAGTCTGGACAAGCCAGGACCTCCAATGCATGCACTGTGTTGCAGGTGGTGGTGAGGAGCTGGAAAGTATTTCACTTGATGTGGAGTAACTTTGGGGTGAGGTGTGATGTGCCGACATTTTTCATGGGTGTTCTAGTTAGCACCTGCCTGTGTTTGGCACCATAACTGGGAGTAAATACTGACTCCTCCCTGAGTAGCTTCAGGTCAGATGCAGAGATAGAGGAAATTGAGTAGGATATTCTTCTGGGTCAATGTGAGTGAGATAGATGGACATCTCTTTAGGGAATCAAGAGAGGAAGAGGTCTCTGTGATTGGGAGACACCAAGAAAACTTCGTTTTTAGGAGGTGGCCTTGAGCTGTAACTTGGACTAGGGTGGTATCTAGGAAGGCCAAGAGAAGAGACCCAGACATTTCCTTTGTGGCTAAAGACCTCAGTGCTTCCACTTGTAAGCCCAGCTGTACTTTGGTCCAGGGTCATTCCTGGTGGGGACTACGATGGTCCTGGACCCTAGGCCTGAATCTTGTCCTCTGAGTACTGATTTGTTCACTGCGCCTTCTTAGAGCTCGTCAGAGATGGTCCATTTGCACAGCAAACCTCCTGCCCAGCTTCTGGTCCCACACTTGCATCCTCCATTGGTGTGAAAATCCTGCACTAGAGCCAGGCTGTGGTCCTGGCATCTCGAGTTGCCTAGATATCCAAGTTCTTCTCTGAATAGCAAGAGATGGGACACACATACTTTGTCTCTTGTCCCCCCGCCCCCCCAGACACTGCCTGAAGCCTTGTTCCTAATGGACCAATAACCAGGGATCATGACATTGCTGCTCTTCCAGTATTTCCCTGTTACATGGGAATCCACCCAAACCAAGGCTTTTACTCAGCCTCGGAGCAGGTCAGCTTGAGTTAAAACCCTTCTGGGCAACTAATATGCACCCATTAAATATTTATTGGCTGAATTGGGTCCATGGAGGAGGAAAAACTTGATTGAGGCTTGAGCGTGGGACTTTTAGACAAGTGGCTAGAAGTGCGAAGGCATTCTCCCTAAAGGCAAAAGCTCAGAGTCAGCATCTTGTTGTTTATTGTTCAGAGGACAACAGTTTCTCTTCTTTCACTCTTGATGGCCAAGTTTAGACCGCCATTGCCCAACAGTCTCCAGGACAGCTCATCAGGGCCCTTGGTAGTCCAGGAGGCCCTTGGTCACTCAGGAGGCCCTAGTGATAGACCCCCTAGTCTGCCTGCTCATGGGAAGATACTGCTGATTTCCATAGATCAAGAGGGTTATTCTGCTCACACCACAGTCTGACCTTGGCCATCAGCCAGATTAAGTATAGGGTCATGTCATAGCTGGAACTCTCAGAGTATATTCTCCATACAAAACACAAAACCACTTCATGGCCTGTGAAGGATCCTGTCTAATTGCTGGGCCTGCACTAAACTGAGTTATCAATCCTATCCCCACAGGTCCCTACAGGCCCAGTGCTGTAGAAAGAGACAGTGCCAGTCAGGGCTGATTTGCTGGTGTGGCTGCTTTTATGTAGTGAATAATTCCTGTGTTCTTTTTTCTTATTCCACCGACTTTGATTAAAATTCCTTGTGAAAAGATATTCTGTTCCAGGGGATTTTTGTGCCACGAAGAAATGAAGACACCAGAAATTCAAGCCAAAGGCCTGGGGCTTCCTTGGCTCTTCTCCACTCCACCTCGAAGGGCATCTGTTTAGGTCCCAATAAGGAAGGTCTGTCCCTGGAAGATACTGTCTCACAGCACTTTGTATGAACGCAAGAGGCAGCATCTATGGTGGGAAAACACACATGATCAGCCAGTCTCACCAGTTGATTCTGCCTTAATCAACCCCAGCCCATGTCCCCTGTTCACACCTCAGGCAACTTCTGAAGTGGAGAAATGATCTGGAGGAAGTCGAAAAAGATAAGAATGGCAAGGATACAAAATGACCAGTGATCACTACATGATGCTTATTAATGGAAGACCAATTCCTCAGGAATCAGTTATAAAGCACATTTTTTTATCACGATGGATTTTCATGTCTACTTTCTTATATGAGTTTACACAAGTCTGTGAAGAAGGTGACTGTCTTAGCTTTACTGTAGTATAGAACTGTGCTATAACAAAAATACCAGAAACTGGCAGCTTATAAACAGCAGACATTTATTTTTCATAGTTCTGGAGGCTGGGAAGTTCAAGATCAAGGCACTAGCAGATTTGGTGTCTGGTGAAGACCCACTTCTGGTTCAAATAAGGCATCTTCTTGCTGTGCCTTCACTTGGCAGAAGAGACAAGGCAGCTCTCTGGGGCCTCTTTTTATAAAGCCACTAGTCCCATTTATGAGGGCTCCACCCTCATGACCTAATCACTTCCCAAAGGCCCCACCTCCTAATATCATCACATTGGTGATTATATATCACCCTATGAATTTCAGGGGCATACAACATTCAAATCACAACAGTATCCTGATTCTCATCTTAAAGATGAGGAAGCAGAGGTACTGCAAACTTAAATGAGTCACCCAAGTTCAGGCATGGGCGAGCCTAGGATGCAAGGCCAAGTCTATCTGACACCAGATACATGGCTGTATGGGCTCCACCACATTTCATCTTAGTACATAACCTATGTGCATAAGATGGACTGAACCCCTCTTCCTTCTCCTCTGTCTTCACTCCTATGCAGATCTCCAGACCCTTCTACCCATCCTAAAATGGTGGAACTCATGACCCATCAAGAAAGGATCCTCAGGGAGTGGCTCCTTGTGGGTCAGCTTCAAAGTGTCAGGAAAAGAAACTCACTCCTGTTTAGGAGCCCCCTAAATATGCGGAATGTGGTACAAAGAGCCCCAGGCTGGTGATGCCGTTTGGCTGTGTCTCCACCCAAATCTCATCTTGAATTGTAGCTCCCATGATTCCCACATGTTGTGGGAAAGACCCTGTGGGAGATATTTCAATCATGGGGGTGATTTCCCCCATATTTGTCTCATGGTAGTGAATAAGTCTCATGATATCTGATGGTTTTATAAGGGGAAACCCCTTTCACTTGGTTCTCGCTCTCTCTTTGCCTGCTGCCATGTAAGAAGTGCCTTTCGCCTTCAGCCATGATTGTGAGTCCTCCCCAACCACGTGGAACTGTGAGTCCATTAAACCCCTCTCCTTTATAAATTACCCAGTCTCGGTATGTCTTTATCAGCAGCATGAAAACAGACTAATACAGCTGGCCTCCACAGCCCCCCTGTTGCCAGCTCCCGCTGTGATCTTGGGCAAGTGACTTTCTCCTTCTACTCCCAATTCCCTCTTGGCTCCTTGCCAGTTCCAATGCTCCCAGATTCTAATCTCCCACTGTCCAAATCTTGGGAATGGACACTGAAATACATTTCTTGTTACCTACGAATTACGGTTTGCTTTCATTCTCCTCTTCAATCCCAGTCTTCTCTATTTGCTGCACAGAGTTCAGAAATGCATTGTTTCCAATGCAGAAGCTCACGCCAGTGCACTGGGGCTGCTAAAAACACCCCGAGGGCCCACCCCTCCCAGGGCGATGCCAGACCAGAGGATGGAGCCCTGGGTCTCTTCACTTTGCGCCACATTATCACAGAAAGGTGGATTAGAAGTTATCTCCGCTCTGCTTTCTCTCAGAGCTCCTTGGCAACACAGCCACCTCGATATAAATATACACCAGCAACGTGCGCAACCTCATACTCCACGGTGAGGCCTCCAGAGGCCCCAGGGCAGATACCGCCGGGGAGCAAGGACATCAGGAGATCCCCAGGACACAAAGGAGTGCCAGCCTCAACGCTTCAAGGTCAAATATGGCACCCATCAAATAAAACGCCTGTGATCCTGATAATTCTCTGGCACCCTATTCCAAAAGCTGGAGGTCTTTAATCTCTCTGAATAGCCAAATATTTCACAGTTGATGCTTCTTTTGCATTCTTTATAATTAAACAAGGAGCCAAATTTTTAATACCTTTCCTGTCTTTCTCTCCCTGGTGTTGCTAATGTAACACATTCAGGTCAAATCTCTGTTGGTTTTGGTCACTGGCTGTTTCAAGGCCTAAAAGGAAAGAGTGAGATCTTTCAAAGAATGGAGATTAAAATCAAACACAACGAAGGAGCTACTTTTGAATGTAATAATGTGGAACACTTTAAAGTCGAATTAATTAAAGGAAACATAAACCAATGCATTCCTGGCTCCATGTTAACTGCGGCTGTCTAAAAGACCTTGAGATGTTCAAGAGACCAGTGTAAATAAGTTATTTTGGTTAGCACAAGCTCAGGGGCCTGCCACTTTCCTCTCGCTGGTGCTGTCTTTGGTAGAGCCATAGATAGAACCAGCCACAAACTTGATTCGGGCATAAGCAGGAGACACACACATCAGCATAAAGGGGGCTCCAAAAAAGGCCCTCTTGCTTGGAGACACAGGAACCAGACTCCCCAAATGTCTCTCACTTACACAGCAATCCTCCTCAGACTTAGGAGGCTCTGTCAAACATTTTCAAAATTACAGGGAACCTGGAAAGAAAATACAATAAAGAGATCAGAGACCTAAAGTGCCAGACCAAAGAGAAGAACCAGAAAAAGCAAGACGTGTTCATTGTAAATATTTTGAAACTGTATTCTTATCTCAGTTCAGTGCTGTGTACTGCCTTTTCTCTGGTAATTGTAAATATTTAATGTGTTATAGCTCCATCTCCTTACTGATACGGGAAACATGAATAAATCCACATGGACAGGATGTGTGTTTTCCACTTGCAGACTGTCTGAGAGAGTGAGCATCAGGAGGGGCTGCTGTGGACAGTTGCACAGGCTGTGGCCTGTACCAGAGTGCCTGGTGGAGGGGCCTGGAAAAGACACCCCAGCCACCTGGCTCAGAGAGGGACAGAAGAAGGAGTCACTGTTCATTCTGAGCAAAAAGCCCTTTTGTATATTTAGTTAGGCTAGGGGCTATGTGTGTGTGCTTTTTAGAGATTTACATTTTACTAGTGTGAGGGGAACTGAGCAGAGCTCATGGAAAAACTGTTCCTGTTTATTGAAATAAAAATTCCAGAATTTTTTTTCAGTCTCAGTATGATTTTCTCTAAAACTAAAGTACAAAAATGTTTATGCAGTTTCCCCTTTTCAATTCCCTCAGCAGCCGAGGTCCTCTCTTGGGTCCTGATTTTCCTTGCAAACTGACCAAAGGAAGCTTCCAGAAGCAACTGTCCACTACAAGAGGAAGGTGTGGCCATGAGGGAAGACGGAGGCTCCAGAGGTCCTGGCTCTGCAGAGACCGCGGTGCTGCCTCCCAGCCTGCCTGAAACCTGACTTGGTTTGCACCAGCGGGTGCCCAGGCCTCCACAGAGTCTTCGGTTCTCCAGGTTTCCCATGCCGCCATTCTTGATCAGTTTTCATCTCACCTCTGTGGTTTCTACCTCCTGTAGATGCTTCAACTCCGCCACTGAAGCCAATGCTGCCTGCTTCCTCCGGTGACAGCAGCAAAGCAGGCAGCAGTGGCCTTGGAGGCTCTGGCTGGACCCACTGTCATGCATTGTCTTCCACGGTTACTCAGGCACCTTTCCTTTACCTGGAAAATATCTCTGAGCTCAAACATTCAACTCACATCTTGGAGCCATAACAAATAAAGGAAGACGGCTTTGGTAACTCAGTAAAGCTTGGGGCTGCAGTCTTGATGAGGAGGGCAAGTTCCGAGTCCAGATGGCTTGAATTCCAATGCATCTCTGCAGCTTACACACAGCGGGCCCTTGAGCATGGGATCTGCTGGACTCAGTTTCCTCATTTTTAAAGAGAGGGTAGTAACAATAGTTCAAGCCTCATAGGGTTGTCCTGAGAATTAAGGATTAACACTTGTGAAGTTGCTTAGAGTAGTACTTAAAAGATTAAGTGGTCAATTAGCTTAGCTATTATTCGGTTAACTATTATTATGATTATTATTTCCAAATGGCTTGAGAGTCAATGGGTGGTAGAGCCCCAGAAACGTTTATTGCTTTCCAAATGGCCTTCCAAATCTGATGCTCAGTTGCCATGTTAGGGAACTCCTAAGGCACAGTAGGCACGGTAGGCACACACAACACACACATGAAAGTACCAAGCACACAGAGGTATACACACACGTGTACACACGAACTGATCCATGCCGCCATATGCATACACATGTACATACATGCATAACTTCAGGAACAATCTGGGGCAGAATCTCCAATCAAGGTTCCATGGGAGATGACAGACTTTACTTGGCTTAGCTATCATCCAACTGATGCCTGGCCTAGATACCAAGTTGCCACGATACAAACTGTGAGATGTGCCAGTGCCAGGTCTCTACTGGGTCTGCAGAAGGCCAGCTCACAGAGGGGCCCTATGGCTGAATGGTATTTTCTTCAGAGTCCTAGCTTAGGATGCTGCAAAGACCTCTGAGAATGCCAGTCTTTCCCCTCTCTCCCTCCCCCAGAAGAAGTTTCAGGGGATTCTACAGGCTAACATTAAAGTTCACAGGCTGGAGGGTCCCAGCTACTGCTATTATATCAACACATGGGGGCAGGTAGTGATGGCTGCTCCTCCAGAGAGATTACATAGCAATGCCAAAGTTCCCTGGCCTGGTACAGAATGACGGCCCAATAAAGAGTTGCTGAACAAATGACCAAAAAATAACAATAAATCCCAGCTCAGCGACTTATTGGCTAATACCCCTGGGTAAGTCCATACCATTTCTTTACCTTAACTCCCTCCTGCATAAAATGGAGATAATCATAACTACCCACAGGTGTGCTTGGGGACTAGTTGTTAAACCAAACCAGAGACTCGATGCACAATAGTGGCTTTCCTCTCAGAAGTGGCGGGGACCCCAGGGAAGTGCAAACAAGGGACTTTCTCTTTAGGATGAGCATCTGTGGACTTTGCACTTTGCCATGGAGCCAGGAAGAATGATGCCTGAGCAAAAGTCTGTGATGAGGACACTCCCAGTCAGGAAAAGCCATTCCATCCTTGGCCCACTGTGGGGGTGGGGGGGGCACAGTGCTATCTCCCTCTGCAGAAGGCTCAGATGGAGTGTGTGCTGCATTTCACAGCTCAGTCCCCAGCTGGTAAGGCAGGGGCGATCTGCCCAGAGCTCACCCTGAGCGGTGGGAATCTCCTTGGGCTTTTGCCATCTTTATCAGTTTTATGGCCTCTTTTTGTTTTGCTTATTGAATTTGTCTTTCAGGAGAAAGGACTAGGTTTGGGAGCAGAGAAAGCAAGAAGCAAATGTGTTTGGACCCAGGTTCCAACAGCAACTGAGCATACCATAGACCCTCACAGCAGAGAGAGCAGCTCTGCTTATGGAATAAAAGACAGCAAAGCCAAACACAGTCCCTTTGGACCTTAATCAAACAGGCTCATCTGATTAAAATTCTAGGACAGTCTCCCAAAGTCTGATTTTCTAGATGCTCCAAGGTGTTTCCAAATATTTCAATAGCACAAAACGTTGGGATATACTGAGACAGAGTTCAATATATACAAAATTCACTTTGATTCATAATAATAAACACACTCACACATGCTAAGCTATAGGGTTTATTTGGATGCAGGGTCTGTCAGAAAATGATGAGAGTGTGCTGCAACCCCAGAAAGGTGGAAATCATCGCACCAGACAACTATTTTATGTCCCTCTTTGGACTTGAAGGTCATAAATATTCTTCCCACAATTTCCAGCTGTATTTCACAAATGGGATGTAGAGAATTACTCTATGTTCTTTAACCTGTCTTTTTCTGTGGTTTTGAAGATCACTTAATAGTTTTCTTGCATCTTATAACATCTTTATTATGTGAGATGGGGGATTCTTTCTCTCTTTATAGCTTTTTCTCTACTCTCAGCCTCAGCCCCTTCCCATACCTAAAGATGTGTGTCATTAATTCATTTATTTATTCAATGAATGTTCAGTAAGAGTGTATTAGAAGTCATGCTAGGAACTGGGGATGTATACTGAACAAGACAGACATGGTTTTAGCTCTTAAGAAGCTCACAGTCTAGTGAGGAGACAGAAAATATGTCAACTTACATGACTGAGGATGTAATTAAGAGGTGATGCTGTGGTGTGCCACCTGGATCCCCATTTAGCACAGGAGAAATCATTCTGCAGCTGCTGGGAGTTCCGCCAGAACACAGCCTCCACTGGACCCTCTTGGGGACTGCCTCACCTGAAGACAGCTGCCTCATCCAGGGTCATGGCCCCTTCTCAGGGTAGTACACATTCCATGTCATTTCACCCTGTGCCCCACTCTGGATGACTCCGAAGGGCCATCCTAGCTTCTGAGTTCCCACATTCGCAAACCCTTGGCTGCACCTTCCTCTTTCCATTTGACTGTTGACCTGGGAAGCAGCCAGAGTTGTGTTCTCAACCAATGTCCCTTCCTCCACCAACTCTTAGAAAGAAGATAGCAGAAAGCAAAAAAAGAGGACTGGTGATGGCTTATGACATTCTGGAAGGTGACAATCTCCAGAAACAGGGAGAGCTGGGATGATGGTGGCAAGAATCTTGAAGACAATGCATTGATGAAGTTGTGGCTTTTTCATATTCCACTGTTTCAGAGTATTATAGAACCAAATAGGAAAGAATGCCTCCTCAACCAGGCAATAATACATTGGTGAAAACGTGGGAATTACTGGAAACTGGATTTAAAGCTCTGAATATTAATGTAACTTTCAGCCATAGAACTGAGAATAGGAATCAACTATCACCGGTAAATAAAGCCTATAGCCAGGGGCAATCCACATAAGCTATGTGTTGATAACACTAGGCTTAAACTGCATTCACCTTTTTGAAAATGAGTAATGCTTCTGAACAATTTAATGGTACTAGGTATTGGAATTTAAAAGGGAACATATACCAAGAATAATAAAAGAAAAAAATATATATTCTTTATTTAAAAATAAAAAATAAAGGAAAATCAAGGAAGTATGAAAATTAGAAACCACAAAAGAATAAAACAGATTTCAGATTAAAATACATGAATTATAACAACAAATATAAATAGATTACACTTATCTGATAAGAGTTTCATATAGCATGGAGAAATCAATTTCAACCTCAGACACAGACACATAAATACATTAAAATAAAACTTTAATCAAAAGTATAGCATACAATTACCAACAAACAGAAAATGGCAATCCAGGTTTTAATGTGAGGTGTCAAAAATTATCAGTGGATGAGGTACGCAGTCTTTCCCTTCCTCTTTCATCCACTTAGTTTCCTTTCCCTCCACCTTCTGAAGATGGAGATCAGCTTCAAGGACAGAGCTAAGGACAAAAAAGCACTATATTCTACATAGTGGGAATGTGGGGTCAAAGGGTTGGAACTTGGTAAGACATGACATGTCACCACATTATATGAGGCAAGAAGAATAAAGGCTAAAGAAATTGTGGGATATACAGACAACATTATGCAACCTTGAAAAAAGGAAGGAAATTCTTGCAACAACATGGTTGAACCTCGAGGACATTATGCTGAGAAACAAGCTAGTCACAAAATGACAAACACCATATGATTCTATTCATATGAAGTATGGAAATCAGTGAGAATCATAGAAATAGGAAGTAGAAAGGTGGTTACCAAGGGCTGGGGTGATTTAGTATTCAGTAGGTCTGGAGTTTCAGTGTTGCAAGATTAAAAGGTTCTAGAGATCTATTGCGCAACGATGTGAGTGAACTTAACACTACTCAACTGAACACTTAAAAATGTTTAAGAGGCCGGGCGTGGTGGCTCACACCTATAATCCCAACACTTTGGGAGACCAAGGCGGGCAGATCACCTGAGGTCAGGAGTTCCAGACCAGCCTGATCAACATGGAGAAACCCCCGTCTCTACTAGAAATACAAAATTAGCTTGGCGTGGTGGCACATGCCTGTAATCCCAGCTACTCGTGAGGCTGAGGCAGGAGAATCGCTTGAACCTGGGAGGTGGAGGTTGCGGTGAGCCGGGATAAGGCCACTGCACACCAGCCTGGGCAATAAGGGCGAAATTCCGTCTAAAAAAAAAAAAATATTTAAGAAGGTAAATTTTATGTTATTTTTTACCACAATAAAAAAGAAAGAAGAAGGAGAAGAAAAGCAACAAGATAAAAGGAACAGGCCTAACTGACTTTCACAGAATGTTTCACCCAACTGCAGCAGAATACAGATTGTTTTCATCGGCACACAGAACAAACATTCTCCAGAATAGACCACAGCTTAGCATAGCTTAGGGCACAAAATAAGTCTTGATAAATTCAAAAAAGTAGGAATCAGATCAAGTATCTTTTCTGACCACAGTGGAATAAAATTAGAAATCATGCCTGTAATCCCAGCACTTTGGGAGGCTGAGGCAGGCGGATCACCTGAGGTCAGGAGTTTGAGACCAACCTGGCCAACATGGCAAAACCCTGTCTCTACTGAAAATACAAAAAATTGCCAGGTGTGATGGCAGGTGCCTGTAATCCCAGCTACTCGGGAGGCCGAGGCAGGAGAATTGCTTGAACCTGGGAGGCGGAGGTTGCAGTGAGCCGAGATCATGCCACTGCACTCCAGCCTGGGGGACAGAACGAGACTCCGTCTCAAAAAAAAAAAAAAAAAAAGAAAAAAGAAAAAGAAATCAATGACAAGAGGATACTTGTGTTTGAAAAGTATACAAACACATGGAAATAAAATTGTCTGTTGGTGCACACATCACCACTTTAGGATGGCTCAGAGCCTCCCAGTTCACCCCATAGTGTAAGCTGCAGTAACCCTCTGGGGCATCACCAGAATCTTTGTTCTAGAACTTGGAATCTCCCTAGAATCTAATGATTTTGCAGTTGTTAATCATTTGACACTTTGTGATTTCACAATATCTTCTTACATCTCTATTAAATATATGCTTCCTCAAAGTACTCTAGGATATGTTAATTTTTTAATTAAAATTTTTAATTAAAAAAGATAAAAGAAACAGGACAGTGTTGCTGAGAGAGTTCTTTTGAAATAGGAGAATGACTATTTGAGAATTCTAAAAAATAGATTCCAATGTCTCCTTTAAATATTTGAGAGAGAAACAAGTAAAAATTAGAACTGTAAACTTTCTTTTGTAAATGAAACACCAACTAGGAACTAGAATTTCTCAAAGAACCTCATGATTTTCCAAAAATTAAAAAATAAAATCTATAGGCCATGCAGTTGGCCACAATGTAGTAAACCAGAAATTAAAAACAACTATTTAAATTAAATCTCAAACTACTTATTACCCAAAAATTTAAATTAAATCTCAAACTACTTATTACCCAAAAAAAGGGTAAAACTTTTTTTTCTAAAATTCTTCAAAGAGCAAAAAAAATGGTGATACAAATTATTCAAAGTGTAATGTCTGTAAAAATATGCCATATGAAATGTTTGGAATTTGGTCAAAGCTACATGAAAGGAATATTCTTAGCTGAAGTTTTAAAATTATTAACCAAACGATTAAAATAAAACAATAGTGAATTCAAATAATTAAGCTATACAAATTTAAAAATAGAATAAAAGAAAGGAAAATTTAATAAAGATCAAGGCAGAAATTAATAATTTTAGAATAATAAAGTTGAGAAATAATTCTGAGCTGATTATTTGAAAAGACCAACAAATATTTAAAAACCTAATTTTTAAAAAATTAAATAAATAACATTAAAAATGGGAAACATAATATAATTATAGATTTTTCAAATTTTAAGTATACACTTGATCATAATACCTCACAACTGGTTAATGATTTGGAAAGATCAATGCTACATCCTTAGTGATAACAAATTCTAAATTAATTTCAGATAAAGTATAAGAATAAAGCATATGTAAACATTTATATTACCTTACAGTAGAAAATAGTCTATAAATCTGGTATCAAAAGCAGCAACCATAAAGAAAATAATTGATCGACTGCCTCACATTAAAACTTCTATACAGGGGGAAAAACCCTAAAAGGTAAATGACAAATTAAGAAAATATTTCT
Organism: Homo sapiens; assembly: GCF_000001405.40. Taxonomy (NCBI): domain Eukaryota; kingdom Metazoa; phylum Chordata; class Mammalia; order Primates; family Hominidae; genus Homo; species Homo sapiens. Next base: position 35,383,386 of record NC_000007.14, read on the forward strand.
AATATATGTGATAAAATATTAAAGACTAATATATAAAATATATGACTAAAACAATAAATAGTAAAATTGATAAAATTGTCATCTCAAAAGTCAAATGCAAAAATTTAAAATATTTGAGGCTTTTTAGTTGTAGCAGATATATTCATTCAACATATACCTATTTAAATATATATCATATATATGACATATTTTTTCAGCTATTGAATTGGAAAACATTAAAGAATAACATCACTCTTTAATATAAACTCTCTGGAGTGTAGTGGGGTTATGTATCAAAAAGTCATAAGACGTATACATAATTCTACTAGAATTACACTTCTAGGAATTATCCTAAGGAGATAATCTGAGAAACATGTAAATATTTAGTTACAAAGATGCTTGCCATGTTTTTGTAAAAATGATATCCCCAAATTGGGAACAGAACACTGATTTTTGGCAACAGGAGATTGGTAAACTTAATTATGAATCCTCTATTTGATGGACTGCTATATAATCAATAAAACTTATGTGGTACATCTATATTTGTTAACCTTGAAAGATGCCAACAATATGTTCAGTGAAAACAGCACACTACACTCTAAACAGCAATAACTCATTTTTGAAAAATATGTGTATGTCTACACATGTGTAGACATGTACATATGTATTTTCTTTCAGACATTTCCATTACTGATTGGTGAGATTGGAAGCACTTTGTTTGTCTTTTAAGTTTTCCACCCTGAAATATGATGTGTTATTTTTTATAGGAGAGAAGACAGAAAACATTAAATAAAACCTATTACAACAATTTTTAAAGTATAGGCATTGGCTACAGTAGAGCTACATACTTCTACCATTGTATTCTATCACACATGTTTTACATACATCAATTTACATGTTCCTTTTGTCTCTGTAGCTATAATTCCCTTGAGGACAAGCACTGTTACTATCTTTGTATGCCTAGCACCTCACCTAGTGTTTTATACATTGTGAACATCATTAAATGTTGGTATGTTAACAGGAAAAAAAAATGAAGGCAGGGAGGGAGGAAAGGGGAGAGAAGAAATGAAGGGGAGAAAGAGTGGAAGGGAGGAAGAGGAAAAGAGGGAGGAAGAAAAGGAGGAAGAGAGGAAGAGAGAGAGATGGAGGGATGGAGAAAGAGAAGGAGGGAAGAGAGAAGAAAGAGGAAAAGAGGAAGGAAGAGAGGGAGAGAAAAGAAGAGTAAATAAAGGGAAAAGGAAGAAAGGCAAGGGGGGAAGAAAATTTGGTTATAGGCATCATTTCTGCACAAATACATTTTTATTTCCTGGAATTGAAACCAAAATCCCAACCACAGCTGCCTCCTATGCCCAGTCCACATGTCTGCCATGTTGCTCTGTTTCGGATACCTGGTAATGCTGTCGGATACAACAGTGTTTTAGGGCTCCAGCCAGTAAGATCCTGTCTAAGAAAACATTTTCCCACAAGGTATCCTGCCCTTCGCAGATATTTGCTAACACATCAACAGCTGGAGCACTGCATAACACAGTTTCTCAATCATTAGCAGACATTACCTAATTGATAAGGGCGTCCTTCTAAGCAGCCTGTTCCCAGTTCTGTGTGACACACAATCAAACTCTATTCCCTTTCCCTGTGACATCAACATTCTTGGCTGAGCCATTGGAGGGGAACTCCTTTTCCACCCAAGATAAACTGGAATCTGGGGCTAGAAGCATTCCCCTAGGGTCCCCACAGCCACATTCTCCCACAAACTCCCACCTCCTCAGTCCCCAGAGTGCTTGATTCCAGCCATGTGGCTGCTCCTCAGGCCTTGCTGAGGTTGACGGCGGTGCAGCTGTAGCTCTTCACCAGCTCCCTGTGACAGCGGGAAACAGATTGGAAGCACCAGGCATCTGGTGTCAATGGACGTGCACACATGAACCGCTGAGGCTGGGATCATCTCTCCCTCTCTCTTCTCTTGTGACTCCCCCTACAAAACTGTACATCAACATTGAAATTGTCCATCTGGTCTTTCCTGGCAATAGGCTCCTTGTGATAACATATTTCATTAACAGTGCTTGGAGATGGCCTGTGAACCCAGGAAGCAAAGGACCCTGGCCACTGATGGCCAGCTCAGGCCAAGGTGCGGACAGATGCTCAGGAAGAGCCCAGATGGCAGGAAAGAGCCTGAAATGAGGCTCTAGGCAAGCCCATCTCCTGCCTCGTCCAGTGCCCACTGACCCACCCAATAGGTGTTGAGTTTCCTTGGCATGCCCTGCAAATATGATTGCAAAGGAAATTTTTGCTACCAAATTGGTCCCTACCCCTGAGATTAGAGGAAAGACACATAATCAGTAGGCGAGAGTACACAGAAGTTTGTTGTCTGTGAGCCTTTTTCTTAATAAATGAAAGGTTGATTTATCTTATCTTTGTCTTACAGCATAATGGGGAATTTGGACAAATAGACCCAGCTTCAAACACTGGCTCTGCCCCTGCTGGCTTTATAACTTTGGGCAAATTTGTCTCTCTCAGCTTCTATTTTCTCATGTGGCCTTTGTGAGGATATAATAAGAAAACCTACATAAATCCCCAGTCTGGAGTAGGTTCTTGGTAAGTGCAAGCTTTTTAAAAAAATCAATGTGCATGAAGATGTATAGATATATACGTCTAGATGGCCAGTTTTCCCCCTTCGTTGGCATTACCTTCCCATTCCGTGTGGTTATTAGCAGAGCTGTCTGAAATCCAAAGCAATGCAAACGGCGCCCAGTGTCATCTCATCCAGCAATAGGCCTCTCACAGGTGAGGAGCTTGAGGCCTATAGAGGGACAGTGAGGGTACAACTGGATGCTCAGGGTCTTGGCCCCAAGCCTCATCATTTGCTATGTATGTCTGGCTGCACCCCATGTTGGTGGAGTTGGGTAACTGGGCATGGACCTGCTCTCAGCTCTCCTCCATGAGGGGGACGCCACAGTGTCAAATCGGCCCCCATCCTGCCTAGGCTGTAGAGCATTCACACTTGGCCTCTTGAGGGTTCAAAAAAATTTCTCCATATTTCCCTAGTTTCCTGTTCTCATCAAAGTTTGGCCTCCACTAGAGTGTTGAGCCTAAGATTTTTGCTAAAATAGCCCTCTGTGGAAAGACGCCATGGGTCTGAAAGAAGCCCCCATGCCCTTTGACTTGTAGCTGAGTGGCTGCACACTGGCAGGCTTTGGGTCCTGGCTGGTGAATGGGTTCAACAGCCATATTCCATACCTTCACCACTACGGGGCCTGGTCACTGGGTGGGGTCAGGGGCCACCTCCATCACCGTTAGTGGCCAAGGGAGACCATGCTGGTTTCTGACCCCCCACCATCCCCCACCCCCTGTAAAGTGCAGAGGGTACCTGGGCTGGTCTGCCTTGTTTCAGTTTTTCCGTCTGACCCTGCAGGGTCTCCTAATCCTGGGAGGCCTTTGGCATTCACCCTCCTCCCTCAGGAGTACTGTCTCTTTCCTTCTAGGTGGGAAGGAATGATTGTAAGGACCTCTTCCAGTTCCAACCTCATGGGATTCTTGTGGTGCTGATCTCCAGGTCCCTCCTTGTTTTGCAAGACGCTGCCCTAGGCCTCTCTCCAGCCCCAGTTACAACCGGAGCAGAGAGCATGGGGCCCCTTCTCACTATCCATTCCTGCTCCACTTAAGAATCTGCATCTCCAGAGAGAAGGACGCTGTGCAGAGCTCCACCTCCAGTCACCTGAGCACATGGGCGCAAATGACGTGACTTTTCTCTGTCATGAGAATCCATCGGAGACTGAACTAAGTAAACTTTTATTTCCATATCTCATTCTCTTGAAGAGAACACAGTCATAACTCCACAGAGAATAAACATACGCAGTCTAATCTTTCTCCTTGCTGGGACAGTTTGTTGAAATTGGTGAAATGATGCAGGCCCCGCTGAAATGGCTTGATAAGCGTTGTAAGTCCCGTTTTGTGATTATTAAATAGGGAGGGTAATCCTGCTGCTTCTGGTCATTTTTTTAAAAACCCTCTCTCTTACCTGAATCTAACTTCTTCTCATGTTGCACTGTGGCTTATACACATGTTGAGCTCATGTGTCTACCAACGTGTGTGCATATGTGCAAATTGGACTTCTTTCCTTTGGGAGGGTGTCTGTGCCTCTAGAGAGAAAGAAAATTCCACCCTCATTTTATGATTCCCTCACTGGGTTGTTAGTGACATCATGAAAGAGAAATCAAAGTTTGAGTGATTCATACTGCACAAGAATTAAGCTGAAGTGAAAATAGTTTATGCATTTTTCAATACACAAAGATTTCTTTTCTTAAAGCAGCAGTCAGCAAACTACAGACTGCCGGCCAAATCTGGCCCATAGCCTGTATTCGTATGACCTGTGTGAGCTACAAATTTACATTCCCATTTTTAAATGGTTGCAAAAATCAAAGGAAGAATATTTCCCAACACAGGAAAATTACATGGGATTCAAATTTCAGTGTTCATAAATAAAGTTTTATTGGAACACAGCCTTCCTCATTCATTTATTCATCATCGGTGACTGTTTTTCATGCTACAAAGGTGGGGTTGAGCCTGTAAGCAAAAAATGTCTACTACCTGGACCTTTACGGGAAATGTTTGTTGATTTTCATAAATCTTTCTTTTTTTTACAAATCTATTTTTTCGTACGGTTTCATAGATGGAGGAACTGGAAATCCGAGAGGAAATGGGATTTAAAGAATGTTCTCAACATGACTGAATCCAAAGAGAAGCAGATATTTACCCCCATGAGGTGCAGATCCCTTCCAATTCCTCTGCTGTGCGCTGCCCATCAGAAGATATCCCAGGCTTACGGAAGAGCTGTTGAAATGTCCATTAAGAAAAATTGATTCTGAAGTGTGACATCATGTCCTTGAAGACACACGATATCATGACAGGACATGATATAATGTCCTGTGCAAATAGAAATTGCATTGTCAGAGACCCGATTGCTTCAGGAGGAAAGATACGGCTATAAAAATAAAATCATAATTTATGAAACTGATGCTTGTGGTAGGAATGTTCAGCGTTGAGTGCTCCTCCTTACCATGAACCCCAAATTTTGTGTTAGATCCTACGTGACCAGTTGCTTACCTCCTTTCTCTTTTATTGACAAAATCTCATAAGGACTGAGTTTTCCATGCTTATTTAATTTTTTTTTTTTTTTTATTTTTCGGCTTCTGCCTTCACGCAATAATATTGGTCAGGAAGGTTACTTTCAAATTCAACTTCTTACATACCATTGAAGTAGCATCAGGTGAGAATTCTTAGATCTTCTTTTTATTAAAAAAGAAACTATTTCTAATAAAAACACTGTGGGATTATTCATTTCAGTGTAGCAGGAAGTTTCAGAGAAAATAATGTGCATATATTTTCTATGTGCCAGAGTATAAGAGGCCTAAGAAAAGTCAGGAAGATAAGTAGTTTGCCCATTTCATTTCCTGGGGTGAAATGTAAAAATTCTGTTATGGCTCATAAATGACACTTGCCCCAGACCCGAGTTATGTGCTCTGTTTCCACAGACGTGGTGGCCTAATATTGACACCAAGTGTCTTTTTTCAGCTCAGGATCAGCCTAAAGAAAACGGAGATATGAAACTTGACCACCTTTAGAGACACACAGGTGCCTCCGCTTTGACCGACAGGGTGGCAACACAAGGACGATGGGGTCACCACAGAAAGGTGGAGCTGGGAGCACTGGGCGCTTCCATCTCTGAGAGTCACCAGGAAGTGAGTGGGCGAGTGAGGGGTCCATCTAGCAAGCACTGGGGGCAGTATGCCCTGAGTCCCCTTACCTTGTCTCAGCCACACACTCCAAGAACATCACCTCCTCCTCCCACCATCCAGCATACCTCATGTCTAAATAATACATATTCATATTGAGGAGTCAAAAGGATGGCTGGGCAAGGTAGCTCACACCTGTAATCCGAGCACTTTGGGAAGCATATCACTTGAGGTCAGGAGTTCGAGACCACCCTGGCCAACGTGGTGAAACTCCATCTCTACTAAAAATACAAAAATTAGATGGGCATGGCGGCTGGCACCTCTAATCCTAGCTATTCGGGAGTCTGAGGCAGGAGAATAGCTTCAACCAGGGAGGTGGAGGTTGCAGTGAGGCGAGATCATGCCATTGTACTCCAGCCTGGGTGACAAGAGTGAAATTCTGTCTCAAAAAAAGAAGAAGAAGAAGAATCAAAAGGAGATTCTGCTATTTATTGAGTGCCTTCTCTGTGTCAACCATGGCACTGGCGATTCCCTGGGACTTTATCTTATTTAATTCTCACAACATCCCAGAGGGATGGTCATCATTACCCATGTTTTTTAGATGAGGAAACTGTGCCCCAGCAAAGTTAATTATTTTGCCCCAAACTACACAGTTGGAAACCCTGGGAAAACAAGTCTATCCAGGTTGACTGTTCTTTCGCCACACCCCTCACTGTTTCTCTAATAAAATGAATCAGACTGAGACAGCATTAGGGTGATTTAGGGTTCACGCAAGAAGGAATTCCCCAAGAGCCAATGATGTTGCACATTGGAAAATAAGGAGGGGCCTTGTGGGGTGACCTCAGGCGGATCTCAGATGACCTGTCCTGCTTGTCTGTGGTGGATGGCAATTGTGGAGTTGGATGATAATTTCTAGAAGTTAATATTTTAAAATCTATAAAGTTCTGAACCAAGTTATGACCGAATTAAGAATTTCTAGGCTTCTCCATCTCATTGGCCATGACCCCCAAGGAATTTAATGTGCTAAGAAGTTGAGTCGGCCATCACAGTGGACCCCACTTGCCTGGACCTGGAGGCTCAGCAAGGGAACTCAGACAGAGGCTGAGCCACTGAACCCTGCTCGACTATGACACTTCACACTTTTGCTTTCTCTCCTCTCTGATGTTAATGGCTCATCTCCCCCAAGGTTCTCTTTTCACCTTTTAACCATGTGTCTGTCACCTCGGCTTGTTAATGGCTTTCGGGCAACCTGAGGCACAGCACAGCGCTGCTGCTCCACAGAGACTCCCGCCAGCCTTTCTCCTTGGTTAGGGGTTGCTTACAACTTGTAAATCAGCACATTAGTCACAGTTAAATGTTTCCTGAAGAACTTTCCAAACAACCTGGGAGTTTGGATTAGAACCTGGGACAGTGACAGGTGCTTTCAGGACACAAACCACCTTGTGAGCCAATCCATGGCAACATCTGAGGATGACACACTGCAAGGCCAGGCCGCTCAGCACCTAGAGCGCCTGAAGAGGACACATTCATCAGGAAGAAAATAGGATTAAAATAAAAGGAATTGCTACTGCCAGAACTTCCCTCAGGAGTCCTGGTTGAGTCCCCACTCTTTAACTTAAAGCCTCAAATATCAGTTTGAGGAAATATCAGCTTGTTTGGAAACTCATCTGTTCTAGCTTTGGATTTATGAACAGGGCATTTTTTTTTTTTTTTTTTTTTTTTTGCTTTTGAGAACATGGATGGCTGTGTCTTCACAGAACAGAGACCGCCACACCCTCTTGCGCTGTGGGGACTGAAGGAGCCGGGGGGAGTCCTGACTCCTCATGCCATTCTGGAGAGCCACACAGACTTTGGTGTTTGCGAGGTGATTTTCTCAGGCCTTGGGGCCTAGGACCTAGCGTTATCTAGCCCAACAATTAGAGACATTCAAAACGGGACTGGGCTACCTTTTGAGGTACTGAGTTTCTTGTCACTGGAAGGGTGTGGCAGAGACGGCAGAGATTCTAAAGAGGGAGTTTCTGCACCAGGTGAGCAACCCAATTCCACACACATTTGCCAAGGAGCCACTGTAGGGAGTAGGAAGGTGATATGGTTGCTGCAGGCCACCTGTGCAGTCATGTGCTGGGTTTGTTCTAATGCCTCAGGTTAAAAACAAAGACATAGTAAACCCCTCCATGTAGGATTGGACTAGATGTCATGCCCATATGCTGCAGTTCTTGGGTAATGCTGCAGCAAGATCACTGCCTCACTCATGCACTGCCCACCTCATTTGTGAAAAATCAAAACAATCTGGTTCTGCAGGAAGGAAGCTGCAGTCAAAAAGGAAAGGGTCTGTGCAAAGCTGTGACAGGAGAACAATCAGCTATAGCGCTGGGCTGCCCCCTCATTGACTTTTTGGAGATGACAGAACTTTCTCTCCAGTTGTTTTTTTTTTTTTTTAACAAAATTAATTCCTGATTCATAGTACCAATATTCTACTGACGTGTATTTCAACATAGATATGCATGTAATAGATGCTCAGTAAACACCATGGAGTGAATGACATAGATTTCTCTCTAAGCTATAGGAATTACTGACACAACAGATCTGAGACCTTTGGAGGAGGAGTAATCATATGGCTTTTAACTTCTCAGAAAGGTGGGTCCCGAAATACACTGCTATGAAAAGAAAGTCTACTGCCCTGGATGGCAGGATCAGCAGTTCTGCTGATATTAGACTAACAGAAAGTTTGGGTCCACCTGCTATATTTTGATTTACTTATAACCATCATTCAAACTAAGACACCTTTGAGAGTGAAAGGGGATTCTATTAATAATGACACTGAGGTGACAGGTAAATAGGCATTGTCCCTGAGAGGTGGAATATTCAGCTATCTGTCTCAGAACCCATGTAATCCGAGGCTGTCACACATTAATCATAGGAAAGTAAATGGCTCACGTGGAAACAACTCTAGAGTCATTTTCTTCAACTCTTCTTACTTTACTGAAGATGCTTAGGTCAGAGAGCTTAAAAGGCTTTGCCCAAAACCACGCAGCTTGGTGGTACCAAAGTCAGGCTAGAAGCCAGGACAGCTCATTCCCACCCAGGGCTCACGGGCTCTTGTCATTTATTCCTCTGTGTGCATAGTCCAGGATACTCACTTAAGGCAAATGTGGCAAAGAAAAGGACACAATTACAAGCTCTTACCAAGCATAAAACAAGCATTTGTGCTTTGACTTCCCAGGTGATTTTAGATAAAATATTTCATTTCTTTGCATTCTGTTTCCTGACTTGGAAAATCAAGAGAAATAACTGTCCTGCCACCTCTGGGTTTAGTTAGGAGGAATGAGATAAAAATATAAATAAAGAAGCACACTGACTCCTCAGGCAGAGAGGAGTTGTACATGTACATGTATAGTGGTAGATGTTATTGCACTATAAAACTATCCACAATGTACTAGTGGACCAAGAACTAAATAGTACTCCTGAGTCCTGAAAGTGCTAAAGTGACCCACAATACCTAACTTACCTTGTGAAGCAATAGTAATTTATTGCAGGGAAGGGCATGAGGAAAGACTGGAGGAGGGACAGACGGGGAGCAGGGAGAAGACTTAGTCACTGTAGCTACGATGTCCCTAACTGAAGGGTAGAAAATGATGAAGACGCAGATACATGCTTCATTTCTAAACACTTGCAGAAAATTTTAACATGTTCTTACTATCCTTCCCTCAAATTCCAGTGTGATTGTTTTATCCAAATGGGAAAATCTCAATAAACAAAACTCCCTAAATTCCTGTTGGTATTAATGAAGCGTTGGATGACTGCCCCAGCTTAACTCATGTGCTTTCCACAGGCCATCCTGGCAATCAGCCACTGGGGGTCAAAAGTGATAGAGCATTATGCAAATGTAAGTGGGACTTGCTTCTCAAGGTGGGACTTTGCTGCACGCTGTACAAATTGGTTGCTTCTGGTGAGGACAAGTCTCCGATAAACTTCCTAGGTATTGCTGTATGTGACATTTGCACAGCTTTCAGAATGAGACTTTTATTTGAATAGTCTCCTGGCATTCCAGAGGCAGGAGTTTTAAGCCAGGTGACATGTCCCAAGAAAGCCAAGTGTTGGGTGCAGGAAGAGCAGATCAGTGTGTGAGCTTCTGCTACCCAGTGTCAGCTTCATTCTATGGGCATCTCATGTGAACCTATGGCGGTGAGTGTGTAGAGAATGTAACAGGGAGAGAAAGGAAGCTCACTGGCAGGGCAGGAACTGATGATGAATTATGAATTTGCTATTTTGCACCAAACCGGAGCTGCTTGGGTTTTTGCTCATGTCTTCTTTTCTTCAAGGCAGAAGGCAATCTATTTCAGGCATGTCCTCTTTATGGAAATCCAAAAGTCTAAAACACAGGAGCAACATCTCTTGGGGTACTTGTGACTTTTAGGAATAAAATTAAGTCATTTAGGAAATGATGCTATGGGTTTCCTTGAACCCAAACATCTATACCAACATATAGACATCTGGCCCCAACATGTGAGAGGTGTGATCTGACCAGAAAGCATGCGGACTTTCCATTCCTAGTCCCTTAACAGGCAGTGAGGATGATGACATTTTCAAGTCTATGGAAAGGGAGCATTTAAGGCTGTGTTTCTTTTATTCTGAGACTTTCATGCAGGGCATAGGGGCTTGGTCAACAAGAAATATACAATTGAAATGGTGTCTTGGTTACCAGGGTGAGAACTATCAGAGAAGAGGGAAAAGTGGTCAATTTAAGTAAATGGCTTTTAAGAAAGAAAATTTCACCAGGCTTAAGGGGTTCATTGAAAAAGTCTCCAGAGAAAGGAGATCAAGGGTCAAATAGGGGCCCCAAGACAGCCAGGTGCTCTTGTAGAAAAACTTTTTCATAAAACTCTTACATTGTTACCATTCCCCCAAAAAGGATGCAGGCACTGAAAGGCCATCCAGTGAGCAAACCCCAGCTCCACAGGAACAGAGACGCACATCAGAGTGGCCATAAAATTGTAAGATTGACTCATTCCCAAGGAAGATGACAGAAAAATCAGAAAAAAAATGTTCAAAGGAATTCAGGAAATCTGAAGCAGGAGACAAGATATAGCTTTTCAAGGGGCACAAAAGGAGAGTAAAGGGAAATGCTGTCCCTTTAGTACTGGAGGACGTGATGTAAGGAGGAGAGAAGGAATCACAGATAAACACTACCCTCTCTCTAGAGGGGTAAGGAAGAGTTATTTTGCCTATGAATGTAAACAAAAAATGAAAAATAAGAATGAGCTTTCCTTAAAAGTATGCAGTGTTTTACACTTTTTGGAGCACTCTTGTGTCATCTTGAAAGTCAATGGAAAGATCTGGAAGGTGGGGAAAGCAAAGGGAGTAGAAAGGACCAGCAGATTGGATGCTTACACCTGTTTCAGTCATAGAGGCAGAGTATGATTTGCACAATCTGAGGGCGTGTGATCCGGACTACCAAGGGAATTGCCCAGGGACTAGCTGGGTGGGAAGCATAGCAAACCATGGTGAGTCTGTGGAGTAATTTGACATAAACCTCTTTAATCTCAGTCCCTATGCCAGAAAATTCCTGCCAAGGAAAGATATAATGCTAAACCACTTTGGCAGCATTTAGAAGTAACCAGGGAATGGAGTAATATTTATTCACTCATTTATTTATTCATTCAACAAACATTTGTTGAGAACCTGCTGTGTGCAAGACACTGTCCTAAATGCAATGACAACCAACATAGTGTCATAAAATTAAGCTTTCTATCAGATCAATCTAATTAACCTTCATATGACAGCCTGGAAAGTTGGGTTCGAATTCATTGCTGCAATCTTTCTTGACTTTGAAAGTATTCTAGTGTGTCTCATATGTTATAGCCCTCAATAAATGAAGACATACCACATGTGCTTGTGCACAGAGAACATCTGTGCTTAATGAATGCATCAATACACACCATGAAATGGGTCAAGACTTACATCTCATCTGCTTGTCTAACTCTGTTAAATAGATGGGGCAGGTGTTCTGCAGATGAGGAAACTGATATTCAGAGAAGTTAGGTACTGTGCCTACGAACCCACAGCTGGTGAGTGATGCAGCCAGACTTGGCATCAAGTCATGCCATGTCATGAAGTTTTTCAGGAATAGATTTTTCTTAGTGTTGCATATGATGGAGCAGAAGACAAATATGCTAATGTACAGACCATAAAAGGCCAAATGTGAGGATAGAACAGCACCTGTTAGGGCCACCAAATAAAACACAGGGTCACAGGAAGTCCAGTTACATTTGAATTCCAGATATGTCCCAAATAATATTGCCCTTTTCTTTATTTCTTTAGCTTTGCTTTATTTTCTGGTTTGGGTGATTGTTGTTGTTGTTAAATTTGGCAATTTGGCAATGCTTTCGGGGATCCACTGGGAAGTTATAAATTGTGTGCCTAGGGCCCTTGTCATGCACTCTTTTGGAGCCGAAGTGTCAATTTCTCCCAAGAAGGTGGTTTTGGGAGCTGCCTCAATTCATGTAATCTGAAGTTTGCTGCCTTCTTTAAAGGAGTGTTCTGATTCGATAAAGCAGGCAGGCAACCCAAAAAGCAGACGAACGAATGTCAATGGGACTGTCAGCTGCCATGCGCAAAAGCTGACTTGAGTTTTACAGATATATCCATCCTCCTCAACCCTCATAACAGTGCCTGAGGGTCAGCTGTGACCTTCTCCATCATACAGCCCATGAAACTGAGGCCCGAACAGATCAAGTGTGAGAGCTGGGGATTAAACTCATGCAGACCACACTGTGCTCTTTGCCATTAAGCTCCAAAATGAGCAAATGTGAATTTTCCAGAAATTGGACCTTAGTTGCTTTTACAATATTTCTTAACAACTTCCACCAATGAGACTTGCACCAGAGACAAAGAGACCCTGAAGTCGGAGGACATGTGAAGAGGCCCAGGAGGGCTGTTAAGATGTGACAAGCAATGGAAAGGTGTCAAGATGACAAATGCGATCTTGCCCCAGGCACTAGAATTTCCCTTTGGGGACCAATCTAATTAAATGAAAGTTCCACCTTCCTGGGCTGGGTTGAAGCTGTTAACATCTCCCCATGGAGTTTCATTCTCCCTCACTTCCCAGGAGCCCATCCTGTGGGGCACTCAACTTGCAGCCTCACTCTTCTACTCCACTGCTCTTCTCCCTCCAGAGCCCCCAGCAGTCACAAGGAAATGAGGACAAATGTGCCTAAACCATGGATGTTTGGTGAGAGAGCTCTGTAAGGGAGCAAACTGAGATGATCTCAAGTGTGTGTCAGTGGGCACAGAAGTAAGAGGTGTGGAGTTTCCCGGTACTTTTCCGATATCTGTTGAATTTGCCAACTAAAAGCAGAAGGCTGTGTCCTTTAGCGTCTCTGACTTTAAGTCCTTGATTATCTATCCTGCTTTTTCAGAAAGAATCTACTTTCATTTCACCTCTAGCATTCACGGAATGGGGTGAAGAGAAGGGAGAGAGAGTGGGAGAATGAGAGAGAGAGAGTGTTCAAAGTCAGACCTGTATTGGGCCAAACCTCCCTTCCACCCCCACAAGTCTGCCCTCCACTCTCTCTAAAAGGCTTTTTGCGTGAGCGATCCATACAAATTCAATTTGGAACTCTCAGTAGAATGGCCACATAGAACCAACGGATAGGCGGGGTTAAAAAAATAAATATATGGATCATGGTCAGGAGGGGAACTTTAGTTGACAACATTACTCTCACAGTCAAGGGTTGAAGGCCAGGAAAAAAGGTGGCCCCAAATGTTTCAAAGATGTTCTGATCATACCTAAAAACAGTTGGTACATTCTGGAAGAACTAGGTAAACTCATCAGCAGTCCAGAGACATGAATAAAATTGTGACACTGGACCAGCTATATAGATAATGAGACATGCCATCTGAGGAGGAAGTCAATATGACAAAATGTAATCTGTCTCTTATTCCATATTAATGAACTCCATACAGAAATTCTTATTCAAAACTATATCACTGGCCTATGTTGGTATAGACTTCTAGTTGAGTAAATCTCTTAGTGAGAACTTGCTATGTGTCAAGCTGTGTATGCACAACCCTGTTTAATCCTCATGACACCCAGAGCTTGCTCTTCCCCCTGCCTAACACTTTCCCCAGAAAATCACACGGCAGACTCCTTCACTTCCTGACAGTTTGGGCTCAAACGGCAACTCTTCAGAAAGGCCTGTGGGACCATCCTACATGGACTAGCACTGCCCCCACCATCCTCTGTCCCCTCACCCTGTTTTATTAGTTTTCATAGCTCTTATTTTACATATGGTTTTCTCCCCAGCATTCCCTATGGGCAAGGTCAGACTTCAATAAGCATCAAGAATGACTTTGAAAGGAACAAAATGCAACTCAAAAGGGAAACACTCATCTTGGGGTATGCATATGTGTCTGTGTGTGTGCACATGTGTGTGGGTTAGGAGAAAGGCCTGTCCTTCCCCACTGACTTGGCGTTAGTGCTGCTTTATGGGAGAATACTCAGGAAGATGTTTTTGTTTGTTTTCTTTAACACATACACAGTAGTTCACAATGTACAAAGGAATTCTGTGTTCTCATTGGAGCTTTGCAATGGCTTCCTCTTGTAGATAGGCTGGCTTTGTCTATTTTACAGATGAAGAAACTGAGTTTGGATAAATGAGAGGACATGCAAAATGTTTTGAGGTTAGTAAATAGGAGAAAAGGGGCCTAGAAACTTTAGTGCATCAGACACTGGAGGAAACCCTACTATAAGGAAGTTGTATTTATAAGCCAGTAGCCAATCAGGGAAGATCAAAAGGAAACTGACCCAAACCAGTTTCTTCTCAGTGCACTCTAAGGGAGAAAACGTGTGGATACTGGAGACAGGCCAGGGTAGTTTGACTCCCACCTCCACATCTTAATTGCTATATGCTCCTGGGCTTGTCACTTTGTCCCTAAGAGCCTCAGTCTACTGATTTGTAAATGGAAATGGTAGTGTCTCTTTCAGAGCTTGTTGTGAGGATCAGAAATAACACACGCAGAGTGCCTAGCACAATACCTGGCTTGGTGAGCAGTAAAAAGTCACACTTCCAGAATCTATTGCTAACTAACTTACCAAAGGCAAGGTAAAATCTGGTTGGCTGTCTTTCCAGGTAAGAAGTATTTTAAATGTGTTAGTTACAGTTGTCTTAGATTCTGAAACTTAGAGAAAAATCTACTTGTGAGCTTCCTCTGCAGGGTCCCTGCCTTATTTGTCTTCAAGTCCAAGCTTAGTACTGAGCCAGCTGGTTATTCTTGTCACACCTAGTCCATCATCACAGTCCAGTCGCCTCCCACCTCTGCAGGTGGCCCCTTCCACCCAGGGCTCAGCTTTCATTCTTAAAGCACTGTCCCTCCCACCTGGACCCTATGTCCCCTTATCCAGAACCCTTCCCCTCACATACCCCCACCATCTCCTGGACTTTAAGCACTGCTTCTTATCAGACTTCCTACCTCGGGCTCAAAAAAAATCCCTTTCCTCAAAGCCTCCACTCCACCTTCCTTCTCCGTCAAACCACTGCCTGAGCTCGCCCATTTTTTCCAGACATCACTGGTGTCTGGCATGACAGCTCTGGCATGGGTAACCCTGGTGTACTTTGCAGCCCTTCTTCCCACCGTTTACCTTGGCAGCCCCAGACAACTGCCTCTTTCTGTCCTCTGTGCCTTTGCATATTTGAGTCCTTCTTCCTGGAATTTGGTGAACTGCTGCTTACACTTTGCAGCACAGTTCAATATTGTCCCCTTCTTGACTCACCCAGGAGGAGTTAGTCCCATTCTCTTCTGCCCTTCCACAGGACTGGGGGGCATGCCTCTTATAGATTTTGCGTGGACATCTGTCTCACTGTCTAAGGGAGAATTGACTTGCAAATGGAAACTATGGGTACCATAACTCTGCTTCTTCCTCTGGAGCACCCTCTCAGGTGTTCTCTGGTGTAGGCTGATCTGGCATTCTGGTCATATGAGATGTCCTGGCCCCCTCCCTGCTGCCACACCAGCCTTCTGTGACATTCTGCACCATGGACCACAGTAAGGAAGGAAAAAAGGGAGGGAAGAAAGAAACATTTTCATCTTTCCTCTCACCAGGGTGTTCCCTTGGAGAAAAAGGAAGACAATGCATTCTGAATGCATCCATTCTTCTCTACTAACATCTTTTCACCCCTCTGATAGGAACTTCTTTTCCCTGGGCCAAGTTTATGTGCACCTCCAATAGCTTCTTTCTCATGAGGATCTCAATTTCTCAAACAGTTCCATCAGGTCTCTCCACCAGCCTTTGACAGCTGCCTGGATGTGTCTAAGCTGCAGGCTGAGCACATCCAGGCCTCTATGTGGGATCCCCACCACAATGAGCACAGTGCAGGTTTTCCTTATTGCAAACTCCAGCATCTGCTTTCAGACTAGCAGCCCAATCTTCTCCAAAAGGAAAGAGCAGACCCACATTGGAGGCAGAGCTGGGATGGAATTGTACATGGTTTTTATAGTTGCAGTGGGATCTCACTTATGAATGTGTATCTAATGCTGTTTGTGAACATTTAAACTGTCATCGTGGGATTTAACATTTTGATGTAGTCAATTCTGCTGCAACATGACATAAGTGTTCTTAAAATTCACCAGGCTATGCAGAATCACACAAGAAAAACAGGGCTCATGGGAAAAACAAAGTTAGGGCACAGCAATCCAAAACTTCACTAGTGACACATTTAGAAAAAAAAAAAAAAAAAAAAAAAAAACAAAAAATGACAGGAACCTGGTAAAAATATGACAAATGATTACACATGATGAAGGGTTAAAAATATATAGAAATATCATAATAAATAGGGTGCTTTACCTTGAAAGGAACTTAAAAATCTGCTCGAGGGAATGGGAAGGGTTACAGTTTGTGAGGTTACTGTGAAGTGGTGCAAATAGTACCAGCACACAGCCACTCTCCTTTTAGGGAAAGATTAGGCTGCTAGTCTGAAAGCAGATGCTGGAGTGTGCAATAAGGAAAACTCGCACTGTGCTCATTGTGGTGGGGTCCCACATAGAGGCCTGGATGTGCTCGCCCTGCAGCTTGGAAACGTCCAGGCAGTTGTCAAGGGCTGGTGGAGAGACCCAGTGGGACCCTTTGCATGAGAAGGAAGCTACAGAGATATACACAAACTTGACCCAGAGACAAGAAGTCCCTGTCAAAGGAGAGAAAAGATGTTAGTGGAGAAGAATGAGCATGATCAGGATGTTTTGTCTTCTTTTTCTCCAAGGGAAAACCCTGGGGAAAGGAGGGATGAAAATATTTTTCTTTCTTCCCTTCCTTCCTTTCTTTCTTACTGTGGTGCATGGTACAGAATGTCACAGAAGGCCGGTGTGGCAGCAGGGAGGGGGCCAGGACACCTCATATGATGAGAAGGCCAGATCAGCCTACACCAGAGAACATCCAAGAGGGTGCTCCAGAGGAGGAAATGGAGTCATGGCATCCGTAGTTCCCATTCACCATTCTGGAAATGGGCAGAGTTGTAATATGAGATGTTGATGTGTATAGCTCATAATTTACACAGTGAACCAAAGTAGTTGGTAGATATTTGAGATGTTTGTGTGGTTGCATAGTCCCACACAGCTCACTTCAGCTAGGTGCATTTTCTGCATTTGCCTAGTGTTTCTCCTGGACAACATCATGCATATTATACTCAAATTATTCTCTAATATATCAATTGCATTGGAACAAATTCGCATTTTTAAAACATGTGATATTCCAGAACTGACTGTACCATCCATCAGGCTTTGGCCAAAGTACTTGCCCTCACTCATCTTTTTAAATAAGGACATTCCCCATCTTCCACCCCTCACCTCCGATCACATCTGTACAGTCATGGGATACAATTTTGAAAGATCATTTGAAAATAGGAAGCACCTATTTTTGAAAATGTTTTTCATATTTTACCAGAACTAATATTGCCATTAAATTTCTTCCAAATAACACAAGGAAGGACCATTGGCTCACAGTCTATGTCTTTGAGACACACAACTTTCCCGGCTTATATGCCCTGCTTGGTTTTCTGAAGACTGACCCTGCTTTTGCTCAGGTATGTGGTCTGTTTTTGCCATCTGGCCTCACTTTCTGCCTAAAAGAACTAGTTATAAACTTGAAAAATATAAGAAAATCTCCACATAATCTGGGAGTTGGTGATTTCTCTTTAATAGGTTATCCTCTGTGCCCTAATTAGAAAAAAGTGCCTCATTTGGATGGAAACCTTGTGGCAGGGTGACACAGCCTGGTCAATTGTGCATGGTTGTGGTGACTCCAGCTTGGGCTGAGCTGGGCGCGTGTACTTTGGTTCCGTGGCATTGAATGTTGGACCTGGAGACTCCCCAACAATGAGAGAGGAGCACACGAGGACAGGGAATGAAAACCTGTCCTGAGGCCCTTTACAGATGTGAGCAGGAGATGCCCCTACAGACATTGTTTGAGGGTTACCCAGGTGGGATCCTGTGTCATAAGCTGAGTCACAGTCCAGGCAAGGGAGGTGGGAACAAATGCCAGCCCTGGCAGCCAGGCAGAGAGGTCAGGGCCGGGCAACCACGTCACCATGCAGCATGTCCTCAGGTAGCTGCAGTGTCCTCTGGCCTTTGTTCTCTGGGCCTGAGTGGGTGTCCCTTCTCCGCCTTTCTGTGTAGGGGCCTGAGGCTGTGGTAGGCTTTTGGGCAGAGCGAGAACTGCTTAGATTCTGGGAGGGGATGCACCCTATACCAACCAGGGAAGATTTTATGAGCAGGGAAGCTTGGGAGGTCCTGACCAAGGACAGTGATTTTCAGAATTCTTTTTAGCCGTGGAACTTTTCCAAGAAGGAAACATTTGCAGAACCCAGGCTGCACCAGGTAAAGCAGGGAAGGGGCTGCAGCCCCACCCCCACCTCCAGCTCTTTCTCTTCTCCCTCCTCAAGATAGAGATTCCTATGGTCACAGAAAAGAATTTGAAAACCACTGATTCAGTCCAATGTCCCCATTTTCCAGATGAGAAAGCTGAGGCCCAGAGAGGTTAAAGTGCCCTGCCAGTGATCACACAGTAGGAAGTGACAGGGCCACTTTGTAAGCCAGAAGCCCTCAGGTTTGCCTTTCAGTCTAAAGCCAGGAAGACGTTTACAAAGCTGGAGAACCAGGTAGCGGAGAAAGGAAATGCTGGCTCTGAGCTGTGCCTAGGATTTGAGCTCAGGGTTTTCTCCTCTCTGCACCCCACTAGATTCATAGCACAGCTGCCACATGAACCTGGAAAGCAGTGCAGATGTCAGAACAAAATCTCCAAGAGGCTTCAGACAACACCTGGGCCATGGGATGAATGTTAGTGCCCCTGCCCCATATTCACACATTGAAACCCTAACCCCGAATGTGATGGTATTAGGAGGTGGGGCCTTTGGGAGGGTAGAGCCCTCTTGAACAGGATTAGTGCCCTTATGAAAGGGATCCCAGAATGTAATTAAACTAAAGAGCTTCTGCACAGCAAAATAAACTGTCATCAGAGTGAATAGGTAACCTACAGAATGGGAGAAAATTTTTGCAATCTATCTATCTGACAAAGGGCTAATATCCAGAATCTACAAAGAACTTAAAGAAATTTACAAGAAAAAAACAAACAACCCCATCAAAAATTGGGTGAAGGATATGAACAGACACTTCTAAAAAAAAGACATTTATGCAGCCAACAGACATATGAAAAAATCTCATCATTACTGGTCATTAGAGAAATGCAAATCAAAACCACAATGAGATACCATCTCACGTCAGTTAGAATGGCGATCATTAAAAAGTCAGGAAACAACAGATGCTAGAGAGGATGTGGAGAAATAGGAATGCTTTTACACTGTTGGTGGGAGTGTAAATTAGTTCAACCATTGTGGAAGGCAATGTGGCAATTCCTCAAGGATCTAGAACTAGAAATACCATTTGACCCAGCAATCCCATTACTGGGTATATACCCAAAGGATTATAAATCATTCTACTATAAAGACACATGCATACATATGTTTATTGCAGCACTATTCACAATAGCAAAGACTTGGAACCAACCCAAATGTTCATCAATGATACACTGGATAAAGAAAATGTGTCACATATACATCATGGAATACTATGCAGCCATAAAAAAAGGATGAGTTCATGTCCTTTGCAGGGACATGGATGAAGCTGGAAACCATCATTCTCAGCAAACTAACACAAGAACAGAAAACCAACCACATGTTCTCACTCATAAGTGGGAGTTGAACGATGAGAACACATGGACAGAGGGAGGGGAACATCACACACCAGGGCCTGTTGGGGGGTAAGGGGCTAGGGGAGGGATAGCATTAGAAGAAATACCTAATGTAGGTGACGGGTTGACGGGTTGAGCAAACCACCATGGCATGTCTATACCTATGTAACAAACCTGCACATTCTGCACATATACCCCAGAACTTAAAGTATACATAAAAGGGATCCCAGAGAGCTCTCTTGCTCTTTTTGCCCCCCAAATGAGGTTACACAGAGAAGTTGGCAGTCTGCAACCCAAAGAGGGCCCTTGCCAGAACCCAACCTGGCTGGCACCCTAATGTCTAACTTCCAGCCCCCAGAACTCTAAAAAAGAGGTTTCCGCTGTTTCTAAGCCACCCAGTCTATGGTGCTTGGTTAGAGCAGCCCAAACGCACTGAGACACCCAGGGACCTTCCCTGAGTGAGAAAAGCATCAGTTCCATGCTGAAGCAGCAATTAAGCACAGGGTGGCAGTGAATGACTTTGAACTGAAACCACCCCGTCTCACTTGCCTGTTGAGAGTTGGAATAAGTGTTTTGAAAGAAGCAGAAGGTGACAGGATTTGCTTCCATTTTCCAAGCCATTTCACTTTCAGGGAGAAGTCACTCGGAGCCAGAGCTTGGTTTACTTGTGCAGATTTGTAGCCCAGTGGAGGCTCTATCTGTTTGTCAAATCTTCCAGGCCTCTTTGCAAGTGGTGGCCAGTGACAAAGGTGGGTCACAGTGAGGCACCTGAGAATTACTCTGCAGTTGCGGACCCAGGAACTGGGAGTGGGGAGCAGAAGACACAGTGAGAAGGGCCACATTCTTTTCCCTTCCACTACGGTTATTTATTTTTTCTTTTAGAGGGGAGAAATCAGATAACAAAATCCAGTCTCCTGGACAGGAGAGAATGAAAAAAACAGAGAAAGAGGTAGAGGAGGAGGAAGAGAGAGAAGAAGAGGGGAAGAGAGAGAAAGATGAGGGATCAGGGTAGGGAGAAAGAAGAAAGAAAGAGAAAAAGAATTTTCTTTTCCCATGCCACAAAGGAAGACATGAACATGAACATGAACATGAACATGAACATGAACATGAACATGAACATGAACATGAACTGGACAATGTGTATTTTAGTATTTAACAAAAGGGATTGTATTCCTTTAGTTTCAGGGATAACAAGTCTATTTTTGTAATGGGAAACCCCATTGATCCCCATAGGCCACCAACCCTATCCTTTACCATGCTACCTCTCTCCCATCTATGACTATGCCTCACATGAACAGGTCAAGGGCAGCTGGAGACCTTGGATGATGAGGCACAAACCAGATCTCCTGAGAACAGCCGCAGCCCACAGGTCTGGTTCACTCCTTGGGGCAAAGCTTCCCAAGGGAGGAGAGGACATGGTTTCTACCAGGAGCTGACTGCATGCTCTAGCTTGAGTTCTGAGCTGCATGATCGTCCTCCGTGTGGATCTTGTGGCACTGGGGCCTTTCAAACCACCCCTACTCTGGAAATCACTCAGTGAAGGCATTCAAGAGGAATAAAGGAGGCTACACAGAACCCAGGGTGTGTTCATGTCTCTACCCATGATTTTTTCAGTGACAGGTCAATGAAAACTCATTTTAAATGGCCTTAAACAAAACAAACCAAAAGTGACACGGGCATTCTCTGAAGACATTAGGTTGAGGGCAACTTGTTACACAGAAAATCTAACAGAACCATGCCCACCTCAGAGCGTGGCTGGGAGGATCTCTTGAGACACATGCATGACGTGTTCGGTGATGGGCTGAATGTGGTAAGAGCCCAACTAATATCAGCTATAAGTATTCACGTTCCTCTAACATAGCTATTTTATGTAATCTCTAACCTGAGAAGGTATGATTTTCTGCATTTCGAGAGGTATGCCATTTAGAATGTAGGTCACAAATCAATCAAATTAAAACACACGCGCGTCCTCCCATCTCCCTTCCTTTGGAAGCCTGACAACAAACTGCTTGATATATGCTATTTGGAACCAGATGAAGTGCTCACAATGCAATCTACAAGTGTGATGCCAGCAGAATCTGCGTTTTTGATGAAGAGCCATCATCACTTGGCTATTCCTGTCTTCAAAATAAATAAAGTTTATAAAATAAATAAAGAAAGAAAAGATGTGGGGCCAAAACTTAACAGAAAGGACTATCAATGCCATCACATTTAAAAAATGTATTCGAGGTTAAATATTGTACTTTGTCTCTATCAGCTCTTTCCACACGACCCAACCCCTTAGCCCAGCATAGACACACCTCATTTTTTTGCACTTCGCAGATACTGAGTTTTTTACAAATTGAAGGTCTGTGGCAACCCTGTGTTGAGCAAGTCTATCGGCACCCCTTTTCCAACAGGATTGCTCACTTCCTGTCTCTGTCACATTTTGATAATTCTCACAATATTGAAATGTTAATCATTATTATATCTGCTATGATTGTGACCAGTGATCCTTGATGTTACTATTATAATTATTTTGGGGCACCACAAACCACATCCATTTCAGAAGGCAAACTTAATAAATGCTGTGTGTGTTCTGACTGCTTCCCCCTTCTCTCTTTCTCTCCTGGGGCCTCCCTATTTCCTGAGACACAACAATATTGAAATTAGGCCAATTCATAACCCTACAAAGGTCTCTGAGCACTCACATGAAAGGAAGAATCGCATGTCTCCCACTTTGAATGAAAAGCTAGCAATGAGGAAGGCATATTGAAAACCAAGATAGGCCTAAAGTTAGGCCTCTTGTGCCAGACAGCCAAGTGGTGAATGCAAAGAAAAAGTTCTTGAAGAGAATTAAAAGTGCTACTCCAGTGAACGCACGAATGATAAGAAAGCAAAACAGCCTTATTGGTGATACGGAGAAAGTTTCAGTGGTCTGGATAGAAGATCAAACCAGCCACAACATTCCCTTAAGCCAAAGTCTAATCCAGAGCAAGACTCTAACTTTCTTCAATTCTATGAAGACTGGAAGAAGTAAAGAAGCTGCAGAAGAAAAGTTGGAAGCTAACAGATGTTGGTTCACAAGTTTAAGGAAAGATGCCATCTCCATAAAAGAGTGCAAGGTGAAGTAGCAAATGCTGACAGAGAAGCTGCAATAAGTTATCCAGAAAATCTAGCTAACACTGTTGATGAAGGTGAATACACTAAACGACAGATTTTCAATGTAGATAAAGCATCTTCATATTGGAAGAAGATGCTATCTAGGACTTTTCTAGCTAGAGAGAAGTCAATGCCTGGCTTCAAAGCTTCAAAGGACAGGCTGACTCTTATTAGGGTCTAATGTGGCTGGTGACTGTAAGTTAAAGCCCGCACTCATTTATCATTCTGAAAATCCTACGGCCCTTAAGAGTATGCTAAATCTACTCTGCCTGTCCTCTGTAAGTGGAACAATACAGGCTAGATAATAGTACATTGGTTCACAGCATGGTTTACTGAATATTTTAAGCCACAGTTGGGACCTACTGCTTAGAAAAAAAGATTCCTTTGAAAACATTACAGCTCATTGACACTGCACCTGGTCACCCAAGAACTCTAATGGAGATGTACAAGGAGATGAAAGTTGTTTTCATGTCTGCTAATATAGCACCCATTCTGTAGCCCATGGATCAAAGATTCATTTTGATTTTCAACTCATAGTATTTAAGACATGCATGTTTTAAAGCTATAGCTGCCTTAGATTGTGATTCCTCTGATGGGTCTGGGCAAAATAAATTGAAAACCTTCTGGAAAGGAGTCACCATTCTAGATGCCATTAAGAACATTTGTGATTTATGGGAGAAAGTCAAAATATAAACATTAACAGGAGTTTGGGGGAAGCTGCTTCCAACTCTCCTGGATGATTTTGAAGGGTTTAAGACATCAATGGAGGAAGGAACTGCAGATGTGATGGAAATAACAAGAGAACTAGAGACAAAAGGGAGCTTGAAGATGTGACTGAATTGCTGCAGTCTCAGGATAAAACTTGAATAGACAAGGAGTTGCTTCATATGGATGAGCAAACAAAGTAGTTTCTTAAGATGGAATCTATTCCTGGTGAGGATGCTGTGAACACTGTTGAAATTACAACAAAGATTTGGAATATTCCCAAAACTGAGTTGATAAAACAGCAGCAATGTTTGAGAAGACTGACTACAATTTTGAAAGAAGTTCTGCTATGGGTAAAATGCTATCAAATGGTATCCCATACTGTGAAAAATCTTTTATAAAAGGAAGAGTCAATCCCTGGGGCCAACTTCATTGTCTCATTTTAAGTAATGTCCCCCATAGACCGCAGCCTTTAGCAACCACCACTGTGATCAGTCAGTAGCTAGCAATACTTAGGCAAGAACTTCCACCAGCTAAAAGATTATAATTTGCTAAAGGCTCAGATGATCATTAGCATTTTTTAGCAATAAAATAAGTATTTTTAAATTAAGGTATGTACATTGGCTTTTTTAAAAAAAATGCTATTGCACACTTAGACTACAGAATAGTATAAACATAACTTATATGCACTGGAAAACCAAAAAGCTTGGGTGACTCACTTTATTGTGATAATCACTTTATTACAGTGGTCTGGAATCAAACCCACAATATCTCCAACATATGCCTGTAATAGTCTAGTCTGTGTAAGTTATAAAATAATAGGCTTTTCCAGGATAATACAGCAGAGAAAATTTGCTAAAAGTCGCAATCTGCTAATCAACCAAAGACAAGCTGTGGCACTCTGAGTTTCATTAGACAAATTGCTTCTCCTCTCCCATAGTATTAATTGGAAATTAAATGTGGCTTTTTCAGACACTTACACAAAGTTTAAAAGTTTTAAATTATTGGCTCTATTTTCAGTCCTATGCACATAAATTTATACATATAATGAATACTGCTTAAATTGGAATGGACTCAAAAACTACGCTTCTGTTTCAAGATCTCCTATTATTTAGTAATGCAGTTTAATTTAACACATTTATTGAATATCCAAGTTGTGCTAGATGCCAAAATATTGCCCATGAAATTATCCCAGTTTTCCAATAAATTAAACTGAAAATCTATTTAAAATCCAAAGCAATAATTCATGCTAGGTTGCAATGCTCATGCAATTTAGGAAAAGGTATTTTCTAAGATTTTTAAACTGTTAAACATTTTAAATATTTCAATAAATGTGTGTTATTCTAAGATTTTTAAACTGTTAAACATTTTAAATATTTCAATAAATGTGTGTTAAAGGAATGAATGACTGTTACAGTTAATGTTCATTAGTTGACTAAAGCTGATTAAAGCATAGACTGTGGACACCTCTATTAACAAAGCTACTGAAGTTTAGCTTATCATTGTCATCTGAATTGTGGATAGTTAGTCCTTCAAAATTACGTTTGTTGGCCAGGAGCGGTGGATCATGCCTGTAATCCCAGCACTTTGGGAGGCCAAGGCGGGTGGATCACCTGAGGTCAGGAGTTCCAGACCAGCCTGACCAACATGGTTAAACCCCATCTCTACTAAAAATGCAAAAAAATTAGCTGGGCATGGTGGCATGCGCCTGTAATCCCATCTACTGTGGAGGCTGAGACAAGAGAATCGCTTGAACCCTGGAGGCAGAGGCTGCAGTGAGCTGTGATCATGCCATTGCACTCCAGCCTGGGCAACAAGAGCAAAACTCTGTCTCAAAAAAAAAAAAATTATGTTTGCTGATAATTTTTTCCTGAGACATATTGATGGATTCTTTTTAACACCCTGTCATTTTTCTAAGAGCCCTGAAGAAAGCAATGAAGTAACTCAATCGTTAGTTTGAGAGCAGAAATATCAACACTTCTATAAGGTATTCACTTCTTGGTCACAATGGACACACAGTGTCATCGGATATTCAGTAATTAGACTGAGATGAAAAATATACATGATTCAAAGCTGCCATGTAAAATAGAAATCATTAGTTGCTAAAATTGCTATAACAGGCTTTTTAAAATAAAAGATAGAGAGTTGCTGGAAAATTCTGGACTTTGAGGCTTTCTGTTCTGTGCCAACAACTGAGGGGTAGCTTGAGGGTACTTTAACCCAGAGGCTGCTGTGTGGATCCACTGGCAGGTAAAGAAGGGGACTCTTCCACACACCCTCTCCCATGTCATCACACTGGCCATGCTGCTGGACCAAGCAGCACATGCCATGAAGAATGAAGTCAGCCTGTCCCCATCTGCCCCTCCCCAGTTTCTCCCCTTCATTATGTGAAAGTGAAGCATAATGCAAATCTATGGTGGAAGAATGCCCTCTCTCCTTTGTTTCAGAGCAATTGTTTTCCATGCAACATCTTGAGCATCTCGGGCTTTAAATAAATGGAATAGAAGCATTAACAATGATGTCTCTCTAACAGGTGTTGGTACTGCCTGTGACTTCCTATATCTGAGTCCATGTGTCCCTGTACCCCTCTATCACCTGTCACAATTCTCCCAAATTTCCTCAGGCTTCTCAGCTCCTTGGTGGTCTGTTTTGATATCTGCTTACCCTTATCTTGAATCATTTTAGCTGATAGGCATTTCCTTGAAAAAGTTGGGTAACAGATTTTTTTTTAAACTCCTCTAACAACTACCAAGTACTCAGGGAGTTATCTTGGTGGCTTGTGAGAGTGACAGTCCAAGACTTGCAGAAAGAAGACAGTGATGTCTATATGTTCCCACGCTTGATCATCTCCTGCACTGAACAGCATGGGGTCTTTAAACTTTTAAGTTTCAGCTACAATGAATCCATTACAAAGGAAAACACACTCTGCTATCTGAGATATCTGTATTTAAACCTATTTCTGCCCCCTAATACAGTATGACTTTTTAGAAGAAATAACTCTCTCATGGGTGAAACAGGGACCACCACCAACCTCACAGGGTTGCTTTAAAAAGAGAGATAAGGTTTATGAGTATGTCCTACCCCTCACCTGGCACGTGATCGGTCCTCCATGAGCACTGAGTCTCTTCCCACTTCTCCTTTCTCCTGGGAAGGAGTGAGAAATGGTCAGGCATGCTCAATCATGGACCTGTCAGTGCTGTTCAATGGCTCTATCTTGAGGGGCTCTTTCCTGATAGTTTCCTTTCATCTTCCTCCATCCATCCTCCTGCGACACAGCACTCTGTCACTGTGTCTTCACTCCCACACCTTAGCTCAGGCGCACACACACATCCACAACTCTGACCTCTTCCCAGGGATGTCTCTTCAAGGGTCCCTGCAGAAGAAGAATCCCAAATCATCCCCTCAAGCCCTTCTTAACACTGTCCAGAGAAGAACAAAGTAAAAACAAACACCAAGCCTCCCACGCAGATGGAAGCATTCAGTCTATGTTTGCGGATATTAATTTAAACCAAGAAACAATCTAACAGAAGAAAGATAGAGAGGATCTCTCAATTCAGATAAACCTTTAGAATTCTGGGAAAGGGAATTTGAAAAAAAAAAAGAAAAGAAAGAAATACTAGAAGCAGGAGATACTACTCATACTGTTAGATAAGAAAAATGAAGTGGATTAGATAAAAGTTCCCTTAGAAAAGGTGATGTTAGAGAAGCTGATCATTTTTTCATCTTGATGCCTTTTCTGGAAATTTGCATCTTGAAAATGAGGAGGACCAGTTCCAGAAAATACGGTCCCTCATTTGATGTCCTTTCAGAAAAGTGGAAATTAAGTTCTGGGGTAATGAGAATTGCCTGGCTAATGGCTAGTGAATGCTTATAACGTTAGAATGTGAAAGACTCTCCTCTAAGTGTTGTATGTGTATGTGCTTCATCTTCTTTCATTCCCACAATAACTCCATGAGGATAGTCCTATATTAGCCCTGTTTTACAGATGAGGAAACTGAGGCACAGAGAGGCCCAATAACTTGCTCTAGTTCACATGAGCTGTAAATAGTGGTGCTAGGATTTGAAGTGAGGATCCAGGCTACTACATACAGTGACTTGAGGTGTGCCCTCTGCCACTGCTCTGGGTGCCCATTCTTCCACTGAGCCACGCAGCCCCCCTCAAAGATGGTGCATCTGGCTCTCGCTGCCACATTGCTGTGAAGAAGCAAGAGTCAATGGCATCATAGGAAAGCAAATGAAGCAAAGACTTTCTACTTTCTGCTGGGCCCCAGCTGTTTGGAGAAGGAAAAAAAAATATCAGGATGTGGAGATCATTGAATTCTTACTCGAGGCTGACTGCTTACTTGAAAAGTGTGATGTTGTTGTGGAATGCTCTCTGTGGTCACAGAATTGAGATAACACTTGGAAAAAGAAACACGAAAAGCTCCTTATTGAAAAACATACAGCTCCTTTCTTCATTGCTGTTGAGCTCTACCAAAGAGAGCTGGAAATAAATGAAAACTAACTGAGGAAAGATTGGGGGCAAGGTATTAAAAATTGCATCAAATACATAACTGAACCCCAAACTGCTAAAGTTAAGTATGAGTGTAAAACCAGGTTTAAAATAATCCTGGTATCACATAGGATTTGACAAATTCCCCAAAGCTGGCCAAATAATTTCAAAAATGCTAATTGAGTTCAGCAACATTTATTGATTACTATGCATTGGAGTGTTGTACTTGGTACTGAGAAGATGAAGACAGGTGAGTTACACATTCTTTTCTCAAGCAAGTAGGACAGAGAACGATCAACAAGCCAAAAAATACCAGGGATGGTGCATTTAGTTACGAATATGCAAAACAAGAACAAAATAAAAAAAAAAGCAGAAATAAGTTCAAAGAAGCAGTTAAGGAAGTGAATTATTTTGTCTATAGTCAAGAAAATCTTCCCAAGACCTCAGTCAGATTCCAAAGGATGAGTAGGTGTTTTCTAGACAGTCAAATGGTAGAGATTGCACTGGAGAAGAGAACTGTAGAGAAAAAAAAACACGATGTGCAAATCCACAGAGGTCTGAAATAGCGTGGTGCCAAAGGAAGACAATGAACAGTTTGGGTTTGCTGGAGGAGAGAGTGGGAAAGGGAATGGTGCTGGGAGAGACGAGACGTGGGAATGGATTTGAGGAGGTAAAACTTGGAAGCAGAGAAGTTGGTTGGGGACTACTGTAGATTAAGCAAAAGATAAGGAAATGTTAGACTAAGCTGGTCTCTGTGCTGATGAGAAGCAAGAACAGATTTGAAGGACAATTAGGAGCTAAAATTGATGGGAGTTGGGAAATGCTTGCATGAGTCAGGAAGAAAGGAAGACTCGAGGGTGATGTCAGAAGTCTTGTGTGCCTGCCTGGTGACTACGTAGATGGTGCCAAAAAGGTATCTGCAACTACCGTCCACGAAGGTCGAGACATGAGCGGTGGGACTCGGGTTCAGGTCTGGGAGAAAAGTGCTGAGAACAGATGAGGACTCCAAGTCGAAGGGGCTAGCTTTGCAGCAGACACTCTGAGGTGGGAGCTTCTGACTGTTCTTTGCCACTAGAACACCTGTGGGAAAATTTGAAATATGTAGGTCACAGTGGTGGACAGGATGTAAGGTGGCCCCAGGACCTCCACCCCCGGTGTTCATACCTGTGTAACCTTCTCCCCTTGAGGAGCACCTGTGCGTAGGCCTGACCTGTGACTTGCTTCCAACCAATAGAATATAGCAAAGATAAAAGGATGTCACTCCCATAATTATGTTATACTTTAAAGACTCCATCTTGCCTGTGGACCTACACTAGAGACTCTCCTTGCTGGATTGATGAGGTAAGCACTGTGATGAGGATGTCCCTGTGTGGGGGCATTGCAGACAGCCTCCAGAGCTGAAGGTGGCCTCCAGCTGACAGCCAGCAAAAGCCAGACCCTCAGTCCTGCAGCTGCAAGGAAATGAACTCTGCCAACAATCTGAATGAGCTTGGAAGTGGATTCTTCTCCCACTGAGCCTCCAGATGAGAATGCAACCTAGTGGACTCCTTGACTGCAGCTTTGTGAGGCTCCAGGCAGAAGGCCCAAGAAAGCCATCCTCAGACTTTTGACCTATGGAAACTATGAGATAACAAATCTGTTTTGTTTTAAGCCACTAAGTTTGTGGCAACTTGTTAGAGCAGCAATAGGAAACTAATACAATCATCTGATGAGAAGCATCCAGAGGAAAACTACAACTATCCTCAGGGGTTTCAAGGAGTAGGAGGAAAGGAAGAAAAAAAGCAGCAAAGCTTCCGCAATGGATGAAGTCTGGCTCCACATGCAGGCAAGCTCCCAGCCCAAAGGAAGCCATATACACTCACTTTCCACACACTTTCTCTTGGGGGTGCCTTGGGGCTTGTCACAGAATGAAAGACCATCTCATAAGCTCCCTAAACATTGTGCAGATGGAAAGGGGGCCACCTGTGCTGGTGTCTGCCCTGTGGGGTGGAGTGTCTGCCCCTCAAAGGGAAATGCTTTTCCACTGCAGAGAGGAAAACTAGTGCCCTGAAGCAGCAGACATTGTTCTGCCCATGGCAGCCCATGCTTACGTCTTTGCCTCCTCTCCTCTGGTCCCAGGACCTCCTCCCATTCTCTTCCACGTGTCTACTAGGAAAGAAAGCCTTTCTATTCTTTCCCTCCTCTTTTCCTTCTTTGTACTCAGGAATGATGCTACTTTCAACAATTCACATACAATTCAGTACTATTTTAGGTAAAATTTTAGGGGAGCCTAGCCATATCTATGTCCTGCAAATACATATCCACCTACACATACACACACACACACACAAACATACCTACACAGAGACACACAGACAGGGACAAAGAACACTAATGTTCATTACAGAGTAATTGAGGTCCTACCTGAAAGTTATTAGGGAAAAGATAATCATTACTTTGCTTGAAACCCTGCCTGATTGCTTGTTATTGTGTGACAGCATGGTGAGGACCTCAATTTTGTGAAGAAATGTAAAATAAAGTCCAAATCTTAGTTACTGACAGCCACTAACAGCCCTTGTGAAAGTGAGAGAGCTCTGTTCTAACCCACTGTCAGGTTTAATGAGAATACGCACTCCCATCTGCTGAAGGCTTATAACATTGCAGGCCTTATGCTAAGGACTCAGTGCACTTCATCTCATGCAGTCCTCACAACAATGACACAGAAGAATGAATGTTATCACTTGGCGTTTAGGGAAAGAGAAACTAAGGCTCAGATATCAGGGCAAGTGCCCAGCTGGACAGCTCCAAACCAATGCCTCTCTCCACCATAGTGAGAGACAGAGGGGTCAGTAAGACTTCAGCTATGTTCCCTACTCTTTTAGTCTCTTTCCTAAATTAGATATAAAAATCCTGAAGGTAGAATAGAAAGCTCCATGGCCACAAGAAACATTTCCTCATTTGTTAAAAGATCAGAAGCTCTGAGCAGCAAGCAGTGCACACCCAGGCAGAGTCCATCCTGCCTGCAGAAAACCAGTTGTACCTGCAGCTCAACAACTCCAGAGAATCTCCAGCAACAGAGTTCCCCATAAACACCTGCCCCCTCCAGCCATGGGCTTGTGAAGGTGAAAGTTGTCTCATTCACCATGGCAACCTCGGTGCTGGGCACAGAGGAGGCAATAAGTATCAGACAGTTGAATGAGAAAGTGGATGGATGGACAGATGCATGGCTAAACAGACAGATGGACAGAAGGATGGAAGAATCAATTAATGGGTGCATGGATGTGACAAAGCCCAACTCAAGAGAGGGACAGAAACAAGTTCGGCTCATTTGAGTCCCAGCTCCTCATTTCTAGTCATGGACTTCTGTGTATCCTAGAACTAAGAGATGCAAAATATCGGTAAATAATAGTTAGTTTTCCCCTTCATTGTCTCTAGCCATGTGTTTCCAAGAAGTACTTTAAAAGTGACAGTAGACAAGTATTTTGTTTAGCATCCATGCAAAGAGCTTTCTAAAAAGCAACAAATTGAAAGACAGATGTTATTCCTGCCATGTAGACCTCTCCATCAGACCTTGTAGACCTTGCATACTCAGCCCCTGAATGGACATGCAGGGACCTTGAGAAAAGGCACATTTCAAGAGGGAAGCACAGAGTCTTGTCATGTCCTGGTGGGAATACAAATAAATTAATAAATTAAGCCAAGCCAGGCCTGCAAAATGCCTAGCTAGACATTCAAATACCATGGCTCCAAGCTGCTCAGCCTTATCTGCATTCTTGAAGTTTCAACAGAGCCGCTGGCAAGCTGGCTGCCAGAGCTGATCTTTTGCTGTCGGCATATGGGGTAATAACCTCCATGGATGAGGGTGTGCAGCTCCATGCATGAAGGAAGGCACGGTCTTCCTGTCCTTTTGCATGGAGCCATGACCTCATCCTGCCTCATCTCATGTCTCCAAAATGCATCCCTTAGAGGCCAATGAAGCAGGCAAGCTGGAGGTAGGAGACGTCATCGGTGAGAAAGGCTGCTTTGTTGTGAAGTGCCTTTGGGTGGGGACATCTGCCAAACTGGCCACGTGAAGCTGAGGACAGGGCCAGGGTAATCCAGAGGGAGGCAAACAAGGATACACAAACTTTTCCCACTTGCCTTGATCCTTAGAGAAGCTGTTTCCAGATGAGGCCTTTCATCGACTTCCTACTGAGAGACCTCAAGGCGCCTAAACTACATGTTCCGTGCCATATGGATCATCCAACACAAACAGTGACTGATGCTGCTTGCTCTCAGTTATCCAGGAGCTGTTAACTTAGGGTGTGGGTCAGCCAGAACCTTGGCTTCCTCTTCCCCTCCATGGCTTGGCTGTGCTTGTACCAGCCTCCATCTCTTCCTAGAGGAGACCCCTGCAAAGCTCAGCCTGGCTTCTTTTCTGTTGGCATTTGTAGGACTCTCAAAAGGCAATGTCAGGACACATCTTATCCATCATCTATTTCAATCTTTTCATTTTACAGATAACGAAAATGAGGCACAGACTGGGGGAAGTTAGTGGCAGAAATGGAGCTTTAATGTAAGCCCTAGGATCTCCAGTCCAGTGATCTTCCATCGTGTCCAGCTCCCACTTAAAACGTAAATGTGTTAGGAAAGGTTGAAATCAACAGTAAGTGGGAAGTTTAGGGACCCCTGTCTTCTTCATTCATCTATTCTTCACTCGCTATCTCTCCATTTCCTAAATATGTTGCCTGAGATGGGATTAGAGAATAGATTTCATCTTGAAGGCCAAATCTGCTCAATTGGCTGGCAGTGGCTACCTGAAGAGCTACAGAGGACATGGAGTGTCATGACCCATTGTGGATGTCTTTGTGGACAAAGGAATGGTGATGTGCAACAGCCATTCCAGGCTTGGATGTGAACACTACCATAACCCAGCCTCATCTGACGCACCTCGCTTCATATTCTGTCTCCCAAATAGGGGTCCTATATTGGAGTCTGAACCTGACTCAGCCTTCCCAGTGAGCCACAAGGGTATCTTTCTTCTGCTTCTGCATTTTCTTCTTCCATGTGTCTTCCTGCCTGGGCTGCTGTGCATGACTCTCTCCATCTCTCAAGTCAAGCCTCAAGGCCTGTGTCTCCACCCAGCCTTCAGCCCACATGGATGTCCACTGAGCTGTGACTGTACTGAACAATATGCCACCTAATGACACAACCTTGCTCAGGGACTGAGTAAGTTTGTTCCTGTTAGTCTTTTCTCCCCAGTGAAGAATGTTTTTTTGATATCTTCAAGAATAGTAGGGACACAATAAGTTTTCAATAGTTGACATTAGAGTCAATGTGAACAGTGAATTTAAAATTAATTTTTAAAAATATACATGTATATTTTGATTCAGTTAGAAGAGAAGGAGGGCTTAGAGATTTCCTCCCTCTTACCTTCTCCCTTCTCATTCATTGAACCATGACTGCCTTTCAAAATCAATCATAGTGAGATTGACATGAAGGCAGCATTTTCTAAAAATCAAACTCAAGTATAAGCCCAAGTGAATCAATTTAATATAAATTATTGGTACCTCAATAAGTTGAGAGAGATTGTTAAGCCTTCCAAGTGTCATCTTAAGCTAAGCAGATGTTAACTGTCATTTATTCTAGGATTTGGTCCTCAGAACTTAGGAAGGAAGTCAAATACAGATAACGTCCTTAAAGATTTCATTCAGTTCTTTAAATAGAAAAAACCATCATGCAAAAATTTTTACAATTTCTTCCCTCAGCAAAAACCTGCAAGCCTTTTCTTATAAAGAAAGAAAATATAATTATTATCACTGATATTATTATGAGTAAAAATAATGCCAAAGTAATTAATTATTTACCCAGAGGCTGTCTCTAAGAAAGTTGAGAATTTGTATTAGGGGATGAGGGAAGGAAGAATAAAAATTCAGGATCTTTTACTATCATTAAGGCCTCCTCACATATTTTTCCAACTGCTTTTTATTCATAGATAGGATTATTAGTATGTGTTTGCCAACAGGACCAGCCTGGCGGATAACTGAAACCCTGTCCTCTCCATCATCCACCCCCTGTCCCAACAAAGTTCCTTCATTTCCCACTTTGAGTGCCAATATTACCAGAATTTTTGAGTTCTTTTCATGGTTAGCACCTGTGCGTTCATAGACAAGTAGGGAGGCCTCTCAAACAAGTCATCTCCACTGCCCTGAGTTTGGGAAGGTTTTCCTCATGCCCACTTGGCTTTTCAGGGTCCAGTCTCTCAACACCATGAAAAGCTAGAGAGGCAAGGGGGTGGTCTCCTACCCACCCAGGGCTGGGCAGGCTGATGGGGAACTGGTCTCTAGCACACCCACCACCCACAGTTCAGGAAAACATGGAGGACCACCTCTGGCAATCATTTTCAGGCTATGTTTGAAGGCCCGAGGCTCTCCTGAGGTGACCAGGGCAGGGCTCTGAGCTCCCCTCAACGCCTTCCCAAAGTCAGAGCCTCTCTGCTTTAGATCACACTGTGTACACAGTGAGGTTTTAGTGAAATGATTGCATGACAAAGCCCCTTTGCTTTTAAAAAATGGAAAAACGACTTACTTAATAAATGCCCCATTGCCTTAGAATTCCATGGTGCCGAAAACAGCTTTTTCAAAAAGCGTTTGCTCAAAATACCCTGGGAATGAAAAGTTGTGGAGGATACAGGAACTAAAAGCAAAGCTTATTTGGTCTGATTTTTTTTTTTCCCTAAGAAGAAGAAAAACATGAGTATCAAATTTAAAAACATTTGCTGAGAAGTCTAACAAGACAATTTCATAGATTTTTGTTTTTTAAAGTCAGACAAAGTTTTAGAAACAAATTGTTTTTGGAATCAACAGAAGCTTTTTATTGTACCAGGTAAGAACATTACAAAAACAAAACAAACAAACAAAAAAACACCAAAACAATCAGAAGAAAAATCCCCATTATCCATCTTTTAAAAGGGAATCTTTACCACCAAAAACATAAGAAGGACATAATATCAGAAGAGAGGACAGATCTTTTAATAAAAGATATTGAGCTTTGTGAAAATGTAGCCCATGTCTATATTTTTCTTGTCTTGCTATGGACAGGTGGAAATTCCATCAGACTCTGGTCTTTTGGTCTTTAGATGGTGGGGAATTCCCAGAGGAGTGAGAAGATTGGGGTTGGAGTGGCCCACGTATGTCTCCCAGGCCTCTTATTTCTCTCTGGTGGTGGTGGTGGTGGTGGCGGTGGTGATGGCGGTGGCGGTGACGGTGGCGGTGGCGGTGGCGGTGGTGGCGGCGGCGGCGGTGGCGGTGGCGGGCTAGTAAGACCTCTGCGTGTCTGAATGTCTGGAGCCCTGCTCACTCATCCTGTCAAGTCTGGCCGCAGTCTGGGAGCCAGCGGGGCAGTGTTTGTGGAGCCAAAGTGGAGATTAAGTCATGTTTTAGAGG
This sequence comes from Homo sapiens, assembly GCF_000001405.40. Classification (NCBI taxonomy): domain Eukaryota; kingdom Metazoa; phylum Chordata; class Mammalia; order Primates; family Hominidae; genus Homo; species Homo sapiens. Next base: position 35,419,068 of record NC_000007.14, read on the forward strand.
TGACCTCTGTCCACCCCTTTCTGCAGGCGTCCCTTCCCCTCCGGCCTCACCCCCTAGCAACTCCCCACCTACTTGCTGTTGCTCTGTACAAGCCCCTCCCAGCCATCACAGACCCCGCAGGGCTCCCTGCACACCCACCATCACCTCCCGACCCCCGCCCACCCCCACGGTTGCCTTCTCCTCAAATGGACCTGGTCTTTGTTGTTCTAATTAGATTATCTCTGCCTTAGGGACCTAAAGGACCGTCTCTAGCAGCTCTGGCTGGAAAGGCAGGTCACATAATCCCTGTTATCAAGAGGCTTGTCATTTAGCATGTAGATCAACTAATTCTTTCAATACCAGGGGAATAATTGTGCATCTTAATATTGATTTTTTTGGAGATACAATCGCCTGCATTCCTGAATCAGACTCACTTACTGAAGCTAAAAGGTTCCACTCACTATATTATGAAACCACCCCCACCCCGTCACATGCTCCATCCGAATTTAATGCTACAAAGCTGGACACATCTGAAGGGCTTTGTGTTTTTCCACTTGGTTCAATTTCAGAATGAGCCTCCTGTTGAAGAGAAACAGAAAAAAAGAATTCTGGCTATTTTTAAGACAGTGTGTGTGTTTTTGTTTGGGGCAGGGAGAAGGGGATATTCTGCCGACGTCCTCCACTCCCTAGGCTTTGTGGTGCAGTGTTGTTGGGGTCCCAGTTTAATGAAGCCAGCCTATTAGGTTTCTATGTTTTATGATGAATTAGTAGGTTGGGCTTTCCAATGAGGCTGGGGACATTTTCCTATCAAATACCCTTCCAGGGAAGTGGGAGGCAGAGAAAGAAAAATTTGAGCTGTGGCAGTAAGAAAAAAACGCCACCTTCCCAAGGGGTGAAAAATGCACTGAGATTCGGGACAAGCAGAGGTGTTGCTTCCACATTGGGAAGGGGTGTGAGGCAAAGGACATAGCAGCCAAGGGCCAGTGCAACTGTTCTACCCAGAAAATCAGTGCCCCTGCATCCTAGGTGCTTGCTGCAATAAAGCTCTTCTTCAGTCATTGTTAATAACCATGATAACTATTGACACTCTTTGCAAAGATCTGCCCCAGGTTTGGCACAGAGCAGCAGCATTGCCTTCCAAACGTTATACACATCAGCCCTCTTCATCTTCACAGACAAGCCTGTGAGACATGTTCTACTCATTGTTCCCATACTGCAGATTAAACCACTGGGATCCAGAGAGATTATATGATTTGCCTGAGGTCCTCAAATTAATAAACCCAAGGCTGCTCCTAAACTTGTAGTCCTAACTAGAACACTGTTCTTCATTCTTCTGATGTTGATAAGGGGTTCATTCATTTATTCCATTATCTTCTCATTCATACTGAAAAGATTGCTCACCTTACAGGTTCTATGTGCCAAGGATAGAAAAAGGATGCATGGTGTACAGTGGTAGACAGACAAAAATAAAATAAATACTACACACATCAAATAAGATGATGCCTGCTCCCATAGAGAGATGAACAAAGTGCAGTAGGAATACTGGAAAGGGATCTTTCTTAAAGATTTCACACAGGTTTTAAGATATAAGTTGTTTTGTTTTGAAAAAGTCATTGAAAATGATTAGATGCCTGAGAGAGAAGGGGGAAAGGACTGAACTAAGAGAAATTCTCATTAAAAGTCTGTTCTGTATACAAGCTAATGAAATCATGCTACTTTCCTTTGTATTTATGTGGAATCTTCTATCCAGGGCTCTAGATATGCATTGACATTTTATTGCTTGCAAAGTGAAACTAACAAAGTCTTCAAACGGAAGCGCAGAGGCAGTGGACTTCCAAACACTCTTAATGGAGTTCCAGTATGCACTGGGACTGAGATACTGATACATGACTTTTTGTGATTATATTCCGTAGCAAATTAAGAAAGAATTATAGTTCACTTTTTGTTGTTAAATTATAACGCAGTGTGTGGTTAATCAGACTTGTAGATTTACTTCCCAGAGCTACTTTTGCTGCATTGTTTTACTTAGCTGTCTGCCTGATGCTATTGGACTGCAAAATCTTTGTGGAACATGCTACAAGGGCTTAGTTCAGTGTCTGGCACACAGTAGGTGCTCAATATATATTTGTTAAAATAAAAAATGAATGCATGAATGAATCAACAAATGCCTGTAAAACATCTCTTGAAAGCAAATCTTATACCCATTATACCATGGGTCTGCACCATGACTCTATCATACTTTTCTGGAATAATCCCAGCTTTAAACATTCTGTTCCCTTGTCCTCACCGACCATCAAGATGACCATTTTAATATTTGAGCTTCCAGCTAGCAGCTTCTTGTGCCCAAAACCAATTACTAAGATTCTTTATCAGAATCATGCGTCCCAAATGTCCTATTGGGAAACAAGACCACCATTGCAAAAGAGAAGCTATATTCTTGGGTAAGAAAGTAGACACCATTAGGGGGCATGAGAATAAGGATCTTGAACTGCAGCCCAACCATTTGGGGTCTAATAGTTTTTGGTGTTCTCATTAACGGAAGGGACACTTTACATAATATTTATTCACTCCTCAACAAATGCTTTTTGAATTTTCCAAGAATACTGAACATGTATCAACTGCAGGAAATTCTGTATAAAATTTTGATGAGGATTTGATTGACAATATTTGACTTGTCAGCCTGGATCCTCATTCAATTTGTCCAACATGAATTTTGTTATTTTCAAGGCTTAAACATCAAAAAAATCATAGCATCGTAGTAGTAATGAAGAACCCCAAACTTGAAGTGGGCAGTTGTTATAGTCTTTCTTGCCCATCAACTTTTGTTTATTTTTATTTGTATAAACTGATGGGGTACATGTGTAATTTTGTTACACTTGTAGTTGAGTACTGGTGAAGTCTGGGCTTTTAGGGTAATCATCACCTGAATAAGGTACATTGTACTCATTAAGTAATTTCTTATCATAACCCCCCACCCCCCAAGTACCTACCCTTTCCAGTCTCCATTGTCTATCATTCCATACTCTATGTCCATGTGTAAACATTAGTTAGATCCCACTTATAAGTGAGAGCATGCAGTATTTGGTTTTCTGTGTCTCAGTTATTTTACCTAGGATAATGGCTTCCAGTCCCATCCATGTTGCTGCAAAATACATGATTTCATTCTTTTTAGTGGCTTAATAGTACTCCATTGTGTATATATACCACATTTTCTTTTTCCATTCATCTGTCGAGGGACACTTAGGTTGACTCTGTATCTTTGCTATCGTGAGAAGTGCTGCAATGAAGTGCAGGTATCTTTTAGTAATAATTTTTTACTTTTGGTAGATACCCAGTAGTTGGATTGCGGGATCAAATGGTAGTTTTAGTTCCCATCATCTTTAAAATAACCTCCCTTTATTAGCTGAAATATCCATGTCTCCCAATATAGAAGTTGGAAATGAAGTTACTTGCCTCCTTCATACCCAGGACACAACATTTGTCCTGTGGGTTCATCAGTCAGTTGTACCTGGGAAAGACTTCCACATGGAAGATCCTATTGCAGAAATGTCCTCAAAAGGGATGGAAAAACTGGTGCAGTAAAGCTGAATCTCTGGCACTAGGTATTCAGCAGTGTCAGAGACAATGATTTTCTTGCCAGGCCATTTTCTGTTCAGAGTTTGGGTGTTGCTCCTAGGAGCTGAGCTTCAGGTCCCTCTCTCTAGCCCTTCCCCCAATTCTGTGAGTTCCTTCATATTCATTAATAAATTCTTTTCCTGCTTAAACTAGTCAGAGTGGATTTTGGTTGCTTTGCAACTAGAAACATGGACTGCCACAAAAGGTGACATTCAATAGTAAAAATAGTCTTGACACTCACACAGAGTACATCATCTGGCAGTCCAGGGTGAACAGTGAGTATGTCTCCGCGTGCAGTAACAATGGGTTGAAAAGTCAAAGAGTTTCAATCACACAGAAATCCTAGCAACTAGTTTGTTGTAATATGGCTAGGGGTTTTCTGGTTGGACATATTACTATGTTTAATCAAACAACTTGGAAGACAATCCAGACTGCCCTGTTATTTAAGAAAATACTCATTTGGAATATCCAAGTGATTGTTCCTAGGGCTGAGCCTATTGTTTCCCAGCTTTAACGCAGGAGTAAGTTTTTGTGTTTTATGAATCCGTAATGCCTATTGTATTGGTTTGCCAGGGCCGCCATAACAAAGTACCACTGACTGGGTGGCTTCAATAACAGAAATATATTTTCTCACAGTTCTGGAGGCTGGAAGTCCAAAACTGAGGTGCTGGCAGGGTTGATAGCTTCTGCGGCTTCTCTCCCCAGTTTGCGGTCCTAACATCGTTGCCCCTCAGTCTGTGTCCTGATCTCCTGTTCTTATGAGGACACTTGTCATATTGGATTAGAGCCCACCCATAAAACCTCATTCTACCTTAATCACCTCTTTAAAGACCCTATCTCCAAATACAGCCATATTCTGAGGTACTGGGGGTTAGGACTTCAACACAGGAATTTGGGGCAAGTGACACACATCAGCCCATAACATCCGTGTTCCTCTAAATTATTTAAATCTAAGACTGATTTGGAGAAGCTAATTTCAAAAGTTACCACTACATATGTTTATTTTGACATAAATCTTTACAGTGAAAGGATCTATTGGTTATTACATGAAAATTCCATTTCAGAAAGTGAGGTTAGACCTCTCCCTCCCCACACCCTCTATCTACCCTTGAAAGTTTGCTTTTTAAGGAACTAAAATGAGAACTAAACAGCTTTTAAAGACTGGTCTTCTCCATATCCAGTCTTCCTTGCTCATCAAGTCTGCACTAAAATCCTACTTTCACCACGAGGCCTCTCCTATCCTCCCCCAGCCACATGGGCTTTCTCCTCTTCTAAACTCTGAGAACACATTAATCATGGCTCCCTGGCAACACAAACTTCTACCTTGGAATAGAGTTTTCTGTCCACATGTTTCGTTTTCCCTGTAGATTAGATATTCCTTAAGGACTTGCCTGATTCATTTGTGGTACATACTTGTCCAGCAAGGAGGTAGCAGGGTATATCTACTGCCCTGTTCTCGTGGCTTGATATGAAGGGCCCCTTTCCAATGTTATTTTCCAAATATCCTTTCTCCAGTGCTTTATTGCCAGGCCTCTGAAATTATACTTCCCTTCTTGTCACTCCCAAATACCTCCAGCATAACCCTCATCAGACTTTCTCGGTCTTAGTCTTTCTCCTTCTTTTACAACCCCAGTGACCTTCATCAGCAATAATGAATATTGCTGAAGTCCTCTCCCTTTCTGTCTCATCCTTGGGTGGAGGGTAGAGGGAGGGTCCTTGCCCTGACAAGCAATGCAGCATACTTTTATGGATATAGGGTATATGGGAGCTCCTAGTCCCACTACAAAGCCCCAGGCTCTACAGTGGCAAATGCAGAGATCAAATGGGCCACTCCAGATAAAAGCCTCAGAGGAGATGGAATTAAGATGTGAGCCTTTGTGTTCATTGCAGTACTGTTCACAATAGCCAAGATGTGGAAACAACCTAAATGTTCACTGACAGATAAATGGACAAAGACAATGTGGTATATCCATACAACGAAATATTATTCAGCTTTAAAAAAGAAGGAAACTCTGCTATATGCAACAACATGGATGAACCAGTAGGACGTTATGCCAAGTGAAATAAGCCTGCCGCGGAAGGGAAAAAACTGCATGACTTCATTCATATTAGGTGTCTAAAGTAGTCAGATTAATAGAAACAGACAGTAAGTAGAATGGTGGTTGTCAGGGGGTGGGAGAAGGGGGAAACAGGGAGTTGCTGTTCAACTGGTATAAAATTTCAGTTATATGAGATGAATTTGTTCTAGAGATCTGCTGAACAATTTTGTGCCCATAGTTAACAATACTGTATTGTGCACTTAAAAATCTGTCAAGAGGGTAGATCTCTTGTTTAGCACTCTTACCACAATTAAAAAAAAAAAAAAAAAAAAGTAAGATGTGAGCTGGCCCACCCAGCAGAGGGCAGTGCAGTGCACACAACCAACCACTGCAGCTAGTGGCCACAGGAGGCCTGGACTGATCCTGTGGCTGAGCAACGGCACAGGTGTTTTTCCTTGAGCGGGGGAGCTGGGTGGCAATTGTTGTTTCTTTTTGTTTGATTCTACTTTGTTTTCATCTTAAAATCCTGGTTTTGTTAAAGTGAAATTTTTTTCTTAAAAATTGACACCAGCAATAAAAATGATGTGTTTCTTCCTCCAAACTTGAAGAGTGGAAGAAAATTAAAGTTCATTTGGATATGGTGCAGATTCTAATAACATATATCAGTTTACAGTTGGGCACGCTCATAGCTGTAATTTCAGCCTTTGGGAGGCCAAGGCAGATGGATCACTTGAGCCCGGGAAGCCAAGACCAGTCTGGGACACATAGTAAGACCCTGTCTCAACAAAAAACATCAAAAAAATTAGCCAGGCATGGTGGTGCACACCTGTAGTCTCAGTTACTTAGGTGGTGGAGGCACAAGAATCAACTGAGTCTGGGAGATGGAAGTTGCAGTGAGCTGAGATCTCACCACTGCACTCCAGTCTGAATGACAGAGCAAGATCCTGTCTCAAAACAAACAAGCAAAAAGCATATGTCAGCACACTAAACTATTGTTCTTTATTGACTGTCTTTAAAAAGTCTTCAATGTTTATGCTTTGAGTAGTAAAACAGAGAAGGCAGCACTCAGGTGTATCTGCACCTTCTCCTTTGAGAAAAAAATCCACAGGTGCCACACAAATAGGACATTTACTATTTCCTTTAAAATAACAAGATAGAGCAAAATAATTTGTACTCATAGGGAATCCAAGAAATTCTAATTTATTTCACAGGAATTACTGCATTTAATCTGCCCCAGCTGCCTCTGTTACTCAAGGAGCAGATATGAGATGCCTACAAAAGGCCTCAGAAATACTGAATTAGTCTATAAATGTGCTTAGCATTGAGGTGGTGAATTGTTTATAGGTGTTCAATGGAAATAAATCAAAGGGCATCAGAGAAAAAATAAGTAAGTTTTCTTGCCGATAAAAGAAAACACACCTCTCAGCTATGTCTGAGAAATCCTTTGTCAGGACAAGGGACATGCAGTAGATTACTCAGGAACTGCTGAGGTTTGTAAAAGCTAACTTCATTCCAATAGGACAAGGTGGGGCTGGTTTTCTAAGGCTAAAATGTGGGATACAGAAGAAGTACCTTTCTAGAGATTAGGTTTGTTCAGTTGAAGGGTGAAGTGGGGCATTAGGTCCTTGGGTGACAGAGTGAGGAGGAGATGACACAGAGCAGGGGAGAGACTGGAGGAGGAAAGAACAGTATTCCGCTACCTCCCCCTACCCCCTGAGGCTTTGACTGATTCCAGGGAAGTATGCACCTGATAGGAAGAGTGAACACTGCAGAGGGCGTGACAAATTATGTGAGGCTCCCATCTCTTTCCAAAGAGAGGACTCACCCTCTTTGCTCATCTCAGTGTCTTTAATATTTTCTCAATAGCCATCCACATTGATCCTAGGCAAGTAGCCTTCATGAAATGCAAATAATTAAGAAAACATGTAGTTAGCCTTCCTCCATGTTCAGGTAGTATCCATGTAGTATTTCTTATTTTACTATGGACTAAGGCTGGAGTACTTAGGTTGGATGATTGAGTGATTTTCTTTTCTATCTTGGTCTTGTTTTGTCTGTTGGAAAAGTATAATTTGTGATTATCTGCATAAAATGTCAACCTTGGGTGATGTCTGAAAAAAATGGTGAAGTTAGGACCTCTGAAAATTCTTTCCTCCGTCAAAGGAATCTGACAAAAATGATCAGAATCAACTTTTTCAGAGCTCTAAAAATTAAATAAAGGTTTACAACAAGCAGTGGGGTATATATTCAAGAACAAAATATCTGAATCTTGGTAAGAACAGCAAGCTTTGTAGCATTTTGTCTTGTCCTAGTCTCAGCTCTCCCTGCCCTGCAGTAGCCTTGAAAAATAACTACCCATAATCATTGTGAAAATCAGCAGGCTAGCAGTCACCAAATGGAGGCTGGAGCTCTTTCAAAGCATCTTTTTGCAAGAATTACCATAATTTTCCCTGTCTGGTAGTTCCCTGGAAGACTTCCCTGACAAAGTTGTCTTTATTTAACCTGTTTTGGAGCTCAGCCAGTGCAAAAAGCCTCCAGACCCCTATCCCCCACAAACAAAAATCCTTTTCTCCAAGGGGCATTGGTTACAGGCAGTTGTTTAACTTCATGGCTGCCTGAGGCAGAGAATAGCAGCTGGAAAAAACAATAGACAAACCAAAAACTTTAAAGGAAAACTGGGAAATTAGATGGTCATAGGGGATTTGAAAAACTCCAACACGTTCAAGGGAATCTGGAAGACTACACACACATATTAGGCTGTACACATGTTCAGGAAACACCAGAAAGGGCCCTAAGTTCTCACCTCTGGCTGACCTGTAGGCTCTACACAAGCAGGAAATGAAGGCTAAGGCAGAGTTTCCAACCACTTTGCTGAGAATTGAATGTGTGCCCTAACATGCAAACATTGGGAGTCAATCATTGGCAAAAATTTGGAGGCTTATTGTTTCCAGGGAGTTAAGAAAATAATTGTCCAATAATCAGATGACCACTAAGCTGAGCAGAGACTTCAACAGCCACCTATGACAAAAATACAGACTTTACAGAATTAGTCCAGAGAAGTCACTAAATAAACAAACAATAATAACAACAAAAAGACAACATATTAATAACAGAAGGAAATTTACAGATATGTGGCACTTAAATAATATATTTCTACAAAACCAATGAGTCAAAGAAATCACAGGGGAAATTAGAAAATATTTTGAGATTCATCAAAATGAACATGCTACACACCAAAACTTACAGGATGCAATAAAAGCAGTGTTTAGAGGGAAATTTATGGCATAAATGCCTATAATAAAAAAGAAGAAACATCTAAAATCAATAAAATGTCATCTTATACACATTTTGGTATATTTTCTAAAGTGGTAAAAAAAAAAAAAAAGAAAATGGGGGGCGAGGGTAAAGGTTAACTAATGCTGTGTCTATTTCACCTATTTGCTTTTCCTCCTTGGAAAATTTTTGAGGGATTTTGTCGCAATCTGAGTAGGACCATTGAAATGTGTCACACATCTTTCACAATGTTATCAGTGAAAGAGGCTTAGAAGGACAAAAAAATGAGAACCACTGGCCTAGACCAGTCTTTACAAAATGCGAGGGTATCTGATAGGGTGTGATTAGGGAAGCAGAATCCCTATGAGTGCTATGAAATAAGGAATTTATTAAAGGAATTACACCAGTACTATTCCATAGAGCTTTCTGCAATTATGGAAGTGTTATACTTCTGCACTGTACAATAACACAGGCACTAGACACATATGTGAAATGTGGCTAGTACAATTGAGAAAATGTTGCATTTTATTCCATTCTAATTCATTTTAATTTTAATAGTCACACATGGCTAGTGGCCACTGTACTGGACAGCACAAGATTAGGTCTTATCCAATTACAAGGCTGGTGAAGAAGTCTACAGTCTGCTCATGGTCAACAGAGGAAAGAGAAGCTGACTGTGAAGTGGAGGAAAGGGGGGAAAAACTGGAAACCACAAGAAGAGATGACAACCCATGTCTGCCTCTCAGCACCTTCAACCTTGGTGATGTGACCTGCATAAGAAGACAGTGCCCTTTGCCTCAGCACTGCACATGCACCTCGCTCAAGGCTCAGAGAAGCTGAAGGGGAGATCCAGCAAGAGCTGCAGTCTTGGCCTCTACCCTACTTTAACAAGGTAAGCCAACAGATCACTGACAAGGTTTATGGTCTGACTTTGGAGTATAATGGCTACTGTGTCACTGCCATGAATGTTTCCTGGGTCCACCCTAACTCAGAAACACACAGGGAAGGAAATTCTGGGCAATTCTGTACAATACCAACCATCCCAGAAGGCCCAGAAAGGGACAATGCCAACTCTTACTTCCGCTCTCCTTGGGCCCCTCCTCAATTCCAATGGATATAGCTTGGCTGGACCCTTTGTCCTTCTCTTATCCTTTACTCTTGAAGTACATAGAAAACAGGCCATCTTGGATTTGGCCAGGGCCTGTCTGGTGACTGGTGACTGACAGTACTGGGCTGGGCTCAGCACCAGTGTTTGGGGAGTGTGACCGAAGATGACCAACTAGATGCAGCCAGGAAACGCCTCTAGAACCAAGAAAAAACAAAATACCAAGTAAACCATCATACTTTGAACAGATCTTTTGAGAGAAAATAGACACCATGTTTGAAGAGGGAGGAAGCTGGGAAGCCTGCATGAAGTCACTGAGCACCAGGGCTGTCTCCAAGTCTTGAAGAGGTCCTAAGGAAGGGGTGAACGAAGGAACTCCAGGGGACCACACTCCCACTGCAGACCTCTGAGATCCTAGCTGCAAGAGATCCCACGACCTCCATAGACATTTGAATTGGCAGAGGAAACTGCACAGAGAGCAGACAGAAGCAGAGCGCAAACCTGAGTGGAGCCCAGAAGGTTTCAGAGCCTGCGGTGTAGCTGCAGCAAAATGCGACCATAAGTGCTCATTCCCCAAGACACTCTATCTTTCTCTGAGTGCCTGTAGCTCCTGCTTACTGCCAGGCCGCAAAAGACAAAGGCTACCTTTCCTGCATGACCAGAGTGCATCTGATCTGTATGCACCCTTCGTCCACTGACCCCTCCCAAGACCACCTGCCTGGCCACTCCCACAGGAGGGTACCTACAACACAGCCTCCACTGCCCCACCGGAGTGTTTTGCCAGCAGCCTGGGAGTAGTTCAGTCCCCCAAGCATGGCTGGCCCTTAACCCTGAGGGGTCAGTGGAAAAAAAAAATGCAGGCCTGGTCCCACCCGCCCGAGGATCTCAGCACATCACCCAGGGTTACTGAGCTGAGATCTGTGGCCTGAGCTTAAGTGGAGGAGGAGGCCCCCTCTCTCAGAACACTAAGAAGATTGTGACGTGGGTTCATGTGCCACTGTAGAAGCTGGGCATCCCTCCATTTGCAAGCCCAGTCTAGGAAAGATGTAGCCTGTTAGCCAGCCACAGCTTTTGTCCCAAAAAGCCTCACAGCCTAGAACACCTGGAACAGTCCAGTGATCTGGGCACAGAAGGCTGGAACAAGTCTAGCTGGTTGGGTCTGCACTTGAGGCAGATGCCGGAGAGAGACCTGATCAGGGGAGTGTGAGTTGCGTGGGTCCCACAACAGTCTGCTGGGCTAAAAACCTCAGGCCATGGGTGGCACACCAGTTACATACCCACAGTACCACCATCTTGCCTGGGGATCCTCCACTCCTGACCCACTGCATCACCAGTCCAACCACAGACATACCCCACAACCAGCTCTGACTCTGACAAGTCCAGAGGACCAGCAGGTCCCCAGGGAGTTGTGGGTCTCCTGGTGACCTAACTTTTGACTTGGACTGCTCCTATGGGAGGAGGGAACACAGCCTGCCAAAGCCCCCTTGAGGTTAAGGAAATACAAGCTCGGCTCCGGTAATTGAAGGGGGTTCCACCAAGGCCCAGGAACAGACTTGGTGATGGAGTCATCTCTTGCCACCTCCTCCCCGCCTCCTCAGAGCACTGCTGCATATGCGCTGAAATACAAGAGGCCTGCAGCTCAGTAAGGGCCTATCTTCTGGCCCTTACTCTTAAGCGCCATCTACTGCACCTTAGCCTGCATTACACCACCAAACAAAAACATCTTCAGCATGCAACGGCTATGAAACCCATTCAAAACTCAGGTTCTCTGACACAAAGGTCCTCTACAAAGCCTTGGTCCTCTGAAACCACCGAGAAATGAAGCCAATTACTATACACAACATACACCATAGTCAAACCCTCAAGGGAAAAAAATATATAAAAACAAAAAGCTTTATCCAAATGACAGCAATTTCAAAAAGAAAAATAAATACTAGCCCTCAGATGAGAGTCAGCACCAGGACTCCAGCAATTCAAAAAGTCAGTATTTTCTTACCTCTAAAGGACTGCACTAGTCCCTCACAATGAATCCTAATCAGACTGAAATGTCTGAAGGGACAGACATAGAATTCAGAATCTGAATGGCAAGGTAGTTCAACAACATTCAAGAGAAAGTTAAAATCCAATTCAAGGAAGCCAGGAAAATGATCCAAGACTTTAAAGATTACATAGCCATTTTAAGAAAGAATCAAATTGAACCTCTAGAATTGAAAAATCCACTACAGGAATTGCAAAATACAGTTGGATGCATTAACAACAGACTAGATAAAGCTGAAGAAAGAATTTCAAAGCTCAGAGACTGGTCCTTTGAGTCAACCCAGTCAGACAAAAATAAAGAAAAAAGAATTTTTAAAAAAGAACAAAGCCTCCAACAAATATGGGATTATGTAAAGAGACCAAACATACAATTTAATAACCTTACTAAGAGAGAAGGAGAGAGAGTAAGCAACTTGGAAAACATATTTGGGGAAATAACCCATGAAAATGTCCCCAACTACAATAGAGAGGTCATTATGCAATATCAAGAAATTCAGAGAATCCCTACAAGAAACTATATAAGGTGACCATCCCCAAGACACATAGTCATCAGACTTTCCAAGGTCAGTGTAAAAGAAAAAATTCTTAAAGGCAGCTAGAGAAAAGGATCATATCACTAAGGGAACCCTATCAGGCTAACAGTGGACTTCTCAACAGAAACTATACAAGCCAGAAGAGATTGGGGGCCTATGTTGAGCATCCTTAAAGAAAAGAAATTCCAATGAAGGATTTCGTTTTCTGCCAACCTAAGCTTCATAAGCAAAGGAAAAATAAAATCCTTTACAAACAAGCAATTGCTAAGGTAATTCATTACCACTAGATGAGCTTTACCAGATATCTTTAAGAGAGTTCTTTTTTTTTTTTTTTTTTTTTGAGACAGAGTCTCACTCTGTCGCCCAGGCCGGAGTGCAGTGGCGTGATCTCTGCTCACAGCAAACTCTGTCTCCTGGGTTCACGCCATTCTCCTGCCTCAGCTTCCTGAGTAGCTGGGACTACATGTAGGCGCCTGCCACCAGACTGGCTAATTCTTTGTATTTTTAGTAGACACGGGGTTTCATCATGTTAGCCAGGATGATCTTGATCTCCTGACCTCGTGATCCGCCCACCTCGGCCTCCCAAAGTGCTGGGATTACAGGCATGAGCCACCATGCCCAGCCAAGAGAGTTCTAAACCTGGAAAGGAAAGAAGGATACCTGCCACCCTAAAAACACACATAAGTTCATAATCCATGGACCCCATAAATCAACTACACAATTGAGACTACAAAGCAACCAGCAAATAACACCAAAACAGGATCCAAATCTCACATATCACTATTAATCTTTAATGTAAATGGTCTAAACGCTCCATTCAAAAGGCACAGAGTGGCAAGTTGGATATAAAACCAAAACCCAACCTTCTGTTGTCTGCAAGAGATTCACCTTACATGCAATGACATCCATAGGCTCAAAGTAAAGGAGTGGAGAAAGATTTATCACACAAACAGAAAACAATAAAGAGCAGGGGTTGCTATTCTTGTATCAGGTAAAACAGACTTTAAACTAACAATAGTAAAAAAGAACAAAAAAGCTATTACATAATGATAAAGGGCTCAATTCAACAAGAAGACTCAACTATCCTAAATATATGCACACCCAACACTGGAGCACCCAGATTCATAGAACAAGTACTTGTAGACCTACAAAACGTCTTAGACAGCCACACAATATGGGGAAATTCAACGCTCCACTAACAGCATTAAAACAGATCAAGGCAGAAAATGAACAAAGAAATTCTGATCTTAAACTTAAAACATGACCAACTGGACCTAAAACACATCTACAGAATTCTCCATCCAACGACCACAGAATATACATTCTCATCTGCAGATGGAACGTACTCGACCATGCTCAGTTGACCATGTTCCACTAGACCATGGAACAAGATCAGACACATGCTCAGTCATAAAACAAATCTCAATAAATTTTAAAAAATCAAAATCATAGCAAACATATTCTCAGACCACAATGAAATAAAAATACGAATACCAAGATGATCTCTCAAACCACACAATTACATGGGGACTACACAACTTGCCCCTGAATGACTTTTGGGTAAACAATGAAATTAAGGCAGAAATTTTAAAAATTATTTGAAATAAATGAAAACAGACACAACACACCAAAATCTCTGGGAAGCAGCAAAAGCAGTGTTAAGAAGAAAGTTTATAGTTTCAAGATACAAAATCAATGTACAAAAATCAGTAGCATTTCTAGACACCAATAACATTCAATTGCTTTTGAGGGCTTAGCTATAAATTATTCACCATGAATGATGTCCAGAATGGTGTTTCCTAGGTATTCTTCTAGAACTTTTATAGTTTTCGGTCTTATATTTAAGTCTTCTATCTATCTTGAGTTTATTTTTGTATATGGTGATAGCTAGGGGTCCAGTTTCATACTTCTGCATATGGATATAAGTCAGTTATTCCAGGCTCTCAAGCCAAGTCAATAACAAAATCCTATTTACCATAGCCACAAGAAAATAAAATAAAATAACCTAGGAATAAATCTAACCAAGGTGGTGAAAGATCTCTACAGGGAGAACCACAAAACGTTGTCAAATAAATAATAGATGACACAAACAAATGGAAAGACATTCCATGCTCATTGATTGGAAGAATCAATATTTTTAAAATATCCATACCGCCAAAGCAATCTACAGATTTAATGCTATTCCTGTTAAACTTTACCAATGCCATTTTCCACAGAATTTTTAAAAAGTATTATGAAATTTATATGGAACCAAAAATGAGCCCAAATAGCTAAAGCAATTCTAAGCAAAGGGAGCAAATTTGGAGCCATCATGCTACCTGACTTCTAACTATACTACAAGGCTACAGTAACCAAAACAGCATGGTACTTGTACAAAACCAGACACATAAACCAATGGAACAGAATAGAGAACCCAGAAATAAAGTTGTATATCTACAACAAACTGATCTTCAACAAACTTAACAAAAATAAGAAATGGGAAAAGGACTTCCTATTTAATAAGTGGTCCTGGGATAACTGACTTATATCCATATGCAGAAGTATGAAACTGGACTCCTAGCTATCACCATATACAAAAATAAACTCAAGATAGATAAAAGACTTCAATATAAGACCGAAAACTATAAAAGTTCTAGAAGAATACCTAGGAGACATCATTCTGGACATCATTCATGGCGAATAATTTATGGCTAAGTCCTCAAAAGCAATTGCAATAAAACCAAATTTGACAAGTGAGACCTAGTTAAATTAAAGAGCTTCTGCACAGCAAAAGAAACTATCAACAGAGTAAACAGACAACCTATAGGATGGGAGAAAATATTCACAAACTATGCATCTGACAAAGGTTTACTATCCAGAATCTATAAGGAACTTAAATAAACCAACAAGCAAAAAACAACCCCATTAAAAACTAGCTAAAGGACATGAACAGACATTTCTCAAAAGAAGACATACAAGGAGCCAACAAACATATGGAAAAATGTTCCTCATCACTAATCATCAGAGAAATGCAAATCAAAACCACGATGAGATACCATCTCACACCAGTTGGAATGGCTATTATTAAAAAGTCAAAAAACAATAGATGCTAGCAAGGTTGCAGAGAAAAGGGAATGTTTATACACTGTTGGTGGGAAAATAAATTAGCTCAGCCTCTATGGAGAGCAGTTTGGAGATGTCCTAAAGAAATAAAAATAGAACTACCATTTGATCCAGTAATCTCATAACTAGGTATATTCCCAAAGAAAAATAAAGCATTCTATCTAAAAGACACATGCACTCATGTGTTCATTACAACACTATTTACAATAGCATACGTGGTATCAACCTAGGTGCCTATCAATTATGGATTGGATAAAGAAAATATGGTGCATATATATATGAATACTATATATAAAAAAGCCATAAAAAAGAATGAAGTCATGTCCTTTGCAGCAACATGGATGCTGCTGGAAGCCATTATCCTAAGCAAATGAGTGCAAAACAGAAAACCAAATACCACATGTTTTCACTTATAAGTAGGAGCTAAACATTGGGTACACATGGACATAAAGATCGGAGCGGTCGACACTGGGGACTACAAGAAGGGGGAGGGAGGGAGGAAAGGGTTGAAAAGCTACTTATTGGGTACTATGCTCACTACCTTAGCGATGGGTTCAATCCTACCCCAAAAGTCAGCATCACACAATATACCTTGTAACAAACCTGCACATCTACCCCTCAATCTAAAATAAAAGTTGAAAAATTTTTTAAAAATACACAGAGGCCGGGAGCAGTGGCTCACGCCTGTAATCCCAGCACTTTGGGAGGCCGAGGCGGGCCGATCACGAGGTCAGGAGATTGAGACCATCCTGGATAACACGGTGAAACCCCGTCTCTACTAAAAATACAAAAAAATAGCCACGCGTGGTGACAGGCGCCTGTAGTCCCAGCTACTCCGGAGGCTAAGGCAGGAGAATGGGGTGAACCCTGGAGGCAGAGTTTGCAGTGAGCCGAGATGGCGCCACTGCACTCCAGCCTGGGTGACAGAGCGAGACTCCGTCTCAAAAAAAAAAAAAAAAAAAAAAACACAGAAAGCAGTTTAGAGTTTACTAATCAGTAGTACATTTAAGGTTGCTCTTCTAAAACTAAGGCATTGCACTGAGAAAATTGTCCATTTTATTTATCAAAAGAAAAATTCAGTGAACTTTTACTGACTGTCTGACCATAGTGAGAATCAGAATGAATGAATGCGAATGTCTGTCCTAACAAATCCCTCTGGTTCTACTTCAGTTCCTGCTGTCTCCATATCTTTCATCAGTGTGTGGAAGAAGAATGTGGTGAAACTGAAGTGGCAGCTTGTTCCTGGAGAACAACAAAAATGCACTTAAAATTTACTCCTTAGGAGCTGTCGAAAGAGTTTGGCAATAAATACAAAGTAATGTTCAGAATAAAAAAGAGCAATGATCTATAATCCCATTTTCACATCTATTATAAAGGCCAACCATGTGTTTCATCCAAGACAAACTGATTTTATTAACACAATGACCAGACATGTATAAATGATAATATGAGTTTATTTTATAAGCTTGGATCTCACATTTCCATTTTATTGTAGAGATTCATACTCACCCAATTCTAACAAGAGTTGGATAAACTAGGGTCTTCCTAAAATAACAATGATTATTCTTCACAAAAGAGTCACAAGCAAAGTCTACACTTGAAAATGTCCAGATTGTCTTTCATGCTGTGTGCATTAAGCAATGTTTCGTTTTTAGATCTGGTATATGGACACTATGGATGAATATGTAGATTAATTAGAACAAGTTTATCAAGTTCTTTGAGAGTCTTGGAAGACAAAGTAAAGTAATTCAAGGATTCAGTCCAGACTAAATAGTGTGGCCTAATAGATCAAAACCCTGCAAGAAACCAAGCTGTGGAAAAGTAATAATGTAAATAAAAATGTGATTTCAGTCTCTGCTTGGCGACTGTCCTCCCTCAGGCCACTAAGGCTCGGTGCCATCAGATGCATTAATGCTGAGAAATTGGTCACTCGTGGGGGAGGTGGGGATGGTGAAAAGCTTTTTTGCCTGTAGATCCGGGGGAACTGCTTATAAGCCTGAAATGCATTCAGCTGATGCACCAGACATCAGTTACTGAAGAAGCAGAGGTGAGGAACTTCCCCTAGCATTGACCTAAGAGGATAAACGCATGGCAATGTGCTGAGTTACTTCAACAATGCAGAGACACCCAATGTCAAAATGCCACAGGGCTACCCAGTGTTGCAAGGCTGGAACTGGGTTTGCCATGAGACTTTTAAAGCAGTGGGATTTCTGACTGAACTGTCTGCAAAGATGCAGACCTCCCCAATACGCCACTCCCACCACTCATTGTAGGAAGAGCAGAGTAACATTTGTCCTAGGTAACAATGATGAATGATCCTCAAGTCTTGATGCAAACCAACAGTGCTGGGACCACAGAGTGGCCTGAGCAAAATACATATGGGTAGTAACTAAGACATTTCCAAGGTATTCCTAGTCTTTCAACAGTGCTCTGAAAACGGCATGTGATCCAACCCCTGAAGCTACCAAAGGGTTTAGGAATTTGGCTGGAGAAAAATACAGGGATGAGTATCCAAACTCTAGGCCCGCAAACCCTTTACTCAGATTTGGAAATCTTCCTGGGGCACAGAAGTTTAACAGCAAAGGATTAAGAGGTAGGACATTGGAGTCAGACATCCTGATTTCAGATTCTGATCTATCACTTAATAGCTGTGTAATCTTGTGAAGCGTACTTAACTTCTCTGAGTCCCAGTTTTCTCATCTACATAATGGACATAATTGTAATATTTATGCAAATGAATTAGGACTAGGTTGGTTTGCAAACGGCAGGTAATTTAAGACAACAGTAGTTTTAACAAAATAGTTTATTTCTCTCTCACGTAAACATAGCAGTCCAGATTGGGAATTGCAACCCCATATCAGGAAGGACTCTGTCTTCTTTCACCTATTTGCTTCACCATCTTCAGTTTGTGGCTCTCATCTTCTGGTTGCAGGTGGAACTCCAGCTCCAGTCTTCACACTCACATTCCACACAGAGGAATTAGGAGAACGGGAAAGAAGGGAATGGCCTTTCCCTTTATAGACATGTCTGCAAACTGTACAACACTCTTATTTATCTTCTTTCACTGGAGCTTAATCACATGGCCACATGTGGCTGCAAGAGAGCTGGGGACATGAAGTCTTTATTTTGGATGTCCACATACCCAGATGCAATTGGGAAAGACTACTATGGAGAGGAAACAATGATATAAGGAGATGCACATTATTCTCTGCTACCAAACCTATCCAGCTATCATGAGGACTGAACAAGATAATGCTGGTAAAGTGCTTTGCACAGAGCCCAGGCCAAAGGAAATGTTCCATGAATGGCTGGGATTGCTGCCATCCCTCCTCTACCCAGAGCATCCAGGCTTGGTTCTGTGTTGTCAGGAAGGCACTGCAGCTGCTCGACAGGAGGCAGATGTAGGACATGAAGAGATGCTGTTTGGGGAGCATGGAGGGTGCAGAGGGCTGCTGGTGAGCAGGGCTGAGGCTAGGGTGAGGTATACACCTCAGGTGCAAAGTGCAAGGGATGCCAAATAACTCAGTATTCAAGAAAAAATATTAATGCAGTATTTTACAAATCAAAATGAGGCCGGGTGCCGTGGCTCACACCTGTAATCCCAGCACTTTGAGAGGCCGAGGCAGGTGGATCATGAGGTCAGGGGATTGAGACCATCCTGGCTAACATGGTGTAACCACAACTCTACTAAAAATACAAAAAATTAGCCGGGTGTGGTGGCGGGCGCCTGTAGTCCCAGCTACTTAGGAGGCTGAGGCAGGAGAACGGCGTGAACCCAGGAAGTGGAGTTTGCAGTGAGCCAAGATTGCGCCACTGCACTCCAGCCTGGGGGACAGAGCAAGACTCCATCGCAAAATAAATAAATAAATAAATAAAATAAAAATGAATGAAAAAAACTATAATGAACAAAATATCGTAATTGTAAGTAAAGGCAGTATCTGACTCTGTCTTGCACAACTCACCTCATTCCCTTCACCTAATCCTGGCCCTGCCGATCCCTTCTTTCTGGCAGCATTTTCTCTAGTCTGAGAGAATTAATGCAGTTTTGAAGGAGCTGCATCTGCAATAATTAAATCAGACCCAATAAAATATAAAACACCTAAGGCACGTAGATATCTTTAATCTGTACATTAAAGAAACAACACTATTTTAAATTATAAAACCTGTACCATATAAAACACAAAAAAGAAAATTAAAAGCATCCAAAATTGCCACTAAGAATCTTCATTAACATTTTATTGTCTATCTTTCTAGTTTTAAGCAGTATATTTTCTATTTAAAATGGAATCAATCCAATATATACTATAACCTATATTTTCATTTAACAATATTTCTGTATCATTATTCTTCCATGATAGAATTTTTGTGTGTTACTCATTGTGTGTGTACATCAAATTTAGAGTGTTTCAAAATTTTTTGGTCTTATAAACAATAGATATTCTTGTAGTTAAATTGTTGTTACAATTACCTGTTTATTTACCTGATATAAATTCTTAGAAGGGGAATTGCTAGTCAACCTTCTTAAGATTGCCAAACAGCCTTCCAGAAAGTTCTTCCAATTTATATTTCTCCCAGAAGCATATGAAAACATTTTTCCCATATCCTTGGCGACGTGGAGTATAATCAACTTTTTAAAATCTCTACTGATTAAAATAGTGAAAAACTAAAACATTTTCATTCACATTCCTTTGATTGCTAATGAAGGTCTTTTTCTTTTTTTTCATTTTTATTTAAATTTGTTTAAATAAGTTGCCTGATGAGCTAAGCCCCATGATGGAAGGACGTATGTCTGTTTGTTCATTTAGGTCTCTGGGGCACCTGTAACTGTGCCTGACAAAAATAAGTGCTCAGTAGTTACTGGATGGATGATGTCCAACACTTGTAAGACTTCTTTATCCAAGGAATTAACATTTAGATGAGTTTTACCTTTTTTAGTTTATCATGTGCCCTTCAGTTTTACTTATTGTGTTCTCTGCTACACAGAATTTTTAAAAAATCAAATTAATGTTTTCCTTCATGTTTTCTCTCTCCTTGCCTCAGGATTAGTGATATTATATATACCAAGACTGTGTGTGTGTGTGCGTGTATGTGTGTGTGTATACATTTTTTTTCTATTTTACTTTTTGTTTTTAAATCATGTGGGCCTTATTTTGCTCTCTTTAGAGTGCAAAATAGAGTGTTTCATTTTTCCATATAGTGAGCAATTTGTCTCAAAAGTATTTGTTGAATTACATGCCCTTTCTCAGTCAAATCGAACTGCCATTGTCACTGATGTGAAATGCCTTGTCCTTATCTAAACTTGAATCTCTTTCTGAACTTTCTATTTTTTCATCGGGCTTGCCTCTCTGCACCAGTATCATGCTGCTTTAAAAATTGTTTTGACATCAGCATAGGCAATTCTCTCCTCATTATACATTTTTCTAAAAATTCTCATTTATTCTCCCATGTTTATTATTTCAGGAACACATGTGAATCATATGTTCACATTTTCTTATAAATCTCCATTGAGGGCCAGGTATTGGTGGCTCATGCCTATAATCTCAGCACTTTGGGAGGCCAGGGCAGGAGGCTCACTTGAGCCCAAGAGTTCAAGACCAGCCCGGGTAACATAGTGAGACCGCCAATCTCGAAAAAAAATCCCCATTGAGATTTTATTGATATTGCATAACATTTATAGATTAACTTGGTGACAAAATAGATCATTATAAAAATTCCCTATACAGGGATATCATGTGTCTAGAATTTAATAAAGCATGTTATAGATTCCTTACATATGTCCTGAACATTTTCTATTGAATTTATTCCTAGATATTTTATGTTTTAATTACCATTTTAATGGAATTTTTTCTTTCATTTGTATTTATTTTCTCACTGGTTATTGCTCTAGTATTAAAAAGCTATTATTCTGTACATATTTTTAATAAGCCACTTTACTCAATATTCTTTATATATGAGTTTATTAGTCTTTCCAGATAGACTGTCTTCTGTAAAGTCTTTTTTATTTTTTCCTCTGTATCAATATTTATACCTCTCATTTTGTTTTCTTACCTTATTGCCATTCTTTAAACTTTGAAAGCAATACTTAATAATAATTGTTATAGTAAGTATCTTCCTTTGCCTTGTTTTTAACTTGAAGAGAAATATTTTTACTTTTTTACTATTAATTTCAGGTTATACTAAATTTTTATTTTTTTTTAGGAGTCTCACTCTGTCACCCAAGCTGGAGTGCAATGGCATGGTCTCAGCTCACTGCAACCTCCACCTCCTGGGTTCAAGTGATTCTCCTGCCTCAGCCTCCTGAGTAGCTGGGACTACAGGCGTGCACCACCGTGCCCAGGTAATTTTTGTATTTTTCAGTAGAGACGGGGTTTCACCATGTTGCCCAGGCTGGTCTCGAGTTCCTAACCTCAGGTGATCTGCCACCTTGGCCTCCCAAAGTGCTGGGATTACAGGTGTGAGCCACTGCACCCGGCCAGTATTCTTAATTAGGTTAAAAAAAACTTTATTTCTAAGAATTTTTTTTTAAATCAGGAATGGATGTTGAATTTCATCAAATGTTTTTGATACTAAAGTACTAGTAATTTTCTTTGTTCTAGTAATATGATTGATTACATTAATAAATTTCCTGAAATTATATCATTCTTATATTTCTAGAATAAACTTACTTTGTCATAGTATTTTTAGGATGCAAAGTATTGATCATATACATATCATATATATGGGAGTTTATTAAGTATTAACTTACATGATCACAAGTTCAAACAATAGGCTGTCTGCAAGCTTAAGAAGCAAGGAGAGCCAGTTCAAGTCTCAAAACTGAAGAACTTGGAGTCCGATGTTTGAGGGCAGGAAGCATCCAGCATGGGAGAAAGATGTAGGCTGGGAGGCTAAGCCAGTCTCATCTTTTCACATTTTTCTGCCTGCTTTACATTTGCTGGCAGCTGATTAGATTGTGCCCACCAGATTAAGGGTGGGTCTGCCTTTCCTGGCCCACTGACTCAAATGTTAATCTCCTTTGGCAACACCCTCACAGACAAACCCAGGATCAATACCTTGCATCCTTCAATCCAATCAAGTTGACACTCAGTATTAACCATCACAGACTATTACTTATAATTTTATATTTCATCTATAGTTGGCTCTCTTTGGGGTTCTAATATGTCAAGTTTTGGTATCAGAGTTATCAAGTTTTCTAAAATAAATGGTAAAGATTTCCATTTCCCTTCCTTTTGGCTTTTAATAACACAGGAATTATGTGTTCTTTGATGATTTAAAATAACTTGTCTCTAAGTTTCTCTGGATCCAGTACCTTTAACAATAGATCTTTAACAAAATTTCCTACCTTTTCTATGCTTTTTGTTTTATTTTCTCTATTAAGATTCTCAACTTCTTTTATAAGACTTGATCATTTTCATTTTTATTCTTTAAATCTTTGATTTAATCATGATTTTTGAGTTTATCCACATAAAAATATACATGGTATTTTCACAAAATTTTTCATAATCTCTTTTGTATTTTTGCCTAAGTCTACTTCTCATTATTGATATTTTACGTTGGAATTTTTGTGTATTTTTTCTTTCTTTTTTTGTTTTGATTAGATTCGTGAGGAGTTTGCCAACATAATTGGCTCTTTTCGAAGAATGGATTTGGGATTTACTATCATTTCTTCACTCTTGTAATTAATTTTAATTTCAATTTCGTGCTATCTTCCTCCTGATTCCCCTATATTTCTCTTTCTGAATGGAGTTAAAAGCTCAGATTATTTTGTTGTTTCCTTTCTTTAATAATAAACATACTCGAGACTATAGTTTTCTTTACGGCATATAGCTGTATTAGTTAATTTTTGCTAGGTAACGCTGAAGGAACAAATAACATCAAAACCTCACTGGCTTACAACAGCCCAGGTTTATTTATCTTTTACATTACACGTCCTTTGCATGTTGACTGCAGTTCTGATTAACGTCTTCATTCTGAGATCCAGGCTGAACAAACGGCCTCCTCTCTGGGACATGCTGTTCCTGTGGCTGAAACATACAGAGGCTCTTGGAGCTTCTGCTTGGACAAGGCAAACTTTGCCCCCATTCGCATTCTAGTGGTCAAACCAATGTCACACGTTCAAAGAGAAGGGCATACTGCTGTCACAGGGAGGATGGCAAATAACTGGAAAGATGAACACAGTCAACCCAAAAACTTTGGTAATATATTTTGTTTGAGAGGTAATATTCTTACTGTCATTTTTTAACTGTGATTTTTATTTTTTTCATTCACCCATTTTTAGAAACTAATTTTAAAATTTTTCAGTTCTGAGACCTTTTTTGTTCTAAATTTTTAACATTGTTTTTATTTCTAGTTTTATTGCATCATAGATGGAAAACATAGCCCATATGATTTCTACTTTTTGGAAAGCCTTGAGTTTTCTTTAGTGTGTCAATAAATGATTAATTTCTGTTAAATCCCATTGACACTGAACAGAATATTTTCTCTATTTGTAACCTGTAATTTTCCACATGGATCTTTTAAGCAAATATCATTAATCATATTATCCCAGTCCTCTATATCCTTATTTATTTTGTCTATTTGCTGTGTCTGTGATTGAGCTGAGTGTGTGAAACTCTTGTTATAATCAAAATCTTAGTTTTCCCTTGTACCTCTAATAGTTTCTTCTCAGACGATTTGATGTTTGCTCAATATTTAGAAGGTCAAAAAAATGACTTTAAAAATATGTTGACTGGCTAAAGCACAATTGGTAATTACACTGTGATGATAGCATTTGCCCCTATCAGATGTGTAAGAGGCACTCTTTCATTGCAAATCATTTTCTTAAAAATGTTATACGAAACACACTTGCTTCCCTGAAGTTTTCTCCTTGAATTTTCCTTTGTCCAATATTAATACTGCCAACATTATTCTCTTTTTACCTGTATTAACATGTATATTCATGTCTATCTCCTTTTAAAAATTATTTTCAAACTTTCTGTATCACTTTAAGTATGTCTCTTGTAAACAAAATGTACATTATTTTTAATGAATTCTAAATTTTTTCTTTTTTTTTTTTTGAGAAGGAGTCTTGCTCTGTCACCCAGGCTGGAGTGCAGTGGTGCGATCTCAGCTCACCGCAACCTCCGCCTCCCGGGTTCAAGCAATCTCTAAATATTTTTATGTTTTATGAGAGTTTTTAAATCATGACTAGGTATTGTGAATTTAATGTCCTTGTCATTGTGTTAGTTCTTCTGTTATGTATGTGTAGTATGCATGCACAGTCTTTTCCATTTCTTTTAACTAATAATATAGTCTGTTATAAATTTCACAATTTGCAGATAGGCATGGCTATCCACAAATGTAGAAATTATCCATCCTTACTAAACTTTGAAGAAATATTTTGGCCAACTAATTCCAACTGAAGTGTCGCTACTTCACAAGAGGGCTGGAGCCATTGCTAAAGTTCACCTAAATCTTATATGAAAAACAGAAAAAGGCAATTATAAACTTATTTTTTTAAACACATAAAAGATAATCTCTCTGAGACTCAGTTTTGATTGCAAAAAAAGAAGAGAAACAGGTGCTGTAGAGCTAGTTCCTATGTAAGAATTAGAATGTGCTTATTTAAATACTTGTGATTGTTTTGAACTAGTCTAATGAGTTCTCTCTGTTTGTCTAGGACAAGTATCCTTGGCTATTCAACCACATTTCCACTATTAATATTTTTCTTTTTCTTTTTGAGACGGTCTCACTCTGTCACCCAGGCTGGAGTGCAGTGGCTCAATAATGGCTCACTGCAGCCTTGACCTCCTGAGCTCAATCAATCCTCCCGCCTCAGCCTCCAGAGTAGCCAGGACTACAAACCTGCACCACCACGCCTGTCTAATTTTTTAACTTTCCTATAGAGAAAGTTGTTCAGACTTGTCTCAAACTCCTGGGCTCAAGCAATCCTCCCACCTCAGCCTCCTGAAGTGCTGGGATTACAGGTGTGAGCCACTGCACCCAACCTTTCACTATTAATCTTGACATAAAAAGTTATCACCATTGGTTTCTGTGTTCCTTGGACCAGCTGTGGGCAATGAAACTTTGATTGGGTGGTTTGACTGAAGAAGAAAATGATCTTCCCAAAAAAGCAGTAGCTGGGCTCCCACCTGGTGCCCAATCCAAGATTGCCCACCTGTTCCTTGAACCTTGGCTATTCAACCACACTTCCACTATTAATCATTTCTTTTTCTTTTTGAGATGGTCTTGCTCTGTTGCCCACGCTGGAGTGGAGTGGCATGATCATGGCTCACTGCAGCCTTGACCTCCTAGATCTAAGAAGAACACTGAAGGAAGGTCCGGTCCAAATCCCTACTCTGCTACTTGTGTAATCTCAGACAACTCTCCAACCCCTGGCACTTAACCATGGTCTAAACTGGTCGCAGACCCTGCCCTGCCCACTGCTTCCTCAGTAATTGTTCTGACTGTTGCCCCTCATTGGAGTTTTACCATTTTTCAGTTGGGTGCGCCTATGCTAAGTACTGCAAGAAAAGCAAGTAAAGAGAGTACATAGAACAAAGACATCTAGCTCAGTCTAAAGGTTAGAGAAAGATTCTTGGTAAAGAAAGTAACACCTGTTAGACTGATAGAGAAGCAACAGGAGAGTTTCAAGATTGTAGGAAGGTGGGGACTCCTTTAATTGTCTGATAAGATGCTAGACGACCATGTTTGGTTTAGAAATTGTGGTCTCCATAGTAATGAACCTGAAATATATACATGCACACTCTTCAAATATAATGTTCAAAAAGTTAAAAATATGACTCCCGTGCCAATATAAAAGATTTTATTTGACTCACCAATTAATGGGAGAACCCATAAGATGTTAACACTGGTTAAAGGAGAACTTGAAGAACAGAGGTATCTAAAGGCAGTCAGGAATGCTGAATTAAAGTCAATAACAGATGCAAAACTGGTTAACATCTGAAAGGGCAATAAGACCTAATGTTTAGGACTATCTTTTCTAAATCTGCTGCTTTTCTAAATCACTTGCTTTGCTGCGGACAAGAATCATTGGCATTATTATCAAATTTTCTACAAGCTAACTTCTACCCCTATGGCTGTAAAATAAGCCTAATCAATGGAGAGCCAATCAAAAGTGCACTCCTTATAGGTTATGCTAGACAATGTCCAGCAAGCCACTGAAAGGACACCTAGCAGTCTCATTTGCCTGTTTTCAAGTTGTAGACGAATTTTCCTTATAACACCTTAAGTTACGAACAACTAATTTTAATATTGGTTTCCAACAAAGTTGGAAAAATTTGAGTTGGTCCAATATGTGTGAGCCTACTCCAATGTCTTCAAATATTTATTTCCACCTCCCTGCCTGGATTCAGGTCTGGCCTATATTCTAATGATCTCTACTGTGTGTCCCAGGAAGGTCACTCGGGTTTACTCCTGCTATCAAGAGTAACACATTCAGCAAATTCTTAAGCTCTTGTCCTCTTTCCAGCAGCCTTTTGTGGTCCATTTACAGTCTGCTGGGCTGAGCAGGAAGAGACAGGTTGCTCTGGGCAGTGTTCAACAGCACAGCTCTTTGTCTCTCGCTGTCAGCCAGCCCTGTCACTACATTGTTCTTCAGGCGGCGTGCCTTTGAACGACTATCTACCCCTCCTGTCTCAACACTGCAGGCAGCATTTGGAGAAATAGCAGCCCTATGGAGTTCCTTCTGGTACAGAATAATCCCATTATATTACAATGTGCTATCAACTCGGTTCCACATATTTGTTGAGGACACTTGAGAAAGTCCCGAAGATGTAAAGGCATGCTCCTTGTTCTCAAAGAGCTTTCCCTCTGTTGGGAGACAAGCCATACCCAAGCAGCAAATGTCAGAGGCTGGCAAGAAGAGCAATGAAGAGCCAAGAAGAGCACTGAAGGAAGGTTCTACCCAAATCCCTACTCTGCTACTTGTGAGATCTTGGACAAGTTATTTTCAAAATATCATTACAAGTTATTTCTTTTTTAACAAAATAGCATAATTTATATACCATAAAATCTACCCATTGGAAGTATACAGTTTAGTAAAGTTATTTGTAGTAAATTTATAGAGTTGAGTTGTGCAAACATTACCGCGATCTGGTTTTAGAACATTTCCATTACCCCACAAAAGTTCCCTCATGACCACTTGTAGGCAATCCTCATTCTCACCCTAGCTCTGGACAACCACTGAATGCTTTTTCTTTCCATAGATTTACATTTTCTAGAAATTAATATAAATGGAGGCATACAACATGTAGTCATTTGTGTCTGGCTTCTTTCACTTAGCATAACATTTTTGAGTGCCATCCCCGTTGTAGCATGTATTAGCATACATTCATTCCTTTCGATTGCTGAATTGTATTCCATTTTATGAATATGCCACATTTTGTTTATCCATTCACCAGCTGATGTGTATTTAGATTGTTTCAGTTTTGGCCTATTATGAATAATGCTTCTATGAACATTCACATGTAAATTATTGTGTGGATATATGTTATTTATCTTGGGTAAATCCCCAGGAGTAGACTTGTTGAGTTGTAAGCTAAATATCCAACTTTTTAAGAAACTGCCAAACTCTTTTCCAAAATGATTCTACCATTTTACATTCATATCAGCAATGCATGAAGGTTCTAGTTTCCACATCTTTATAATCTGTTATTATCTCTCTTTTCTTTTTCATTTTTTTCTTTTTTTTTTTTTTTGAGACAGAGTTTCACTCTTGCTGCCCAGGCTGGAGTGCAATGGCACAATCTCAGCTCACTGCAACCTCCACCTCCCAGGTTCAAGCTATTCTCTTGCCTCAGCCTCCTGAGTAGCTGGGATTACAGGTGCCCGCCACCAAGCCCAGCTAATTTTTGTATTTTTAGTAGAGACACCCGGGGCTTCACCATGTTGGCCAGGCTGTTCTCGAACTCCTGACCTCAAGTGATCCACCTGCCTGGCCTCCCAAAGTGCTGAGATTACAGGCATGAGCTACAGTGCCCAGCCTCTCTTTTCAATTATAGCTATTCTAATGGGTGTAATAGTATCTTATTGTGGTTTTGATTTGCATTTTCCTAATGGCTAATGATACTGAACATATTTTCATGCTCTGACTAGCCATGCACACATCTTCTTGGGAAAAATGCCTATTCAAATCTGGCCCATTTGAAGTTGAACTATCTGTCTTCTTACTGCTGAGTTGTAAGGGTTGTTTATATTTTCAGGATACAAGTTCCACATTAGAAATAAGATTTGCAAATATTTTCCCCCAGTTGGTGGCTTATCTTTTCTCTTCTTTTTATTCTTTTTAGAGATGGGGGTCTCTGTCACCCAGATTAGAATGTGGTGGCATGATCACAGCTAACTGCAGCCAACTCCTAGGCTTAAATGATCCTTTCACCTCAGCCTCCCAAGTAGCTGAAACTACATTCACACACCACCATGCTTAGCTAATTGTCTTTTATTTTTATTTTTGTAGAGATGGGGACTCGCTATGTTGTCCAGGCTGGTCTTAAACACCTGGTCTCAAGCGATGCTCCTGGCTTGGCCTCCCAAAGCACTGGGATTATAAGCCTGAGCCACCACACCTGGACTTCATTTTCTTAATGGATAAGTTATTTAAGCTATTGAATCTAACCTCAATTGTCGCATATACATTGTAGGTAAATTAATAATATCTACTCTCAAGGTTATTGTAAGGATTAAAAGAGGCAATATATGTGAAAAATACTTAGCACAAGGCTTGGAAAATATTAGGAGGTTTGCTGAATAATCTGAACATAAGCAAGCACATGAACAGTGTCAGATTATGGGTTGCAGTGAGTACTCCACTTATACAGGGAGGAAAGAAGTCAAGCATGGGTGGAAGGTTCCAAGCTCCACAGCTAGAATAAAACTTTGAGATGCGCATTGAAGAAAGAAAGCAGCTGACACGTGAAGGCAGCCCAGGCTAGGAAAGCAGCCAACAAAGGCACAGATGCAAGAGTGAGCACAGCTTGCGAGGACACAGAAGCTAGAGCAATATTCTACAGAGGAACATGGGTCATCCCATGTTCCCACATTGTATTTTTCACACAGTGCCAAACAGCATTAGAGCCTGAGACAGACTATGTGAAATAGGCATTTCATCCCGTTCTCAGTCAAGTTATAAAAAGTGATCTTCCTATTTCAAAAGAGGAAATCAAAGAAATGGCAAGAAGATTCCAGCCAATGTAAAAATATGTCACCGATACTGTGGAAAACTGCAAATATATTATTTGAGGTGGAGATAACTGTGGTGCCTGACAAAGATGGGCAGGGGATGAGCCCATGGGCAAGCAGGGTCTGGATGCAGGAGTACCCAGGTCAGCTGCCCCAAGTTGTGGACTAGCTGGGTATTGTGAGATCCTGCAAAGTCCTGTACTGTTAACCTGGGCAAGTTTAACACCAAGACCCTGTTGTTAGAGGATCATCAATCAAACACAGATTCAAGAGGCAGGGCCAGTAAACCAGGAACCCCTGGCTGTCATTAAAAGAGGGTAAGCCCAGAAAGTCAGAAAACACTAACAGTTGATATCTGTTTGAGCTTACTCTACACTTGAGACTGGGTCAAGTTTTCAAATGAATTATCTCATTTAATCTTTGCTGTTCCCAGTTAAGTAGGTCATTATTTTCCCCATTCTACAGATGACAGAACCACCAAGACTCAAAGACGTTGATACATGGCAGAGCTAGGATTGAACCTGGACAATCTGACCCAGCCCTTGCTCATAAGCACAACACTACGCTGGGACTCGGTCCTAGCCTGGGCTCACATCGATAGCAGAAACCTGCCTGTTGCCCTCAGGACTGTTCTCAGCCAGCACAGGGCCTGACATATATGTCGACACCAAACAGAGATGTGTGTAAGAAAGGATGGCAGGAACAAAAGTAATGTCTAACAAGACAGATGGAAGCTAAGCACCCTATGCATGAGACACGATGAAGAGATCCACAGGTATACCAGGATCAGTGGTGAGATGAAATGCAGGTAGTGTCTGGCTTGTAGGAATTGAAGTTTGAAAATCATCTGCTTTTTAAATATAAATTAGAGCAGATCCAGGCTTTTCCCTCTGGAATAACTTCATTCCTAAACCACTTTATTGCACCAGACTTTGATGAGTGAGTTTCATAACTGGTCCTCCAGGGCTTGTGCAGGGTCCAGTGTCCAGCCATCACACTCACGGGGGCTCTCCCTGGGACAGGTTGGAAACGGCTCCTTCAATGTGCATAATTCGGAGTTCAGCATTAGCCTACCTAAGCCACTTCCTAGTTGCATGGTGGGTAGGGGCGTTCACCTCTCTGGCCTCAATTTCATCCCTTGTAGAATGTAAATAATAGTAATTTCTACTCCATGTAGGACTGCAGGTAGTTTAAATAAAATGTTGCATTTAAAGTCATGAGTGTAGAGCCTTTTAGTTTAAATAAACTATTGCATTGAAAGGCATGAGCACAGGGCCTTTTAGAACAAGTTCTAAAAAAAAAATCTTGGTATTATAATTTTACTTGCCCAGGTGCTAGTGCACCACTCGTAACAGATGGGAATGTCTCATCCTTACATGTGTCATATCCTTCTTGCACTGTGCCATCCCAGGCTGGACATGCAGGATGCCAATGAGGATAAATCTTGCCATTCTTATCCTATGCAGAGGAAGGCTAGCCTAACTCTCTGAAGATAAGACATCGCTAATTCCCTTCCTTCCTCTGCAATTCTCCACCCCCTTTTTTTCCCTCTTTCGGGCCTAGCAGACAAAGAATGAGTGTCCTGGTGTCTCACCAGATGTAGCAGGAAGTTATGAATAAGGATTGCACAGGACAATTGACTCTCTAAAAACATAGGCCCCAAATTAATCCTGAAGGCTGGGCAGTAACCACAGGAAACTTGGAGCCATGAGGCTGCCACTTAACACTTTACATATCTCTGTCTATCCTGGAGTGTTAGGCAAACAATAGCTTAATCCACTAAAGGCCTGTGAGTGGTATTATTAGTCATGGAATATCTGAGATCAACCTTTGGGTACATACACTCAAGGCCAGAATCTGGCATCCAGGTCCTCACATGGGACTAGGATCCCCACATGAGTCTTTAAGGAATGTCACAGCAAATTTTTAACAACTGGTTAATGTCTACCAGTGCTTAGCAAATTAGGCCTGTGTTGAAGTGTCAATGCCCAAGGGACTGATTTATTGAAATGCCCTAATTAGGATCTTGTAACACATCAAAGGGCCGTTAAAGAAAAAAGTGCTGGCTTCAGAGACTAAGGGGTATACATAGGCATGGTTTGTCTCTCTGCCAGGCTCAACAAATGCCATTCTGACAGTGCAATGGGCTCCACTGGGACAGCAGCCATCAATAAATTAGAACATGACCCATCTGCTGGAGGAAACCTGGTGTAATCTCTTCCCACATGCCCACTTTCTCCTTTCCTAGCCTTTCCCCCGCTTTAGAGGCCTGCAGCAAGCTCAGAGTCAAGGCCAGGAAGGTTCCTGGACCAAAGAACTAGCTACGCCAATCTTCCATGGAGGATTTAGAAAGATGCTGCAACAATTTATCAGCTTCCAGAACAATGGTCTTTCTCTCTCCACTGCTACCATGTCTTAAATACACATCTCCCATTTGAAATCTCCTTAACCACAAAGAAAAACAGCTTTCCCTACAGGCACATCTTCCAGGCCAAGCCTGTTTTGCTGCGGAGAGTATATTGCCCTAATTATTTCTACTCAGCTTAAACCCCAGCACTACCAATTCTCTCCCTCTGTAATCTTGAGTAAGCTATTTAATCTCTTAGTTTCTTCATCTGTAAAGAGGGAGGACTAATGATAATACTTACCTCATGGGATTGTTGGGAGGATTAAAAAATGCATGTAAAGTACCTGGAACATAGTTACAATTTGATGAGTGTTATTATTATTATACTTGTAATATTATGATAAAAGAAGACCCAGCTGACTGTGAGTTCATAAGAAATAATAAGCAATAGTCTTTTTTTTTTTTTGAGACAGAGTCTTGCTCTGTCGCCCAGGCTGGAGTGCAGTGGTGCGATCTCGGCTCACTGCAAGCTCAGCCTCCTGGGTTCATGCCATTCTCCTGCCTCAGCCTCCCGAGTAGCTGGGACTATAGGCACCCACCACCACGCCCAGCTATTTTTTTTGTATTTTTAGTAGAGACGGGGTTTCACGGTGTTAGCCAGGATGGTCTTGATCTCCTGACCTTGTGATCCACCCACCTCGGCCTCCCAAAGTGCTGGGATTATAGGCATGAGCCACCGCTCCCGGCCAATAACCAACAGTCTTTACAGAAGCCCCTGAACATGGCCAAGACAGGGAATGCCCCTCAGAGTTTCAAGATGCCCTAGGCTGCCTCAGATGTAAAACATCCACAACACTAATATAATTCTATGCTTAGCTAATCGTCCCAGCTTGCATTTTTATCAACATTAAAGAACATGAGGCAAAGAGCAGCAGTCACCCACTACAAGTAACCTTGGAAAAAAGACTGCTTCAAGGTCTGGGACAGGAAATACACAGGATAAACCTGGAGCTTCTTGACATACCAGATAGTAAGGAAGTTAGCAGAGTCTACTAGGGTCATGTCAAAAGGACTCAGGAGCTGTCTTGAAGAGGTTCCCACTGGCCAAAGATGGGGTAATCTGAATATCAACTGGAATGATAACTGCTGCAATGGACTGAAACATACCAAATGTATTCTAGGAAACCAATTCATTATTTTTAACACTGGTAAGTAAAAAAGAAAGAATAAAACATTTATCTCACCTTTTCAGTATGACCCTATACTTTAGGGTAACCAAACAGTTGATGAGGGGTGATTTCTCTTTATAGAGTTTCCAGCTAAAGGATGAAGAAGTGATGATATAGTATCACTATGTTATAATCTGCATAAATTAATATATCTAAGCATCAATGATCAATGGCTACTAATAGCATAAAAATAGAGACAATCATTTAGTGCCTCCTGATGGAAGTGCACACCACCATCTATGAAATGGTCTTGCCCAAAATATCACATTTTAATCTGATCAAGCTCTAGATCTAAATGCTGATTTTCAGGCAATCCAAAGACAGAAAAACATGCTAAATGACACCATGGGGATAAAATAAGTAAACCCTAGACTCTGGGAAATGCTACAGGACAAATGATTGGTTTCTTCAACAAATAAACTGAAAGGTAAAAAGAGCAAGATGAAGAAGAAACCTATAAATTACAAAGCAACCCATACTGACAACACCAAATGCCAGTGAGGACACAGAACAACAGGGACTCTCGTTGACTGCAGGTGAAAATGTAAAATGGCACAGGCACTTTGGTAGACAGTTCGACGGGTTGTTATAAAACTAAACACACTCTTACCATACAATCCAGCAATCACATTTCTTGGTGTTTACCCAAATCAGTTGTAAAAATAATGTCCACACAAAAACGTGCACATGGATGTTTATAGAAGCTTTATTTATAATTACCAAAACTTGGAAGCAACCAAGATGTCCTTTAATAGGTGAATGATTAAACTCTGGTACACTCATACAATGGGATATTACTCACTGCTAAAAAGTAATGAGCTATCAAAAATATTAGCAAAGTATTCCTTTTATTTTTTTTAGAAATGGAGTCTTGCTATTTTGCCAAGGTTGGCCTCAAACTCCTGGGCTCAAGCAATTTTCCCACCTCAGCCTCCTGAGTAGCTGGGATTACAGGAGTGAGCCACCACACCTCTTACCTGGATTTGTGAGAGTAGTATTTGGTATAGGGACTGTGGATAAAATAGGATTCTCTCTCTCCCCACAGTCTGTGGCCTCTCTGTGTCTCTTTCCAAGATGTTCATTTGAACTGATATTCATCTTGTCAACATTGCTCAACTAGAGTGACAGATTCTTTCTGACCTGCCCTCAGAGGCTGAAGCTGGGCTGCATGGACATCAGAAGCACAGAGGACACACCTGCCCAGCAACTAACACACACTCTCCTCTAGCCCTCCTAATGACCCTGGGGAGCAGGCAGAAAGATACCACTCTTCCCTTTTTACAGACAAGGAAACTGAGGCACAGGAAGGTAAGATTGTTTGTCCAAGGTCCTACAGCTAGTAAATAAGGGATCTGAGACCATCTCCTTGATCTTCTGACACCCAGACCTTCCTTCTTTCCATTACCCATTAAAGCAACAAAGATGCAGTCCTTCTTATTGTAACATGTTATTATTCTTTAGTCTTCTTAAAGTCATCCCTATAACACATTGCCAAGTAGTGGAGGCAACAGCCTCATTCTCCATAATGAGGTCATCTGCTAATAATTTTCCCTCTTTCTCCCCAAGTTTCTCCCCCTTCTGGCCCCTGCCTCTGCTTCCTACCCATCATCAAGATCTGCGCAAGCTACCTTTCACTGGGAGACGTCTGCCTCCACCACCCCTACCAGGGTCCCCAGGAGGGAAGCATCCTTGGAGATTCTCACCTCCCATAGATCTGTCAAAGTAAGAAAAAAATTGGAAAATAACAGGAAAAGGGAAAATGTGGGAACAACAGCTATCTTACCTCTCCCATCCCCGGGATGAGAGAGAGAGATTTCCTGCTTCTACAAACAACCAAGCTCTGAAAGGAGGCTTCTTTTACATACACTTTGCAGGGATGACTTAAATAAGTCTTGAAGACTCTCTTTCCCTGGAGACCAGACTAAAAGTATTGTTTAGAAATCTAATACATGGTTTATTTACTCAATTTGTGCTGAGCTCCACAGTTCCTTCAGGCCAGCCTCACTCGCCCATTACTCTATTAATGCTCCATTACTGAAATTAGTGCTGTAATTGGAGGGGGAAGGGCCGAGGAAGGGGGCACTCCTTAAAGGCACAGGTCTCGGCTAATCACATCACGGGCGGAGGCACCGAGGAACTGGTGTGGGGGCCCCACGAACGCTCGGGCCAAAGCTACTCCTCGGCCACGCGGCGGCTGGCAACTGACGCGCGCGATGTTGCGCCGGCCAATCAGCGTATGGCTCAGTCCCGCGGGCCCCGCTTCCAGGTGGAGCTGCTCCTGCTCTCGGGGTAGCCAGGGTCCCGGGCCTGGCCGCGGCCCCGCGGGCTCTTACGCTTTCGCCCCCATCTCGCTCCGCACGCCAGCGGTTCAAACACCCCCGGTAGGATCAGCCCCCGAGTGCACCTCTGACCCCAACTCTGAGCAGGCAAGGTTAAGGCCATTTGTGTGAAGCTTGTTCGCGCACTCTCGCTTTTCCTGGCCGAATCCCAGCGGCCTCTCTGCACCTCCCACGAGCTCCCTGGCACCTCTGCGCAAGCCCACTTTCCCCGAGACCCTTCCGTCCCACTGCGCTTCTGCGTCCCTCTCCGCGACTTCTCTTCAGAGACTGACTTGTCCTCCGTAAGGCAAAATCTAGTCCCTACCCCTTGAGCATCTGGTCCATCACTTCCTCTCATAAGCAGATTTACTGGGAAGGCGGCCCACACTCCGGGGCGCGGTCTTCGCCTCAGTTTGGGATCTGAATTGCACCCTCTCCCACGGAGGTGGCTTTCTTAAAGGTCTCCAGTTGGCCAATCCAATGGCCATTTCTCGATTCTTATAGGCCACAGGACTTCGCAGGAACATCCGAAATTGCAAACATCCTCTTTCTGGAGTGATTGCTCCCTTTGGCACCTATGAATAATAGTTTCCCCCAAGTTCTCTTCTCCCTGAAGGAACATTCTTTTCCTACAGCTGTGATTCTTCTAAGTCCCAGGTCCTTTTGAGAATCTGATGAAAACACACTCACACACAGACACACACAAACACAAGCACACAATGGGCATTCATGGACCCTACAGGAGCCTGTAAATCCCAGGTTAACCACTTCTGCTCCTTACTTTTTTTCTTGGTGATCTTACCAATTCCTGTTTTTAAAATCATATGGGCTGGGTGCAGTGGCTCACGCCTGTAATCCCAGCACTTTGTGAGGCTGAGGCGGGCAGATCGCTTGAGGTCAGGAGTTCGAGACCAGCCTGGCCAACATGGTGAAACCCCGTCTCTACTAAAAATACAAAAATTAGCCAGGCGTGGTGGCGGGCACCTGTAATCCCAGCTACTTGGGAGGCTGAGACAGGAAAATTGCTTAAACCCGGGAGGCGGAGGTTGCAGTGAGCCGAGATCACGCTACTGCACTGCAGCCTGGGCAACAGAGCAAGACTCCATCTCAAAAAAAAAAAATCATATGTATTTGGACAATTCCCAAATCTAAATCCCCCAGCCTGGACCTCTTCACCTGTTGCCTACTCACATTTTCAGCTGCCTGATCAATATGCCATAGGCCTCATCTATCTCTGCTAGAGGCTTGGTGACGTCTTGCAGGTATGCAGGCTGGAAAACTTGGGATCATCATTAACTCTTCTGGTTTGCTAAACCTGCCACTGACAACCTATCAGACA
Organism: Homo sapiens; assembly: GCF_000001405.40. Taxonomy (NCBI): domain Eukaryota; kingdom Metazoa; phylum Chordata; class Mammalia; order Primates; family Hominidae; genus Homo; species Homo sapiens. The sequence continues at coordinate 35,456,159 of NC_000007.14, forward strand.
TTTAGAACTGTGGCTCTTCTTCTCCATTTTTCCTCACAACCATTCCTTCCTTTTTGTCTTCACTGGTACCTCCTCACAGTTTGGCTCAGCCTCTTAACTGATCTCCTTGTCTCCAGGCTCAGGCTGCCCAATCACACCACTGTTGAGAGGCAGAGATGTAGCAAGTGCCAAATCCAAGAGCCTTAGACATGGCTGGGTTCCTCTAGTCCAGTCCATGCTTCATTACCAGTCCCCTTTACAAGGCATCTGCACGGCTGCTGTCCAGCTTCTGCTTGAATATCTCTGAAGAAGAGAAGCTGACTTCATCATTAAACATGTTGGCTTTTGGCCGATTCTAAGTATGGAAGCCTTTATCCATACATTGAGCTAAAAGCTGCCCTCAGCTCTTCAGAGCTTCTTCCTGCCTGAAGAGAGCTTGCTAGGTGCCCACACAGCTAGTGGTTACATTTCCTAGACTTCCCTGCACTAGCTGTGGCTAGTGACTAAATTCTTGCTCGTTGAAAATCAGCAAACACGAAGTGTGTTGGTGCCACTTTCATGGGGGGCCTTCATACATCAGACACATATTTCTCTAGTTTCTTATCCTCTTCCCTGAAGAGGATGGGAACTGGAGATTCCCCGGATCATGGAGATTAGGGCCATACCCTAGGAGATGAGGGAGTAATACAGGCAAGAAACCTGAGTCCCTGGACCACCACACAGAGCAGTCCTACCCTGACAGCCTGGGTTACCCACATTAGAACTGTTCCATGAGAGAGAGGTAAGCTTTTACATCCTTTAAGCCACTGTCTTTTGTTAAAGCACTGTAACTTTAACTCTGAATAAATCCTCTCTCATCACTCCCACCTTGGTCTGTATTCCAACCATACTGAACTTCCCATCATGTCCAAATATAACATGCCCCCTGTATTAGTCCATTTTCATGCTGCTGATAAAGACATACCTGAGACTGTACAATTTACAAAAGAAAGAGGTTTAATTGGACTTAAATTCCATGTGTCTGGGGAAGCCTCACAATCATGGCAGAAGGCAAGGAGGAGCAACTCATGTCTTACATGGATGGCAGCAGGCAAAGAAAGAGTGAGTGCCAAGTGAAAGGGGTTTCTCCTTAAAAAACCATCAGATCTGGTGAGACTTATTCACTACCATGAGAACAGTATGGGGGAAACCACCACCGTGATTCAATTATCTCCCACCAGGTTCCTCCCACAACAATGGAAATTATGGGAGCTACAGTTCAAGATGAGATTTGGGTGGGCACACAGCCAAACTATATAATTCCGCCCCGACCTCTCCCAAATCTCATGTCCTCACATTTCAAAACCAATCATGCCTTCCTAACAGTCCCCCAAATTCTTAACTCAGTTCAGCATTAACTCAAATGCCCATAATCCAAAGTCTCATCTGAGACAAGGCAACTCCCTTCCACCTATGAACCTGTAAAATCAAAAGCAAGTTAGTTACTTCCTAGATACAATGGGGGTACAAGCATTGGGTAAATATAGCTGTTCCAAATGGGATAAATTGGCCAAAACAAAGGGGCTACAGGCCCCATGCAAGTCTGAAATCCAGTAGGGCAGTCAAATCTTAAATCTCCAAAATGATCCCCTTTGACTCTGTGTCTCACTTCCAGGTCATGCTGATGCAAAAGGTGGGTTCCCATGGCTTGGACAGCTCTGCTCCTGTGGCTTTGCAGAATACAGCCTACCTCCCAGCTGCTTTCATTGGCTGACATTGAGTGTTTGTGGCTTTTCCAGGCACACAGTGCAAGCTGTCAATGGATCTGTCATTTCTGGTGTCTGGAGGGTGGCCTCTTCTCACAGCTCCACTAGGCAGTGCCCCAGTAGGAACTCTGTATGGGGGCTGTGACCCCACATTTCCCTTCCACACTGCCTTAGCAGAGGTTCTCCATGAGAGCCCTGCCCCTACAGCATACTTCTGCCTAGACATCCAGGCATTTCCATACATCCTCTGAAATCTAGGCGGAGGTTCCCAAACCCCAGTTCTTGACTTCTGTGCACCCACAGGCTCAACACCATGTGGAAGCTGCCAAGTCTTGAGGCTTGCACCCTCTGAAGCCACAGCCCGAGCTCTACATTGGTCCCTTTCAGCCACACCGGAGAAGCTGGGAACACAGGGCACCAAGTCCCTAGGCTGCACACCTCAGAAAATGGGATTTTCTTTTCTATCGAATTGTCAAGCTGCAAATTTTCCAAACTTTTATGCTCTGCTTCCCTTATAAAACTGAATGCCTTTAACAGCACCCAAGTCACCTCTTGAATGCTTTGCTGCTTAGAAGTTTCTTCCACCAGATGCTTTAAATCATCTCTTTCAAGTTCAAAGGCCCACATATCTCTACGGCAGGGGAAAAATGCCACCAGTCTCTTTGCTAAAACATAGGAAGAGTCACCACTGTTCCAGTTCCCAATAAACTCCTCATCTCCATCTGAAACCACCTCAGACCAGATTTCATTGTCTATATCATTATCAGCATTTTGGTCAAAGCCATTCAGCAAGTCTCTAGGAAGTTCCCAACCTTCCCACATTTTTCTCTCTTCCTCTGAGCCCTCCAAACTGTTCCAACCACTGCCTGTTACCCAGTTCCAAATCTGCTTCCACATTTTTGGGTTTCTACAGCAGCACCTCACTCTACTGGTACCAATTTACTGTATTAGACAATTTTCATGCTGCTGATAAAGACATACCCAAGACTGGACAATTTACAAAAGAAAGAGGTTTAACTGGACTTACACCTCTATGTGTGGCTGGGGAAGCCTCACATTATGGCAGAAGGCAAGGAGGAGCAAGTCACATCTTACATAGATGGCAGCAGGCAAAGAGAGTGAGTGCCAAGTGAAAGAAAGGGGTTTCTCCTTATAAAACCATCAGATCACTGCCACGAGAATAGTATGGGGGAAACCACCGCCATAATTCAGTTATCTCCCACCAGATCCCTCCCACAACAATGGGAATTATGGAAGCTACAATTCAAGATAAGATTTGAGTGGGGACAGCCAAACAATATTACCGCTCCCCCCCACCCCCTGCCCCCCATATCTCTATTCCATTGTTCAAGCTCCAGCCTCTGCCTGCAATACTTTTCCCTGTTGTCTCCACCTGGTGACCACTCATCCTTCAAGACCTTGCAGCCTTCTATGACTCTCCCAGGAATTTAGTAGCATGCACATTGTTTAAGCTGTCTCCTAATTTTTAACATTTAGGAATGTTTTTGGCTGCAATTAAATTCTGACTAACTGTGGCTCAAACTGAAGGATGCTTATTTTCTTAACAAGAAGTTAGATGATAGGTGGTCTCAGGTTTGCCTTTGTGGCTCAATGATGCCATCAGGGGCCCAGGCACCCATTTATCTACTTTCTCATCCATGATTGCTGTCTATGACCCTCCTCTGAGTCACAAAATGGCTTCTCCAATTTTAAGCATCAAAATTCTTACACAACAGCATCTTAAGCAGGAAGAATGGATGAAGAAACAAAAGGTTGCCTCCTTATAGTAACTTTTAACAGGGATTTCTCCCTTTCAGTTGTCTAGAAGACTTGCCCTGAAGTCTCACCAGCCAGAACTGGGTGTTATACCCACCCCTAGGCTGGTCACTGGAAAAAGGCATCAGATTTGTGTTTGATTTAGACCAATCACAATTGATCCACCAAGGCAGAGAAGGCTAAACAAGAAGAAAATTGAAGTTCTGTTCACAAGAAAGGAAGGAGAATGGTTCATCACATAAACATGTAGGCAACTAACTGTTTCTGCCATGCCACAGTATTATAATTTATCACTTTACTGGTCCAGACTAGGAATCTCTTAAAGGAACAGAGACTGCATCTATTTTGCTTCACCTCGGAGCCATTTGTGTCTAGCACAACAAAGTTTTTTAAAAGATGTTTTCAAAGGATAAATAGAGAAGCCCATCACCTGATTCTTTTCCTGATTTCCAAAGTGCTTAGCACTCTTGTCGGAGCCAAAAGTTGACTCCATGGCCTCTGTGCAGAAAAGGAGAAAGCTCAGGAGACCCATTGCCACTTCACCTCCATGTGAAACTTAAACAGAACTACCATTCCCAGGAAGCCTAGATTATTTTAAGGGTGCCTGGGTGAAATACTATTAGTGTCTCACATCTCTTTACCCTTTGGTGCTGCTGCTGAAGCCGGAGAAGAAGTGCTAAAATCTAGCTGAAAAGTCTGGTCTCAGGATATTTCTGGCCAAGTCAAAGTTGGAAGGATAAGAAATCCCACAAGGCTGTTCTTGTGAGGCTTAAGGCTATGTCTTGGGTAGACTCAAGATTTCTGGATAAGTGGCTGTCCTTCAGGGTGCCCTCTGGGTCAGGAGCGAGCTGCAGAGTCACACCTTCTTTGGTCAGAGTGACATCTTCCTCTGTGAGGAAGAAGGCCCTGTTGATGATTTTCCAAACACAACACTTCTAAGTGGTCTGTGCTATGCCTGGGTGGGCACTCCTAGGAAGGAGGAGGACTGAGGTGAAAATTGGATGAGATCAAGTGCACAGAAAGTGCTATATAAAGTAAATGTGCAAATTGAGTTCCCAGCACAGTGTTGGCCCAACAGTAGATGTTGATCACTGTCAATTGACTATTGATTGTTATATGATAAAACCGTCTTTCATATTCTAACTCTGGCAATCAAGATAGTGAACAGACAATCCACTATAAATAAAGTACAAATGTTTGATCTTAATTCATATCTTCATCAAGGTAAGGTGCAAGTTTCAGAACTTCTTATATCCCTCTATGATGAGAATGACTGAGTATTCATTTAACTGGAACATATAAGAAGATGAGCTTGGATTTTGTTGTTCTCTGCAATCAAGAGATAAATTAACCAGGAAAGTATTAAAATAGAAAGTAGTCTATTCCATCTCTTGATTATTGGTTGGCTTAAAGAATTGAATAGAATATGCCTGATTAAAATAATGTAGAATTTTAGATCTAAGATGCTATCTAATCCAGTATTTTCATTTAATACATGAGGAAACCAGGGTCCCAAGAAATTAAGAGACTGACTCAACAATACTAGTCTTTCAGAGTGAAGCCCCTGGTTTCCTGACTCCCAGATCTATGATCTTTCTTGTCGCCAGACGATCCCACAATTTTCTCTGTTGTGGATCTAGGACCTCAGCTGTACAGGGGAAAGCTGTGGTCATTTGCTATTAATTAGCTCAGCATCCATGGCTCTTTTAATGGGAGCCGTTGGTGTTCTGCCATCAGATGTAGGTAGTCCTTTAAAGCTGCTTCTTGCATCAGGATCTTCCAATGTGTTCTGATGGAAGAAACAAATTTGAAGACCTCACCAGGAGTGCCAATGGCCTGAGCTTCCACAAGCTCATGATATATGTGCTTTTGGAGGGTTCAAACATGCTCACCGGAGTCCCGCCCTTGATTTGGCCTGTTCAGAGAGAAACCAAGCCCTGGTTAGCCACTAAGAACCAAGGATGTCCGAAACAGTATTCCCTTACTAGGTTTGAACACCTATCTTCTCCTCAAGTTGAGCCTCCCCAGCGTGGAGTTTTGGAGACCTGCATTCTGTATTTCTTTATTATTCATCACAGTGCTATTTACTAAGACCTAATATGTAATAAGCATAATGTAAGGCCAGGGATAGAGAAATGGGTAAGCCATGACCTCTGCCCTGGAGAAACATGTTCTGTAGTTTGGAGACAGGCCTGGGAACAGCTCGTTCTATTGCAAGGGGTATGCACAGAGGAAGGTGCCTTTCCCTCTGCCTGTGAGATATTGGGCTGGTGTTTTTCTGGTGGACCAAGGTAGGGTGGGGATTCTGGGCAGCAGGAACAGCATGTACAAAGGCACAGAAGCATGCAAGAATGATACGTTGGTTGGATTGAGCCAATTTCATTTCTCAGCTATTCAACCCATGTCTCATAAATCTAAGGATTCACTGGAAAATGTGAGGGGCTGACATCAGACTCTGCAGAGCAGTCCAGAAGTCCTATGTTTACGTGGCCAGGACTACTGCCTTTTGCTGTGCCCATCCCTGGTGTCCATCCCACCACCATCAACCCATGAGAACAGAATATAGTGACAGAATTAACTCTGATCAGAATATGAGTAATGATTAATATTGCTACTTTGATCTGCCTCATCTGCTCCTTTCCCCAGCCCCAAGTGCTTGGGAACTCCCCTTCTTCTCCTACCATGCCCTCCTTCAAGGCTAACTGTTGACAATTCAATGTGGATTTAAGCCCTTATGTTCCGCCACTCAGAGCTATTGTTCTGTGAAATGAAAGTCTGCATATCCTTCCACAGGAGCTTCGGGGACCAAGGCATAAATGTGAGGGATGTTCTAGATAAGTGCCACCTTATATCCCCAACCTGCAACTCTGGTAAATCATGAATCTGGAGGGCAATGTCTATGGCAGCTTTGGAGTGCAGAAGGTCTAGGAGGGACCCTGGAGAGGGGCAGTGGAGCACTTGAGAAATGCAGGGGACACTGTTGGTCGGGACTCAGGGACAAGGAGTAGTTTTCACATTTACTCAGGTGATTGACCTAAAATCTTATTACTATTTATGAAACACCAGCCATGCTGAAAATATTAAATTTCACCATAGGAACTCGCATAAAAAAATTTTAGCAGAAAATATGGGTATATGCAACGGAAAAATCTGGCCAGACTTGGGGCCTAAGGGTATTGAATTTAATCAAACATTTTAAGGCATATATTTAAATGATCATATTGTTTTTATTTTTGATCTATTAATTACTAAATTACTATACTGTACCACTGACTGTGAGTTTTATAATAATAAATTTTTGCATATCTGAAATTAAATTTGTTTTTGTTATGATAGATAAGTAACTTTGAGTATTCTGTCAAACCCAACTTGCTAGTATCTTTAAAGGGATATTTGTACCTCTCCTTTTGGAGTGGAAACTCCAATAGGGTGAGGACTATTACACATTTGGCTTTGGTTCCTCTGGGATGTGTATAACTTCACGTCTGTTCTACATTCTCAAGCCTTTATACCTGTCTTATTATTATTTTTAAGGAGGGTTTTCTCAAGTTTCTTCTCCATATGACTGCTGTAATGTTTTGCAAGCTCTACTATTTTTCTTGCCATCTTCAATTGGATTTAATTCTGCTACTGCATTTGGAATTTTCTTGCCTTTTTTTCTTGTTTCAGCCAACACTTTTGCACACCACCTTCATCTCAGCCCATTCTAATTTTATAGCTTCCTGTTCCTGTTTCATAAAAGCCACACCACACCCTTATTATTGCAGACAGCAGGAAGGTTTGTTTTAGTCCACAATTCTCTATTTTATCTACTAGAATAACACTTTAGAGCCGTGAATCATCAGGTAAAGTCTCACTTTCCCATAATTTGTGGTACCTTTCTGTAGGCTCTTTATTGATTCTTTCTATTTCTTCATCCTTGAAAGAAAAGATTGTTATTTAAGCCTGGAATTTCCAGGAGCCCCCATCATTGCGTATTTAGCTCCTGGAACTTCCCTTCGAAGGTACACAGTTAAAAATCAGCCACTAACTCAATGTACAACACATGCAGGCCTTTGTTGTGAGTAATGCTGCTAGGTTGAAGTTAGATTTTCCTTGGTCCAACTATCAGGTTCTTTGGATAAGATACAGGTTTTATTCCTCTTGTGTACAGTTTAGAACATAAAAGATTACACCGCTTATCCAGAACTGTTCCCAGGGCTCTTCCTGACTCCACCCTGCTTCTGATGCTTCTCTTTAGGTATCTAAGTGAACCAAGATGCAATGTGCTTCCTCCATTCCCCTCTGCTGTGTGGGAACTATGGCTTCTGGATGGATGAAGATAAAGCTGGGCTGAAGGCGTGGTGTGAGGGGGAGGGGATGGCAGGGGACATCTGCGGAAAGACAGGACTCTGGCACCTCTACCTAACTTGGAAGATATTGGAAGAGAGACAGCCTGTTTTTCTAGTACTTGTCCCTGTGTCTCGAAGACAGGGGCATCAGCAGGAAGGTATTTAGGTTATTTCATATCTTCTCTTTTTGGATTTGGCAGTTTTAACTAAAGAAAGCATGCTCCAAAATTATTTCTCAATCCTTTCCTATTGGTATGGTAATTAATAGCAGTTCTCCCTAGAATTTAACATGTGGTCTTTGCTTATATTTTTAAAAATATCAGTACTTGCTTTTTGTTTGTCAGTTTATTTGTATTTACATGAGTTTTACACCAGCATTTCTGGGGAAAAGAGGGACATATCAGGCATCATAACACCAATTTAAAGCAGAAGTCCTTCCTCTAAATTTTAAATTCCATTGAATTTTAATTTTAACTTTTCTGGCTCAATGGCCATTGTAAATATACAAAATTGTACAGGGCTCTAACAAAGTGATTGTTTTTAGGCCATTAAAGTACAAAAGACAATGTCCCTACACTAAATTCTCCCAACCTATTGCTCTTTACAAAACTGTTTATTTTTTCTCTCTCCTCCCTAACATGTGTGTGGGCCTATCGTGTCTTATGGGTTTCCTCTAGAACCACTATGGCCCTCTTAATGTGAAGACCCTACAGGACTCTTGCTATTTCTGAAAGAGGGATCATAAAATCTCATGTGGGAAGAAATTTTTGGAAAAGGTCTAATACAGGCACCAGCATTATCCTTTCTCACCCAGTGGTCAGTTGTCCTCTGCTGCAACACCTCCAGCGTGGGGAATTCTCTACCTCCTGGGGCCATCAATTCCATCTCTGTGGGGCTCCGATTGTTACAAAGTCCTTCCCTATATTGAGCTGAAATGTGTCTTTCCTTTGTTATCCTCTTATTGCTCCTGGTTCCTCCACATATGGACTCAGTGTGTTACCTCTTCCATGTGAGCACCTGCCAGACACGGGGAGGTTTTATGCTCCTCCCCTGCCCCAAGTTCTCCCTTCTCTGGGACAAACAAGTTCAGGTCCTTCAATTACTCCTGCAAATCTCTGTAATGACTTAGTTGTGTCATGAGACTCATGGGAGTTCTTTGTTCATTTAATGGGAAGCAAGAAGAAGTTATCCTAAGCACCAAAAGGTGGAAGCACCCAAAAAGATGCCCATCAACTTGCTCTGGGTGTCATCAAAGGGCAAGACAGGACTTCCTAAATGAGATGGACAGGAAGCATTCCTGAGTAGCGCTGCTGTCCTCAATGAGATGAGATGGCCACTCACATTAGGTAAGGAAAGGAGAGTCCAATAAAAAGCCAATTCCAAAGGTGTGGCCAGGGTCAAAGGAAACCCCAAGGGAAGGTGCTGTCCTGGGGGCTGGTACTAATAGGATACCACCCCTAGGTCTGAAGGGGCAAGGGAGGCAGTGGTTACCGTAGAACACAGTACAAAGTTTATTGTTGGTCAAATGTTTCTATTACCCTCATTAAAATATATGAGCATGGATAAAAATTCTGTAGCTTATATTTTGCACCCTTGCTTTTAGACATTAATTGGCATTTGTTAAAACTGCTAAGAACACTTTGGTTTTCATTAAGCATCAAGCAAGACATAAACAAAGTAATCAAGATGGCTGAAGTGGGAGCAGGAGTGGGGCTGCTTTTTGGGACATATTTTAAAGGGGCCTGTGAGCAAGGGCCAAGCACCCTCCCCCTGCTCATGGAGGTGGCGATTTTATGTCCCTGTTTGGCTCAGGTCTGAAGCACAGCCTGGCTGAGAGGCAGCTGGCACGGGCCCAGGCACGATTGCATGCCTGCCCCTGTGGGCCCCACTTCCAGCAGGTCACCCGGTCTGTGTTGTCACCTTGAAACATTCTAGAGAGCTGTGAGCTTCAGAAGGTGAGGCTCTGGGGGCTGGGCTGGGGGCAGGGAAGGCAGCCACGCAGGGTGGCTGGAGAGCTTTTGACAGCCCCTAGCAGAGCCCAGCATCCCATTCCCGACGACGTGAGCCCCCCAGGCAGGCGCCGAGTGGATAAGAGTGTAGACAGCGAGGCCGGCCTGTGACGCTTGCCAGCACCTGCAGATAGCAGGCAAATAATTGGCACATGCTTAAAAAAAATTAAAAACCTCTTGGATGTGAGTATTTTCTAACAGCATCTGGCGGGAGTGCCCGGGAGGAATTTAATCAGCAAGAGTTGTTTAAATGGGGCTCCGCACAGGCCCCGGCCAGGCCCGCCATGAACTCGGCATCATGTGCCACCCCTGTCTGCTGAGAACATTCAATTTGTTAATTCTGCAGCTGGTGAGAGAGGTCAGATAGGAAAGTGACGATTGTTTTCTGACGTTCCAACCCCTGCTCACATCTTTCTAATTAATCCTTTTAGGAGCCACAGGAAGATTAAGAAGGAGAAAAGGTGAGGGAATCAAGTACCAGAGAAATTGATGGAAAGACAACGCTGCTGCCCTTCTCTTCTCAAATGGGATGGATGTGAGGAGCTGGGGGTGGGGAGAGAGAAAAAAAAATTGAGGACTGCTGCCTGCCACTCTTCTCGCTCAAAGGAAAATCATGCTCGGAAGACATGGGACCCAAAAGGGCCACTGGATCTTCTCCTATGGTGCCTGTCTCTTTTAAACAGGAGGCAGCAGCCCCTCTCCTGGTCTCCATCACTCAGTCTTGGACCATCAGGAGCCACTGAGGCCTCCCAAGCAGAGTGGCAACTATGCTGGGTGGGAACGTGACCTGCTGTTAAAGGCCCACAGTCATTAGAATTCTGTAAGAACATACCCTGGTAGCCAGAGGGCCTGGTTTGGTGTCCGGACCCCAACATGTCACGTTGCTCTGCCTAGCTGTGTGAGATGGGGCTGGTGTGCAGCTGTCTTCTGCTGGTCCTTCTAGATTCATTTTTCCTCCTGCTCCACCTTTTTTCTGCCATAGAGGCAGACCTCTGAGGGCCTCATCCATGGGCTCCTGCCCTCCAAGTCCGGCTGGTGGGGATCCCAGTAGATAGGAGGGAGAAACAGCAAGAGGCTGCTGGAGGCTGGCTGGAACTGGGGCAGGGACGCTCGTGCGCTTCCCCGAAGTCTCTCTTTTTAGGTCCTTTGCTGCTGCTAGCCCCAGGTCCTTGCAGTACCCCCTCTGCTTCCCCCTACCCACCCATGGCATGTATTTAGTGCCTTTGTGCATAAACACCTCTCAAATTATCCTGATTGAGGGTACTTCTTTCCACTGAGACATCAACACTGGTACCTGATGGATAAGGCAAGTCTGAGTTTGCACCTGGCCCCTATTCACAGTAAGGATGTGAGAAAGTTACTTAACCTCTCTGAGCATGGCTTGACTCATCCCTAAGATGGGGATGGATGATACTGAATCATAGCATTGTGATATAACCCGAACCAGGCACCTAATTAATACCCATTTCTTTGTTTATGAAAGTCTCAAGTTTAGGGGAAACAAAAAAAAAAGATCAGTAAAAGGTATAAAACAAAAGAATGCAATGAACACCAGAATCATCATCAAACCAAGACATTAAAATACTTTCCTGCCAGTGGGACCGCAGCCAAGTAGTGCTATTTGATACAGCATCCCTCTGTCCTGGTCAGAGGAGAGCCCTGCTCAGAACTGACTATCCATGGCAAGCATTGAGTGTGGAGCACCCACTCCACAGCCCCCAGTCCTTTCGCTCATGCTCCAACATAGTCATCCTGTAAATATTTGCTGAATCACCTTCTGTGTGCCTTGCCCTGTGCTAGGTCCTGGGGAACCATGGATCACTCAGACACAGCACCAGACTTCAAGGTGCTCACAGCCACTTGGGGAAATGAGCCCTAAATTCCTAGCTTTGATCAAACAATAAAATGCCACCAGGCATAAAGGTGGGAATGATTAATTCTGCTATTGGCATACGTGTGTGCATGTGGGTGTGCTGGGAAGGGAGGTCTGGGAAGGCTCCTCCAAGGCCTTGAAAGATGAGACTTCTGAAAACAGAAGAGCTCAGTGGGCAGAGGGAACCGGACGTGCAAAGGCACGGAGGCAGGAGAGAACACAGAGAAATCTGCCAACAAGTCCCAGTGGCTGGAATATGGAGTCCAAAGTACTGATGGCAGCAGGGATTCCACTAGAAGTAAAGATCAGTTTGCGAGAGGGAAAGGACCCGAAAAGCACTCTGAGAAATTTGGCTTTGATTCAGGAAGCAAAAAAGAAGTAGCAAGAATTCTTCATTCTGAGCGTTTTAGGGAGAAACGCTGGCACAATAAAGTGTGCAATTTTTGTAATCATCTGCCTTCTGATAGTAAGGCCCTATTCTCCTGGGTTGGCAGGAAATTTGTTCACAGCTATGTTTGAGACGACCCTCTTCCCAGCTCCCATCCAGGACCTTGTATGTTTTTGAGTCTTGCACAGACACAAGCCTCCAGGGGTCCCACAGAGCCATGTTCTCACAGTCCGGCCACCTCCCCAGGGGCTGCCATAGGGTGGGACTGGATCCCACACTATTTGTGCCATTCACTGACCAGAGACCTCTCCCCAGGATGGGGGTAAGCTTTCTCTTGTCCTTCTTTGACCCTTAGAATCCCTCTTTTCTCCACCTCCTCTACCCAATCTGCCATAAGCATTTACTGAACACAGGAGGAATCATAGACTTCCAGCAGTTTTTGTTTACGTGCTGCGTGCAAAAATTCCCCAAGGCAAGGAAATACAAGAGCCTAAGGACTCGTTTGGAATGTGCGAGAGGGCAAGCCCAGGGAGAGCTTCACAAATGAATATGTCCATGAAGCACACTGCCAGGCACACTTTCAAGGCTTTGATGTTATTACTACTAGGATAGTCCACATTCTGAGGCTGTCAAGTCATTATCTGGACAATGTCATCCCTCAAGGGCTTTTGGCAAAAGCTTTCAAATAACTGAAGTGACAGTAAGAATTTATAACATGAAATTTAGAATGAATTAATAGTCATCGCACCTAAAATATGTCTCTATCAGATCATGAACTTCTTCAGGGCAGAATATTCATTGTAATGGTCTTAGGCTTTAGAGTTTAAATTTTCATCTCTAAGTTACAAGACCTTGGGCACATTTTTTTGAATTCCCCAAGCCTCAGTTTTCTCATCAATGAAATGGGGCTATCCTTCTGGCATTGTGAGGATAACAGTACATAAAAGGGTCTGGCAGAGAAAGGCATCAAATAAATGCTGCCTGGAAGGATGGATGGATGGAAGGGCAGGTGGACAGACAGAAGGACATCTCAGCCCTTTGTTTTATTGTGGTCAGGCAGTACCAGCATCACATGCCTCAGTGTGTTATTTAAATATATGTTTTCGGTCATGACACCAGTGTGGGAACTTTGCACCTTGGAATAACATCTAAGCCTTTTGTGAGCTCTCAGTCAAGTGTAAGAAAAAGAAACATAAAAAGAAACACTGAGGGTGCAGAGAGAAGAGGTGGGGGTTCAATTACCTCATTATCAGGTGTAAGGACAGCACATTCTTCCATTCATTAGCACCCACTTGTGCCTGCCAGGAGAAGGCCAATCAGCTGCCATTTGCTGGGGCTCCAACAGAAGAGGTGACCCCAGAGATAGAAGATTGGGTGCAGGTTGCAGAGGACCAAGGAAGAAATTGTGGACTTGGACTTCCTTAAAGATGCAAAGGTCTGGTCCCCAGGGGCCTTTGCAGGGTAGCCTGAAGAAGCTGGCATATCATTTGGGCCATTGTTAATCATAATAAAGGTGCTCTTGAGGGCAATGAGAAGTCACAGAAATGGCAGGAAAGTAAATCTACCCAATGTGGTGGTGGACAAGTGGAGTAACTGTCCTGAGCAAGGAGTAGCAATCTCCAGGGCCCACGGCTGAGTGAGCAGAGCAGAAAAGGATTAAGATAGAGAGGGCTCCACCGTGACAAGCTGTGCAGCCTAAACACTGCACGGTACAGGTTATCAGGCTTTCCCTTTTTTCTGAAAAAAAGCATAAAATCTGGATATATATGCGAAATTTCCCAGGTTTAAGTGTTGGCTATGATTTCAAACATTTTCAAAACACCGTGTAGGTCAAACAAAGCACAAAGGCCATTGGTGACTCTCAGGCTGCCAGTGTCTCAATCAAACACCAAATCCAGGACATGAAGCAAGGGTGATGTCAAGGTCAAAGCCAGGGTCATTGTCGAAAATCACAGTGGAAGATGCCCTGCACCCACTGGAAAGAACTCCAGGGTCGGGAGCCAAGTTCAGAATGTAAAATGCACATGACATAATAGGTGATGGGGTTGTGAGAGGAGATTTAGTGAAGAGCAACTTATTTCTGGTAGATCCTATCTTGGCATGAAGGTGTGTTCCAAGTGTACCTTTCTAGTCACCTTGCAGCCTGGGTCAAATTTATTGCCCTAATAGGGCAATGGATTACCATTTTGTAGATGGTAATAATGAAGTTGTGGAGTGATGACCATTTTTATATATGTAGATTTTACCATTTTTTTTATTTCCCAAGGATACATATTTAGAAGTAAAATTACTAGTGCATTTGATTTATGCTGTAAATTGATTTCCAAAAGGGCTGTACCTTGTGTCAGAAATAGTGTTCACTAAATACTTAATATACTCCCTTACATTTCTAACCTCCTTGTAATTAGTTTAGGGTCATGTGATTAGTTCTGGCCAATGGACTATGAGGGGAAATGACACATGTCTAACATACACTTAAGAGAGGTGTTTCCATGCCTCCCTTCTACCTAGCAAAGCAGAACTAATAGCCATACATTAAGATAGTAGCATGGACCCCTGACTCACCAGATGGAAGACAGCTACAACAAGCACCCAATGGGCTTTGCAAGAGTGAAAAATAAGCTTCTTTGTTATGCCACTGATATTTTTATGTTACTTGTTATAGCGGCATAGCCTAACTCATCATGATTAACATATATTGCTTTATAATACCATCAGTAATAAGTATAAATATCATTTACACTCTACCTTAGCATTTGGCACCACCATTAAAAACATTTATTTTTTAAAAAAAGAAAAAATAAAACACAAAATGTATGCATTTACACACACACACACATACACACATATATATATATACACATACATATATACACAGGTATATACAGCTATGGAAAAAGCTATTCATATTGCTAGGATAATTTTTCTACCACTGTGTAATGTCATTATCCAACACTCCAAAGACCCATTCTCTCCCTTACAGAGAAGGAAAATCAGGAGTGCTGTTATTAAACTTAAAGGGATTCAGACTTAAGGAAAAAAATCCACTGAGTTCTAAGATTGTGACTACTTTTATATACCTAATTCTGGATTGTTTATAAAATTCTGAAGGAGGAACATTTTTTAAATTTTATTTTATTTTATTTTAAGTGCAGGATGTGCAGGTTTGTTAAATAGGTAGACGTGTGCCATGGTAGTTTGCTGCACCTATCAACCCATTACCTAGGTATTAAGCCCAGCATGCAGTAGCTATTTATCCTGATGTTCTCCCTCCCCCTACCCCACCCCCCGACAGGCTCCAGTGTGCATTGTTCCGCTCCCTGTGTCCATATGTTCTCATTGTTCATCTCCCACTTACAAGTGAGGACATGTGGTGGTTTTTTTCCTATTCCTGTGTTAGTTTGCTGAGGATAATGGCTTCCAACTCCATCCATGTCCCTGTAAAGGACATGATCTCATTCCTTTTTATGGCTGCATAGTATGATGGAGGATATTTTTAACATGGGTTAAATAAAACATTAATTATTCCTAAAATGAACAAAACTATTTATTTTAGCTTATTTAAGGGATGAAGTAGTGTTCCTAAGTTTTATTTAATCTTTCATTTCTGAGATCATTTGCAAGGTTAAATATTTTTTATGTTTATTAATTAGTTGCAATTCCTACTTTATAAATTATAAATTATTATTTGGTAATTGATGGAGTTTTTGATGTTTTCCATCATTAGATGAACACTTTATATAATAAAGATACTAAACTTTTCTCAATAAAATTTACTGACAATCTTTTCCAGTGTTTTTTGTCTTTATTTTGCATATCATTTTAATGGCAGTTGAGATTGTTTGCATAAAATCAATTGCAATTTTGACCTGTGAACTTCTTTCATTACTTTTAAATTTATAAATTCTTCCTCCACAAAAGCTCTGATAAATATTTAATTCAAATTTCCAATCTTTCCTAATATTTGATTTGAATTTATTTTGGTTTATAATAAAAATAATGGTCTAAGTAGCACTTTATTACAAAACGTTAATCTGTTATTTAACACATTGATAGGTAATTTTGGTTCTTTTTCTAAATTATAATGTCTATTTTATGAACTACTCAATTTAAATATAAAAGCTTATTTCTATACAATCTATTCCATTCTATTGACATTGCTATCATTGAATCAGTGCCACAATTTTAAATTATTGTAACTTTACCAGTGTGACTTAATACCAGGAAGGTATTGCCCCTTGCTCCATACTCTCCTTTTTCAGAGTCATCTTTCATTTTCCTGATTTAGCTCTTTTGTCATGTAAGATTTCGAATTGTTTTGTCATGTTGCCTGCAAAACATCCTGTATATGTTTTATTGGAACTGCATCTTGCCAATCTATGAATGGGAAAGGATAAACTATTCATGATACATTATCTTTTATTTAAAAATATGGTATGTCTTGCCATTTATTCAAGTCATCTTTTATATCTGTTTATAACCTTTTGTAATCTTATTTATATAGACTGAAGACTAAACAAATATACATTTAAATAATGATGTAAATTAACTACATGTATTTAAAGGACAGAGAATTTAAGCAGTGTGGGGGACTCTGCCCATGGTCCACTTACGGAGCACATCCTGGAGTGAAATGAGAGATTATTCTCAGCATCTCTCATGGTGTAGGCATCTCAGGGTGCTTGATGTGATATTGTGTTTATGTTGACTGTACAAGATTTCAGGTGAGAGCTCAGTTTGTGATTTAACTCCTATGTAACATATAGTTTTATTTGGGTTCATAAGCATCTGTTGTAAGGTCTATTCCCATGCAGTTTATATTTCTTTGGTTGCTATTCTAAGTGAGATCCCTTCTCATAATAGTCTCTTTCTCAGCAATTTTTACCTTTTCTCATTATAAGAGAAATTGCTGTTCTTTATATAAAATTATAAATACAGATATCAACAAGAAGACAAATTAAAAGCATTAGTTTAAAAAAATGACAAGACTAAGAAGCTTCAGGTATCATTTCCCCACAGAAACATTTAAAAAACAAAAAGCACCCAACTAAAATTTTGTGAGAGCTTTGGAAAATAGCCAAAAGTCAATGGCGACTAAACAAATGCCTGATCAAGAAAAAAAAACACATTAAAAACAGTTGGAAATTGTGTGATGTTTTTACTCACCCTAGTTCCCTCCTCTCCCCAGCATTGGTGCAGTCTTGGTCTGGAGAAGATAGCAACCCAGTTCACAATTCCCTCTCTGGAACCAGGGAGTACAGAGCAGAAGTTACTTGAATGTTTTAACCTGTCTGGGGGCTGCTGCCAGCAGGGCTGCACCCTGTGTTGCCTAACTTGGAGCTCAGGTGGAAAAGTGGCATAGCTTGGATCCGAGGCTAGGAAAAGTGGCCAAGAGTAGCAGGCATAGCTCATAAAACCTGCAGGGGGACTACAGACTTGCAGGTACCTGGGGCAAGAAAGTACAAATGGAGGCATACAATACATCACATAAGGCCTCTAAGAGAAATTAGGTGATACTCTTTGGAAAATTAAGACAGTGAAAATCAACTATGTTGATATGGTTTGGCTGTGTCTCCACCCAAATCTCATCTTGAATTGTAGCTCCCATAATTCCCACGTGTTGTGGGAGGGATCCAGTGGGAGATAATTGAATCATGGGGGCGGTTCCTCCATACCGTTCTCATGGTAGCAAATAAGTGTCACAAGATCTGATGGTTTTATAAGGGGAAACACGTTTCACTTGGTTCTCACTTCTGTCTCTTGTCTGCTGCCATGTAAGACATGCCTTTCACCTTCTGCCATGATTGTGAGGCCTTCCCAACCATGTGGAACTGTGAGTCCATTAAACCTCTTTTTCTTTATAAATTACCCAGTCTCGAGTATGTCATTATCAGCAGCATGAAAATGGACTAATACACATATACACAGGGAGACTGAAAAAGCCACACATTATGCTCAGAAAAAACCTGAGAGGACCTAAGCCTTCACCTTGGGCTGATTCCAAGGGTCAAATCATGCCCAGGTAATGAGTAGAGGAATGCCCTGGCACAGAGCCAATCTGCAAAGACTGTTAAAGGTGGCTGTTTTTCAACTGCCCAATTTTCAACAACAACAACAACAACAACAAAAAAATCACAAAGTATACAAGGAAATAGAAAAATATGACCCATTCAAAGGAACAAAATATACTTCTAGGAGCCATCCCTGAGGAAACACAGACATCAGACTTTCTAGACAAAGGCTTAAAAAATTTGTTCATAAATATGTTCAAAGAGCTCAAGGAAAACACAAGGAACTAAAAGAAATCAGAAAAATAATACATGAACAAAATAAGAATTTTAACAAAGAGATAGAAATTATAAAAAGAACCAAAAAGAAATCCTGCATCTAAAATATATAATAACTGAATTAAAGAAGTCACTAGAGTAATTCAACAGCAAATTTGAGATGGCAATAAAAAATAAAAATCAGCAAACTTGAAAATAGGACATTTGAAATTATCAAGTGTAAGCAGTTAAAAGCATTAAAAAGATGACAAGTGATCAAAGCCTAAGAGGACACCATTAATGGGCCAACATTTACATTCTGGGATTCCAAAAAAAAGAAGAAGATAGAAAAAGGCAAAAATTATCTGAAGCAATAATGGCTGAAAACTACCCAAATTTGAGGAAAGACATCAATTTACAAATCCAAGAAGCCCAATAAACACCAAGTATCATAAACCCAAAGATACACAGAGACACATAATGAAACTCTTGAAAGCCAAAGACAGAGAATGAGAATCTTGAAAGCAGCAAGAGAAAAGTGACATGTCACACATAAAGAATCATCAATAAGATTATTAGCCAATTTCTCAGCAGAAACCTTGGAGGCCTGAAGGCAGTGGGATGATATAGATAATTCTTTTTTTTGTTTGTTTGTTTTGTTTTTTGTTTTTTTTTTTGAGACGGAGTCTCGCTGTTGCCCGGGCTGGAGTGCAGTGGCACCATCTCAGCTCACTGCAAGCTCCGCCTCCCGGGTTCACACCATTCTCCTGCCTCAGCCTCCCGCGTAGCTGGGACTACAGGCACCCTCCACCTTGCCCGGCTAATTTTTTGTATTTTTAGTAGAGACGGGGTTTCACCGTGTTAGCCAGGATGGTCTCGATCTCCTGACCTCATGATCCGCCCACCTCGGCCTCCCAAAGTGCTGGGATTACAGGCGTGAGCCACCGCGCCCGGCTCTGTATCTGGAAAAACTGTCCAAAAAGGAGGGATAAATTAAGACATATTCAAATAAACAGAAGTAGATGGAGTTTATTACTACTAGGTCTGTCCTATAATAAATGCTAAAGGGAGCCTTTCAGGTTGAAACAAAAGGATGTTAGTAACTCGTCTCCATATAAAGATATAAAGATATCCAGTAAAGGTAAATATATCAGCGAATGTAATAGTATTATTATAATTTTGGTTTGTAACTCTACTTTTTGTTCTTATAGGTTTAAAAAAATCAAAAGCACAAAAGTTATTATAATTCTATGTTAACAAGTACACAATGCATGAAGATGTAATTTGTAACATAAACTGCAGACAGGGGACACAACTGTATAGGAATAGAGATTTTTGTATGCAATTTAAGTTAAGTAAGTATAAAATCAAAATAGGTTGTTATAACTTTAGGATATTTTATGTAATATCCATGATAACAATGAAGAAAATATCTGTAGAATATACATACAAAAAATGAGAAGGCTATCAAAATGTGTCACTTTAAAAAAAAAAACAACTAAACATAGAGGAAGATAGTAAGGGATAAAATAAGGAACAAAAAAGCTATAAAATATACAGAATACAAATAGCAAAATGACAAATACAAGTCCTTCCCCAACAGTAATTATTTTAAATGCAAATGGATTCAAGTTCCCAATCAAAATTGCATAGATTGGCAGAATAGAAAAAAAAAATCCAAATGAATGCTGCTTACAAGAGACTAACTTTAGATCCCGTGATACACTTAGGGTGGCTAAATTAATATCAGATATATTTTAAGCTGAAAACTGCTACCAGAGTCAATTCACCAAGAAGACATAACAGTTATAAAAATATATACACCAAACTTTAGAGCTCCAAAATATATGGAGCAACCAATGACAGCACTGAAAGGAGAAATAGAGAGCTCAACATTAGTAGTTGCAAGTTTCAATACTCCACTTTCAGTAATGGATAAAACAATGAGACAGAAGATTATAAGGAAACAGAGGACCTGAATGACACTATAGAGCAATTGGACCTAACAGACATATATGCAGAACTCTCCACTAAACAGCAGCAGAATACACATTTTTCTCAAATGCACATGAAACATTCTCCAGGATAGACCATATGTTGGACCACAAAACTCATCTTAATACTTTTTAAAAGATTGAAATTATAAAAAGCAATTACACAGAATTGCTTTTCTGATCACAATGGAATAAAATTAGAAATCAAAAACACAAAGAAAACTGGAAAATTCACAAATATGTGGAGTTTAGAAACACAAGTTTTGACATCCAAACCTTGTGATTTCCAAGAAGAAATCACAAAGGAAATTGGAAAATATTTGAAACCAAAGAAAATGAAAATGCAACACACAAAACTTACAGACAGTAGCAAAAGCAATGCTAGTAGGGAAATTTATATCTACAAACACTTATGCTGAAAAAGAAGAAAGATCTCAAATCAACAGCCTAACATTACAATGTAAGGAACTAGAGAAAAAAAGACCAAAAAGAAAAAGCCCTAGAAAACAAGAAAGAAGCTAACCCAAAAGATGGCAAAAAGAAAAAATAATAAAGATTAAGGTAGCAATAAATAAAATAGAGAAAATAGTGACTCCTGGTCTCAAAATGATAGCATAAAATCAAGTTGGCTTTACTCCCCTCTGTCTGCCACCCAGAAAACAAAAAACAAATATACAATCCTGAGATTATCACCAGCAATAACACAAAACTAATATATGAGAATGAGACACATTCTCCAAGACCACAGGGAAGTGAAAATACTCCAAGTAAATAGTAAGAGAATCATACTTCTGCATCTGTGACAACCCTTCCCCCATTCTGTGGAACCAAGCACAAGAAAAATTTCCCCCCAACTCATGGTTTCTATACTGGGAAAAGTGAGATCAAGATGGACAACCAATTTTTCCCAACATCTTAGGTTTCCCAGCAAGGCAACTGTCCCTGCCTTAACCCATCGCAAGTGCCAGAGGAGCAAAATGAGTCAAGGCAGCATAAGTCCCTCCTTAACCCATCACAAGTACCAGAGGAAGCATTGTAAGTGCCAGAGGAGAGAAATATCCCTGAAGACAGGCAGAGATAAAGCGGGGAGGTGGAACTACCAACCTCAGCTCTGACAACTCTGCTCTATAACTTGGCCAAAGGAGATGCCAAAACAGAGTAGCTATTCAACAACAACAAAGCCCCAGGGGCATGAACCCAGCCTTCCCACACTGCTGCGTTATGTTATTCCATTTCAGATCTCCCCCTTTTGGGTTGGGTAGCACTCTCGTAGTTCACTAAAGCCGAGACGAAGCTGGGATTAAGGTGCCACCTAGAGCCAAAAGACGCCAGTGACCTAGTGGTAAAGAATCTCTAAGAAAATATATCTAATAAAAACCGAAACAAGCCAGAGAGAGAAGCCTGGAATAAATAAATAATCCTTCAATGCAAAGACAAAGACATACAAAGAAGCAACAGCAAACAGGGACCTATGACCTCCCCAAATGAACAAAGCAAGGAACCAGTGACTGACCCTAATGAGAGAGTGATAACGAGAGCTCTTTGACAAAGAAATCAAAGTAGCAGTTTTAAGGAAACAGTGATCTCCAAGATGACACAGAAAAGCAATTCAGAAATTTATCAGAGAAATTTGACAAGGGGATTGAAATAATTTTTAAAATCAAACAAAAATCTTGGAACTGATAAATATATTTGTTGAACTGAAAAATTCATTAGAGGCTCTCAACAGCAGAATGGATCAAGCAAAGGAAAGAATCAGTGAGCTTGAAGACAGGCTATTAGAAAATACACAATCACAGGAGAAAACATGATGAAAAAAATAAAGACCACTTACAAGATATAGAAAATTACCTCAAAAGACCAGATCTAAGAACTATTAGTGTTCAAGAGAGAGTTAAGCAAGAGCAAGGGGTAGAAAATTTATTTAAAAAAATAATCACAGGAAACCTTCCTAAACTTCAGGAAGGTATAAATATCCAAGTCTAGGAAAGTCAGAGAATACCAAATAGATTTGACCCAAACAAGACTACTCCAAGGCATATAATAGTCAAATTCTCAAAGGTCAAGGACAAAGAGAAGATCCAAAAGCAGCAAAAAAAGAAAAAGCAAATAACATATAAGGGAGCTCCAATTCATTTGGCAACAAATTTATTAATGGAAATCATATAGGCCAGGAAGGAGTAAAGGACATTTTCAAACTGCTGGAAAACAAAACAAAACAAAACACACAACTGTCATCTAAGAATGCTGATTGCAGCAAAGCTTTCCTTCGAATATGAAGGAGATACAAAGCCTTTCCCAGATAAACAAAAGCTGAGAGAATTCACTACCACCAGGCCCATCTTATAAGAAATGCTAAAGAGAATTCTTCAGTTTGGAAGAAAAAAACACTAATGTGCAAAAAGAAGACATTTGAAAGTATAAAACCCACTGGTAAAGTTAAGTATACATGCAAGCCCAGAATATTATAACACTATAAATGCAGTGCACAATTCATTCATAATTCTAGTATAAAGCCCAAAAGACAAATATAGAAAAAACAATAACAGCTACAGCAACCTGGTAAGAGACAGGTAATATAAAAATATGTAAGTTGAGACAATTAAAAGTCAAAATGCAAGAGAGGGATGGAGTTAAAGTGCATTTTTTTGGTTTTGGTTTTTTCTTTGTTTCTATTCTTTTCTTTGTGATATAAGATAAGTTTTCATTGCTTTAAAATAACTCGTTATACCTACAAGATGTTTTATGTAAGCATCATGGTAACCACAGTGCAAAAAACCTATAATAGATTCACTAAAAATGAGAAGCATGAATCAAAACATACTACCAGGGAAAATCATTTAACCACAAAGACAGGAAGAAATAAAGAAAGGATGAGATGAGTTGCAAAACAACCAGAAAACAAGCAACAAAATGACAATAATAAAACTGTATATAAATGAACTCAATTCTCCAATTAAAAGCCATAAGGTGGCTGAATGGAAAAAGAAGCAAGACTAACTATCTTCTACCTGCAAGAAACCCACTTCACCTACAAGAAACACACTGCCTGAGAGTGAAGGAGTGAAAAAACATATTCCATGCAACTGGAAACCAAAATGAGCAGGAGTGGCTATACTTGTATCGGATAAAATAGACTACAAATGAAAGACTGTGTGTAAGAGACAAAGAAGGTCACTATATAACGATCAAGGGGTCGATTCAGCAAGAGGATGTAAGAATTATAAATATCTATGCACCCAACACCAGAGCTCCACTATATAAAGCAAACATTAATAGATCTAAAGGGAGAGATAGACTACATCACAATAATAGTTGGGAACTTTAACACTCCACTCTCAGTAATGGACAGATCATCCACAGAGAAAATCAACAAAGAAACAGCAGAGGTAAACTACACACTAGACCTAATGGGCCTAACTGACATTTACAGAAAATTCACCCACCTGCTACAGAATACACATTCCTTTCATCAGCATATGGAACATTCTCCAGAATAGATCATATCTTAGGCCACAAAATTCTGATGAAAATATTCAAAAAAGTAGGAATCATATCAAGCATCTTTTCTGATTACAATATAATAAAACAGACATCAGCAACAAGAGGAACCTCAGAAACTACACAAACACATTGAAATTAAACAGCATGGTCCTGAATGACCAATAGGTCAATGAAGAAATTAAGAAGGACTTTTTTTAAGTCTTCAAACAAATAAAAATAGAAATAAAACATATCAAAATCTATGAGACAAAGCAAAAGTAATACTAACAGGGAAGTTTGTAGCAATACACGCCTATCTCAAAAAGTAGAAGGTCGGGCATGGTGGCTCACACCCTGTAAGTCCTGTGCTTTGGGAAGCCGAGGCAGGAGGATTGCTTGAGGCCAGGAGTTTGAGACCAGCCTGGACAACATAGCAAGACCCCATCCTTATAAATTATTTTTTTAATTAGCCGAGTATGGTAGCATGTACCTGTGGTCCTAGCTAATCAGGAGGCAGAGGCAGGAAGATTACTTGAGCCCTGGAGTTTGAGGCTGTAGTGACTATGATCATGCCACTGCCCTCCAGCCTGGATGACAGAGTAAGACTTGGTCTCAAAATAAAATAAAATAAAATAAAAAATAAAGTAGAAAGACAGTATCTCAGTGGCTTGCACCAAGGCCACGGAGCCCTGCTGCCTGCCTGGGAAGCTGTAAGGGGCAGCATGTGGTTCACATTTCGGAGCCCAAAGTAGGACACACAGCTCAGCCTCTTTGCCAGGATGATAAAGGACAATGGGAAGAAACCAAAATTGCAGGGCCAAAAAAATTTCAGAGGCTTTAATAAAAACACAGGCTTTGAAGTTAGGAATGAGGCAAGCTCCGTAAGAGCCAAATCAAGACCCACAAATTGAATACATAGAAAGCGTGATAAATGGAGCCCCAATTAAAGAGCAGCTTGGCTGTCTGCTGGAGGCTTCGTGGGTGGCAGTCTTCCTTCCCTCTCCCTCTCTAGACTCTATTCATTCACCCCTTCCCTCCCCCAGCATTCATGGACATGCTCTCACCATGATGGATGGCTCACACAGGCTCTGCCCTCAACAGAGCTCAGGCAATTCACAGAGCTAAAGCTTCTTTGCCTTGCAAAAGAGGAGCAGTAACACATTAATAATAATAAAATAATTCATTTTATCATGCAAAAAGCAATCACCAGCACCTACCTATGCCAAACGCCTTCTGAGCCCTTTCTGGCTCCCTCCTTTGTGACCTTCCCTTTGCCTCCTCTCTCCATGCTTCTCCTACCCAACCTGAGCTCAGGCCATCCCAAATTCCTCCAAGCACATGCTTTTCCTTGTGCCTGCAATGCCCTCCCCTACCTTGTCTGAAAAACTCCCACCCACACTTCAAAACCTCACCTTGCAATCACCAGCCCCTGCCCCAGCCCCTTCAGCATCTTTCTATTTCTACGCTTATGTTGTATTATACAGCATCTACCTGTCCCCACCGGACCAGGAGCTCCTTGACTCTGAGGACCATGTCTTGCTCATCTCTGAATTCTCAGTGCCGAGCACAGTGCCTGGCACATGGTGGATACTCATTAAATGTGCACTAATAAATGAATAGGAAACACAAGGGTAAGATGTAGTTCCAGTTTGTTAGAAGAGGTATGATCCATATGCAAGTAACCACACCATAAGGAAAATGTAATGAAACCACAGGTGAACTATCTAGACAACTATCAGATTTCAGAGGATAAGAGAAATTATCTGAGCCTGGTGAGTAAGTGAAGGACACACATGAATAAAGCCATAAGAGTTGATGTAGAAGTTCCACAAGCAATTTTCTAGAACTCTCTGGGATGTTAGGGTCCCTGTTTGCCCTCTTGTATTCCTAGAGCAGGGAATGAATTTGACAGCTGGGGTGTGCGCGTGCTTTCAGGCAGTCTGGTCATGCTGGAGTTTAGGGAGAAGAAAGCCCGGTGTTGTGGGGAGAACGAAGGGACTAACTAGATATTGCAGAGTTTCTTTCCCCTCTGCTTGATAAAGGGACTACCTAGCATTGCAGAGCTTCTTTCTCCTTCTGTCCTGATGTTTTTTGCCTCCCTCATTCTTTCTGTTCAGGTGAAGCAGAGCAATTGGGCAGTTACAAGCTGACCCTTTGGAAACTGAATTCTGTCACAGATGGCCTGTGTCTGTATGTTATTTGAGGCTCAGATTCCTCCTCTGGAAGCAGGACATAAATGCCTACCTCAAAGGTATTGTAGGAATGAAACGGAACAGGCATGTCCTATCTGTCAGGGTTCAGAGCAGGAAGCAGAAACCACACTAGCCAGAAAGGGATTGAAGACAGGGAATTACACACTCACGAAAGCATGTGGAGGAGTGGGCTGGAGGCTGGGCCCTGGGGAGTTACTCCCAGAATGCACAACACTTGTTTCCCATGCCACAGTCAGGAGCATGGGGAATCAGAGGTCCCACCGCGAGAATGGTTAAGTTCCCAGCTATGAGGCTGCAGGCCAAATAATGGTCTCCCCTGACATGAATTCATGAGGGTGGGGGAGGCCCAGGTGGAGGTGGGGCAGCTTCCCATAGAAAGGCCTGGAAGGGGCGAGAGTGAGGACACACAGACCTGCATCTGAGCTCCATGGATACCAGCCCTTTAGGCAAGGACGAGGTGAGACGAGGCGGATCTCTTGTGTAAATCAAGCTAAAAGCAATACTGAACAATTCAAACAAATCAGTAAGTCCAACAAAGTTCATTTCCCATAGATGACCTATCAAATGCTTTTATTACAATACCAAATTCTTTCTCTGCAACCATTGGTTGCCCTAAGAACATGCTTGATCATCTACTGAGCACTGCCCAGAGACTCCAAGAACAAACTACATGAGACTTTGAGTGTTTCTGGAGGGCCTGTGTGTGGCCAGTGAGTGAAGCAACCAGAGAGATTTGGGCCCATCACAATTATTGAATATGATAAAAACCCACAGGGAAATGGTCTGGGGATATCTTGGACTTTATGGCATTTTAGACATAATTTGTGATGGTCTAGAGTTTCCTGAGGCAATATTTTTCTGCCTCATGAGCCAAAGGAGTAGACATTCAAGACCCTGAACTGGAATTACCCCTCCACTGTGAAGCTCCCCCATGGCCCCTGCAAGCCCCTCATCAGTAGTGAGACCAGTCCTTGCTGGGGAAGGCATTTGGCACAGAAGCAGCTGAAAACTGCCCCTGCCTTGCTCTCAACACTCACAACATCACTGTGCACATTCTATTCAGGCTTGGATTCCGGGAAAACCGTTCAGGAAAGAACCACACGGATAAAGACCCTGTTCTTTTCATTCACGTGGTACAGGGCAGCTCCTGAAAAACATGCAGAAAATCAATCTTCCCTTTCTTCCTTTCTCCTCCCTTCTTTCCTGCCTTCATTTTGTCTTCTTTCCTCCCTTTCCTTCCATCACTCTCTCCCTTCTCCTTTCCTTCTTTTCTTCCTTCCTTTCTCCAATTATTTTTTCAACAAATATTTATTATGCACCTGCTATAACCGAGAAATGTTCCAGGGCCTGGGCATAGAATAAGGCAAAAATCTATGTCCTTATTGAGCTTGCATTCTACTCTGGGTGACATGTCATAAACAAATATGGGACATCATACTGGGTAGTGATGAGCGATACAAAGAAACATGGAGCACAGTAACATGGATGGAGTGGGGCACAGAGAGAGTCTTTTAGATGAGGGCTTCAGGAAAGGCTTCTCTAAGGAGAAGGCAAGGCAGGGGGCAGCAGGTGCAAAGGCCCCAAGGCAGGGAAGTTCTGGCTAGGTTTGAGGAGCAGAAAGGTGGCCATTGTGGCTGCAACCAAATGAGTGAGGGGAAGGGAATACGTAGTTGGGCTGGAGGGCAACAAGGCTGGATCCTGCAGGACTTTATACTCCCTGACAAGGACTGGGCTTTTATTCAAGGGTAAGGAGCACTCTGGAGGTTATGAGCAAGGGAAGGAGATAATCTGACGCTCATTTTAAAAAATTCATTCTGTATACATGCTAAAGTATTTAGGGGGAAGAGTACTCATGTCTACAATCTACTTTGAAATGCGTCAAAAAACAAGATGGATTGAGGGACAGAGAGAAGAACAAAGAGATGGAGAGATCTATGATAAAAACAAATGCAGTAAAATGTTTGTAGTTGAATCTAGAGGTGGTATAAAAATATTCCTTAAAAAATTTATTCTTTTCTGTGTGAAAATTTTCATAATAAAGTGTTAAAGAGACATTCGCTCTGGCTGCTGCACGGGGACACACTGGAAGACAGAGTGGGTACCGGGAGGTGCCTGTGGCCACAGGCTATGGGCTGTGGACCAAGTAGGTGGCCAGGGATGAGGGGACTCATGAAATTAAAGAGCCTCCTATTTAATGGGAAATTACAATGGGAAAAGACAACAGAAAGTTTGTTTGAAAGGGCATTCGGGCATCAAGGAGTAAGTGGAATCAGTTGTGAGCTGGGACACAGCTAATGTAGGTGTGTAGGTGCCTCTTCAACCTGCTGTGTGGCCTTGAGCAAATGACCTGATCTCTCTGAGCCTCCATTTCCTACATAGTAAAATGAAGGTCCAGAATATACCATACAGTGTTCTTTTCAATAGTATCCCTCACATAATTGTACTAGGAGAAGGCTGGAAATGTAGTAGATACTTAATAAATGCGGGTTCTCCTAAAAGGGGGCATGGAGAGCACTTGAAAATAATTGGTGATATTAATAGCCACTTGAAACACAAACTCTGCTAGGTTAAAACAACAAAGATGACATTAATTCCACTAACATTAATTCCATATAATATCAATATTGTACTAAAACAAGGAAGGCGATCTGAAACTGCCATGATAAATTTTTTATAATTAAAAAAATCCTTAAATAACACAGGAGCCCTTAGTCAAGGAAGAAATAAAAGAAAATACATGAGGTTCCCCTTTAACCTCTGAGAGGACTCCTGGACATTTTCAAGCATAATGCATCAATCTGTATCCTCTAAGCCCTGCTTCCAGTCTATATAAACACACTTCGCTTCCAGTAGTCTTTCTGACTATTACTGACGTTAATAAAAAGAAGGAACAAATTTCAATCCAAAGCTTACAGTCATAGCCTCAACACTTTGTGATCTCACTATTGACTTTCCTATGTCTTCAAACTTTTAAATTTTGGCTAAACCCAAGAGTAAAAACTGCCAAAATGGTATAGACAATACATCCTTTTATAAAGGTATTGGAAAGTTCCTATGATATGTCCAGTAAATTGAAATTTCTGTGCCAAACCAGCTTGAATCAATTGATTACTCCAAGCTAAAACATTCCCTCCAATTCTCTTTCTTTCTCTCTTCTCATTCCTTTAACTCTCCCTTCCCCCAAATCCCCCTGGAATTGCCTCACTCTCCTGAAACCTCTGACTCAGCTGTATCAATAACAGGAAAAATAATTAGAAGTCAGGAGGTCAAATGCTCCAAATGCCCGTTTGACAATTTGCTCTTTTCCCACCAGTGCTTGGCGTCTTGGTTTCCTTGTGGGAGCAGTTTTTGTGAGTCCGAGTCACTCAGGTAGTGGAAAAACGGTCCAAGAGTGGCATTTTGAGCCTGGTAAGAATCCTGGTTCAAATTCCACACCGGGAGGAATGCTGTCAGTCAGGGCAGCTTGTCTGCTTTGCTACACAGGTCAGGGAACAGCGAAGAATCCAGGAGGCTTCTGTTGGGTACTAACTGAGATGCTTGCCCCACCCAACCTTGGTGATTTAATGTTCAGGGAGTTTTGATGTGTTTGATGACTTTAAAACACAATAATAATTACAGGATTAATTATCGTTTAAGATACCAGGCCCAGCGTTTTACGAGATTAACTCATTTGATCATCACAATAACCCCATAAAGTAGACACTAGTATTGTCTGTCTTTTGTAGATGAAGAAACCAAGGCACAAAAGGCAAAGAGACTGGCCCAAGATCACAAAACCAGTGAGTGGGAGGGCTGGGAGTTGAACATGGGCAGGCCAGATGCTTCACCACTACATTATATCTTTTCAAACTCAATCCAGTCTCCTCTTCCAGTACTGGTCACCCCACATTAGTTCCATTAACATCCCCAAGGCCAAGCCTCATGGCTGGTGATAAAACTGCTTACCTGTCCAGACACGGTAGCTCACACCTGTAATCCTAGCACTTGGGGAGGCCTAGGAGAGTGGATCGCTTGAGGCCAGGAGTTCAAGACCAGCCTGGCCAAC
Source organism: Homo sapiens (assembly GCF_000001405.40). Taxonomy (NCBI): domain Eukaryota; kingdom Metazoa; phylum Chordata; class Mammalia; order Primates; family Hominidae; genus Homo; species Homo sapiens. Next base: position 35,486,261 of record NC_000007.14, read on the forward strand.
ATGGAGAAAACCCAGGGGTCTCTATTAAAAATATAAAAATTAGCCAGGCATGGTGGCACATGCCTGTTATCCCAGCTATTTGGGAGGTTGAGGCATGAGAATCGCTTGAACTTGGGAGCCGGAGGTTGCAGTGAGCCAAGATCACACCACTTTTCTCCAGCCTGGGTGACAGAGCAAGGATCTGTCTCAAAAACAAACAAACAAAAAAAACAAGAACAAAAATTGCCTACCCTGTGATCAGTTACATCTTCTGACTTAAACAGGTGCTGAGCATTTCCTAGCAATATATAAAAATAAAGTAATAAAAACAACAAACTTGAATCCTGCCAGAATTCAGACTTAAATGTCTATAGACACTGACAGACCGAGTTGGCCCCAATGAAGTCAGGAGGTCAAATGCTCCAAATGCCCCTTTGACAATTTGCTCCTTTTTCACCAGTACTTGGCGTCCTGGTTTCCTTGTGGGAGCAGTTTTTGTGAGTTTTGTGAGTCCAAGTCGCTCAGATAGTAGAAAAAAATAAATGATCCAAGAATGGCATTTTGGGCCTGGTAGGAATCCTGGTCTGAATTGAAGTCAGACCGTGGGAAAGACAGCAGAATCCCCTGAGCAAAACTTCATCATGAGGGGCAAGGAATCTGATGCTGCGGCCCAGCCCAGCTGTGGGACCCCACACGAGGAGTAAGTGAGATTCTGGGCACAAAATGACCCCAAATCCCTGACATATACATGCTGCTACTTAAGTGTCAGGTATATATCCTGGGATAAAAAAGGTGTGTCACTCGAAGGAGCTTGAAGAGTCTTGCTCTGCTCTCAGCTGATTTTAACATCAAGGGAGGTGGGGGTAGGTGTGGGAGTGGGAGGTGCTCGCACTCCCAGGAGAGCAACTTGGATTCCATGTGCAGAGCCTGAGAAGAGTTGCAGCTTTCTAGCACTGAAACTTGGGATGGCCTGCCAGCTGCAACTCCCCTGAGGGTGGTCAGGTTTCCTTGACCCTGAGCCTCAGAAAGCCCCAGTGGCCCAGCTCTTCCACCCTTGGGCAATGGTGTGGGCAGCAGGGTAGGGTTCAGCTCAGAGGGGCATCTCTGAGATACCTACAGGGCCATCTATTTACCAGCCATGGTAGCCAGCAATGACCAGAACTGATTCTCAGATGCATGCATGCGCCCCTCGAGCCTTTCCAGATAATGCAGCTCAGGGAGGGAAATTCTTCCCAAGACTGAAATGCTTACAGATCAGTTGGTTGGAACTCATAGCCTTCAAGGGCCCGTTTAATGCAGCCACCTCCCTACTCACTGGCTCGTGAAGCCTGAGTAGTCAGGACATGGACATTTCGAAGCTGGGGAATTCTGACTTTGATATTAAGTGGGTGCTGAAAACACAAGGCAAAGTGTCCATGTCTCTGGATTATATCTCTGGCCAGCTTCAAACCCCATGATTGTCTGCATGATACAACATAAGACTGGCATTAAAAAGCGCTATGGGAAAGAATAAAAGTGCTACAAGCACCTGCTCTTCTCCTAGGGACCCCTCCAGGCATCTGTTCATGCCAGTATGCCTCAGCTCCATGACATTCTGGGCACCATTTAATTCTGTCCTTGGCTCTTGCTCCTTTTCCCCCTCCCTGGATGAATTATCTGTTTTTGGCTGTCTATTTCAGTTCAATACTATGCACCACCTGTTCCAGTGTTGCAACTATGGGGGAGACCTTCCTGGTTCTGCAGCCCAGTGGGCCCTCCCCATGCCTAGGCTCCCTCCTTGGAGAGAAGGAGAATAGAATACAAAGAGCCTGGGTCTTCAGCATTTTAGAACCATCTTCTTGCATTGACCTGCGAATGCCAAAGCCTGCCCAGCCACACCCTGCAACTGGCAGTGAAGCCACTAACTCTGGATGAAGCCTGGTGTGGGTCTAGCTTAATCACAGGGACCATCTCAAGTCATCTGACTGGTCTTCATGTGCTGCTTTCCACCCGCCCAAACACCAGCTCACACAAGGCTCCTTCAAGGACTTGATTTAATACCTCTGCTTTACAACAGAGCAAAATGAGATTCACAGAGTCCATACAGCAAGTCAGGAGCAGAGCCACTGGAGTTACAATTCAGCTCTTAGCTGCTACAAACAGCCATGCTTATTCCTCTGCTTGTTTCCTCTGGGATTCAGTGAATGAACTTGAACCAGGCCTAGGAAGATCACCAGCCAAAAGGTTGTTTTCCACAGCATAACACACCTGGGAAGGGAAACCTAGAGAGCGGCATAGAATCTGCAAACCTGGCAGCCTGCAGATCTTTTCTCAAGTAGGAACCCTGAGGCAGAGGTGAAATCATTTTTATTTGGTCCTTTAATGCTTTAGTTTAGCTTTGGCATCAATCGTTCACCAATTTCCTTAAGTATTTGTGTCTCATATTTAATGAAATCATTTTCAATAACAATACCCCAGGATGTAGGATCTTGTGATGAGTCACAAATATAACCCTGTGTTTTAAATCTTTATTAGCAGCATCACAAATTATTGGTTCATTTACCAGGTGAAGTAAATTAACATCAGCTTTTATCATATTATGATAAATTATAAATAACTTACAGCTAAATAAAGTCTATCTCTTGCCAAGCTCCAATAACTCTGTAGTAAAATGACTGTCAGACCTCAATAGCTACCAGCATTGAACTATCTGATGTTGCCGACACGCTTCCATGAGGGAAACCCAAAACTATGCCCATTTCACAAGGTGACCTCTCCTATTAAATAGTAAGATGACAAGATCAGGTGAAATCCACATAGATAATCTTCCTTGCTCTGCAGACTGGCCTGTGCATTTATCTCCCCCTTGGAGACAAGAAAACATCCACAAAGTGAAGGTAAGGATTTGGAAATTGTATCAGTAGTCATTTCTGCTGTATACATCTTTTTTCTGCCATTCCCCTAAAGTCCTGGTAGGCATTTTCTTACCTTGACCTCAAACTTCTCCCTAAAGGGTAGCCAGCAACTTTTAGGGTCCAACTTTTGGATCAAACATGAGCACCTACACAGGTACCTCTGGACTCCCTGACACACGGCATCACCACCTCATTTTAGGGAGTTGAGACTCCTAACACCTGCAGGGCTAGTGTGAAAACCATGCTTCCATGCCCCTCAGCATCCTGGTACAAATTCCAGATTATTTTCATGGCAAAGCCTTTGGGGGTAAGTTTGGTGCTATTCCTGACAGTGAGGGATGCAGGATTTCAAAGTAGGCCTACCACCAGGGAAGAGAAGCCCCAGAGTTCATAAAGTCCCCTTAGTTGAGTCTTCCTGTGGGTGTGGCTGTCCCTAGACTTTCATTCATAGGCCAGGTTATAGGGCCTAACTTGGAATCTTCTGGTGTTTGAATTACCATGTGCAGCCCATCCCTTGTTGCTGACAGCATTATACCTTTGGGCTTTGGCCATGTGGCTGAGAGAAAACATACTGAGTTTCTACTATAAATTATGTACATGTTCCTCAAGTCTCTGGCTCTAAAGTCTAACCATCATGATCATTTTTAAAAAGTGTTTTTTATGTGTGTGAATTGGAAAGGCCAGGAATTTCCACAACGGTTCTGACTTTGAACTCTAATATATTTTTTAAATTAAACTAATTTAATTTTCTTTAAAGGATGAAAAGCCTCTTTTAAATCTAGATTTTAAAAAATTCTTATTTCACCATCTGTGATAGCTGTGTTACTTAGACCTTAGTTAATTTCCTACTTTTTTCCGTGTTTCTAAACAGTTGGTGAAAACATCTTCTTACTTTCTTACAAAATTATCTAATCATTGAAAAATCAATTTGTATATTTTTTGGCAAGTATCTTTTGGGTATGAGACATTTCATTTGTAATTTTGCTATAGGTCAAAAAGCTTGGTATTCCTTCCTAATGCCTCATATTTTTCTTAAAGTGAAACACGTTTCTTTCACTCTAAGAGAGGGATCATACTGACTTCAAATGGAGCTTGAAAGAATTCAATGAGATGTGTATACACTCCAACTACCAAAGACTTGGGCACATAATAGGTACTCCTGCCTTCAATATTTTCTGTAGCAAGAACATATTACCTAGTTGTTCTCAATTTCTGCTGAATCACCTGGGGATCTAGAAGGTGAAAACTGAGAGTCCTAGCAAAAACTAAGACTGACAGTGGCCAATCCCCCATGAATAAAGTTACTGGGATTGGGACTGATAAGTGTGCAAACCAAGTACCCACTGGGTGTAGATGTGATACCACCCAAAGGGACAGAAATTCAACTCGAGGAAAACACATTCCACATGTTTGATGAAAAACACTGAATTTCGCTAGATTTCTGCATGATGAAGGGTGAGTGCATTTTAAAACAGACCATTATGGAAAAACATGAAACAAATATTTGAGACCAAGAAAAAAGAAACACTGCATTGAATACTATGAGGAAGAGTGAACCTCTGAAAGGAATCTTCTGTCTGAACAAGAGGGCATTTTTCAGAGAGTGCTTGGCCTTCTTAATTAGATGTAAAAAAAGATTATCCATGTGTATGAAACAGAAAGCTAAATAAGGAAAAGACAGGCTGAGATAAAAAGACAACATGATGATAACTATAAAGGGAGATGAAAAAGACAATAGAGGAAACCCAAAAAGACAATGAAAGAATTAAAATCCTCATTGTGGGCAGCAGGGAGTAGATTAGAGGCTGCAAGAAACAGAACCAATATATGAAGGGTAAACTAGAGAAACTACCCCCAGAATGCAGAGGCCCACAAAGAGATGAAAATGAAAAAAGATATGAGAAGTCAGGAGGACAGGAAATTGACAATCACCTATAAACATTACAAGTGTCTTTGAGGTACAAAAAATTAAAACATTTTAATTAATGATATAATTTTTAAAGACATTTCCTGAGGGAAAGAGGATGTTCCACTGTTCAGGATGAAGGAGTCTTCACTAGTCCAAAATCAATGAAAATAAGCCCACGTCTACATATTTTTGGAAAAATATTTTAATTTCAATAACAAATTTTTAAAGTCCCACATATAGCTAAATTGCATGCAAAAGAGTAACACTTAAGCTGGCCTCAAGCAACTGTGCAATTCTGAGGACCAGAATACAAAATTCCACTACAAATTTCCAAGCAGGAAAAGGGTGATGGAAAATGCAGACAAAGTGTCTTTCATGTGGGAAGACATTCCAGTTATGTAGCATCCACGTGTCCTTACAGAGCAAAATGATTGAAGGCATGCACTAACAAAGACAGCAATCAAATTAGCAACCTTAAAGCATTTTCCTTCACTCAGTTGGGTGCAAGACTCAGGCAGTTATTTGGATTATGTGTTGCAGGTAGATTCTGCAAACTATTTGGTTGATGCAAAAGTAATTGTGGTTTTCATCATTACTTCAATGGCAAAAACTGCAATTAATTTTGCACCAATGTAATAGCATTAACCTGGCCTGTTAAAGTTCCTGCTTCTTTCCAATAATAGAAAATGTATTTCTAACTCCACATTCTTCCCTTCGTGTAGAGGGAAACCCCTTGCATTTCATGACCATGGGTTCCGTTCCATCACTTTCTAACAATGACAAAATGTTTTACACAGTTGGAATACTTTGTCAAGAGAAGCGTTCAAATAAATGCTTAAATGCAGCTTTGTGTAGCAGCATAGATGATCAATGCTTATCGTCCAAGAGCTGGAGTGATTTTGCATCTTTCAGAGTTATTTGTTTAATGAACTGAATCACTGGGCTTTCTAATTAATAAAGATCAGGAACGGATATCCTCATCATATAATCTTCCTGCCAGAAATTGTGAATTTCCTTCATTAAGTGTGCTTGAAAATCAAATACACAATATAATCTTGACTATGTTTAAAAATGGATAGAAAAAAAGCTGTCAAGACATATGCCAATAAATTAGCAGTGATTATACATCAGTGATAAAAGATGGGAAATCTTTTGCTTCTTTTTTTACTTTCAGTACATTTTCTAAATGACATGCACAATGTACCTTTAGCTTTATAATCAAAAAGAAATAAGCTTTTAATAACTATTATTTGTAATGTATTTTTCATCTAATTATAACTATGTGAAAAAATATGTAACTCAAAAGGATTAGCAATAAGTACACAAATGTGCTAACAGCAATGATATCTAGGTGGCAACATACAGGTTGAATTCGTTTTCTTCCTGCTACATTTCCATATTTCAAAATTCTCAATACTAGCAATAAATAACAGAAATTCAACATATGGATTTTTTTTTCTTTTTCTATCCTGGTCAAGAGCATCAAGAATGAAGACGATGTGGGTGAGCTGCACTTTTCGGGGTCTTCAAATGGGTCCTGCACTAGCGGCAGGAAAGCCACAGGCCTTCCTTCCTCCACAAAGTCTGGATGGCTACTGATCCAATCAAGTGGCTCCCTCGCCCCGAGTCCTCCTTTGTGGTCAGGACAGTGTCCTAGGATCTCCTGGCAAACAATTTCACTGAGCGTCCTTGAAGAATCCACAAGCCATGAGTACCTTCCTCATAAGCCATAGACTCCCCGGGACCCGCTCCGCTCAATCCTGGTGTGTGCCTCTCTCCTCCACCCAGGTCAGTAGGAGCTTGAGGAGGTGAGGGGGCCGGCCCTTGAGACCATCGCTGCAGTGTGTTTTCCTAAGCTAAGAAAAGCAGCCCCACTGACAGAAAGGTGAAATGTGAACTAAAAATAGAGTGGCGCTAGCCCAGGTCGTGGGGGTTGAGGCAGCAAACGGCAGACACAACAGAAGGGCTGGCTGAACTGAGGACAGACGGCTCCTCCCGCCCCCACATCTGTCTCCACCAGACCCTGTCTTCTGTGGCTTCCACCAATGCTTGGGGCGGACCTCAGAGCCCAGCATCTCTCTCTGTTTGTTCCAGAGCGCTGCTGGCATCCCAAGACGATTCCAAAGGGTTGGTTCAAGAAAGAGAAGCCACTCCTTTCTGTGGCTCTTGCTGGCTTAGGGAAAAGTCATTCTTACCTGGAGAATTGAAGAAGCCCTTGCTAAAACAGAACATTACCAGGGCCGGAAATGTCCAGTGGAGTTCCAGAAAAATGCATTCCACAACTGAAATCCCAAATCTGCTCTTGCTGGCCCAGCGAGGCTTTCCAGGAAAGAAGTCCCACTGGGCTTTGCTTGTACTATAAGCAGCAGACAGAATGGGAGCTAGTCTGGGATGAGACAGGCCACGCTTGAAAATTTCATTTTCTACATCTGTACACATGGGTGCGTTGCTACCACCGCATTGTAGCGCTGTGCCCGCTGCAGATGCCCGTGACTTGCTTCCTGTGAACAGCAAACACAAGTCACTGAAATTTCAAGATATAGCAGAAGGACCCAAATTATCCTTCGGGTGTTTGCTTTCTCTTTTAAAAAGTGTGCTACAGACTGATATCGATAAGCTAAAGATGCACATTGAAGCTCCTAAAAGAACTGCTTTTGGGGGTCTCAGCCAGAACCCCTGCAGCAAAGACAATTCTGTTTTGGGAGTTTCAATTGAACAGGTGTAGGTAGAGAGAAGGGACCCCAAGCAGATTATGAGGCCGCGCAGGACCAGCAATGGCAGAAGCCATGGTCAGCCCCAGCTCTGAAGGAACAGGAAGAAAATGCTGTTACCCACAATTTGTTACTGGTAAGGAATAAGAAGCAAGTAGGATTTCAAACTATTCAAATGCATGCAGAGCACAGGCCCATCACCATCACACCATACCACAGGAAGGCTAATGTGAGCAGGTGGCACAGGCTGCCGTGGCAGGCCACTCAGCTCAAATCCCTGTCTGCCCATCAGTGGTCCATACTCCAGCCCTCTAGCTCTGTATAAAAGTATCTAAAAGAAGCAAATCTATACACCTTGTTAAATCCTATATTGTCCCCATATAAATTCAACTTTGTCTAACTCAGGCCGCACTGATTTTCAACCCTGACTCAACAGTTTGAATCCACTCTATAGCTTAGTGATCGCAGAACCATTGTGAATTCTCTAACACTTCTGGCCTCAGGCATTTTGGATAAGGGCTGCTGCTTAGATTTTCATCATAAATCCTGGGAATGACTGGCTCCCGCCCCACTGCTCACTCCTCTTCCCCTCCAAGTTTCCAATCAGATGGAAACAAAGGACCTGCTCTATGATTATGGGGCCAGGTTTTGATATCCCTAATCCAGAGCTCTTTGGAAAAAGCTGAATTAGAGCTTGACCCTGAGGCTTAGGCCATTCATTCAGTTCCTGTTCTCTTGTCTTCTGATCGAAGATGAGTGGGCTGCAGGGTGACCCCAGGTTGCCTTGGCCACCAAGTCATATGGTCAGCAGAGGAGGAAACACAGAAAGACAATGTGGGTGGTCCACCCAGGGAATGCAGTGGGCTTACTATTACTATACGGGACAGGACCTAGAAACTGGGAGCATGGTGCAGAGTGCTGACCCTTACAGCCACCAACCCCAACTTAAAGTCAATAAGAGCCTACTAGGAACTCAGGTCTGAGACAAATCAGGTTAACGTTTTTCCAGGAGATGCAGTTAGTATGGGGGTTAACACTGGGGTGAAATCTTGGTAAGACAGAATTAAAGTTCCCTTTAGAACAGTTCCTTCCAGAGGCACCTTGCTTGAGCTGTTTAAAGACACACATTTAATTTCTCCAGCAGAAAATAAATTCATCAGGAGAAAAGAAAAGCCATGTTCAATGATGGACTACCCTTTTTCCAAGTCACCAAAGGAGATGGCCCACTTCTCAGTATAAAAATATACAATGTCTTACCTCCAAATGGCCCTTTACAATTTTTTAAAATCTTATCTTACTGTAGTAAGAACATTTAACATGAGATTTACCCCCTTAGCAAATCTGTGTTTTACATGGTGTCATTGACCATAGGCACAATGTCATGCAGCAGGTCTCGAGAATGGATTTATCTGCTTAACTAGAACTTGATGTCCATCAACTAGCAAACGCCCCATTTCCCCCTGCCCCCAGCCCCTGGCCACCACCATCCTACTTTCTGCATCTATGAGTTTGGCCACTTTAGATATCTCATAGAAGTGGAATCATGCAGCACTTGCCCCTCTGTGTCTGGCTTCTTTCACTTAGCATAATGTCCTCCAGGTTCATTCAAGTTGTTGCGTATTGCAGAATTTCCTTCTTTTTTATTAAAAGCACTTCCAGGGAGGTAATTTCCCACTGCACCTCTGACCACCTGCTGTGAAGTAGGCATGGCCACCAGTGGGGAGTAACGGAGAGGGGAGTGAAGGTCTGCTTTCCAGGCCCTCTAACCAGATGGCTGACCTCTGATCACCAGTTATGGTCTCTGAGCATCTGTTTCTTCTGTAAAATTAAGCGATTATATTAAATGCCACTAAGGTCTCTTCTGCCTTTGAGTGGTTACAATCCTGTGTGGATTAGATAATGCAGTGAACATGTGTCTAGGGGTGGTATCTATAGACATCCACATATGGATGTTTAAATGAATACATTTCCTCTCCAAGGTCTTTGACATTTGGGAAAAGAAGTTTGTTTAATGGTAGTTCCAACACTGAATTCCATAAGTAAAAAGCATTATTTTCAGCATCTTCCTCTGGTATGCTTTTTTGTTTTCCTTAGAAAATGCCATAATATAAATGTTAAGATCATTATAGAAAAGGAATCCTTCCTGATGAGCTTGGGATCCTATAGTAATTATATTAACCCGGGCCTTTTATTGCTGGTTAATGAAATTCTTTTAAAATTGAACCAGCTTCAAGTAAACTGATTTGCATTGATTTGGTGATGTATAGAGCTCAAGCCACTCTATGTATAAGCAAATTAAAAGCCTGAAGCCTGTATAGTCAGGCTGCATAGTCTCCGGCTGGAAAATTGATCCCATGATTCCCTCCAGGGACACTTTGCTTTGGGGTTGGTGCTGTTTAAAGGGACACAGTCAATTTCTTTGGCAGGAAATAAATTAATTAGGAGAAAAGAAAAATCTTGTTCGATGCTGGACTAAACCTTTTCCCAAGTCACCAAAGACAATTTTTCTAATGGAAAAATCATCTTGGATTCCTTCTAAGTCCATCTCACACCCCTGGAAATGACACAACAAAGGTGAAGCTTCTGTTGTAACTGAGCATCTTCCCAAGCTGCTCTCACTGCATATCCCACATGGCTCCTGGGTGGTTGGAGGTCTTGGGTAGGCTGGCCCTCCCCATCCATCCACCTGACGCACTGCAGCCTGGTGCTTTCTGTTCTCTCCTGCTTTCAGTGTCTCTTCTGCTCATGAGAATGGAGGGAGGACGAAGCAGAGAGCCTCAAAGAAGCCAGGACCAGGAACTGAGGAAGTAAGAGTATCACAGGAAATGCTCATATCCTCTCTCCCTCCCCAGGAGCATGCTACATGCAGGAACAGGAAGGAGAATTAGATTCAGTCCCTGCCCATGAAAATCTTGTGGTCTGCTATGGACTGAATGTTTGTGTCACCCCAAAATGTATATGTTGAAATCCTAGCCCCCAAAATGATGGTATTAGGAGGTGAGCCTTTTGGGAGGTGGTCAGGTCATGATGGAATGAGTGCCCTTAGGGAAGAGGCTCATGGGAGCCTGTTTGCCCCTTTTGCCCTGTGAGGTTGCAGTGAAAAGACGTCTGTCTATGGAGAAAGCAGGCCCTTGACAGACACGGAATCACCAGCACATTAATCTTGGATGTCCCAATCTCCAGAACTGTGAGAAATAAATTTCTGTTGTTTATAAGCCACCCAGTCTAAGGTATTTTGTTACAGCAGACCAAGCAGACTAAGGCATAGTCCAACTTGGGAGACAGATACGTAATCAAAAATTACAATGTAGTGTAATGAGGGCCATAAGAGATACATGTTTTATTAGTCTGTTTTCATGCTGCTAATAAAAACATACCTGAGACTGGGTAATTAATAAAGGAAAGAGGTTTAATTGACTCACAGCTTCACTTGGCTAGGGAGGCCTCACAATCATGGCTGAAGGTGAACGAGGAGCAAAGTCACGTCTTACATGGTGGCAGGCAAGAGAGCTTGTGTAAGGGAACTCCCCTTTATAAAACTATCAGATCTCATGAGACTTATTCACTGTCACAAGAACAGCATAGGAAAGAGCCACCCATGTGATTCAATTACCTCCCACCGGGTCCCTCCCACGACACATGGGAATTACGGGGCTACAGTTCAAGATGAGATTTGGGTGGGGACACAGCCAAACCATATTAAATGTCCAGTGTTCCATAAGAGCAGAGGAGAGAGCCAGAAAAGTCAGGGAACAGGGAAGTTTCAGAGAGGAGGCTACCTGGGGCAGGAAGTTTGGAAGGAGGACCAGGAATCTTCTGGTAGAGAAGAGGCAGGAGGAGTGTGAGCCAAGGGACCAGCAGGAAGGTGAGACCAGGGACACGAGGAAAGGGCCTGCTTCTCCGAGCTGTGGCCTGTTTGTGGTGCAGAGGGGAAATATATGAGGGACAGAGGCAGCCAGGCATGAAAGTATATGCACTCCCTCTAAGAGTTCGTTGAGCATTCTGACCAGTATTGCCTCCTTGAAAGAGAACTCCATGGGTAGAAAGATTGGACAAAGGAAAGCCAGCAATAATTTTATTTATATAAATATTTGCTGGGTACAGTGGCTCACACCTGTAATGCCTCCAATTTGGGAGGCTGAGGCAGGAGATTGCTTGAGCCCAGAAGTTCAAGGCCAGCCTGGGCAACATAGTGAGACCTTCCTTCTCTAAAACAATTTTTTAAAAATTAGCCAGGCATGGTCATCCATGCCTGTAGTCCTGGTTACTCGGGAGGCTGAGGTGGGAGGATCACTTGAGCCCAGGGGGTCGAGGCTACAGTGAGCTATCATCATACCACTGCACTCCAGCCTGGGTGACAGAGCAAGACCAGGTCCCAAAAACAAACAAACAAATTAAATAAATACTAGCCTTTGTTTGTTGTGCATTTATTTACATGCCCATCTCATTCTAAAAAGCCTTTGGAGTTTCCAGCCATACCCCAGACAGGAAAGAATGGTGGCCTGAAATAAACCACAGCAGTGAAAATGAGGAGGAAAGGCTGGATTCAACAGACGTCTCCAAGGTGGGTTTAATGGAACTTGGCACCCCGAAGTACAGGGCAAAGGAGAGGAAGGAGTCAAGTCTGGCCCAGTGGCTGGGGACACCATGAACACCAAGAGAGGAAATATAGCAGTGGCACAGGACTTAGTGGATGAGAAATAATAAAATATACACACATACAAAGAACAATGAGCTACACCTGGCATATACCAAGTCTGAGGTTTCCACAGGTCAAGGTAGTCAGTGGGAAGGTGTGGCTGAGGAGACTCCTGGGTGTGGGGGAGTTTCTGCTCAGTGGGGCAATGGAAACCACGAATTAACGGGCCCAGGAAGATCTAGAGAAAGAAAAGAGGAAGGCTTGGGCTGTGACTCTGTGAACTGTCAGGAGTTTTAGGGCAGACGAGAAGCTGAAGAAGACCCACCCATGGAACCCAAGGTTGGAGGCGTCGGAGAACCCCTGAGAGAGAGGATTGATTGCCACAGAAGCCGCATAGGGAGTTTCCAGCAGGACTGGATGATCACAGAGACCCAATAGGATCCAGACCCAACCTCGACCATTTGTGGTCACCACTGCCCATGGACAGAGCTGTTTCAGTGAAGCCATGGGTCAGAAGCCACACAGGAGAGCATGGACAGGGGTGGGAGGTGAGGTGTTGCGGGCCACAGAGCAGGGCTGAGAGTCAAGGGGAGCTGCGGGCAGCACTCCAGGGGAGGTGGGGCCTGCTAAGGACATTTATAAAAGGCCATAGGTACAAAGGTTAGCACAGAAAAATGATAAATGTTTGAGATTATGAATATGCTAATTACCCTGATTTGATCACTATACATTATATGTATTGTAACATCACAATGTACTCCACTAAGGTGAACAATGATCATTTGTCCATTTCAAAAATGTTTAGAAAGAAAAAGTTTTAAATGTGTTTTCAGATTTCTAAATTCCAATCCCTGGGCTGCCAGGGACTAGGTGAGTTTCCTTGGGAAAGTCACCTATGTTTTCTCAGCAAGACTCCACATTAACAGAGTGAGGGCAGTGCAGTACCTGCTTCCTTCGTTGTTCCAAGGGGTACATGAGACAACACACGGGAGTGCCTGTCTCTCAGGACGTGATGGACAAACGCCAGCCCTTGCTGCTATTACTAGGGAGAGGGCATTTAAGTATGTGTGCTGGTAAGGAGAACAAGTTCCAGATTTCACCCACAGACAGGGAGAAAATGATGGAAGATCTCAAAGGAGGTTGGACGGACTGGGGTCTGTAGTTTGGGTTTGGGAGTCTTAAAAAAGAGGGGGTGGCAGTTTTCAATGGGTGAAGGGAGTGAATCTGCAGGAAAAAGAACATATTAGGGGAGTTCATGCCTGAAGGCTTTGTTCTCCCTGGTCAAGTCAATGCAGGCACATTTTGGACTTCAGAGCAAATTCACCACTGGAGAACCTACGTGGCTGAAAAGCTGCCCCATGATGAGTCATGGGCCCCTCAGCCTACTATGGGGCTACCCCTGGCTCAGCTGCAGAAGAACCAGCTTGAGGCTTGCTCTAGAGTCCACAGCAGAAGTTAGAGCCTAAGCGCCCAGTCCACAGCTTTACCTTTTGATCTTCTCCTTTGTAAAGCTGCATTCATTCATTCCCTAATTCACTCACTCATTCAGTAGACACTTACTGAGTGCCTGCTCTGTGCCCCACACTCAAGGAACAAAAGTGCTTTTAAGAAGCTCACAGACTAGTAAGGAAGATTGACCTATGAACAAGTAATTAGTCCTGAAAACCTGTTTCTAAATTAACATACATAAGACTGGGAAGTGGAAGAGAAAAGTGATGAAAGGCAAAGAAAAGGAAGGAAGAAAGAGAAGAGTTTTTTGTTTGTTTTTTTTAGACAGAGTCTTGCTCTGTTGTCCAGGCTGGAGTGCAGTGGTGCAATCTTGGCTCACTGCAACCTCCACCTCCCGGGTTTAAGCAATTCTCATGCCTCAGCCCCCTGAGTAGCTGTGGTTACAGGCACCCACCACCACATCCAGCTAATTTTTGTATTTTTAGTAGAGACGAGGTTTCATCATGTTGGCCAAGCTGGTCTCAAACTCCTCATCTCAGGTGATCCGCCCACCTCGGCCTCCCAAAGTGCTGGGATTATAGGTGTGAGCCACCGCTCCTAGCCTGAGAAGAGACTTTATGTAGACTTGGGGAAGGTCAGGCAGAAATCACAAGTTCAGCTTTTCTCTTGGTTCTAGCTGTTTGCAGCTAGTGAGTCAACAGTTTGATCTGTGGCCAGTAAGAGTAACAATAAGCATCAGTCCATGCACCAGCTAGCATAGGTTCAATTATGCTGTGGTAATAACTACCCCAAAATCTCAGTGATGTAACACACTAGATTATTTCTAAGTCAAAGTTGCTATTTTCTCAAAGATCACACTTTTATGGACACTTTGTCCTTATTGACATGCCTAGATGAAAAGGACCAAGATGTGAAGGAGGAAAAGACATATTAGAAGTCAGCTGATACATAGGAAATACCTCCAAGTGATGAAAGACAGCATGAAATACAATTAAAGCGTCCTCAACATTTTCCTGTTAAAGCCAAAATGGGAGAGAATTGGCCTTATTTAATTGATTAGGACAAAGATACATAATTTATTGAAAAAGAATCATAGATTGAGCTTTCACTGTCACTTGTCATGATTCCTGAATTTAATACCTACTTTGTTCTCCATAGGATTAAAGAATGTTTTAAATTTTTATTCAATTTTCTTAGGGAATTGTAATTGTTATCTTGTTTATATAGTGGATTTCCATGGGATTACTCCCTGAAATTATTTGCATATGATTATATAGGGAAATTTAACCAACTAACCATATTTTAATGATTATTGTTTTGTAATACATAATTACCTATTAAAATTTGGTGTAAAACATACAGTAAATCTTGAAATAAAAACTTGAATCAGTTAGTCTGATCTAAATTCAATTAATTAATATTTTTTCTTTTACTGCCATTATATATCAACAATTTGGACTGCTAATGCAACTTTGGGAGGCTGAGGCAGGCAGATCACGAGGTCAGGAGTTCGAGACCAGCCTGACCAACACGGTGAAAACCCATCTCTACTACAAATACAAAAATTAACCAGGCGTGGTGGCAGGTGCCTATAATCCCAGCTACTTAGGAGGCTGAGGCAGGAGAATCGCTTGAACCCGGGAGGCAGAGGTTGCAGTGAGCCAAGAGTGCACCACTGTACTCCAGCTTGGGCAACAGAGTGAGACTCCATCTCAAAAAAAAAAAAAAAAAATACATTCACAAATAAAACTTTAAAAATGTGCATGCACATATTAAAAGTTAATTTGACTTAGATTTAAAAGTTTATGTATTTATCATTTAAAATGTAAAAAACAAGGTTAGTCTGGCACATGCATCTGGCAGTTCCCTGTAAGCAGTGTCTCAAAGATGTCGGTGGTTTACATCTTGCGTTTCCACCATCTCAAAACATACTTCTACCATCCCTAAGGCAGGGGAAGAAGACAGCCAGGGGCTCTCTCAGGAGTTTCTTCTGACCTCAGCTTAGAAGTGTCACCTGTCACTTCCACTCACAGTTGAATGGTTGCAGCTAGACACAAGGCCTTGTCCGACCTCAGAGGAGGCTGGGAAGTGTGGAGGATATTTGGCAAGCATAAATGTCTCTGTCACAGCCCTCTTCTCTCCTTCCAACCCTGCCAGGCAAAGCTTTATGCTGACCTTCCATGTTTAAGAAAACTCTCATCTTCTCCCTATAAATTCCCAGAGAAGTGCCCTGCTTAGGTTTATGCCCCACCAACTTTCTTTTGGCTTTAAACACATTGTCAAATTAATACATATAATTTGTATTAAAATCAGTGTTTGATCAGATATTGTATTATCATATAACATAGTATTAATGATACAGCATTATGGCATATATGTATTAGGATGGTGCAAAAGTGATTGCAGCCAATATTATTACATATGCTACAGTATTAAAAATTAATACTGAATGAATATAATTCAATTATTAACATAAAATTTATATATAATTAAATAATTCATATATAATTAATATAAAAATTTAGACATACTATACTTTTGGAAAATATCTGTCCTAATCATAAATTATTGCATTATACATGGGGAAAGCTCAGAGCAGAATCACAGAATTGGACCTAGAACTAAACTAGTTAAACCCTATAACTAATAAATTAATTCATTCAGTCCCCTCTTTAACACTCGCTAACAAGGAATTCACTAACACCTGGTAAGATGGGATGTTAGAACTGGTGCGAACTCAGAGAAAATTTTGAAGACAAACAAATTCATTTTTTGGATGAGGAGTGAAAAATGAGAGAATTTACATGGCTTCCTGAGACCTTACATAGTCACTGAGGCAGGCTGGAGCCACTGTTTCCAGCTCCTAGGCCACAGGGCTCCTCTCCAGCACCTGGAAAACCCTGCGTCAGAGCACACATGGTGAAAAAGGACGGCGAAATTCTCCATGCAAAGAGTGTTTTGAGTCTTGTATTTATATTCTACTCCAGGATGTGTCTATTTTCTTTTAATAGAAAATGTATTAAATCAGTTAAATTGGTCAGGCATGGTGGCTCACACCTGTAATCCCAGTGCTTTGGGAGGCCAAGGTAAGAGAATCACTTGAGGCCAGAAGTTCAAGACTAGCCTGGGCGACATAGCAAGACTCCCAAAACTACAAAAAAAAAACAAAAAAAAAAAACTAAACTAAACATTAGCCAGGCAGAGTGGTTCATGCCTGTAGTCCCAGCGGCTCTGTGGCAGAGGCAGGAGGATCACTAGAGCCCAGGCACTGGAGATTATGGTGAGCTATGATCATGCTGCTGCACTCTAGCCTGGGTGACACAGTGAGATCCCATCTGGAAAAAAAAAAAAAATTAATGATCTAAGAAGAGCTGCATGCTATTAACTTCATGGCTGCTGGTGGCCCTAGCCCACCTATGTACTATGCACCAATAGTACTCCTGCCCTCCTTGGAGAAGAAAATGTTAATCTCTGAATTAAAGCATTCCTCAGATTAATCCAACAAATGTTACTTTATGTACTCAACAAATGCTTCTTGAGTACCTACTGTGTGCCAGCTGCTGCCCTGAGCACTTACTGTCTATTATATTATCTTATTCAGCAACCCTGTACAGCAACCTGTACAGCAACCCTGTGAGGTATTATTTTCCCCATTTACAGATAAGGAAACATGTTTAAAGAAGTCAAACAAGTTGCCCCCAGGAAATGGGTGAGGACTGGAATTTGAATCCAGGTCTGGATTTACAACCCCTATCTGAGTCAAAACTCACTTGTTTGCAAGTAACATAGATCCAAAAAAACTCAGCTCCTGTAACTGGGGGAGTTAAAGCTAGCCCCAGTGACACATCACCATGTTTTGACTCAGCTTCCCTCTGACCTCTCTGGCTGCTGATGGCTCCCTTTGTACGGTGGGGACAATGGAGAAGGGGTTATGGGGGCCAAGGGAAATTCTCTCCCTTTGCATTCTGAACGTTCCCTGAAAATCACTAACAAGGGGCAAATTAACAGGAGAAAAGGCATACAGATTTACTTGGTCTTAGTTTTACATAACATGGGAGCCTTCAGAATGAAGACTCAAAGATACAGGGGAAATGGTCCATTTTTATGCTTAGGTTCAACAAAGTATGGACAGATGTGTGGAAATATGATTGGACAGAAAGGGTAGATTCAATGTGAATAGACAGAGCCAGGAAACCCACAAGGCCTGCCTGTCTAGATTCCTCCTGGCCTCTCTGAGCACACATTCCCTCCTTCTGGATGTGGGGCAGGAACCTCTCTGGAATGGGGTCTTATGACCTACACTCAAACAAGGTAGATGAGATAATTTCTTTATGGCCAGTTTTGCACAGAAAAGCAGGGGAAAGTTAGAGTAATACTTTTAGGTTTTGTGCCTGGCTTTGGGGCAAAGGAGTTCTGGTTTCTATGACCCGCCCTGGGGAAGAGGGATTCTAGTTTCTATGACTGTCCTTGAGAAACAATGAAACTAACAGACAAGGCAGCACGAGATGGTCAGAGAAAAACTCTTGCTTCGGAGGCTGCTGCTGAAGCCTTTATTTTGAGGTATTGTTTTCTGAGTCCCAACAGGGGCATAGCTCAATCTTACATCAAACCACCTCAACAGCCCAGAGGAAATTGAGAGGCCCGGAAGTCCACTGAATGATTCTGATTGGCCTGGGTCAGGCCAGCGCCCGTCTCAGAACCAATCATGGGGTCCAGGGGGTGGGATAACTGCACTTGGCCTGCCCTGGTCACGTGCCCACCCCAATGGCTGGAGTAAGGGTGAGTGGAAGTGGTTCTGGTCAGCAGCATTGCAGGACCATGCAATCCAATTGAGGGGATTGTTGGCAGATGATAAAGCAACAGCAATAGATGTCCTATCCAACTGTCCTGAGACAACTGAAAAATAACACTCATGATAAAAAAAAAATTGTATTGATCTTCAACGTCTTTCACTGCCCTTTGATAGAAGCAGGAAAGATTATTCAGCATACACCCATGCCTCTGATTTTACAATCACAGTTTTGTAGGATTCCCCAGGTAGCACAAGCAAAAGGGAAGGGAGTAAGGTGGGCCTCTCTCAGCACCGTCAACTGAGACCAGCCACTTACAGAGCTGAGCCCAGCTGCTGAAACCCCTGAGCTAATTTCCTTTGCAGGAAAACTGAAAGAAAGATTGCTTATCCCCATAATCTCTCCAAAGAGTGTTGTCACTCAGGTGCCTACCCCTCCCCTCGATGCCCCTTGCTCCAGGTGTCCCTTTGAGGGGTGCTCAACCCAAATCCTGAATGTGCAGACAGAAGGCAGGTAGAAGTTTGGCACCACTGAAGTCTGGGTTTCCAGGCCAAACTCCGCACTTGCCAATAACTATTTACATTACAGAAGCAAAAGCACAAAGCCCGGGGCCTCTCAGGGCTGCTTGGCTAACAAAGGGCCTTAATGAGCCCTGAGAATCCTGCTTTCCGAGCTGAACAAGTGGCTCAAGGTCAATATCGTCAGAATTCGGGGAGAAGACCTTGTTTTGACTGAAAGATCAAAGCAAGGGGCATTTTTGATCGGAATTGGCCAGACAAATATTTTAGCCTCCAATTTACTCTGATTATGCAGAACAGGTCTGAGAGGGTCACAGCCATTAGAAAGACGGTCACTCAGCCTGGCCAGGCTAAAGGGACAACAAGCCTTGTAGGAGAGTCCTGAGAGTGGAGAATGTTCCACCGGGTGGCCTGTGGGAAGTAACAGAGGCAGGGGAACCCCCAGCCCACTCGCTGAGCTTGTGACATGGTTGAGGAGGGGGTGCTGGGATGGAAGGGGCCTCAGGACCTCTGTTGTCCCTTAGCCGTGCTGCAGCTACCTGCCATACAGCCAGTTAACAGCCAGGTTGGAAGGACAATCAGGCCACCTGCTCCTACCGGGCCACTTGCACTTCTGCTGCTCCCTGCTGAAAATGCTCACAGTGGAACATAAAACCCACTGCACACTGCAAGCTCTAGGGAGACACTGACAAGAGCCTCAGGGCTGCCCCTGAGAAGCTGGTGTGAAGAGCCAGGAAAGGCCTGGAGAGGCCAATAAGAAAGGATGGTCCTCCAAGGGGCAAATGCACCAGGAGCGAGGCTCCCCTGGACGAGGTGGATGGAGCGTGTCCCTGGAAGATCCCCATGAGCACTGGATCCTGAGTCCGTCCTAGGAGGGCTTTCCTGACATAGCAGACATTGGCTGGACACTTACTCTGCAGCAGGCACCAGGCTTTTACATGAAGTTATTTACAGAATTCTCATAACCACTCTGCAATGCTGTCTCAATTTTATAATAAGGCACCTGAGAATCAAAGCTATACAATAACCTGCTCAAGTCAAGCCAGCAACTACGTCGCAGAAGCAGGATCAGAACCCAGACCTGTCTGTCTTCAGCGTCTTTGCAGAATCAAGCAGCTACTCTAACTTTCCTGTATAAACTATACCCAAAGGGTTGGTGCATTTTAGAAGATTCCAGCTAATACATAAAAAAGAAATGACAGATTTAGAATATCAGGATTTCACCACTCTGCAACCCCTAATGAAGAAATAGTTCTAGGCAATAATCATCAATGACTAAAGAAACTATTAGGCATAAAAACTGATGGGGAACCTTACATTGGATGGATCAACCCTAATATCACGAAAGAAGAAACTACCAGATGCTTCCCAATGTACTACAGTGGGGAGGTATGCACAATTACCAATCATCAAAAAATCAGACCTGGATCTAAACAAGATGCTAAATCTACTGCCAGTTTATAAGGAACCACAGGGGACAAAAGAACATCTTAAACTACACCACAGTTGATAAATGGAAAAATCCAAAATATGAGCAATTCTTCAGTTCAAAACGACCTGGCTCCTTCCACAAATAAATTGCTAGGAAGGAGGAAAGACAGAAGGAGCCACTTATAGATCAAAAGAAGCTTCAGAAACATCGACCAAATGAAATGTGTAGACCTTGTTTAGATGCCAATTCAAACAAATCTACTAGATAAAAGCATTTTTTAGACAATAGGGCATATTTGCATACTGGCTGGATATTCGATGACACCAAATGTATTAGTTTTCCATCGACATCATAACAAATGGTCATAATTTTAGCAGCTTAAAACAGCGCCCACTTGTTTTTGTTTTTTTAGACGGAGTGTCACTCTGTTGCCCAGGCTGGAATGCAGTGGCATGGTCCCAGCTCACTGCAACCTCTGTCTCCAGGATTCAAACGATTTTCTTGCCTCAGTCTCTTGAGTAGCTGGGATTACAAGCACGCGCCACCATGCCTGGCTAATTTTTGTATTTTGAGTAGAGACAGGGTTTCACCATGTTGGTCAGGTTGGTCTCGAACTCCTGACCTCAAATGATCTGCCCTCCTCGGCCTCCCAAAGTGCTAGGATTACAGGCGTGAGCCACCGGTCCTGGCCACTCGCTTGTTATCTCACAGTGCTATAGGTCAGAAGTGCAGGCACAGCATGGCTTGGCAGGGCCTCTGCCTACAGCTTCACAAGGCCACAGTCAAGGTGTCAGCAGGGTTGTGTTTGCTTCTGAAAGCTCCAGGGGAGAATCGTTTCGAGCCATTCAAGTTGTTGGCTGAATCCAGTTTCTGGTCGGTCTGAGTTGCCCGCTTCCTGGCACCCTTAGCTCTTCGAGGCCTCCTCTGGCTCTGAGCTCGGCCCCTCCATCTCAGAGCCAGCAGCCACTCAGCAAACCTTCCCCACACTCAGCATCCCTCCAACTTCCCCTCATGCTGCACTTCTCTCCTGCCTTCCTCCTCTTCTTCCAGTTGGAGATAGCTGTCTGCTTTTAGGGGCTCGTAGATTGGGCCTACCCAAATAACCCAGAATAATCTGCCTGTCTTTAAGTTCCCAATCTTCATTACATCTGCAGAGTCCCTCTTAGAAGGTATTTACGGTTTTCAGGGTATATGCTGTGGACATCTTTGTGGGGTGGGTATTAGGAACATTTAGAGATGAAATGATAAATTAACTGAGATTTGCTTAAAATACCCAATATGGGGGTCAGAGAGAGTAGGTGAAGCATGTTAGCCCTATTTGGATCATTGTTAGCCTGAGTGGCAGCTTCATAATGATACATTATTTATCTCCTCTGCTCTGAAATATGCATGAAATGATTTATAATTTATCAATAAGGTGGGAGTGCCTTCCATCACACCAGTGATCCTCAAACTTCAGGGGACACAGAATTACTAGAAAGCATATTAAACATGCAGATTTCCTGAGTCCTGTCTTGAGGATCTATCTGGGTTCAGCAGGTTTAGAATGGGATCCTGGGGATTCTGAGTGGAACTGACCAGGCCTTAAGAATCACTATACGATTACGGGAAGATTAATAAGAAAGCAATAAATATTAGGCACAAAAAAGTTAGAGACATTCAAAGAATAGACATATTGGATCAATAGGAGAAAACAAGGAAGTCTGCCTGAGAGGGATGATGTCTGAGTTAAGGACATCGAAGAGTGGACAGAATTTAATAGCATGAGATTTGAAATTTTCTTTTAAACCCTAGAGGCAAGAAAAGGCAGGGCACGGCTGAGACATACCAACTTGTCCAGCTTGGTTGAAGAATAAGATCAGGGAAAGGGAGGTGTAAAGTAGTGAAATTGAAGATGAGGTCTTGCTTTGCAGAGTCCTGAATGCTGGGGTTTGTATGTAAGTCAGCAAGCAAAGGAACTATTGATGGAGTCTGCCAAGTGGAATGACATGTTTGGTGTTATGCATTTTAGCTCAAATCCCCATTTCAGAATAAACCCCATTTGTTAATACCATCCTCTCTAATGTTGCTTAGAAAGTACTATAAAGCTTGGACATGGCATGGCTAATAACATGTTTGCCAAAACCAAGACCAGCACTCAGAAAGCCATGCACTTCTCTGTGGGGGCCTGCTGTGGGGTGGGGGTGGCTGAGCTTCAGTTCATTCCTTTCTGCTTCCTGCTTTTACAAACATACAGTGCAGAGTGATATGCTCACCTCCAGAGGGCAACAACCAAAGTGGCAAATGTATAACAGATCATCACGGCTGCTTTAAATCCTAACCAAATAAACTTCTTATTTTTCTAAGTATTGACTAAGCATGGTGTGGTTCAGGCCACTGTTTGGAAAGGTGGACTCAGCTTCACATTTTTCCTTGTATATTTTGACATTTCTGAGAGTGGACAATGGCATTGAGAAGGTTGGATCTGTGTTATTCCTCTGTGTAATGGAGAATGTAAATTATTACTCTTTCTTCTCTTCTAAAAGTGTCTCTTATGTGTCCAAGGAGAATCTTAAAGGCCCAGCATGCAGGGCAACATTTTTGCCCTTGTGAACTCAGAGTTCAGTGTTAAACAGTTATGTTTGTTACAAGTAAATAAATGCAAGAGGGCAGTGGACACACACGCATGCAGAGAAATACAAGCACACACACAGTTTTATCCGAATAGACAGGACCATATGTTTTTAATTGAATTGCATTGCATCTAAGACACTCCTGATTATAAGACATAGCATTAAACTATGATGTGGTATTGACTATAAAATGCACCATAATCTTAAGGATATTAAAATGTCAGTTGATGAAATACAGTATTTTTTTTTTGAGACGGAATCTCGCTCTGTTTCTCAGGCTGGAGTCCAGTGGCACGATCTCAGCTCACTGCAAGCTCCACCTCCCTGGCTCACACCATTCTCCTGCCTCAGCCTCCCAGGTAGCTGGGACTACAGGCGCCCACCACCATGCCCGGCTAATTTTTTGTATTTTTAGTAAAGACAGCGTTTTGTATTTTTAGTAAAGACAGTGTTAGCCAGGATGGTCTCGATCTCCTGACCTCGTGATCCACCCGCCTCGGCTTCCCAAAGTGCTGGGATTACAGGTGTGAGCCACCAAGCCCGGTTGAAATACAGTATTTTGTTAAAATTCTCCTCCAGAACAGGGCTCAAATGACACTTTCTGTAAGTGCTGTTATTAGTCATCTGCATTCACAGGAACGTGGAAGTTATCACCATTACCACAGCAAGGCACCTACCTCAAGTCACACAGCAAGAACTGAAATAAAGAGCACTGAATGTGGAATTAGGAAGCCTTGGTTCAGATACCAGCCCTGCCACTTCCTACTGTGCAAACTTAAGCCAGGCTTGCAAACTCCCTGGGTTTCAATTTCCTTATCTGTTACATGGGGATAATGATATTTACCAAACAAGACTGTTGTAAGAATAAAATCACAAACCCACACAAATTTTCCTAGCCCCAAATCTGTCATACACCAAGTGATTACAAAATGTAGAATCCAAATCCAAGTACTCATGCCACACATAATTAATGTCATGCACTGTGGAGGATGCATAATGGAATCAACAATCAGCAAAGTAAGTCCTTACTGAGATCTTACCATGAGAACTTGCCCTTAGTTTCCCATTATGTAACATGATGGTTCTCAAACTTGAGCATGGATCATGATCACCCAGAGGGTGATTGTTACATCACAGATTACCAGGCCCACTTCCAGAACTTCTGGCTCAATACATCTGAAGTGGGACCCAAGAATTTGCATTTCTAACGTCCCAGGTGATTCTGATGCTGCTGCTTCAGGTACCACACTTAGGAGAACCACTGATGTCAAGTGCAGTCTCTGCCCCAAGGAGCTCTTCGTCTAATTGAGGAAATAAGGAAAAACTCACAAGACATTCTAGCAAATAGCAAAGCCCCCTCTCTCATTATGGGTTGATGGGTGGGACCCAGATGATGGCTGCAGGAGGGGTTCAGGGGAGAGAGTGAGAATAGTGAAGGCTGGAGTGGCCATACCTCTGATAAGATTGGACAGGATCTTGGAGACTGGGCAGATTTTGTCCAGGATGCAGCAGGGTGAATCCTGACACTGTTAGGATACTGACTGGCTGGTGTCCATTGTGATTGGTCAGAGCCATGCCCATTAGGTAGCTTAGTTTGCTCCTTGATGGACAGATGTGGCAAGGGAGTCCAGGTAAAGGAACAAACACAGAGGAGGGAATGAGGGTTCTGGTTGGCAGGAAAACAAGCCAGATAGGGCAGAAGGCGGCACCAGGGAGAGGTGAAAGCAGCTGAGAGGGATGTTAGGAGGTGATGTGGTTGGGACTAGGGTCCATAAAAACAGTCTGGAGAGAGCAGTGCAGGTAGCAGGCATGCACATTCCAGGCACAAGGGATGAACTCCTAGAGTAGGGTCCTGGCAGTAAGACCAGAGAAGTAGAGACAGACAAAAACAATATTTAAAGAGCAGAAATCAACAGAGCTTACTGCATGGTTGGAAATGGGTTAAAATGAGGAGATTTTTGGCCAGGCGCGGTGCTCACGCCTGTAATCCCAGCACTTTGGGAGGCTGAGGCAGGCAGATCATGAGGTCAGAAGATCGAGACCATCCTGGCTAACATGGTGAAACCCTGTCTCCACTAAACATAAAAAAAAAATTAGCTGGGCATGGTAGCGGGCACCTGTAGTCCCAGCTACTCGGGAGGCTGAGGCAGGAGAATGGCGTGAACCCGGAAGGCGGAGGTTGCAGTGAGCTGAGATCGCGCCACTGCACTCCAGCCTGGGTGACAGAGAGAGACTCCGTCTCAAAATAAATAAATAAATACAAATGAGGGGATTTTTAAAGATAAGGCTGAATGACTTCAAAATGGTAGTGCCTTTGGAGAAAAAAATAACGACACTGGGAGAAAGAAGAGGTTTGTGAGGCATGAGGATGGACGCACGTGGTTTGAGATCGTGTGTGTTTGGGTGCTGACCACCAAGTGTGATCATCTGTTGGATCTTCTGAGATGTGCTGTCAAGCTCAGAGAAAGGACGGGATTCAAGGATATAGGAAGTTGTCAGTCTAGAGGTGTGAGCTGAAGCCAAGGAGGTATAAGGGAACCAAGGGAGGGACAATCAGGAGAAAACTTGACTGAATGTTGACAAATACCCAAAGTTAGGCAAGAGAAATACCAGGCAAAACCTCTTCTGATGAGCTCAACTACATGTATGAACTGCCTGGTGCGTGCCAGACCAGGAGAGTGATGCAGCAAAGAAGCTGATGTGGTCCCATCCCTGAAGGTACAGTTGCAAGGCAGGTGGATAGCATTCGTAATGTGAAAGATCTTAGATCACAAAAGTGGGCCTCCTAATTAGTGTGTGTGTGGTGATGGAGATCAGGGGAGGTATTCATGGATGGCTTCCTGGAGGACGAGATGTCTACACTGAGAATTGAAAGATGAGCAGAAGTAAGTTGATGAAGAACAATGAGAGGGCTTGTATTTTATTCAGAGATAAATGATTTTCAAAGGAAATAGAAACAATTTGGTTGGCTTTTAAATGATAGCATTTATTTTTGTTATTGCCTTTCATATTTTCTTTTTCTAAAATAGAAAAGCTTAAAAAATAAAACCAGGAGAATGTGGTATCAGCAGCCAAGAGAGAGTGGAGCTTTATAAATCGGCAGGTCTGTGTGCTGCTGAGCCTAAATGCACCCCTATACATCTTCTCCATGCATCTGAGAAAGCATTGGGCAATGAAGGAGTCAATGGTAACTTATGGCAAAAATCATCATTAAGGATAAAAGTGGCCATTACATAATGATGAAGGGAACAGACCTTCCAGCAAGATATAACAATCCTGAACTGTATGATCATAATGATGTAGTCTTGACTCATACAAAGCAACAATTGAGAGAATTACAGAAAGAAAAACATCAAAATCCACTATCAGAGCAAAAGATTTTAACATGGTTATTGAAGAAATACATAGAACACATGAACAAAAAATCAGCAAGTACACAGAAGATTTGGACATCCTGTGAACAAGCTAGATATGTATAAACCATGTCAACAATCAGAGAATATATTTTCAGATATGCATAAAACATACATATCATGTGTCACATCATGTACCAGGCTGCAAGGCAAGTCTCTCAAGGAATTTACAGTCTAGTAGAGAGATAAGTGACCCGTGGTCCACTTGACTTTGTGATCTGTTTCCTGATGAAATTTCAGGAACAAGAAACTAAAATCAATGAAATTGATTCACTCACTGGTGTGGTGTCCTCGAATGGCCTCCCTGGCCAAGCACTGGCCAGCCCTGCCTCCTTTTCTGGGCCACCTCCAGCCAGGGCTGGGTAGCTATCCCAGGGCTGGGTTCTGAACAGAGGCTGCCTCTGGGGAGGGGGGGACTCCAAATGCTGGGCCCACGGAATAAAATAGCCTGAAGGAACAAAACAGCCACTGACCCGATGGGAAAGAATAAAAGCCTCCTCTCCTCGACTTGGGCAGAAGGACGGTGAAAGAACATGCAAGCACAGTTGTGGATATTGTGATTGCTGATTTAATTTTTTTTTTCTTTTTTTAATGGGGCCTGAATTGTTTCCCTTCCCTGACCTGACCTGTACAATAAGAGTTTGCCGACCACAGGTCTAAAGAGAAAAAGTTCTCAAACTTTTAAAATCACTTTCATGTGGTGCTTCTAGTAACGTCTTGCAGGTGGAACACAGAAGGGAGGCATCTGGGCTGGGGCCTTCCCCAGCTGCAGAGCTGTTTATTTTTCTTCCCCCGATGAAGTTGACCTTGGCTTCATCACTTTCCATTCTGCACAGTTATTTAACTACTGCTCTTGTTACCATCAACATTTTCTCCTCTTAGACAAGATGCTCAAAATAAATGAGTTTTGGTACAACGACAAGAATCTAATATCTGTGGACATTTCTTCTCCTTGGGAACTTGCTGGTGATGTGTGTCTGGCCGTGTCACTCACCAGCATTGTTGTGATCCATCAGCATGGCCCTTGCTGCCATGGCAGCAGAGCAGAATAAGGCCCTGTCAGCCTGGGGGCCCCCAAATCCCATCCAGTAACCTGTTGCATAATCCTGATGAAAATACATTTCACCAGATTCTGCATCAACATGGGTGATGTTGGCCGGCATTTGGCTTTTCTTTGCAAACCAGACCTGAGAATGGGCCATGGAGTTCCCCCTGATGCATCCATACCAACCAATAAGATGTGCTAATTCTCCATGACAGAGATACTGACTGGTGGGGATTGAGGAGCTAGTGGTTGGGTGCATGGCAAGGAGTAACACACAGTAACCTAGCCCCCATCATGTGCAATCCAAGAGTGCCTTGTGTCTAAGAGGTTGTACCTCTAGGGCCTTTAGGAAAGTCTCAGGATGTCAGCACCCTCATGAATGACTCATGGTGTGCTCTGCCCAGCTGAAACATTAAAGATGATTTAGAGCTAGTGGGATGCATTTGTGGTTAGAGGGACCTCTTTAAGAGTCCAATTGCCAGCTTTTCTGGAGCTTTAAAACCTAGGGAGCTTGGACCAAGTTCAGATCCTTTAAAAACTGTGGATTTGATTTTTTTCTCCCCTCTCCCCACCCCTTCCACTGTTCCCCTTCTGCTTCCAGGTCTCCCTGCCCTTGGGCCTTCACGGGTCATCCCCATATGTTGTCTTCATAGCTCCCCCAAGGGTAACTTAGCAATATGGTAGACACCATTCGTGGAGTACCATTAACTGAACATGGTGCCAGGAGTCTCACAGACATACAAAATTTCTACATTTTTTATGTAGAAATTCTGCATTTTTAAAGATGAGGAAATTAGGTTACTTATCCCTAAACCACAGCAGTGATGAGAGAAACGACGTTGGCATCCAGGTTGGGCTGATCACACCCTCACCCTCCATGTTGCACTGTGCATACATCATCCTCCTTCTTGGCTTTTTCCTCCTCACCTATAAATGGAACTTCCTTCTCAGCTATGAATGAATCCACCTAAAGCAGTGGTTCTCAAAGTGTGGGCCCAGATCAACATCAACATCATCTAATAATAATACACATTATGAGACCCCATCCAAGAGTCCTACTGAATCAGAAATCAGGGGTGCAGCCCAGCAATTTGCGTTTTAACAAAACCCTGCAGAAGAGCTTGACATGTACCAAAGTTTGAGAACCACTGGGCCAAATTGTTCATACTACTATGTAGCTGATATTACCAAACTATGAAGCAGTTCTCTCTGGTTTCTATGAGAAAATACCTAAGACCCTAGAAGATTATAATTGTCTGGCTCTTCTGGCCATGTTTACAATGATTTTCCTTGGAAATTTGTCTTTCAGACAAATTTCACCCTCCCCTCATCAAGTTCAGCAGCACGAACTCAGGCAAGGACATGGGCCTCTTCTGGTCGACTGAGATGATCTGCCATTCTCAGCCACTGCCTAGAGTATTTTGTCACATCCATCTAGTGATTGAGGTTATTTCATTTGTATTGACTTTCTCAGTGGTAAATTATTAAAAATACCGGAAAAAAACATCTCCAAGAAAAAGCTTAGACGGAGACAGACAAAGTGAAATGGGGAGCGGGTGGGAGGGGGAGGAACAAAGAACTGGCTTTTTCAGGCAAATTGTAGGATGGGTTTTTATTTTATTTTGGTAAAATATACATAACATATATAACATTTTAACTATTTTAAGGTACAGTTCAGCGGCATTAAATACATTCACGATATTGTGTAACTATTACCACCATCCATCTCTAGAAGTTTTTAGCTTGCAGAATTGAAACTGTACCCATTAAACAATAATTTCCCATTCCCCTTTTTCCAGCCCCTGGTAACTGCATTCTACCTTCTGTTTCTCTGAGTTTGACTACTTTAGATACCTAATGTGGGTGGAATCAGGCAGTATTTGTCTTTCGTGACTGGTTCATTTCACTTAGCATAATGTCCTCAAGGTTCATCCATGTTGTAGTATGTGTCAGAATTTCCTTTCTTTTTATGAATGTGTAGTATTCTATTATATATGCCATATTTCATTTATCCATTCATCCATCAATGGACATTTGGGTTGTTCCCACCTTTTGACTACCATGAGTAGTGCTGCTATAATGTGGATGTACAAATATTTGTTCAAGTCCCTGCTTTTAATTTTTTGTGGATTTAAATATACCCAGAAGTGGAATTGCTAGATCATACGGTAATTCTCTAACTTTTTGAGGAACCATAGCTGCTGCTACACCATTTTACATTCACACCCAGCAATGCATCTGTATTAGTTAGGGCTCTGATTAATATAGAGAAAGAGAGAGAGAGAGAGAGAGTGTGTGTGTGTGTGTGTCTGCATGTGTATAGAGACAATATACATATAAAGAGTATATATATATATACACATTATCTTTCTGTATGCATATATATGTAGATAGATACATACATACATACATACATACATACATACATACATACATAAAGACAGAGAAAAAGATTTATTATAGGGAATTGGCTTACATGGTTATGGATGCTGAAAAGTCCCAAGATTTATAGTCAGCAAGCTGGAAACCCAGGAAAGGCAATGTGCCATATTTTGTAAGTTCCAGTCTAAAAGCCAGCAGGACATATAATAAAAGCCATTATAATAATAAATACAACAATAGAAGTCATTATTCAGACACACCCAGAATAATGTTTGCCCAAACATCTGGGGACCTCATGGCCAAGGCACATTGATGCAGAAAATTAACCATCACACTCGTAATTTTCTATTGCTTTTTTTTTTTTAATAATAGCCATCCAATGGGTGTGATGTTGACTAGTTTTTAAAGATGCTCCTCTCCACTTTTCAGGACCTAAAAGAAAAACATATTTGCTGGTGCCCCATTTTGTTTTTAAGTTCCAGTCCAAAAGCCAGGAGGATTAAGATCCAAGAAGAGCTGATATTTCAATTCAAGTCCAAAGGCAAGAAAAGATCAATGTCCCAGCTCCAGGCAGTCCAGCAGGAGAAGTTCTCTCTTATCAGCTTCTGGTTCTCTTCAGATCTTCAGTTGATGGGATGAGATCCAGCCACATTATGAAGGGCAATCTGCTTTACTCACTCTACTGATCCAAATGTTAATCACATCCAGAAACACCTCAGACACACCCAGAATCATGATTGCGTCTGGGGACCTCATGGCCCTGTCAAGTTGACATAGAAAATTAACCATTGCACTTGTAATTTTCTGTTGCTTTATTTTTTTTAATAATAGCCATCTAATGAGTGTAATGTTGAATAGCTTTTTCAAGATGCTTCTCTCCACTTTTCATGACCTAAAAGAAAAAAATATTTGCTAGTGCCGCATTTTGTTTCTTAGCATTTTAGACCTGAGGGTGCTTAAGAGATTGTCTAGCCTCATAGCATTCAAAGCGTTTTAACAGCAGAACTCCTTTTTTCCCCCCAAATTCAGTCTTAGTTGGAACTCTAAAATATAAAAGAGATAAAAGTAGAGGTGCTCTGGTTAATCCAAAGGTGGGGACACAGCCCCATCCCTAGCCTCCTTCTCTACCCCCAAACCCTGTAGAGCTCAAGACCCTTCCCCACCGCCTGGGGCTCTGCAGAACTCAGCTTCAAAACCACTGATCCAGGTGCAGGTGACAAAACTGAGGTCCATGTCTATCCCTCACCGGACTCCATGCTTTGTGAGAATGGGACAGCATTTGTCTCATTTACTTCTACAACATCAGCAGCGAGCACAGTGTTTGTTACACATAAGTGCTTCATATATCTATGTATTAAATGTCTGGCTGAATAGATAAGACCATGGATTGTCTAAAATCTAATGCCAAAGCTAATGCAAAATCCCATATTTGCTGCCTCTCATTTAGGGATCTATCTATTCAAGAGGTTCTCAAACTTGGGTGTAAATCAGAATCATACGGAGGGCTTGTTAAAACAGAAATTGCTAGGCCCCATCCCTAGAGTTTCTGTTTCAGTTAAGTCTGGGGTAGGGCCACCAAATCTGCATTTCTAACAAGCTCCCAGGTGATGCTAATGATGCTGTTCCAGGAAGGATATTTTGAGAACCACTGGCCTAGAAGAAACATCTAGTGACCAGAACTACAATGACATCTACAGCCTGCTTTATTTTTATCTCAAAATTCAATGTGGCCCCCTCAAACTATGATTAGATGCTGCAAATAATTATCATCTTTGCAATAAAGTCTCAATGCACTTTGAGAACCACTACTCTATATCAAGCTGCCTCAAATTCTGTATTTTATTTTATCCACATAAACCCAGGAAGACTTGCAGAGTTGGTCTTAAATTTGGCAATCTTCCCCCACTCTCATTTGCAATTAGATGGATTAAGAGCAAACCAGTTGAATTCATCCATCTTTCAGTGAACACTAGTATGCATCCCTGTGCAGATGTGAGGATATAAAGACCATAGGAACCAGTTCCTTCCCTTAAGAAACCTGATTTCTACCTTATCCAGATGCTTCTGGAATAAAGCCCCATCAGGAAAGGTGCACCCTATTTGATGTGAGCAAAGACTACAGAAGGGGAAGGGCCCAATTACCCTCTTGCATCCAGCGGGGTAGATGAGTACATGAGATGAGCGCTTTCCCAAGGTGAGTGGCCATGAAGGGGTGGTGGTCAGTACAAGCTGGAGTCCAAAGGCTAAAATCTCAGCAGCAGTGTGATAGTCACTCAGAAATTATAGATTCCATTCACTGGGGAATCACTAACCACTGACATGTGAAAATAAGGGATAAATGCCAAGGATCTATTTCAATGTAGGTTTTCATTTCAGGATCATGGAGAAGGACATATCTGGGCTCATTCATGTGGATGCATTTGGAGTCAGGGGTGGCAATCTGCACAGGAGAACACAGATGAGAGAAGCCAGGAAGTGTGAGTGCAGGAATGTGGGGGCAGGCATGCTGAGACAGAAAGAACCAGGGGACACTGAGAAGAGGCAGCAGCTACCTGTGTGTGGCCCTGCCTGGTTCCATCCTCCTATTTCTTCAAGAGAAAGCAGGAATCTAAATTTTTGTGTGAAATCTCCAAATTTCCTACTGAAAGCTCAATTTTTTTAACCTCTGCAGGCCAAATGGAATATTCAAGGGGCTGAACAGCACCCCAAGGTCACCAATTTATAAGCTTCATTCTCAGCGAAAGGCACAGTCAAAGCACATATTTAATAATTCCCACAAAAGAAAACCCATGCAAATGAAGACAATGAATATGAGAAGGATCCCAGAGGTGAGGTTCATGATGGTTTGGGGAAGAAAAATATTCAGGAGAAAGAGGGGCTATTTGGCTGAGAACTGAAAAAATTATCTGCATAGCCTGTCCACATTAATCAAATTTGCCAGATAATTGCTAGCCCTACTCCACAGAGCCTGTTAAGCATTCACTTTCACAGCTGTATCCTAAATTTAGCTCTGACTTCTGATAACTGAGACACTACTTTGGGTTTATTTTCTGAGCTGCTTCTGGCGAGCATCCAAGGCTCCGACACCCTCAGGGGTTGTGAAAAGAGACCACCTGAGTTCTGTCACCCCAGGACTGGCTTCCACGCCTAATGCTTCAGAGCCCCACAGAGAATGTGAGTGGCCACACTTGCCTGTGGCTAGTGGAGATGCCAAGAACTGGCTTATCCAACTACACAGATGGTTTGGAGCACTGATGGTGTATTTAGTCCATACTGTTAGTTCTAATTAATCCTCCATAAGAAATTCTTATTTTATGGAAGAGGTGATCAGAACTCAAAAATGTTCAACAACTTGGCCAAGGCTAAACCGCCAGGAAGTGGCACTGCTGGGATTTTTCCCTGGGTCTCCTGCATTTCTTTCGTACATCTCTACAGGCTGTTGCAGTGAAATAAATCTGAATTACCTCCCTACTAAAACGCTCTCAATAATTCTCTAGTAGGATGTATTGAAAACACAGCAAGATACAAAGTAAGGGGCTTATGGGCTGACAAGTTTAAATCTTGCAAACTGAAGCAAGTTACCCTATCACTTTGTTCCTCAGTCTTCTCATTTGTGAAGTGGAGATTGTATCTATGCAGAAGATGACATAAAGAATATATTAGTAACATATAAAAGAATCTAGCCCTGTGCCTGGCACAGATAAGGCACCCAATAAATGGGATTTTCTTTTTTCCAAACTTTAGGTGGATTGGGCAATTTCCACAAAATTGTGTTGGGCAAGCCACACACACACACACACACACACACACACCCCTTATGATCCCTGGCCACTCGGCAGAGTTGCCAAAGGTGGGCAGCCTCTGCCACACCCTTCTTTCACCCCAGAAAAGGAAAGAAGCCCCAGCTTCTTGTCCCAAACCTCAGAAATCTTGTAGACATCACCTCCAGGAGTTTTATTCCACAGAATACCGTTTGATTTGGTATGAGCAGGTCCTGAGTTCATAAAATTCCGAGTTAAGCAAAGTTAACCAGATTTCTTCCTACAGAACTTCTCAGAGCTTTTAAACGTTTTGTGATGCTCCAAAGAGAGCACAGAGTCTACAGCTTTACCCAGAGTTACTTCACCTCGGTGCATCTCTGTTGAGGTTAGACCATGCCACCCATCAGGACATCCCACCAAGTGGACCTTTTCCGGCCTCCCCTTATTTAAATGTCCATGGCTTACCCTTCTGCATGAATAGCATCCACTAACACTTAGGCCAGTGAGGTTTGGAGCTACATTTCACAGCCCCTGGCTCAAACTCCAGTAGAACTACCACGGGAGCCGAAAGACTTGGCAGCCGCTTCCGGAGACAAGGCGATAATAGGGAGGTAGAGCCATCTACAGGAGATGTTTGGTACTGCACAACAAGAGCTGCGAGGAGCGGGTGAGCAAAGGAACTGAAAGATGATTACAGGACATTCTACACCAAAAGTTTGGAAGCTCTTTATTAGAGCAACTGAAACTTCACAATGATTTCCCAGATATGTATTTTGTGTAGTATTTGGAACAACAGGTATTTCTCCAAAAAAAGTTAGGGCAATAGCATTTATGTCATAAGAACTCTGTCTGTTGGACCACATTTTGTGATAAAAAACAAAATGAGAAGCACGTTAATGTGCTTAGTAACAGATGTGCACAAATGTGTTCATGTTGATGAGAAGTCTCTCACAGAGCTCTCAGGGGTGAGGGTGAAGAGCAATGTGCTGGGGCAGATCCCTCCCGGCTCCTCTTGTTGCAAGGAATGAGGAGCCTGCCTTCACCCAACATCCAACACTATTCACCAGAGGCCTGGTACATACCAGACACTATGATACATGCCAGGTATAGCATGATGAGGATGACAGACCGTCCCCTGTTCCCAGCAACCCACAAGAGTGGGAGCAGCATTTCCAAGTATGAAAAATCTCAAAGATCATCTTATGAGGAATTCTGATTAAGAGGTTGTCTTAGTCCATTTTCTGTTGCTTATAACTCAGTGCCTGAAACTGGGGAACTTATAAGGAAAAGAAATGTATTTCTTACAGTTATGGAAGCTGAGGATTCTCAGACTGAGGGGCCTCATCTGGCGAGTATTCTTGCTGATGGGGACTCTCTGAAGAATCCCCGGATGGTGCCAGCTGTTACATGCTGGGGGGCTGAGCATGCTGATGTGCTAACTCAGGTCTCTCTTCCTCTCATTATAAAGCCACTAGTTCTCCTCCCACGATAACCCATTAATCCATTAACCCATTAATTCATTAACCCATGAATGGATTAATTCACTCATGACCCAATTGCCTCTTAAATGTCCCACCTCTCAATACTGCCCCACTGGGGACTGAGTTTCAACATGAGTTTTGGAAGGGAGAAACATTCCATTCGTAACAGAGGTCTTTCCAGATTTAAAGTTGAATTTTCCAACAAGAAGCAAAGGGGCCTGTTGCCTTCTGTTATGAGGGATAGTTGTACCCAAAGTAGTTATCATTTGTCTTTTCCAACAACTCAGCAGAAGGTGGGATCAGTGCCTTCTGAACACTTCCCATCTGAGAATATTTGTAGAGAAATTTAGTCTATTTCTATAAGAACATTTTCTCTAAGCCATTTGTGCATTTAAGACAAACTTCAATTATCTTGATGATTGATAGTTTATAATTAAATAAGTTAATAAAGGTTACAGTATTATCTGGAAATCCAAATATGAAGAATCTCAAAATGGTACTTATCATTTGGAGGGCTCTTAACCCATTCTATGCCTTGTTTTGTTTTCTTTCTTCTTTTACATCTATTTTGTGTTCCCACTATGACATATTTTATTTTTCTGTATAAGTTATCTTAAATCCTTTATAGAATAAATAAATAAAATATATGTTTTAATATTAAAACCTATTGTCAGAAGAGGGGCTTACTTGTATTATCTTGGATCATCTAGCTGAAGAATC
The DNA here is from genome assembly GCF_000001405.40 of Homo sapiens. Lineage (NCBI taxonomy): Eukaryota > Metazoa > Chordata > Mammalia > Primates > Hominidae > Homo > Homo sapiens. The sequence continues at coordinate 35,521,996 of NC_000007.14, forward strand.
TACAGAAAAACCTTGAATTCCAGCATTCTTATGTAGCCAGATCAACGGTAACACAGATACAGCCAAATAAAAGCTGGAAAGAACATTCAAATCCCAAAACCTCAAAGCACCACTTATTCCTGTAGTTGTGGAAAAGCAACATGGCTCTTAGTGTCAAAAGCCATAAAACTCACAAGATGACTTTGGCTCTAAAACAAGACAATTACAGACGACAAGACACTTTCTGGAGAAAAACGTTCAAGTCTAAATATCTTTTACCATTCATAAATGGAAGTCAGAAGAGTGGTTACCTTGGAGCTGGGGTGATAGATTGGAAAGGGGCATGAGGAAAACTTCTGGAATGCTCAGCTGTCCCATAGCTCAATCTGAGTGGTGGTTGCACAAGTGATGACTTAGTTTACAATCCAGTACTTAAGACTGGCACAACTGACATACTTTTACTATGTTATGTCTTGATTAAATTTATAATAATTAGATTTACTGTGTTACGCCTTAATAAAATTAAACGTGCTTTACTATATTATACCTTAATATGTATTAAGTTAATACATATTTATGTAGGATTTTAATTTCAGGAAACTTATTGAATCATAAGATAACCCAAAGAGAATTTTTAAGGGATTAAAATTCATTCATTATATTCTACATATAATCTATTTGCCAAAATAGGAAAATGAATACATGTTTTTTAAAAGTGTCCACTGAGACTAAGGATTAAAACCAAAGTGTGTCCTGCTTGGAAAGAATCAGCACATCTTGCCCCAAGTGAGGATCCCTCACAGACAGCCTAAGACTCTGCTCCCAGATGAGCGCCCCCGGGCTGGACACTGAGCCGCAGAGAGTTGGGCTACTGGGGGCTCTCCTCAGGAAGGAGTGGGAGCAGCTGGAGCCACAGGAGCAGCAGGTGTCCTGACAGCCCTACATCAGAGCTTTGTGTTTAGAAACTCCAGGAAGTCCTTGCTGCACTTGGAAATCTTCCCCTCGCCCCCAACTCCCACAAAGGGCCAGACAGCTTAGAGGGAGAGAAGAGCCCCTCCAAAGGCTCACCAAAATGTGCAGCTGTCTGTTCTTTACTGCTGTCCTGCGAGCCCTTAAGGCATTTCAACAATGAACATCTTGATTTTCTGTGAATTTATGGAAGAAAATGTGTCTTTTGAAACTGTACATAGTAGTATGCCCTTATCTGCAGGGAATAGTTCCAAGACCCCCAGTGAATGCCAGAAACTGCAGGCAGTACCCAACCCTATATATACTGTGTATTTTTACTATACATACTACCTGAGATAAACTTTAATTTATAAATTGGGCACAATATGAGATTAACAACCATAACTACTAATAAAATAGAACAATTATGACAACACGCTGTAATAAAAGTCATGTGAATGTGGTCTCCCTTTTTCTCTCTCTCTCTCTCAATGTCTTTCTGTACTGCATTCGTCCTTCTTCTTGTGGTGACGTGAGATGATACAGTGCCTATGGGATGACATGAAGTGAGGCGAATGACATAGGCATTGTGACATATCATTAGGCTACTACTGCCCTTCTGAAGATACATCAGAAGGAGGATCACCTGCTTTGGGTGATCACAGAGCATTGAGCCATGACGATGTAGATTGCTGTGCATCAGGAGCAGACAATGCTGATGTTTGGGGATCCTCGATAGTTGACGGGTTTTGTTGTTTTTTGTTTTTTTGCCATAACCTGCTGGAAGAACATTGCAATCAGTTGTTCTCTTTATTTTCAATTTATCGAAGTGTTGCTGCAGAGGTTGCAATCCTTCATTAAGAATATGAGGAATTTTAACACTGCATTCCATCCTAGGATCATATTCCATAATTTTGTCCTTTAATGTCTGTGTAATTTAAAACGCTTCAGCAAATTTCAATTATGACCACATTGCTGGTTCTGCTTCAGTTTTTTCTTCATCTTTCTCTGCAGATGACTCAAAATTCATCCATTTCCTCATCTGTTAACACTTCTTGATGGCCTTCAATATCTTCTTCCACTTCAGCAAGCATGTCAGCAACCCATCTCCACTAACTTGTCCTGCTGCACAAATGATTTTCCTAACTTCTCCATTGATCCCAGAGAAGCCTTTAAAATCATTCGTGACTTCACTCCATAAGTTCTTCCAGAAGGCATTTGCAATTTCTGGCTTTAATTCATCTGTTGTAGCTTTGATGAATGTTGTTCCATTAGCAATAGTGAATGGTTGTGCTGCAGTGTGTCTAGATTAACTTCTGCATCAATTGCTGATCAAATACAGTCATGCACCGATTAATGCTGTAGACACGTTCTGAGAAATGTGTCATAAGATGATTTCATCATTGAATGAACATCATAGAGTGCATTTACAGAGACCTGGATGGTAGAGCCTACTACGCACCTAGGCTGTATGGTATAACCTATTGCTCCTAGGCTACAAACCTGTACCACGTTACTGTACTGAATACTATAGCCAATTGTAACACAATGATAAGTATGTGTGCACCTAAACATAGAAAATGTACAGTAAAAACAGGGCATAAAAGATAAAAAAAAGTTGCACACCTGAAGAGGGCACTTATGATGAATAGAGGTTGCAGAACTGGAATTTGCTCCAGGTGAGTCAGTGAATGAGTGGTGGGTGAATGTGCAGCCTAGGACATTACTGTGCACTACTGCAGACTTTATCAACACTGTGCACTTATGCCACACTAAATTTATTTTAAGATTACTTTTATTTCTTCAATAATATATTAACCTTAGCTTACTATAACTTTTTGACTTTATAAACTTTTAATTTTTCTAAATTTTTTTACTCTCGTATTAACACTTAAAATACACATTGTACAGCTGTACAAAAATATTTTCTTATTTTATAAGATTCTTTCTTTTTTTGTTTTTTACTTTTTAATCTCTTTTGTTAAAAACTAACATACAAACACCTCCATGAGCCTAGGTAGGCCTACACAAGGTCAGGATTGTCAACATGGCTGTCTTCCACCTCCATATCTTGTCCAACTGGGTGGTCTTCAGGGGCAATAACATGCATGGAGTTGTCATCTCCTAGATGACAATGTGTTCTTCTGGAATGGACCTATCTGAGGCTGTTTGCACTTAACTTTTTCTGAATAAGTAGAAGAGGCACACTCTAAAATAATGATAAAAGGTATAATAAAGTAAAGACATAAACCAGTAACATGGTCACTTATTATCATTATCAAGTATTATGTACCGTGCATAGTTGCCTGTGCCTGACTTTTATGACTGGCAGCACAGTGGGTTTGTTTGTGCCAACAGCACTACAGCTTTGATGAATGTGAGTAATGCATTGCACCATGATGTTACCAAGGCTACAACATCACCAAGCAATAGGAACTTTTCAGCTCCAGTATAATTTTATGGGACCACCGTCATGTATTGGCTTTATTGTTGATCTAAATGTCATCACATAGTACATGACTGTACCAGGCAGGTGTACTTGACCTTGACAAAATGAATGATGCCTCGGTCAGGGGGCTGAAGAAATGAGGTTGTATTTGGAAGTAAAATGCAACATCGACATTTTCTTTTTCGTAGCAATCAGATTCAGGATGGCCAGGTGCATTGTCCATTCTTTTTTTTTTTTTTTTTTTTTTGAGACAGAGTCTCGCTCTGTCGCCCAGGCTGGAGTGCAGTGGCGTGATCTTGGCTCACTGCAAGCTCCGCCTCCCAGGTTCATGCCACTATCCTGCCTCAGCCTCCCAAGTAGCTGGGACTACAGGCACCCGCCACCACGCCCGGCTAATTTTTTGTATTTTTAGTAGAGACGGGGTTTCATCATGTTAGCCAGGATGGTCTCGATCTCCTGACCTCATGATCTGCCCCCCTCGGCCTCCCAAAGTGCTAGGATTACAGGCGTGAGCCACCGCGCCCGATCGCATTGTCTATTCTTAATAAGACTTTGAATTCCAACCCTGCCTTTTCCAAGTATTTTTTCACTTCTGGGATGAAGCATGGGTGGAACCATTCCATAAACAAGATGGTCATCACCCACACTTTCTGATCATGTTGCCAGAACACGGGCAAATTATTTTTGGTTGTGTGTGTGTGTGTGTGTGTGTGTGTGTGTGTGTGTGTTGAGATGGAGTCTCACTCCATTGCCCAGGCTGGAGTGCAGTGGCCTAATCCCAGCTCACTGCAACCTCCGCCTCCCAGGTTCAAGCGATTCTCCTGCCTCAGCCTCCTGAGTAGCTGGGACTACAGGCACGTGCCACCAAACCCAGCTAATTTTTGTATTTTTAGTAGAGACAGGGTTTCACCATGTTGGCCAGGCTGGTCTCAAACTTCTGACCTCAGGTAATCTACCCACCTCGGCCTCCCAAAGTGCTGGAATTACAGGCGTGAGCCACCATGCCTAGCCTGGTTTTGTTTTTTGACAGCGTGTGTATTCTTCGTTCTGTACACTACACCTGGCTTTATCATATGCCCTCAGCATTGCCACCTAATACCAGAGTCAATCTGTCCTTCCATGTTTTATGGTCTTGGTGCCTCCCTTGCACTTTTACGAATGTAGGTTCTACGGGACATCATCTCCCAGAAGAGCCCAGTTTCATTGCAGTTGAAAACTTGCTTTAGATGATATCCTTTCTCCTTAATTAATTTCCAACTCTGCCAGAAATGTAGCAGCATCTTCTTCATCTGCAAATGCAGCAACTCCAGCAATTTTTATATTTTTCAGTCCAAACCTATTCCTGAATCTGTGTAATCATCTCTTACTTGCAGTAAATGGCTTGGCGTCACCTGTTTCAGCGAATCCCTTGCTCATGTCTTGGTATCAGCTCAATGCTTTCTGGTGCAACCTGTTGCCATCGATTGCAACATATTTCTCCTCAAGTCTTCCACCCACAAATGTAACGCCTTTTTCATCTTAACTAAGCACTTATCATGCACTGTGGCCATAACTTTGGCAGTTTGAGGTGCAACAGAAAAATTCACACAAATTTCTTTTTCCCTCCTCACAATTTCATGGATAGATTTGTTCTTACCACAGATCTTAGTAATCTCAGCACAGGATTTCTTCCTTTCCTTATTAAGTTGAGAACTTTCACCTTTTTACACAAGGAAAGCACTTTGCAACTTCATTTTGGCATATCCGAATTGCCAGCATCAAGGAAGTCCTCCTTGCACTTGGAACTCCCCCGCCACACACAAAGGACTAGAGGGCTTAGAGGGAGAGAAGAGTGCTATTCTGGCGCTTTGAGGCATTATTAAATGAAATAAGGATTACTTGAACACAGCACTGCAACACCTTGACAGTTGACCTGACAGAAGCTACTACTAAATGACTGCCAGGTGGGTGGCATCTACATTGTGGATGGACGCCCTGGACAAAGGAGGATTTGTGTCCCGGGTAGGATAAAGCAAGACAGTATGGGACTTCACCACACGATCCAGAATGACATGAAATTTGAAACTTATGAATTGTTTATTTGGGGAATTTTCCATTTCGTATTGTCAGACTGAGATTTGTGGGTAACTGAAACCATGGAAAGCAAAACCTGACAGCAGTGAGAGAGGCTTCAATTCAAGTCAAATTAACAAGCATGCACTTGATGCCTTGGGCTGTGCAAAGTCCTGGAAAAACTGAGACCCACAAAAACACGGTTCCTGGGTACTGCCCAGTGTGGACTGCAGGCAGGGCAAATGAAGGATTACCTGTTGTGCTGGCCAGGTTACGTTCTTAGTGCTTGCTTGATAAGACCTGCATGTTGTAGGACATCCTACCATATTCTAACATAAAATATGATGAAGGCACTTAAAAAAAAAACTCCTCAAAATCCTGCCACCAGGGGCAACCACTCTTAGCCTCTTTCTTGCTTACCCCTTCCAGACCTCCCTGCTCAGCCTACATTCATTCATCATTGACCCTGTGCCTGGCACTCTGCTAAGGCTTTTTAATCTCACTGTATCCTCACCACAAAGCTGGGTGGCAAGTACTATTAGAAAAAGTGGTATTGATATGGGCATTGACAGGAGTGTCAACCCAGTTTTCCAGGCAAGGAGACAGAGAGGTTTAAGAAAGGTCATTAACTTGCCCAGTTGCCCAGCTGGGAAGTGGCAGGACACACTACCAGGACTTTCTGACTGCAAAGCCCAGCTCTTAGCCTCCACAGAGGGTGAGTCCTATTCCCAGTTCCAGCTGGGCCTCCAGGTGACCTGGAGGAGCTTGGGTAGAGAGAAGCAGATGGTTAGGGCAGGAACTGAGGCTGGGCAGAGAAAACATTGACGCTTTGTTAAGAAGTTTATGCTTCACCTGGAAGGCAATGAAGCACCTTCTAAGATTCTTAAGCATCAAAGTAACAAGGCCTGTTTTGTGTTCCAGAAAGATCCTGCTGGCAGCCATGGGAGTGGTTATGGGGCAGTGCCCTGCAACAGGGTGGGTGCTTGAGATAGTCCAGGTAGAGAAGCTTAGGGAGGGAGACCCAAGAAACCTGTCCTAAGTGGTATCACTGGGCTCCACAGCAGAATGGATGGATGTGAGAGACAAGGGAGAAAAAGAAATCAATAAGAGCCCTAGACCAGGGTCCTAAGTTCAGTGACCCACGGGATTCTGTTAAGGATGACCTTTTACCTGTACTAAGTGCTGTGCTAGGCCCGAGGGTGCAAAGATGAATTAAGCCTGAGTTCTTAACTGATTCACCTGACGTACTCCTGGGTGGGCTCATGACCAGACCACCTCGCACCGGGTTCCACTTGATGGAGAAGTGCAGGATGGTGAGGTCGCATGTGTACCTTCCAGGCTGACACAAACATGCCGTTTGAGGTGAAGGTCTGAAGTCGAAGGGTTAGACAACAGTTGGTTTCTAATCATTCACAAAAATATCTAGATGCTGTAACAAATTGTGGGGGAGGAAGAAAGAAACCATTTATTTCCATTTCTTTAATGCCATCAACATCAACTTTGAGTTTCCCTGTCCCAGATCTTGGTGTCATACAGGGCCACATTCAATCATATTTTTTAAAGGGTTATTATTTTAAACTCATCCAGACTTGAGCTCTTTGTGTTATTAGAAAAAACAATCTCAGACATACCTTTGGCAGAATTGAATAGTAGTATTAATGCAATTAAATCTAACTGAATAAGATTTCATAGACCCTGATATTTTATACATAGTGACTTAGCCCCTCTGGAGTGGAGACTTCTGTAATGGGAGCAGCTTTCAGCTTTTGGAAATCTTCCGGTAGCATCAATCTACGTAGAGGGAATCTTGAGTCACACACTCAGGTGAATGAGAATACTGCTTTCTCTGTTTCCCATCACTCCCCTTGACTTCTGACTCAGGGACATTGAAGCTCAGTCTTTCTGGGTGTTCAGCCTGCACCTCCCAAGTGTGAGACACAGGAGTCTCACTGGTACAGGTCACCCATGTGGTTTTTGACCACTGTCCGCAGGGCCTTGTCCATGCGGCATTTGGGTGTGGAATTTCCTCTGAGGTTGCCTTTGGCCATGTCTGCCTAGACTCAGGGTCACAAACTAAAAACCCACACCTCCGATGTGGCCTGCAGAGGCATTTGTTCTCTTTTGGCCTACATGATTTTTTTTAATTATTATTAAGAGATTTCACATTTTTTAAAAACCCAGATGTCTAGCATCTTGTAAGACCTGTAGGATGTGCCAACCCTGGACCCACATATTCTTAGGGCACCAGTCAGTGGGGGCCGAGCATCAGGTATCCCCATCAGAAAAGGCTGTGTTCCCCAGGCCGTCTTGTTCCTAGGATGCCCATGGACATCAACAGCCATGGTCACCCCTGCATCATTGCCCTGCACTTTTGTTTTTCTCATAGGAGAGAAATAGTTTCTGTACCTGTCGTAGATTGGGTTCCCCTGAAGCCAACCTCGAGCGAGATTACATGCAGGAAGTTAAGTAGGAAGTGCTCACTGGGTCAACTCTTGAGAAAGGAGAAACGAAGGTGCAGAACTGAGCAGAGAGAGAAGCTGTGCTACTATGCAGTCTCAACCATAGCCTCAGCCCACCCACAGAGAGCTGGGAAGCTACGTGGCCCTTTAGTTGTGGGGAAAGGATCCTGGGATTCATACTCTTGTACCCACCTGTCATTGGATACAGCTGTCCCTGGAAAGGAGTGTGACCTTGAACCAGGAAGATTTCTTCAGCTGACGGCAGTATCCAGCAGCACCCCCAGCACCCCCAGCACCCGAGGAGTCCATCCTTCAGTGGGAAGGGAGATCTGGATGGTGTATAACAGCATCACCTGTAGCACCCATGTGGGAAGAACCAGCAGGCAAGCAGGGGTGCTGCGGGCCCCTCTGCCCACTGATGCGAGGGTCCTGTAGGCATTTGGGTCAAGTAGCGTGGAAGGCAGACATTCTTCCTGGGGCTTCCACAAGAGCCCAGGGGAGCCGCCCCGGAGGCCTGCCCCCAGACCGCCACCACCAATGCCGCAAGAAGCTTCCCACAAGACTCCTCGCCATCATCTTTCAGCCCCTCTGCCGTTCCCTAAGGACAGGGACTTTTAGAATACAAGTCTAAAAGAATTGCTGATCACTTCCCTCCCTGCCACGAATCTCCCTGAAACAATGGACACAGAGACAGCTACTTGTTGGACTAGGAGGAAGGGAAATGAGAACATGCAGGGAGATAAGGAAAACATAACTGAATGTTGTTGGCTCTCTGCTTCCCCAAACCCTGGCCAGGATTCACAGACCAAGCAGCATGCAAGGCCTCACTCGACCCTACCAGCAGGACCATTCCCAGCCCCACTCCTCACTCCCTAGCTGAGTCCTGCAGCAGGGACTCTTTTCACTTTATTCTGAGAACCCTGACTCCACAGGGGCCTGAAAAGCAGCAGCACTCTGGCCAAGACTCAAAGACATGAGGGGACGCCTTGCTCACATCAACGAACAGGTTCGGTTCCCTTTTTCCTCCACCTGCTTCCTCCTCCTTACTCCTCCCCAGCCTCTGCCCTCTCCACATCACACCCTACCCTGCTCTGCTATTTTCTTTACTAGGTCCTACTAGCATTGCATTATAATTAGGGGGTAAACCAGAGGCTTCACCTGCCAGGAGATGGGGGATCAAGAAGGCCAAGTCAAGGCCATTATGTGAAGTGAAATAAGCCAGGCACAGAAAGACAAATGTTCTTCACATATTCTCACTTATTTGTGGAAGCAAAAAATTAACACAATTGTACTCATGAATATAGACAGTAGAAGGATGGTGACCAGAGGCTGGGAAGGGTAGTGGGGAGTGGGGAGAAGGAAGTGGGGATGGTTAATGGGCACAAAAAAGTAGTTAGAAAGAATAAGACATGGTATTTGCTAACACAATGGAATGATGATACTCAAAAATAATTTAATTGTACATTTTAAATAACTAAAAGGGTATAATTGGATTGTTTGTAACAGAAAAGATAAATGCTTGAGGGAATGGACACCCCGTTTTCCCTTATGTGATTATTATGCATTACCTACCTGTATCAAAATATCTCATGTACCCCATAAATGTATACACAGACTATGTACCCACACAAATTTTAAATTTAAAAGAAGGAAAATCAAGTCATCCTTCTTAGGGTTTCTGGCCAGTGTCCCCCCTCACTGCATTGTACTGCAGCTCCCTCTACCACTGTAGCCTTGTAGCCACAGTAGCCTGTGGGCCGATCTCGCCTGCCCATTCTTAGTGCACTTCTTGCCTGCACAGATCTAGTTGGCAGATTTGTAATTGTCTTTATCCACCCTTAGTGTATTTATATGGGGTATGGAGGGAAATACACACCTATAATTTATAGAAACTATGTATATAATAAAACAAAACAGAGCAGCCTGATACCTATGTTAGGAAATATATCCCCAGTTATCCAGCCACACCTAGACTATTATGTAGAGAAGAGGGTGAGTGGTCGACCTGGGTGCTCTACGTGGTGAAAGGGGGGTGCCCTTCCATAAACCGCATCTCAGAGGCTTTTGTCTCTGTCAGAATCTCTTTTCAATGGCCACAATTATTATGACATTTTTGTAAACGAGTTTGTGTGAAATGAGCAAAAGCTCCATCCAGGAAATGCCAAGTGTGGATGGTGGGTTTAAGGAAGAACAAGATGAGCACTTAGCTGCTGCCGGGGGTTGTGGGAGGCAATCCAGCAAGTTCCAAGGTGCCTGAGATTCAGGTAAGTGAGGAGGGAGCACATCGGACACTTATGGAAGGTGGGAAGGTGGTAGGACCACATTTGCCCTTTTCCAAACCTGGAGAGAAAAAAGATGTTCCCCCTGCCTTCAGCAGCTCTGACTCTGGAACAAGTAGCACAGACGACGAGCACTGATTGCATGCAGACTGGGAAGACGTGAGAGGAAAGTAGAGGACGTCATTGCAGCCCCAGGGAGAGGGGAACAAATAGGATCTGGCAGGCGGGAGTGGGGATTTGCAGGATGATTTCTGGAGAAGATGACAAGTGCTATGGGCTCTAGAGGATGAAAAAGACTTCAAGCAGAGGACATCTCTTCATGGCTGGGGTCAGAGGGACAGCCATTGTGCCAAGGACAATTCTCGGAATAACCACAGCCCATTCATCTCCCCCGTGCGGGGTGGAAGGAGGAATGGAAAGGAGGTGGATTGTGGAGAAGAGTCCTTCACAGGATTCTTCATCCTCCATCCTTCCCTAATATGACCCCAGTAAAATATAACATGAGACCAGTAGTGGTAAAGGGAGCTGTTTTCTTCATCTGCAAACCCAAAGTCGAAGCACAATGCCTCCACTTGCCTTTGATGTTCTGATAAAGATTGAATCTGCCAGGAAGGGCGATACCTGCCAGCTTCCCTTAGAAAATGAAGGCACAGACAGCTCATTAGGAAGACAAAATTATCTTGATTTAGTCAATTTCCGTTTCTCTCCAGTTCACCAAATTTGTATTAACTGTTATTGGGGAAACTAATTAACTTTTCTGCTCCTGGAATCAATTACTCATGCCCCTGGAATCAGGGGGATAGAGAGTCATTTCAAGAAATATATTTTGATTACCTACTATGTGCCAGGCATTGGTAGAGACCTGGAGATTCAAAGATGGAAAGCACACTCATCAGACTACCGGAGCTGCAAAGAAGAGAACGGCATAGGCCACCTTCTGCAATGGAAGTGAGTTGCATAGATCATAAAAGTATGCATTTAGCAGGAGTTGCCCTGATACACACATAGTCACCCAGATCCCAGAATTCCTGAACCAGGACCTGTGATAGGCATTGCAGAGAAGCACTGCCTGCAGCTGCCTTCAATGGGCCTCCTCCAGAACTCTGCCCACTACAAAGGCTGGGCTGGGGCTAAAGGAATTGCTTGGGGATATTCACTGTAAAAATCCTTTCAGCTCCACCATGCGTTTGAAATTTTTCACTAAAAAAAAAAAAAAAACGTGAGAGAGAAAGAAGAAAGATCTGTTTTTTAAACCAGTGCTTCTTAGACTTTAATATGCCTATGAATCATCTGGTGATCTTTTAAAACACTGATTCTGAATGGGGGAAAGGGCGCAGAATAGCCAGCTCCCAGGTTATTCCCAGTCCAGCAGCAGCACACTGCCAGGAGCAAGGCCAAACACAGCATGGTGACTGCGGTTAATAACAATGCATTGTATACTTAAAAATTGCTGAGAGAGTAGATTGTAAGTATTCTCACCACTAAAAAAGGAGTATGTGAGGCAATGCCTATGTTAATTAGCTTTATTAAGCCATTTCACAATGTATACATATTTTATTTTTTAGGTTACAGTCTAGCTTCAGGAGGTACACATGCAGGTTTGTTACAAAGGTATATTGTGTGATGCTGAGATTTGGAGTATAATTGATCCCATCACCCAGGTAGTGAGCATAGTATCAATGGGTTGTTTTCCAACCCTTGCCTGCCCCCCATCTCCCCTGTTTTGTACTCCAGTGTTTGTTGTTCTCATCTTTATGTCCTTGTGATATGGTTTGGCTCTGTGTCCCCACCCAAATCTCATCTCAAATTGTAATCCCACGTGTCAGGAGAGGGGCCTGATGGGAGGTGACTGAATAGTGGTGGCAGACTTCCCCTTGCTGATCTCATGATAGTGAATGAGATTTCACAAGATCTGGTTTTTTGAAAGTGTGAGGCACTTCCCCCTTTGTTCTGTCTTTCTCCTGCCACCACGTGAAGATGCGCTTGCTTTACTTTCATCCTCTGCCATGACTCTTACAGTCACTGAGGCCTCCCAGTCATGCTCCCTGTTAAGCCTGTGGAACTGTGAGTCAATTAAACTTCTTTACTGGCCGGGTGCAGTGGCTCACGCCTGTAATCTCAGCACTTTGGGAGGACGAGGCAGGCAGATCACCTGAGGTCAGGAATTCAAGACTGGCCTGGCCAACATGGTGAAACCCCGTCTCTACTAAAAATACAAAAAAAAAATTAGCTAAGCATGGTGATGGGCACCTGTAATCTCAGCTACTCGGGAAGCTGAGGCAGGAAAATCTCTTGAACCCAGGAGGCGGAGGTTGCAGTGAGCCGAGATCTTGCATTGCACTCCAGCGTAGGCAAGAAGAGTGAAACTCCGTCCCAGAAAAAAAAAAAAAAAAAAAAAACTTTTCTTCATAAATTACCCAGTCTCAGGTAATTCTTTGTAGCAGTGTGAGAACAGACTAATACACCATGTGTGCCCAATGTTTAGCTTATGAGTGAGAACATGCGGTATTTGGTTTTCTGTTTCTGCATTAGTTCACTTAGGATAATAGCCTCTAGCTGCATCCATGTTGCTGCAAAGGACATGATTTTGTTCTTGTTTGTAGCTGTATAGCATCCTATAGTGGACAATGTATACATATTTTGAAATATCAAGTGGTATACCATAAATATACACAATTTTTATTTTTAATGAAAAATAACTACTTTCTAAAAGGCCTAAAGTGCTACACTACAAAAAGGTGTGAGTGTGCTCCAACAGATCAGATCCATTGAGTATAATAGATACACTAGGTGAGGCAACTCTGAGTGGTGAGAAAGGGTGAAGAGCCCTTCCCAGGGGATGTGGAAAGCAAGGGGACCTGTGGCATTAAATACATGGTATTTGCAAGCAGAGATGGGGCTCCAAGGTGGGTCTCACCATTGGCTATTCATTAAAACCCTCCAGGGTAGGTTAAAAATTATGGCCCCACTCCAGTGATCATGATTTAACAGATCTCAGGTGCCCGGGCATAGAAAGTTTTGTTTTGCTTGTTTTTTGTTTGTTTGTTTTGAGATGGAGTTTCACTCTTGTCACCCAGGCTGGAGTGCAGTGGCACCATCTCGGCTCACTGCAAGCTCCGCCTCCCAGGTTCAAGCGATTCTCCTGCCTCAGCCTCCTGAGTAGCTGGGATTACAGGCGCACGCCACCACGACTGGCTAATTTTTTTGTGTGTTTAGTAGAGATGGGGTTTTGCAATGTTGGGCAGGCTGGTCTCGAACTCCTGACCTCAGGTGATCCACCTCCCTCGGCCTCCCAAAGTGCTGGGAATACAGGTGTCAGCCACCATGGCCAGTCAAAAATTTTTAGAAAACCTTTCTGGATAATTCTAATGCACACCCAGAGTTGACAACAGGTGTCCTGCACTGATTCTCACCTGTGTGTTCCGAGCTGGCAAGCTGAGATGCAGGTGTCCTTCGTGATGGGCTGTCTCCTTACTCTGCCTGCAAGGACTGAAGCTCAGCAGGGGTGAGAGTGATTTTCTTTACCCCACAGGGAGATTGGGCTGTGCGGCGCCACCCCCAGTCATGCCATCACGCAGCATGGGGCAGCCTTTCCTTTCATCATGCATTCTTGCAGCTGGCAAGGAATTTGGGACCCATAAGGCAGCAGTCAGCCCAAACCAAGGCCCGCAAGGGCCCTGTGACCTCCCTGCAGTCACTTTGCCAGGAAACAAACACACCAGGAGTGAGGTGAAGGCCCAGTACCTCCCAGACCAAGGCTCCCTCTAGGAAACCTGTGAGAACATACTTTTGACCATCAGGTGCAGATGTCCCCAGGCCCTCTCCAGGGGAAGAAAGGATTCTGTGGCCTCCATCCGTCTCACTAGAGCAGCGCTGAAGGGAGAAGGGGAAGGGAGCCGGGAGCTGCTTGATTAGCTCCTATACACCATGCACCTGGTCGGAAGCCATCCCAAGTACCATCTCTTCTAATCCTCACAGCATATGGGGACACCATGGTCTTGAGTGGTGGGTCTGGTTGTACCCATCTCCCCTGCTGGGCCCCCAGGGGGCCTCTCCAATGTAAGGGTAAAGAGTCCAGGCAAGAAGCTGGGTTTCCATTTCTGTTTGGAGACACCACTGGGTGGGCCAAGTTCTGAGGCCCACCAAGGACTGACAGCACCAGCCAGGGGCTCCCCTCCAACCTCCACCCCAAGACACACAGGAGCTTGATTCTATTTCACCAACCAAGGGCTCCTCCTACCCAAATCCACGTTCTAGTTACAGATAGCAGAGTCCACTAGAGGGTCATGAATCACTCCTATTATTTGCAGTTCTGAAACCAATCAGTCTAAAAGGTCAGCCATCCCTCGCATTGAGCACACTCTCATAGTTAGGCCACAGCAACCTGGGGACTCTGGCCCTGGCCCTTTGACCTGCCGCAGTGACTGCCTGTGTGCCAGTGGGAGATGGGACACAGAACAACCTTCTAGACAACAGGGCGCTGCTCCCAGTGGCTGCACGGCCCAAACCCATGACTGAAATCAGAAGAGAAGCCAAGTCCAGGACAAGAAATCCTCCCTATTGCCAAGCCAAACACGACGTCGTGGCAGCTAAGGCCTCGGCAGCACCTTCCCAAACTGTGGAGAAGGAAGCAGAGCCGCTCTCTCCCGTGAGATGTCAGACTCTCCCAGGCCACCAAAGGAAAGTCTAGTGGGTGGCACCTTCCCTGCACACCCCGGAGTAAGGGTGGGAACTGCTCATATCCTGGCATGAGTGAATGAGTGAGTGAATGAATGATACTCATTGATCTCTGCTCTGAACTAGGCACTGGGAAGGGGCCTTTTACAGGCTGCCTCAGTAAATCCTCACCGCAAAGTAGATGTAGTCTGGCCCCAAACAAGGCCCAAGGAGGCTGGCTAACCTGCCCATGTCACTCCGATAAGGGGCACATGACAGCCGGGGACCTGCAGGATATGTTAAGGGCCCTAGGCCAAGTGAACCCCCAGAAGGCCAAGGTCATTTCCTCCCAGCCACCGCCTTCTGAACTGGAGGACTGAGACACACCTGGAAAACAAAGCCCACAGACACACCCAAACCCCGAAGGAGAAAGAAGTGCGGACTGGGGACCTGCTTTCAGGACCGCCCAGGCTGACTCTGGGCCCGCGGCAGGGCGGGGCGGGGGGCGGGGGGGCGGAGTTGGGGGATAGGACTCGAGCACCCCCCGGGGCAGAGCATTGCCGGGTGAGCCGCATCCCTGCCTGGAACATATGAGAGGTGCGGGGTGTAGGGGAAGTGGGAGCACGCGGGGGGTCTGGGGAGGGGACAGACCGAAGGCAGAGACCACCGCGACAGACACCTATCGAACTTCACGCTAAGGACTGCTCGTTTTACTGATCCGGACTCAGCCCTTAGCGCTGGGCGGTACCACGCGCCGCCAGTGCGGATCATCTGGGCACTGGCGCCACCTAGTGCTGGCAGCGCGGCAATGGCCCTTTTACCGACTCGCGCGTCTATAGTGCGGCCTCACACAACCTCTGCGGAGTCCATGAGCCCTGGAGAGCACAAGTGGTTTGTTTAAGGATAGGGCAGAAATGGGCCAGGAGCTCAGCCTCCTAATCACCAGTCCTGGGGCCCCTACGGAGCACCTTGGTTCTCAACTGTGTGTGGGCTGCAACACAAGGGACAGGACCTTCCCAGACCAGAGCCACAGTTGCAGGCAGATGGTCTGCTCCCTCCCTCGGCCACCAGCTGTGCCCTCCTTTCATCTTATGAAAAATGTATCCCTAGGTTACAATTGAAAAGAAAATAAAACTTCCAGCAGTATCAGAAATCACAAGCCCTAACTGCAGTTGACACAACTAAATAAGGTTTCAGCAGTAAGATTGCTCCCTGAGGCCTCCGCAAGTCTAAAAATCTGCAAATCATGCACATCCCTGAACTTCTCATTTCACCCTCTTTACCCCTTATTCTGGAACGATGAAGGGGAAACACATGTGCATGGGTGCAATTATCATACAGCAATCTTTGCCTATGTGCTAATTTATAAGACAAGTGAATTGTCCACAAACCGTTGGTCCTTTAGCAATTACTAATGACCAATTGCCAATGGGCCAACACGTTGCCGAGCTGTTGTTCCGGAAGGTGGAAGCTCCCTGCTCTATGCCATGCGGCCCTCTCCTACAATGAGAACCATCAGGCAACCATCCACCCAAGCCTAGGCTCTCAGAACTTGCCTTAGAAGTCACTGCTTGACAGCCATCCTTTCCATAGGAAGGTGAACTGCGATTCCAACCAGTCAGCACATACTCCCTCCGTGGGAACAGACAGCTTGAATCCAGGCAGAGGAACAAGCTTTTGCTGTGCTGTGGTTCTCTGTTGAGGCTAGAGAGACTGGAATGCTCTTTCCCTAGATTTGCCCTCAATCTTCAAGGCCAGCGCCTCCAAGACATCTTCCCTGGCTCGCCCCTGCACAGCATGGTGGCCCCCCCAACCTCTCCTTCCTCCCACAGCACCCTGTAGTAAAATTCAAACAAAGCTTTCTGCTGAAACCTTCGCATGGCTTTCATTGCTCTGACAGAAACCAAAGCCACCCCCGCGGCCCTTCCTGGTCTGGTCTTGCCTCCCAGCCCCTCCCTCACTCCACGGCCTCTTTTCTTCTGCTCTCCAGCCCACCCACCTCCGCTCGGACCCTCGGTTTCACCTCCAAAGAGTCTAGTACACTCTGAGCCCTCAGCCTGAAATGCTCTTCCCTCCTCTGTCCGCCTGGTCACATCTCCTTGGGGAAGCCCTCCCCGACCTCCTTAAAGGGCCAGATCACCCTGTTGGAGGTTCTTTGGGCACCTTCATGGCACATGTTCATGTTCTTACTTGGCCAACATAAGCCCTGCCAGGGTTGAACATTCCAGGTTGGGTTTTGTTCATCTTCTACCCCACAGTTGCTGTGGCATTCCACAAGAATAATAGCCATGTTTATGGGGTACCTGCTCTGAGTTGAACCTTGTGGAAGTGCTTTAACCATGTCCTCTCCCTCATCTCAGAGCAACTGTAAAAGGGAGATCACCCACATTTCACAAAGGAAGACAAAGGGGATGAGTCACAGCTCACAGCTGTGAAGAAGCGGGGCTGGGATTTGAACCCAGGGGTTTCTGATGGCAAAGCCTGTACTCCTAGCTACTACTCTATATACCCTGCCTGTCCATTATAGCACCTGCCTCACCAGTACACTGTACTTACAACACCTCCCTCCAGGGAGCTCCCACCAGACAGAGCCCCTCACACCCTCTGTCCCATCCCCTACACTCTGCACATCACTCAGTGGCTGACACGGTAGAGATTCAGTATATGTCTGTTTGTTGAAACCAGGCCCGATAATATGAAAGCAAGGTTCTTTCTACACAGATGAATAGACTGAATGGCCAAAAACATCATTTGCCAAAGGTATTCTGGGAACAGCACTGTCTTGGGATGTTAATAAATGTGCGTCAAACGTGGGCTTCTATCAGCAGATAAAGGTGAGGAGGTAATCACAGTGAACAGACATCCACAGAGGCCCTGATGGTGGGGATTCTCGTCTTTCAAAGCTAATGTGTATTCAGAGCCCTGTGAGGGGGTTGGGGCAGGTGCCTTTTCCTCAAACAACCGTGATGCCAGAACCTTCTTTTCAGGGGGTCCAGTACCAGACTAGAGTCCCACAGAAACTCTAACCCACGGCACCACTTTTCCCCTCACTTTGTGAAGTGTGGGTGGCTCTGACATCTTCAGGATGGCACTGGTCCTGTGCGTGGCGATGGTAAATCTAATAAATAATTGAATATTCAATAACACTCAACTACAGGGGCTCTATCAAGTTCCAGCTTTTAAGTCTGGTTTATTCAGCCAGAAACAGCATGGCAGCTGCTTCTGCTGCCACCCTTCGTGGCATGGCTTTCCACTTTCTTGGTCTGTGGATCCACATTAGTGACGCAGAAATCCCCATGGGCCTCTTTTCCCAATGATTATGGCCGTAAACGCCTCACTGGAAAGTAAGAACAGGGAGGCTGCTTAAATGAACCACAAGGGAGGAGATACCAAGATGATATCTAGCTTTTTGGTTTTTTTGTTTTTTGTTTCTTTGTTTTTTATCCAAGACGGAGTCTTGCTCTGTCGCCCAGGCTTCCCTCTGAGGGAAGAATCCAAGACAGGACAACATCCATTCTTTCACTCAATATACATTTAGTGAACAAATGACAATTTTTATATTGTTAGTGTTTGCATCCTAGCTTTCTCTCTTTCAGCAGACATTTTTAAGTATTCTGTGTGCAAGATCTGGTGTGTTCATTGTTTTTCATGTCCTTGGTTTTAAGAGTTTAAGAGAATTCAATACAATTTGGGGAATATAAAGAACATCAGCTGGCACAGTGACTCACGCCTGTAATCCCAGCACTTTGGGAGGCCACAGCAGGAGAATCACTTGAGCCCAGGAGTTCAAGAGTAGCCTGGGCAACATAGTGAAACCCCAGGTCTACAAAAAAAAAATACAAAAATTAGCCAGGCATGGCGGCGCATGTCTGTAGTCCCCTCTACTACTTGGGGGGCTGAGGCGGGAGAATCGCTTGAGCCCAGAAGGTGGAGGCTGCAGTGAGCCAAAGTTGCACCACTGCACTCCAGCCTGGGCTACAGAGCAAGACCCCGTCAAAAAAAGAAAAAGAAAAAAGAACGTCAATGATATATCGGGGAATGAAAAGCCAACCAATCAATTGTATTCTCAAAGAGAGTTTGTGAATAAATTGTTTGGACCTCAGGACGTATTTCCTGGAGGAAATCTCAGACCGATCATGATTATAGTAAAATATAATGATAATAACAGATAGTAGAAATAATAATTCAGTGTTTACTATTTGCCTTGAAGTTCATTTTCTCATTCAATCCCTGAAATACTGTTATGAGTTAGCTCCGATGGTCATCTCCATTTTCCAGAGGAAGAAACTGAGGCTTGGAGAGATCAGGTAACTAATTTGAGGTCACATAACTGGTAAGTGGTAGGACACGACTCCAAGTCTGGCCTGTCTATCCAGAACCACATCAGCAAAAGCCTATGCAATGCCAGAGCTGTGCTGACATGTGGCAGGAAGTCACACAGTTATATTATAATTACAACATCTATTACAGGGATGTAACAGCATTTAATAAGCAAGCATTTTTTGTATCTCGAACATTAAAATTTTAGGGGGAGGAGTTTTATTTTGAGAATTTGATTTTCTACTAAAGAAATATTTCTTAACACAGAGTTTACACTTTCTGATTCCTGATTCCTACCATCCTATGCAGTGTTCATCTCAATAGATCATGGGGTATCACAGGAACCTTGAAAACAAGCCAAATACAAGTGAATTGGCCAAAGGAGCACAGGTTAGCTCTGCTCGCCACCCTCACAGCCAGGGCCCTGCAAGCAAAATGGGAGGAATGAATATAATGTCTGTCTGCAGGGCCTGAATTAACCAGGGAGCAAAATTAATCACTTAATAAATTCAAATTAATTGATAATCTGATTGATCAATTCAAATTAATCAGAGAAAGAAGAACATCCCAACAGAAAAACAAGAAAGTAAGATGAAAAAGCAATCCACAAAAGAATAAACATAAATAGGCCACGCGTGGTGGCTCATGCCTGTAATACCAGCACTTTGGGAGGCCAATTCAGGCGGATCATGAGGTCAGGAGATCAAGACCATCCTGGCTAACATGGTGAAATGCCGTCTCTACTATAAATACAAAAAAATTAGCCGGGTGTGGTGGTGGGCACCTGTGGTCCCAGCTACTTGGGAGGCTGAGGCAGAAGAATGGCATGAACCTGGGAAGCAGAGCTTGCAGTGAGCCGAGATCATGCCACTGCCCTCCAGCCTGGGCGACAGAGCGAGACTCCGTCTCAAAAAAAAAAAAAAAAAAAAAAAAAAGAATAAACATAAATGGCCCTAAACATATGCAGAATGCTAAAGTTGCCTGAGAATCACCAAGACACCAATTAAAATGAGATTCACTGGACCATTACACTGACAATGTTTAAGTTTGTTTATGTTTTTGTAAGATGGCAGTATTTGTGCAGATTCCTGGGTAAAGAACCTCCCTTTTTCCACTGGTGGTACAACTTTCCCATAGAACAACTTGGAAATATGCATTAAACACCTTTGCAAAGTGCATACCCACTCATTAAGGAAGTTTACTTCAAAGAACTTACTCTAAGGAAATAAACAAGGATATTTCCTAAAATTAGCTATAAGCAATATGTCACATATGATTTCATTTTTATAGAAAAAAAAATATACACACATCCTTAAGACAAAGTCTAGAAGAATATAAACCAAAAAATTAATGCTGGTTATCACTAGATTATAGGATTAGAACTGATTTTATATTTTATATTTTTTTCAATGAATATGTACTAATATTGCAATTTTTAAAAGATATATACTATAAAGGTATATATGATTCAAGCCAATCATATATATATATATATACATGCTTCAAGCCAAAGAACCCACGTTTTTGTGGGCAAAAACTGCATTCCGAGCTCTGAAGAGTGATATTGTTGAGTGAAAAAGCAAAGTACAGAACCGAAGTAGTTATCAACAACCACTTGTAAAAGGGGAGGAAAATACTCTCTGTATTGGCTTGGAGATGCATTTCAAAAACAACCTTGGAAGGGTATACCAGAAACAAACAATAGTAGTAACTTGTTTAAGAGAGCAAGAACTAAGCAGACTTTCAGAGAAAGAAAGAAGAAATTTCAGTGTTGTACTTAGAATTTTTGAACTTTGAACTGTGTGAATACATTACCTTCTCAAAAAAAGTAAAACATATATATTTTTTAAGTAACTTTTTTTCCTTGGGCCTTTTTCAGGACATATATGAGCTATATTCTACAATAAGCATTCTACTCTTGGAGTCTGCACCATTGGCTTAGGAGACCCTGTTTAAAAGCAAGACAGCCAGTGAGATTTCCTCATTTCTAACACTTATTTACCACACCCCACCCCAGAGCTATTTTTCAGAACATCTCTGAATGTGGCAATTGAAAGAAAGGGAGGAAGAGATAGAGAAAAGGAGGGGGAAGAGTTAGAACCGATGCCTCCTGCCTCCAACCCAGGAGACATCAATCTGCTCCCCAACAAACTCTATCCCTGCCCCACCTCACTCTCACCCCTATCAGAGACAACCTTGCCTCCAAGTATTTGGCAAAGGTTTTTACCATCTCTCCTAGGCAGCACACAGGGCACCAGACTTTAGAAACGCCAGCCTTGCTCAACATATCCCATTTCAGCCCTCCTGGAAGTATCTGCTTGATCAAATACACAAATCTCACCCATCCATCTTGACAGAATTTTTAATACAATGTCCTAGGAAGTGATTTGCGTGATAGAAAATACCATGAATCTAAACGTCTTACAAAATCCCTACGTGACTTTCGGCATGTTAAGAGTTTAAAAGTCATCACTCCTCTCCACACAAGAAAAAAGCTGAACTAACTGAAAATCAACAACTCTTCTTAGATCCCACCAGAGAACTGAGGTCACAGGGCAAACTACTGTCCTGAGGTTTGCAGAAACAGACAGGAGGATACAGATGGATCCAGGAGGATCCAGGAGGATCCAGGAGGATCCAGGAGGATACAGGAGGATCACAGGGACAAACCTCTACACAAACCAGTGCCAGGGTAGGGAAACCTGAACTGTAGTTGATGAATTGCTGGGGGCTCAGGGTGGACAAGCCTGAGAGATTAAAAACCCCAAGGGGCCCAGCCTCAGGGAGGCTCCCACACTTAGTTTTACCTCTGGGAGCCCTACCACGTTCTGATAGTGAAGCTAGGGGAAAAAATCCCCTCATGCTCCCAACAGGGAGAGGAAAAGAGGAGATATTTTGAAGCATACCAGATCATTCTGTTCTTCTTAACAGGTCTGGTAAGATAAACTATCTTACCACAGAATAATTGACTAGGGTTTTACCAAAGCCCAGTCGACCTAGGGTAAGAGAGATACCCAACTCCAGCCCCCTCTAGCCTGTCTGCATCATATATGGGAGCGGTGGGGGTGTGCAGGGAGAAGCACTTGTGAGGGTCACAGCCCAGGGCACAGGCTCACTGAAAGACTGAGACCTAATTGTCTACAGCACACTCCCCTCCCTGCACCTCACCACCACATCCCCTGAGCTCCTGCACCATAGCGAGGAACTACAACAGAAAGAGCTGCATGTCTCAGATCTTATCCAAGGAGAATTCTCTAGGGAAACACAAAGACAACAAAAAATACACAAATAAGGACACCAGAGGAAATTTTAGAGCCACACCACAGCTCTTACCAATACATGGGGCACCAACGTGTGACCCAAGCTCAGCCGGTTCAGTGCACCTGCCCTGGACTTTGACTCTTAAGCAAGTGAAAACCAGATTCAGGGATGGTTTAAACTTCATCCTGTCTGCCATGGTGGTGACATCAAATGTCCCAGGCCCAGCGTGGTGATGCTTCCTAGCTAGGTAGTGGCCTTGCTGTTGTTCCTACCACTCTGGCCTCCTTGGTTCCTGTCTATTTTCTGAGCAGGCTTTGATCTCTAGCCTGCCCGCTGACTCTGCAAGGTACCTAACAAACTTAAAATAAAAAAGTGTTCTTCTCTCTTTCTCTCTCTTAGAACTTCTCTTAACATCTCAGGGGACTCTAGTGTTTCTGGGAATACAGTGTGGATATTGCTGCATTCAAAGGGTAAACCATCAAGCCAGAGAGGCCTCTGCTGAGCAAACCACCAGCTGAGGGGAAATTACACAGGAGCTAGAAAGAAATTATTTAGGCAGTTAGTGAGGGTAAGAGAGTCCTCAGCAAGGTTTCCCTTTTAATAAAAAGCAGTCCCCAAATCATTTCTTTTCTAACAAAGAGCTGCCTGAAAAATCAAGCTGCAGACAGAGAAAAGCAAACTAGAAGCTCACATGGGTGAATGTCGGCAGCTGTGCCAACAGAAAAAGGCTACCTGGGGGCCAAGTATGCTCAACACGGAGGTTCCATCTTCCCTTTTCCATGCCAACCATGTGAAGAGTAAAGGAACAGGCAACATGGCACTGGCCAGATAGAGAACCCATGTGCATAATAAAAGATTAGGGTGGGGTGGCCAGCTTCTTCATGTACTATGTAAATGGCACACCTGGTCCAATTAATCTTTGGGCCCTGCTTAAATCAGATGCTGCCTCCTCAAGCTCATCTATAAAACCCTGTGCATTTCACCACGAAACCAGAAGACCACTCAGGAGCCCCTCTCTCTCTGCAGGAGAGAGGGCTTTTTCTCTTTCTCTTGCTTATTAAACCTCCACTGTTAAACTCACTCCTTGTGTGTCTGCATCCTTAATTTCCTTGGCATGAGGCTATGAACTTCAGGTATTACCCAAGATGAATGATGCCACTTCAGAAAGAAACATCAGGAGAAAGAACCTGCAGAAAAACCTGCAGCATTAGAGGCAAAGGGAGCTGCAGGACAACTCCAGGGAGCATCCTGACCAGGGCCTCTCACAGGGGTCCTCAGCCCTGGATACACATCAGAATCCCCTGAAGAGCTTAGAAAAACCAACCTCCACCCTCAGAGACTCTAAGTAGAGGGAGGGTCCAGGCATCCCACGGAGTCCATCTCCCCAGGTGAGGAGAGTATGCAGCCTGTGAGAACCATAGAGGCGGGGCTGATTACATCACACCGAGTGTCCCTCAGACACAGCAACTCATATGGCCAGAGAGAACCCCCAAGAAGACCCCATCTGCAGAAGACAGACCTTCTATGGGCTTCAGATTTCTGGCGGGGAAGCTCGCCTTCAACAGCTCTAACCACAAGAAGCGGTGGTTCTTTCAAGGGCAGGATGAGGAACAGGCAGAAAATGGTGTCTTTTCTGTCTTCATCGGAGCTGGGCCATTAAGCCAAAGTAGCTTCCTGTCTCCCAGAGACCTCACTCACCCCATCAAAAGCCAGAAACAGGATGAAGGATTGCAGTCTCTCACAATCAATCCATTTCACAGGATCTCCCTTTCATTTATTTCCTAAATAAATGGATTGGTTTGGGGATGGTTTCACTTCCAATCAGTCCTGTCAGCTCTCCATATCGTAAATTTGTATTTTCTTTTATAAAGCATTTGCCGTGTTCTTGTCTCTCGGATGTGGCTTTAGAGATGGGCATCCTGAAGACTTAAGTGTTCTGTTTTATTTTGTTGTTCTCTTTTAGGCTTTCTAGGTGCCCACTTTCCTGGCATCTCAGCCTTTATGTTAACGGTTCTCAAAGTTTGGTCCCAGGACCAGCAGCGGCAACATTGGGGAACTTGTTAAAAATGCAGGTTCTTGGGCCCACCTCAGTCCTGTTGAATCAGAAACTCTGAGAGGTGGGGGCGGCAATCTATGTTTTAACGACTACAATATGACGGCTTTAAATTATTTTGCTTAATAGCCTAAAAGCCCACATTCTGGAGAAAATATCCTGTGTCTTTAAGCCCTACCCTAGGCTATGATTTAATTATATGTGCAGAGGAGGGCAACCCACATCTGTGGAGTGGCTCACTTTGAAGCCTTACAACATCCCTAGAAGACTTGTCTTCATTTTAAAATGAAAAGTCAAGGTGTGAGGAGGCAAGTCACTTTGTCAAGGTCTCAGCTAGCCGGCAACAGAGCTGGGTGTCAAACCACATCTGCCCACTGTTAAAGCCCCTGCCCCTCTGCACTCTCCCTGCCCTGAGCTCCAGGACATCACAGCTGCTAAGGGGGACCCTGAGAGCTGGAAAGTAGGGAAGATCCTGGCCGATCCCTTGATTCTCTCAAACAACTGGCCTGGGCTGAATGGAGAGTGGGTAGGATGGACTGCAGCACAATCCAATCAGTTCGAGGTGAGGAAAGGCTTTACAACAAGCATCCTCTGTTTCCCTACCAGACTGCAAGGCACCCTCCCCCCAAAAGACACTTTCATTCATTCAACACACATTTGCTGAGCACCAGATGCTCTGCGGATTCTACGAATCAGAGTGGAGAGTGAGACTAAGGGCCCTGCCCTGTTCAATGGTAATGATAAGTCTACGTTTGGTGAGCACTTTCTATGCCCCAGGCACTGTGCAAAACAGTCTCATTTAATATTCACACTAGGCCTGTGAATTAGATAACATCTTTATCCCCTATTGAAGAATGAGCAAACTGAGACTCGGAAAAGCTATGCAGTGTCCCAGGGTTAAGCAGCTGGAAGTGGCAGCACCAGGATTAAGTTTAGATTCCTCTGACTCAAAGTCTGACCTCTTAACAAGATGCTGTGCCACCTAACAACATCTGTGTCCTCTACTGCTTGTGCATGTATGTGTGTTTTTAGAATAGTAATATATTGTTGTAAAACTGTGATCTTAGCCATTGCACAGGTCAGACCCTGACTTTCCTGGTCAGGGATTGTCTGTGGAAAGGATGCCAGAGCAGGAATCAGGATGCCTAACTCTCTGGGCCATAGGGGTCAAATTAAACAGGAGCAAAATCCAGAATCAATGATCAGAGCAGAGTTTGGGTTAAGGAGAGGACAAGAGGGACAAGAGGCTCCTTGGGCACCTGTGGAGAGGGAAGCCGGCAGGCTGCTCACTCCTCCGGCATGGGTCTCCTGGGTGACTCTCCTGCTTCAGGCATTGTCCCAGCTGAAGGGACTCTGAAATATTTCTAATATCTCCTCAGGCAGGTCTTTCCTCTCATTCTCCTCCCTTCCTTTCCCAAACTCACAATGAATGTGAGCAGCAACTGCGTGTGCATGCTCCTGCACAGAAACTTCAAGAGCAGACATGATTAGCCACGTGTCCTTATCCTGCTGCCATGGTCACGGAGCATAACTGGAGATGGAACCTCAGCCACGACAAACACAGCCCCCTGGCAAACTGCACTAGACAGGTAGCACAAGGCAGAACTAAACTCCTCTTGCATGAGGCCACTGAGATTTGGGGTGTTTGTCACCTAGCCTGTCCTGACTGATGGATTGTCTCTCTGGCAATTTGTCCTTTTTCTGCCTCCAAGAAGGTAGCACATTTGACATTCTCCAATAGCCAGAGGGTTGTGACCCTGGTTCTTCATAGCTTTCTGGTGTCCTCAGAACAACCCTTTCTCTGAGAGACCTTGAATGGCCTCTGTTCTTCCCAGCCAAACAACAACAACCAACCTTACATTCCCTCTGTCACCTGTCATTGAGTTCGGGTGGTTCAGGCCCCTATGGTCTCTCACCTGGGCCATTGCAAGCCTCCCAGTGACTGCCCTGTGCCTCGAATCTCCCTCCTATCTGCCTCCCTGTAGCTGCCAGAGTGGTCTGCCTAAACTGCAGGTGTGACTATGACCTCCACCCATTATCTCTCTCATCACCACCTGGATTAGGGGTCCAAGCTCATGGCCCAACATCCAAGACAAACAATCTTGTGTCTGGTCCTGTTTAGAAATAAATACATGTAGAACTAGGACTGGCGGAGGAAATATTTCACAGGGTGCGTGTTTTCTGAAGCCCAGGCCATTCTCTCACCAAGACTCTGTTTTCACTGCATGTTTATAAGGGAATAAAACCCAGCCGTGCACACACTCTGATCCAGAGCTTATATCCAACAGACCCACCATGTCTTAGAAGTGAGTTATCCAGCAATGGTGCTTAGCTCTAAAAATAAGCAGGCCACCACTGCCATGAGGAACAGGCTGTGAGCGAGCCATTCCTCCTCTGAAAACACGTTTCACCTTCTCCACCTGCCACCTTGTCAGCCATACTCTGCTTCTCCCTGGGATTACTGTCAAATGCTATTGCAGTGAGTGCAAATCTGACGATGAGCTCAGTTGCCTGTGTGCTGAGCCCAACACAGTCACAGTTTCTTTGACTGAGGTCTTGAAGCTTCTTGAGCAAGGGAGGAGGGCTCAAGGGCACTCACCCTGCTGGGACAGATCCATAACAGGGCCACCAACTGGACAGCTTTGACAGACAGCCCAGAATTTTCTGATTTTTTACACAGAGCCCAAAATTCCTCCTCTTAGAATTACTGTCCCTATTAAGGCAGTGTCGTTCTAGAAAACATCTTGCTTAGAGTAGGCAAGCCACAGAGGGAGCTGACATTCATTGAGTGCCTACTCTATGTATGCCAGGTCCATGCTAAGCACTTTGTGCACATTGTCTCATTTATTCCACATAACAAGCCTGTGGGTGAAGCACCATCACCATCCTCACCCTATTGTATGGATGAGGAAACTGAGGCCCAGAGAGTTTGTGAAAGTTGTCTTAGGCTGTAAAGCTAGTAAAAGGCAGGGGATGGATTCAAACCTAGTGATGAGCGCCTCACCTGGACCAATTCCTATATTCATCCTGCCCACTCATGTTTTCCCACGAAACTTTGAAAAAAGATTCCCTGGAGATAAAGACAAAATGTCTGTAAACCAGTGAGGTAGGAGAGGGACAAAAAAGGTCCGATTTTTAGTCAGGTCAAGTCTCTGTGGTGCATGAGGGATGGAGACTCTGAGAGATGGGATCTGGCGTGAAGGCCCCTTCATGCCCTGCAAAGCAAGAAGGGGGTTGAAAGCAGCAGGTGACGAAGCCTCAGCCTCACTCTACCCCTAGTGATAGAAGTACAAACACAGAGCTTGAGGCCTTAGGAGTAAGAAGATGTTCAGGCAGGTCCTGCTTTTGGAGAGAATGACTTTCTATTCAACTCCCCTCCTGGCACCAGAAACTTGGGAAATAAAGACTGCTAATGGAGAGGTCCCTTGCCAGGTAACATAAGGCACCTGCTCCTCTCTCTGGGCAGATTGTCCTCTCCCTGGAGGCAGGTCCAGGGCCCGGGCCGAGCCCCACCTCCCCCTGCGTCCCTCAGCCAACTGTCACCCCACAGGAGCAATCCCCAAAGGGCCCAATACAAGATGGCATCAACATTGCCCAAGCCAGGGGCACAGGCTTTTCTAGAAGGCCCACACATGACCCACCTCTGGCAGATTTTATACCACTTCTGGGGTGGCAATTATGGGATACACCTTGACTAATTTTTCACTGATGCAAACTCAGGCTTCCCTGCATTGATTCAGGAGATACATAATACAATTTTAGGGAAGTAGAAATGTTTACATTACGATCAGAATTGCCCACCAGCCCAGAGCTTGAATGCAGGCCACAACACCAGCGCCCCAGGAGGGCAGTGGGCGCCATGAATGTGAACAATTTGGGGAAGCTCTCAGTCTGCAGTCTCGGGCTTTTGCTACTGGGTAGACTTTGGATGCATCCATGTGTGCCATTGGTGTTGCCTGTCCTTTCCCTCATCCACCCCGCAGTGCACTCTAATCAGGACTGGAAAGTGAAGGCTAGGAGTCTGCTCAAAGATGTTTCTGAAAGGAAAAGTTGGACGGATCTCATGGTGAGTCCTGGGTGGTCTACAGATTCAAGTCTCCTGTGAGATTCATATGATCTGGGAGTTGAGGCTGCCAGGCAGCTACTTCTGCAGCAGAAGGGATCCATGGGGCTTTGGGGGAGGACCCCCAGGTACTGGCACATTTTCCATCTCAACCTGGGTGAGGTTACCCAGGCGCTCTTTTACGTAACCGAAATTTATTAAGGTATACATTTATGTTTTATGCCTAATGTGGGACATTTCTTGTATTTCCTAATTTTCTTTAAAACATGGCTTTAAGAAAAAGACAAGGTCTCCTGAAAGAAATGGAGTGTGTATGTCAGGAAATGTCTGTGGAAGGCAAATGGCAAGCTCTCTGAAGGAAAGAGGAATTTGATTTTGCTCTGTGGGGGGCAACGTCCAGGGGAGATCTACCCCTTCCAGGGCGTGTGGGCCATGTCTCCACATCCAAAGGGCTGCAGAGCCAGGCTACAGATGGCTTGGGGAGGGACCCAGGGATCTGAGTGGTCAATGTTGGCACTGGTGGGGGAGGCAGAGCGGCCGTGTGGCAGCTGCTGAAAGAAGAGCTGCTGGGGGCCCACCCAGGAGCCTGCCTCCCTGATCTTTGGACCATCACCACAGATTATGTGAGGTAAAATGTGTTCTTTATAAAGCCGCCTCTAACTTTTCATTAGCTTGCCTTGCTGTTTGTTTTTTTTTTTAACAAGAAAACTAATAATGAGAAACCACAGAGATCCCCAGGCTGGATTTGAGCCCCTTCAGGCGTGGCCAAATGTGGCTGAACTGGGACCAGATAAAGATGTTTACTGACAGCCTAATAAACAAATGGGCCCCATTGGATGTAACCTTGATGAATGGAGCATCCAGGTGTTTTCACTAATGGCAATAAGCACTACAACCCAAAGTATTTCTGATTCAAGTCTAATGCATTATTAGGCCATTAGAGGCTGAGCACAGAGAACCATTTGGACACAACCCTATCAATAATGCTGCTTCCCAGCCTGCATTTAGGCCTGGGGAATTAGTCATCCTGATATTCTATTTAATAAAAAACCTCAAGAAGAAGCATCAAAAATCACATTACATTTTAACAGGGTTACAGCAGCCCAGGAGAACCACAAGTTTAATTTTCATAAGAGCATTCATTCCTCAATTATGTCAAACATGAAAATGTAAATGGCAAATTTAATGCTAACAATATCCCTCAAAGCACATTGGCAGGTAAGGCACATTATGTTGAGTGGATGCTGGCTGCATATCAAGCAGCTCCTGAAGGGAGATTTGGGGGCTCAGAGAGGAGGGTGTTTCAGGCTACTTGGCTGGGCTGCCCCTGGGAGAGCTCCGTCTCCCATGCAAGGGGGGGACACGTGAGTCTTAAGGACACGGGCTCCCTGGTGCCCCCTCATGGCATTTCCTGTGGGTCCCAAAAGTTACTTTGTTCTCTGTGGCAGCAGCTGAAAGATGCTAATGGAGGCATTTCAGGGCCTAAAAATGAACAGAACTTCCAAGAGATTGTCAGGAATTTCATGGGGTGTGAGATGAGAATCTGTATTTGAAACAAAATTCCAGGTTAGGGTCTCTCCCTCCCTCAAGAACTAGACCTATTTTCTGGCCAAAGGCATGGCAGAAAGAAGGGAGTATTATTTCTATTTTTAACTGAAGCCACTGACAACAGCCACCAAAGCATTTCACTGTCTTTTTCCATAAAAAACAAAAATTGTCTTTGAAAGATGTCCATGCTGTATTGATGTTCTTTTAAAACAATCTATGGCAAACAAAAAAATCAAGTATTAATTGTGAATTGGTGAGTGCAGAGGAAAATATCTGAATGATTATACATCAAACTACGAAGAGTACCTCAGGGCATGTATTACATTTGTAAGCAAAAGATAATAATAATAAAGTTTAAAAAAAACAGCAGAGAATGTCCATTTATGAATAGAGCCATCTCTCTGATGATAAGTGGTCGTACCATTCCTTCTGAGTTGATCTGTGACTGGAATTAAGGCAGGATCATAAAATATGGGAGCAGAAAGAAGGCTCAGATGCAATCTGGTCTTATCCCTCTTTTTATTCTGGGGGAAGCTAAGACCCAGAGTGGTTCATTCATTCAACAAGAATTTACTAAGAGTCTGAAATGTGCCAGGCAGGACTTGAGGCTCTGGGCTTCTCTTCAGGGCTTGATCCAAGCCTCAGACTAAAGATGCCCCCGTGTAACATTCATCACTGATAACTGGATCCCATGTAACTCAACATATGACAGCAAATCTTACCATATAACTGTATTACTCTGTATGTAGAAGTCCCTATAGGGAAAACACAGTAAGGCATGCACATTAAGTTGATGCCAATAAACTTTTATTAGACAAATAACCCTGACAAGACATCATGATGGTTGCCAGACATATCAGGATGAAAAACACAAGCATTTCACAGTCTTGGGAGAAAGGCAGACGTGTAAACCAACAAGACAGTACAATGCCATATGTGTGCCTGGGTAAAAGTGCATGTCTGCTATGGCATGCTGCTGAGTGGGCAATAGTTGACTTTGCAGGGAGAGTGCAGGGAAGGCTTTGCTGGGATGATATCCAAGCTGGGTTTTGAACAATAAATAGCAATAGATAGCAAATATACCTAGTTATCTAGGCTCTGCACACTTTCTCATTTGAGTAAACAGATGCCAGAAATCAAAGGTAATTTAATTCAATTCTAAGCTTTGCTGGTGTTTTGTGAAGGAAGCCTGAGCAAATACAATTTTACAACCCACTGCCACACCCAAAATTCCCTTTTCCCATTGCTCTACATTTGTTCTCTCTCACATCCAAAGTCTGCACTGAAGCTTCTCTCTTCATGCCTCTCTCCCACCTGCCTACTGAAAACTCCCCACCAGAATCCGGCCCTCGTGGTCTTCATCTTGCTGTCCATCCTCCCTTTCCTTCCAAGTGTGTCTCTTCTTCTCTCTGGCAGGTAAATCTTGTCCGTGTTTGATACAAATCACCAGGGTCCCTTCTCAGTTCTGCCTCTTATGGCTCTAACAAAGCCAATGGATAGGGAAGGCAAAGACAGTGTTTGCCTTAGAGAGTGGGGTGCAGGAAAGTTGGTGAATGCTCACTTGGGGTGAATGACCCTGTCAACACTGACAGTGAGTCTGGGCAATGAGCTGGGCTGCTCTGTGAACGTGCACAAATCCCAGTGTCTAGGCTTCAGCTTGCGATAGACCAATCTGTCTTTTAGAGAAGTAGCAGTTGCCAGTGGACAATTCTGGGAGTGTCAAGCACCACTTATTGAGAAATCAAGGCTTCTGGAATGAAATTTTCCACTAAAAGCATTTTACAATTTCTCTTTCTACTTGTAATTATATTGGGAAAGAGGTGGGTGGAGTGAACTACAGATATCTTTTGAGCTACAGATATTTTATAGACTCATGAATTAGGAAAGTGCTTTATCCTACAGCCAAATTGTTAAAAATAAGATTGTCTCAGGCAGAAAGAGTGTGAATCTACCAAGACTGAACTTCTCAAGCTTTGCAAGGCAGTGTTTTGTTGACAATTTACTACAATCCTAATTTAGGAGCATGCAGATAACTGTGAGGTATTCCAATAGGCTGTGTGGAGTCATTATCCACCCCAAGGAGATTCGGTTCTAAGAGCAGGCAATTAAATAGCTTATTTCAGGCAAGAAGGCTGCTGTAAATGAGCTAATTCCATTACCTTCAATGCAGTGCTTATCTGGCCCTAAAGGATAGGCTCGGATAGCAAAGGAACCTCTTTACTGCTGGGACCAGAGAAGGCTCATGTACATCAAGGCTCAGCCTCAGAAGTGTCTGTACATAGAGGACACCGCCATTAGTTGGCCTAAATGCCACCACTTTGGTTTTAAACAAGGATTTTCTCATGTCATTTTCAGGAAGATACTGAGCTCTTCAAGGACAAGGATGGTATCCTTCATCTCTGAGCATATTCCAAGCTGCCCTGTTTTTAATCTAAGCCCTCACTTCCTAATCTCTAAAACTGGGGTAATGATACAAACTAGGAGCTGCAGAGAACACTATCAATCATGCACATAGAGCTCCTAAAACAAATCCTGGCATACGGCAGCCTGTCACTATACACATACCTAAATTGATAATGAAGAGGAGACTATTGCAAGAGGAATCATGGACATAAATTAGCCAGAAACATGTATCTCTATTGTTGCGTGTGCCATCTATAAGACACCATTTTCCATAGACAGAGAACATCAAAATACATAGCAGAGAAAAACAGTATTTCTGCAATATGTTCTACTGGTGTGAAATCTAATGTAGTGAAAATAACTGATATATATATAGAGAGAGAGAGTTAACTGTTTTATATAATTATATAATCAAGAGTTAACTATATATAAAAGTTATATAATTATGTAACTATAATCAATTAAGAGTCAATCATAATATAAAAAGTTATATAATTGATTATATAAGTATACAATTGATTACATAATTATATAATTGATTACATAATCAATTAACAGTTGACTATATATAACTGATATATAACTATGTAACTGATCAGTTATATAATTGATTACATAACTATAATCAATAACAGTTAACTATATATAACTATATAACTGATATATAACCATATAACTGACATATAACTATATCAGTTACATAATTATTAATTATAATCAATTAACAGTTAACTATATATAAATAACCATGATTATAATTATGGCCATTTTATAGATGGGAAAACTTAATAACATTTCAGAGGTTCAGCAATTTGTGGCAACTGTTCACAAGTATATAATAAGGCTTTTTATAGTAATAATAATATCTTTCAAGTACACACTATTTGCCAGGAACTTAATAAATAGTTTCAACAACCTCAATTATTAAGCTGGGGACTATTAACTCCATTTAACAGAGGAGGAAACAGAGGCTCATAGGAGGTAAGTGACAATGATCAGTAAGTGGCAGAGCCAGGTGGTCTGGTTCATCCCAAGGTGGTCCTGGCTGCAGAGCCTGCGTGATTTGTCTTGCCATTGGACTGTCGAAGTTGTGTGCGCGTGTTGTCTTAGGATTAGAGGAAGTCCCCTCTGTGGGTGTCAGCCTCAGGGAGCAGGATCTACATTCAGCTTTATGTTGCTCTCAAAGCTGAACAGTGCCCAGCACCAGGCAAGCACTCAACACATTCAGCACTTCTGTGCTCATGCCTGGGAAATGCTCCGTAAGCCTCAAGACTCTTTGCTGTACACACAGTAGATGACATTGGTTGGAAAGTGTATTAGTCAGGGTACTCCAGAGAAGCAGAGCAAATAGGAAATAGATACATATACATAGTACATATGTCTATGTAAATATACATGTATGTGTACAGATATATATATGGACAGTCATATGCCAGATAACAATATTTCAGTAAATGACGGATTACGTATATGACAGTGGTTCCATAAGATTATAAAACTATTTTCACTGTACCTTTTCTAAGTTCAGATACGTTATGCAGTTGCCTGCGGTATTTAGTACTATAACATACTGTACAGGTTTGTAGCCTAGGAGCAATAGGCTGTAACTTGTAGCCTAGGTGAGTAGTAGGCTACATCATCTAGGTTTGTGCAAATACACTATAGGATGTTTCAACAATGATGAAATCACCTAATGACTCATTTCACAGAACCTCGCCTAGTATTCCCTACATGACTGTATGTGTGCGTGTTGTACACATATATGTGTGTGTGTTTATGTCCTGATTTCTGACCCACAGAAACTCTAAGATACTAAGTATATTATTTCAAGGTGGTTGTTTTTGAGTAATTTTTCACACAGCAATAGATAGCTCATGTCCAAATGATCTAGGTTCTGCCTACTATTTGGTTTGAGCAAACATAGTCCAAAAACCAAAAATAATTAAAATCTGTTCCATCCTTCACTGGTAGTTTGTGAAGAAAGTCAAATCATGAGAAAAGATGGCCAGGGTGTTGAGAAAAGATCCCTGACAGTGCAAAGTGATGTTGCAAAGAAGAGGTGGATAAAAGTTCCCTTATTTGTCAGGGTAGGCTAACCTAGTAATAACCCCAAAATATCAGAAGATGAGCACAATACAAGTCTAGTGTTTCTCCTGCTAAGTCCAGTGTGGATTTTTTAAAGTACGTATAAACAAATAAGCTCCACCTCAACAGCCTCAGGGAAACTATGCCTCCAGAAACAAATTACCATAGTCCTGAGCCACTGCCACTCCTCTCAGAGGCTGAAGCCCACAGTGGGAGCCCAGCGCGAGAGGGTCCAGCTGCCCATTTCTCCCTGCTTCATGCCTTACTTTTCCCTTGAATGTGGTGCTCCAGGAAGTACCCCAGCTTGTTTGCTGGTTACATTTTGACAGCTTTAGAGTTTGCTTCAGCCACTTACATCCACCTCCTCTCAGCCCAGCCATGGCCTTCTTTGCCAGAACTCACCTGAAAGCCACTGGAGGGGCTCCGACTACACTCAAGCCCCTTTTCAGCTCAATGGATTTCACATGCTGAATGTCTCCATGCAGGAGCCATTGCAAATAAGATGGGAGAAATCCAACATCCCAAAACCAGGAGAATTTCTTTTAATTTAAAACACTTGGTTGCATTTTGAAAACTAGGTTTCCCGGCCATCTGCAAACAACACAGAATCAGAAGTTAATCATTTGCAGCAAAGCCCCTTGGACAAGAGTCCACATCCAGGAAATCAGTTACTCTTCATGATCCTGGCCTTTGGCAGCAAATGACGAGAGGCATCCTCCTGTCACCCGCCTGCAGGCAGCACTGGGGTAATCATGGAGAAGCATCAATTATGCAAACAGGAAGTTGAGCTGTAGGAAGCACGGATTGTACAAAGAGGAAGTGGGGCTGTAGGTTTGGAAGAAATAGAACAGAGCCAAACCACCCCATAATCTTCACAAACTAGACTTGTGTTCTCTATGGTCCCCTGTATTCCATACTGTGACCAGTGGGGCTACCATCTTCTCAGGGCCCTCACTAGATGCCTCAGAGTCCTCCTTCCCCTGCCCATCTTCTCTCATGCCTCTCAACAAACAAAGGCCTCTAAATTTTCATCTATCTTCTCTCTCATGGGAAGGCTTGGGAACCAGAGTGCCCCACACCTCCTCAGAAACCCATCCTGGAGGCAGCAGCTGAATTCCTGCACTCACTCTACCACCCTAAGCTAAGTCGACATAAGCAAACTCACCCCATTCTTTGCACCTGCAGACTTGATTGCACTAACCTGATACTGACCAGGAAGCTTGGAAGTGCATCTGATTACTAACCAGTATCAGGTTAGTGTAACCAGATACTAACCTCAGACCCTGGACCGTGGCACCTCCCTTGCATTAGTGGATGTTCATGTGGAGTTCCTAGGGGGCATTGGAACCCCACCCTGCAGACACACGTGACTTGTGTGTTTTTTGTTTGAATTTTTTTCATAGGAGACATCTGACTGCTTCTCCTTGGGCTTCCCTCCCGCACCTGATACTGACCAGTTTGTTCATGTAGCTGGAATTGTGTGGTTCACGTATTGTGGATCAGGCAATGGCATGGAGTGTGTGTGTGTGTGTGTGTGTGTGTGTAGTTGTTGTGTAAATAATTTTGTGAGGGAGAGTTGAGAGGCCTTTGTGAAGTTGAGAGGTGTGAGAGAAGGTAGGAAGGGGAAGGAAGTGCAGGTGAGTTTGAGGCATCTAGTGGGGATGCCTCGGAGTCACAAAGGCCTCTCACATCTTCCTCACACCTGCATTGATATGGTTAGGCTTTGTGTCCCCACCCAAATCTCATCTTGAATTGTAATCCCCATAATCCCCATGTGTCAAGGGAGAGACCAGGTGGAGGTGACTGGATCATGGGGGCGGTTTCCCCCATTCTGTTCTCGTGATAATGAGTGAGTTCTCACGTGATCTGATGGTTTCATGAGTGTTTGGCAGTTCTTCCTGTGTTCATTCTCCTTCCTGCCACCTTGTGAAGAAAGTGCCTTGCTTCCCCTTCACCTTCCACCATGATTCTAAGTTTCCTGAGGCCTCCCCAGCAATGCTGAACGGTGAGTCAATTAAACCTTTTTCCTTTATAAATTACCCAGTCTCGGACAGTTCTTATTAGCAGCATGAGAATGGACCAATACATGCGTCTAGAGCGAGGCCCCTCCTCCTCACCACCAGAGGCCTGGCTAAATTCAGGCCTTCCGAGTCTCTCACCTGGACTTCTGCAGCTTTCTCCTATCTGACTCTCCCACATCCGTCTGTCACATAGCTGTCACAGTTATTGTCCAAAAAAAGTCTGATCTGATCATGCTCCCTGCATAAAGCAGCCCTGGCCTCCTCACCAGGACTTAAAGGGCCTTCCACGTTTGCACCCCACCCCCCACCCCACTTTTCCTTTCCTCTCCAGCCTCCCCTTCCACCACACCATGGCACACAGGCCACCCCGGCCCAGAAGGACATCTTCCCTTCCTCAAGCATTGCCTTGGTTGTGCCTTGAGCACCCTGGCCTTGTCCCGTTTCTACCCCCCTGTCGAACTCCTACACAACTCTCAAAGCCCAGTTCTAAACAGGACTTCCTCTGTGCAACTCCTCTGGCATCCCCAGCAAGGCTCATTGCTCTGCCCCTTTGCTCTCCCAAGGCCTTTACCCCACTGACTCAGATGAGGGGTTAGGCTTCCCCACAACCTAACACAGTGCATTGCCCAGAGCAAGAACTTGGCATCTGTTGAGTGAGTGAGGGAAAAATGAAGGGAAGGAGGAATAAATGAAAGTCATTTTTGTTCCCTTGGAATTAAAAAAAAAGTTATCCTTATTCCTTATTTGTCAAAGAAATGCCAAACAAAGCAAACAGGCTAGTGTGAAAGTCAAGTTCTTTTATGCTTTTTTTGTCTACTACCTTCATATTTGCGATGTTGACTGTATTGGTATAAACTTCTGAGGGAAAAACTACACATTCATCAATGAAAAGTCTCCTAAACATTTCAAAAATCTAAGTTAAGTTAGATGGCCCCAAGGTTCTCAATGCCAAATCTAAAAGATACACAGCTTAACATAACACAAGAATAAATAATCCAAAGAATCTTTACTTATTAAAATAAAAGATAATTTTCTAGCAATCCCCAAAGCAAATTATTTAAACTTCTCTCCAAAACTTCTATGAAAACATACAGCAAAAAAAAGAAGAAAGAAAGAAAAGAAAAGAAAAGAAAAGAAAACTGAAGGCAAAGAGACAACCTACAATTTAATCCTAGAATCTAGAAAGAATTTCCACTAACTGTAAGAAATGGTAGAGCTGGGTTGAGAGACATGTACACTTTACCTAATGGCATACTCAGACTTTAATGAGAGAGAAATCACATGAAAACAGGAAGTTTCTTAATAAACTTTGTACACCCACCACTGTCTGTCCCTGGACTTCTTTATATATATATATGTATGTGTGTATATATATATATATACACACATACATATATATGTATATATATGTGTGTACATATATACATATATATGTATATATGTACACATATATGTATATATGTGCACATATATATACATATATATGTATATATGTATATATATGTGTGTGTGTGCGTGTGTGTGTGTATATGTGTATATATATGTATATATATATAAAACTATATATATATATATATATATATATATGTAGTTTTGCTCTTGTCACGCAGGCTGGAGTGCAATGGCATTATCTCGGCTCACTGCCACCTCCACCTCCTGGGTTCAAGCAGTTCTCCCACCTCAGCTTCCCAAGCAGCTGGGATTACAGGCACCCGCCACCACATCTGGCTAATTTTTGTATTTTTAGTAGAGATAGTGTTTCACAATGTTGGTCAGGCTGGTCTTGAACTCCTGACCTCAGATGATCTGCCCGCATCGGCCTCCCAAAGTGCTGGGATTACTGGTGTGAGCCACTGCACCCAACCCCTGGACTTCTAAATCCAGGCTGTGCAGCCATCAGTGTCCTGTTCAGCTACTGGGGTGTGGGGCGCCAGAATCCAGTTCCAGCCCCATATGCGCTGCCACCAGATACACTTTATAAATAGCTGCATTAAGTGTAATATAGGAAATTTTTGTAGCTTCTGATTAATTTTTCTGTGAACCTAAAACTCTAAAAAATAAAGTCTGTTGAAAAAAATCTATAATTTTTATTGAAGACCATGTCATAGGTAGTTATTACTGCTACGATTTGTTTGTTTGTTTTTATCTGCATTCATATTTACAGGAAATGCTAAATTACAGTTAGCTGTTGGTAAAATAAGGATGGAATATTTTTATTCTCTCCTACCCTACCTTCCCCCTACCCAAAAATCCTTAACCACCTTTTCAAAGCTACGGAGTAGATATAAATCCAACAGTAGAAGACAGAGAAGAAAAGATGTGTGTGATTTGCATTCTGGGAACTGTGGTACCAACAAATAAGGTATTGAAATTGGGTTACATAGACATGAAAAAGAGTTTTGCTTTGAGAAATCACTGAAAAATGAGGAAAAGGACCAGCTTCCAGAAGGTTCCACAGGTGAGCATAAGCCTGAACGTAACTCCTGTGATACCCAAGAGACAATGTCATAGACTCTTTGGTATCCTTCATAACTGTAATTTTTCTAGGACAGGAGCAGTAAGGATAGCACCAGCGTAGGTGGAAGGTAATAAGATTAGATCAGGAATTCTTAACCTGAAGTCCACAGACAGAATTCATGGCATTCATGAATTCAATGGGGAAAATATTACATCTTCATTTTACCAACAGCCAACTAAAATTTAGCCATTCCTTTCAGTATGAATGTAGGCAAAAAAAAGTAGTAATAATTATACCTGTGACATAGTCTTTAATAGAAATCACGAATGTTTACTATAGTAAATGGTCATTTGTATTTCTTCTTTTGAGAAGTGTTTAATCAGATTCTGAAGCTGTGAAACTCCTAGAAAAAAAAACATAGGGAAAAAGATTTTTGACATTGGTCTTAGCAAAGTTTTTTGGATATAACCTCAAAACACAGGCAACAAAAGGAAAAAGCAAAAATGGGATTGTATCAAACTAACAAGCTAACGAGCTTCTGTACAGCAAAGGAAACTATGAAGAATGAAGAGACAACCTACGGATCGGGAGAAAATATTTGCAAGTGGAGGATATTGCTAAGAATCATTTATACAGCTCATTACTTGCAGATATAGTAGTTACTAGAATTGCTGCAAGATATTTTTATTTAATATATGTAGGAAAAAGAACCTATATTTCCGTATCACAATAGTTTTAAAATATTTTGCTAAATAGATTTCCATTTTATTTGTTTCCTTGGAAAGTCTATTAGTTTATATTATGCATTTAGAAGTATTATTCTAATAAGTGGTTCACAGGCTTCCCTGGACTGCAAATGAAACATGGATAAGATGAAAAGAGAACCAGATAAGATAAGAAAAATGGAAAGGGGAAAAAATGTAATACCCAAGTTTAAATCCACATGAGAGGCAGCAAATAGAAGAATGGATTTGTAGCAAATTGAATCAGTGATGGAGAAAACAAATTAGTTGGATATCAAAAAGAAAAAGATACAAATGCATGAGAAAAATTGAGAAAATATAAGTGATATGAAGCATAGAAAACAAAAAGCTAATATATACATATTTCTTAAAAAGAAATACAAATAAAACTAAAATGATGACACATATTCTAATAAAAGTATGTCTAAACTGAAGACACTACTATGCATCTTGTAAGAATTTTTATTTTAATTTTCCAGCAAAATTAATGAAAAATAGACCCTCCTTATACATACCCTAAAAACCTTTAAATACAAAGAATAAATATATCTAGTACTCGATGTTCAAAAATAATTAAGCAGTGTATACAACATTTGAGGCAAACTTTTTGAGATCCAAACAGTTTATATCTGGCCAATTTCTTTTCATGTGCAAAAGCAACAGAAATGCCTGCTCTGATAGGCAATGGCTCAAAGGTAATCTTAGGCAAATCATTTCAAGACAGGAAAAATAGGGAAAATATCCCCAATACATTTTAACGATATGAACATATCCCTAATGAAAAAGAAAACAATAGTGCATAAAGAAAACCAACATCCATTTTCACTTATAATTCAGAAATCCTAAATAAAATGTGCATTGTGGTAGGTGCCCTTTCTTTCCTCCCCAACATCCATGCCTGTTCCTTTTCCTACTCACAGAGTTCACTTCTCACACTAGCAGGTGAAAATGCCAGATTCCCTCTTTCCATGCCTCACTTGCAGCTCAGGGCACAAGTAGAACCAGTTCTGACAAGTGAGACATGAGAAGAAAGTGTGTTTGGAATCTGAAAGACAGATAGTGCTCTCTAACAGAGATGTGGGAAAAGCCCTTCTTATGTCTATCTCATTTATGGCTGTTTTGGACATAGTTTCACAGGAAATGATTCTTACAGTCAGCTGCTGCAGCCATCTTCCAACTGTGAAGGAAAGGCCAAGACTGTTGCAGAGACTGAGTCAATTCTCTGATGAGCCGAAGCAAACTTAAAAATCAAACCTTCATACCCTTGGTATGGAAGATGATGGAATGATCACCATCCTTTACACCTAGTTAGTATTTCTTTCAGTATTCATACCCTAAGCACTATATCAAACAAATCATATGCAATAAACAAGTAGGATTTATTCTAGAAATGTGAGAATAGTCCAGCAACAGGAAATTATTGATATAACTTATGAGAGCAATACATCAAAGGAGAATGAAACATAATCATTTTGGTACAAATAGCACACATTTAGATCACACTTACAGTGTGCCAGGAATTATTTGCTTTGCATATACCAAGTCATTTAATTCTAAAAGAGTCCTGTGAAACAACTTATTATCACATTTTATAGATGAGAATACAGAGACATTTTTCACAAAAATAAAAAGCATCCTAAAATTCATGTAGAACCACAAAAGACCCTCAATTGTCAAAGCAATTCTGAGCAAAAAGAGTAAAGCTGAAGGCATCACACTTTCTAATTTCAAAACCTGCTTCAAAGTTATAATAATCAAAACAGCATGGTACTGGCACAAAAACAG
Source organism: Homo sapiens (assembly GCF_000001405.40). Taxonomy (NCBI): domain Eukaryota; kingdom Metazoa; phylum Chordata; class Mammalia; order Primates; family Hominidae; genus Homo; species Homo sapiens. Next base: position 35,563,558 of record NC_000007.14, read on the forward strand.
ACATATAGACCGAAAGAGCAGAATAGAGAGCTCAGAAATAAATGCCCTACAATTACAGTCAACTGATCTTTGACAAAGTTGCCAAGAACACACAATGGAGAAAGCGCAGTCTCTTCAATAAATGGTGTAGGGGAAATGGGACATTCACATTCAGAAGAATGAAATAGGATTCTTATCTCAGCTCATATACAAAAATCAACTCAAAATGGATAAAAACTTAAATATAAGACTTGAAACTATAAAACTCCTAGAAAAAAAACATAAAGAAAATGCTTCTTGACATTGGTCTTGGCAAATATTTTTGTATATGACCCCAAAAGCACAGGCAACTAAAGCAGAAATAAAAAATTGGATTGTATTAAACTAACAAACTTGTGTGCAGCAAAGGAAACAATCAATAGAGTAAAGAGACAAAGTATGTGTTGGAATAAAATATCTTCAAACCATACATCTGATAAGGAATTAATATTCAAAATATATAAGGAATTCAAACTCAATACCAAGAAAATAAGTAATCCAATTTTTAAAATAGGCAAAGAATCTGAATCAACGCTTCTCAAAAGAAGACATACAAAAGGCCCACAGGAATATGAAGAAAATGTTCATCATCATTAATCATCAGGATAATGCCAATTAAAACCACAGTAAGATGTCACCTAACATATGTTAGAATGGCTTTTATCAAAAAGACGAAAGATAAAAAGTGTTGGCAAAGATGCAGAGAAATGGGAACCCTTGTACACTGTTGGTGGGAATGTTATTTAGTACAGCCATTTGGAAAACTATATGGAGATTTCTCAAAAAATTAAAAATAGAACTACAACATAATCTAGCAATCCCACTTTGGGGTATATTTCCAAAGGAAATGAAATCAGTACCTGAAAAAGATATCTGCACTCCCGTGTTCATTGCAGCATTATTCACAGTAGCTGAGGTATGGAACCAACCTAAGTACTCAACAATGGATGGATTGATAAAGAAAATGTGGTATACACACACAATGGAATACTACTCAGCCTTAAAAAAAAGAAGGAAATCCTGATGTTTGCAACATGTATGACCTGGAAGACATTATGCTAAGCGAAATAAGCCAAACATAGAAAGAAAAGTACTGCATGATGTCACTTACATGTGAAATCTTAAAAAGTCGAACTCAGAAACAGAAAGTAAAATAATGCTTACCATAGGTTGAGATGGTGGGAGAGAACAGGGAGATCTTGGCCAAAGGGTGCAAAGGTTCAGTAGATAAGAGGAATAAGTTGTGGAGATCTACTGTACAACATGGTGACCATAATTAATAATAATGTACTATATATTTGAAAATGGCCAACTGAGTAGATTTTAAATGTTTTTGCCACAAAAAAAATAAGTATATGAAGCAATGGACATGTTAATTAGCTTGATTTAATCACTCCACAATGTATGCATGTATCAAAACACCACATCACATCTCATAAATATACATGATATTATTTTAAAAAGGAAATTATAAAACGTTACTGAGGAACAAGAAGAAAAGGCTACAAATAGAGAGGCACACATTCCTCTTTATCTGAGGAACACTTGATAATTTTTAAAATGCTAATTTATGACCACTGCCTCTGTGTTAAGACAGCAAAAATCATAAGGTTTTCCTCCAGGGTCCATTTGCTTCTGTCTGGTTCATGGAAACTGCTGCACTTTTAACGCTTCGGCCAGCCTGCAGAGGTCTGCAGCCATCACTGTGGGAGCCCACCAACCAGCAGGCAGGCCCAGATCCATCAGCGCCGCTGGAGCAAGGTCTTTGCACCTAAACAACAATGGAAGGTAGCTCCCTTTGGTATTTTCAAAGCCAGCATCCATGAAGGATGAGAGGTCATGTGGAAGGGCAGAAAGCAGCCGGGTAGCAGGACTGGTAGGGCTGCTCCAGGGACAGGATCTGGTGCTCGTATGTTCTGTGACTTGCTGCAGGCGACCTTGCATGGGCCCCATTTCCTCATCTATAAAATGGCAGCTGCATCCCTGGCTATCTCGCAGGGTTGTTGCAAGAGTCAGATGAGAAACCTGATATAAAAGTGGTTGGCAAAGTTTTATGGGATCTACAAATGGAAATGCAAGTGGATTCCAGTATACTATACCATGATCATCATGTATAGCTACAGAAATAAAATTGTTCTGATTTTTGTCTCTTCAAAATGCAAAAAAAAATGTATAGTGAATTGAATGGTAGCCCCCAAAAGATATGTCCCTAAAGAACGTGCTATTGTGACATTCTTTGGATAAAGGATCTTCATAGATATAATTAGGAGTCTTGAGATGAGGTCATCGTGGCTTATCCAGGAGAACTCTAAATCCAGTGACAAGCAAGACACAAACACAAATAGAGAAGGAGATGTGAAAATGGAGGCAGAGATTGGAGTTATGTGCTACAAGTCCAAGAATGCCTGGAGTCACTAGAAGCCAGGAGAGAGGCAAGGAACATATTCTCCCTCTGAAACTCCAGAAGACATCAACCCTGCTGACACCTTGATTTCAGACCTCTTGTCTCCAGGACTGTGAGAGAACAAAGATCTGTTGTTTTAAGCCACAGGTTGTGGTAACTTGTTACGGTAACCACAGGAAACCAATACAAATGGCTAGCTGGATGGTGGCCAAATCTGAAGCAGATGTTTGGAATGGGATATAGGGTATTCGCAAAATTCGATCTGAGGTCCCTAGTGGCACACCAAAGAAAGAAAGAGGCAACCTGAACTGATATCTAACAAGGGGTCTGTGTGTGACAGACAAACAGAAAAAAAGCATGCCCTAAAAAGAAGGATGCCATGGGCAAAGAGAACAGGGTCCGACTGTGAACCTTACATCAAAAGCCTCAAGGGAAGGTGTTCTGGGAATGCAGCATTTGCAGTCAAACTTCCATTCACTTAGGCCACCCTGACCCTGCAGAGTGAGCAGCAGCATGGGGTCATTCTGTTATCAGAGACAGCAGACTCTCCACCAGCACAAGAAGCCAGCTACAGGAAGGAGAAACTCTCCCAGGTAGTACATACAACAAAGAGGGGAGGATCAATAGAAAAGGGATCGTAGACAAAATCTCTTTTCAAGTCAGAAAAAAATTTTTTTAATTATTTACAGCTCTTGCCTACCCCTCAAAAAATTAAATATGTGTGTGTGTCAGTGTGTGTAATGGTTCCTAGGAACAGATTGGTATCTATCAGAGGTAAGAGGAAGAAGAGAATTTGTTATGGCAACCAGAGGAAACCAGCACAAATGGCTAACTGGTCACCATCCAAATGGTGGCCACAACCATTTGGATTCCCACAACCTGCCACTTAAAACAACAGATATTTATTCTCTCACAGTCCTGGAGACCAGAGGCCTGAAATCAAGGTGTCAGCAGGGTTGATGTCTTCTGGTGTTTTTGAGGGATAATCTGTTCCCTGCCTCTCTTTCTCTTGACTGAGAAACCTCAAGGGTTGTCTTTCTCAGATGATAGAGACTTGTGATTAAAAAACATTGTGTGCACAGGCATAATTAAGGCACATTTTTTAATATAGTGAAATGTCAGGATTGGATTTTACGTAGTTTACCGTAAGAACCTCTTCTCTGGGCTAGAGGAGAATTTTCCTCCAAGCTGGTAGACATTGCGGAACACAATTCAGCTTAGTCCCTCCTGATGGCAGTGTTTTGTCCCTATCAAGGACAACAAGGGCATTGCCTGAAGCCAGAATAGAGGCCAGTCAAGAACCTAGAATCCAGAGGAAAACACCTATCAGTAAGGTGCTTCAGGGGTGACTATCATAGCTTCCAAATGTATAAATTCTGTCTGTGTGACCGAAAGCGTGCCAGTTCTCTTAGCTCAGGACAAAGATCTGGAGGGCATATCAGCATATCCGAAGGCAGTGCTGTTAGAGGGAGATGTCAAACGGTAGAATGAGGGGAGAAGACTAGACTAGCGACTATTGAGTTCCTCTCATACGCTCAGTCCTACCTGCGGGTTTCCGGCTCATGCTCAGCTAGCCCCTGTGCTCACATCAGTCTCTGGTTTCTCCAAATTGTTATGTCTTTGGCCTCCCCAAGAATAACACAGTGGAAATTAGATAGCCATGGGGAAATGAGTTCCCGCCATCATGGGATAAACACCCCAAAAGGCACTGGTTTGGTTTCTGGAAAATGTTCAGTTCAAGCCTGAATGTGGGAAGAAGCAGGAATAGGGGGATGGAAGAAGGATCAGACTCTTCCTCCAGCAGAAGCTACTGTGGGTGGCTGGCCAGCAGTTAGCTCCAATTCAGGGCAGCAAGGCGATAAGGAAGGGACGGCCAACACAAACCAATAAATCTCTTCTTCCAAGCAACCTTTTATCTGAAAATGTCAAAAAAAAAAATCTAGACAGGAAATATGTAACCCTAAAGCAGTAGCCCGATACACTTATTAGCTGTAACTGAGTTTCCCAAAGATGCAAGATGAGTTAATTGAGTGCTCACGCTTAAAAGGGAGACCTTAACTGCAGGCCTCTTCTACCCATTTAAAACTTAGAAAATCACAGTGTTCCTGATGAGAATCAAGATAGGCGGACCACTTAAAGAAATACGCCCAGGAACCACTGGACACAAATACACCCAAACAGCTGGTCCCTCTTCTGTACCATTTTGTAAATAAGTTAATGTGGCTATTCCATGAGAAGGCACTAAATATGTAAGTTCTTGATGTATTTAATGCCCAAACAGGGCCCAGGATGCTAAGGCCTGACTCGTAATTTGTCTACTTGTTCAGTTATCACCTCTAAAGTGGTTCTTTCAACTTGATTGAGAAACCACAAATATACACTATGCAATGGCATATATATATATATATATATATATATATATATATATAATATTATATATATATATATATATATATATATATATATATATATAATATTATATATAACATATTTAAGGTTAACTTAAGCATAAATACATACATTCACAAATTACAAATACAAGTCAACAACATTGTGCTTCTAGAAGCTTCTCACTAGAGAACTTTGCCTGGTGTGATTAGACCAAGTAGGTTATCAACCAGTGCCCCATGGGGGACATGTGGCAATGTTTGGAGACATTTTTTATTGTCACAACTTGGAGATGGGGTGCTACTGGCATCTAGTGGGTAGACACCAGGGATGCTACTCAACAGCCTAAAATGCACAGGGCAGCCCCTCCCAGCAAAGAATTATTCCATCCAAAATGTCGGTACTGCCCAAATTGAGCATCGTGACATTGATCCTTTTTCCTTCATCATCTGGCTCCACATTTCACCAGTCTGGTCTCTCTCTGTCTTCCAGCTCTGCCACCAGTGAAAACAAGCAAGCAATTTTGAAATGACAGCAGCTTCCCTGACTCTCCACTTGTCAGTTCTTAGTTGCAAAGCACTGAATTCACTCCACCTAATTTAAACAGAAAATAAATCCATGGAAGGATGTCAAGTAGCTCATAGAATTTCCAGGGAGGCAGAGAGTTTACATTGAGGTGAAACAGCTGGAGCGATAGCCAAACCACAATCCAGCCGACACCACGTAGGCACCAATGGTGCCCTTGCCACCTCCGCTACTAAAAAATTAAGTCCACCCAGCGCCTATTCCTCTCATTGCCTGCTTCTGAATTGGAGTCTCACAGAGTTGGGTCTGATGGGTAGACATGACTGGGTGATATGTCTGTGGCCCAGATGCAAGAGGACGGATCAGTGAGCTGTAGCTTCTGTCTTGAAGAGGCAAGACGGATAGTGTAGAAAATTCTCCAAACACAAGAAAGATGTTCCAAAGATACTAGTGTCCACCAATATAACTAATGTCTACAGCAACCCCTTCCTCCAGGGCCAGTGCTCTGCCATCAAGCCCTGCTTCTACTCAGTTTTATGGCCTAGTTCTAAGTTCCTGATTCTGTATTATGCATCTGGGCCTCCAATGAACTAAAGACTCTATGTCCTGTTTTCCCTTCTTACTCCACTGTACGCCCTGCAGCCCGTTATATCCCAGCTTCTTCTTCTCCAAGGGAAAGAATGGGTGCTCGGGTCAGGAAAGCGTCGTTGGCAATTGGGAAGGCAGGTGGAGTCACTGCACCAAGTTCAACATCGCTGCACATGTGGATTTGTCCCTTTTGAGTTCTCCTCTTCTTGAGGCCCTTCCTGCCACATGTCTGCAGAAGTGAGGTGGCCCAGAGCCTACTTCCTCAGAGCACCTTCAGCCTTCTCTTGCTCTTTCCTTTTTTCTCTCTTTTTATTAGAAGTCAGAATTATGAATGTTTCTGGGCTACCCGAGCAGCCCATCTTTTTTTCCCTTTTGGATATTCTCATCTCTCGCAAGTTGAAGTCAGACTACTGCTCTGGCCTGAGAAGGTCTGCGGCAGGAGCAGAAGCAGAAGCCAGTTCTCCTTTTGGCACTGGGAGCACTCCTGTCTCTGTGCTTCTTTCTGCGGCACGCTGGCATGTGTGTGCATATGCATGTGTGTTTTGTGCACCTTCATGTCCATGGACTTTCCTTAGATCAAAGCAGTAAAATCAAGACTCCGGCTTGGGATTAGAGGAAATAGGGACTGCCTGCCTTTTAGTCTGCTTTGATTAAGGGCTACTGGAGGTAGCAATCCCAAATTCAAGTCCTGATCCTCCCTCTTAAAAACCATGCAAACTTGGGTGATTTACCTAACCTTGCTGAGTTACAGAGTTCTCAGCTGTAAATGAGATCACGAAGGCTTCCTCTGAGCCATCAGGACTGAATGAGAAGGCGCATGCAAAGTGCCTAGCACATCATGCACTGTGTCTCAGCATTCTGCTGGTCTCCTGGGAGGCCAGAAGACATGAATATTATTTTGTCTCATTTGGAAGCATTCATGCCACCTCTGAGGGCAACATATGTTTTTCCATCTCAAAATCATTACAGAATAGGGCTAGGAAGAAAGTGGTGAGGGGGGAGATTTCAAAGCCCTGAACAGAGAAGTCTGCTAGAGCAGTGCCCAATAAGATGTTGAGATCTCATGTCCAGTGGAGTGGTTTGCAAGAGTCCCTGCAAGTGTCCCTCATGAGTCCCGGGACAGGTGCTAGAGGTCATGGTTTGAGTGAACCTCCCTAGAAGTAACATCCTGGTCCAGAAAAAAATCTCCTGATCCCCAAAACTTTTCCCACCCATTCACTGGAAATTCTCCCTACAGGGAACACACATTTTCCTGTACAGTGAGAGAGCTTAAAATGCAAGTACTGTATATCCTCATTGTGAAATTGACTACTTACTGAAATTTATTTGTAAGTCCTAAAACTTGGGCACTTTCAAAGTGCATTCACAGACATGCATAGAGTGGCAACAAAATTTGAGTTGCAGACGCTCGTGCTCCCAGCTAAGGTGGAGCAAAGCAACCCTCTGCCTTCCTGTTTCAGCTCTTATGCTATAAATGAGCATCCTTTTCATGGTCTGTTTAGTGCCACTTTTTCACATTTTTGTGCTTTCTGTTGGTGGCCTCGCTGTTTGAGATGGCCCTCCTGCATGGTGCTGAACTGCTGTCTAGTGTTCCTAAATGCAGGAAGGTGAAAATACTTGTGTTGGATGAGATTCATTAGGGCATGAGTTACAGTACTGTTGGCCGTGAATTCAATATTAATGAGTCAACAATGCAGTACATCCAGAAAAGGAAGAGGAAACACACCCAACTGTGTATGAGTCCTCTCTGGAAAGTGCTAAAGTAACATCTACATTGCATGCTGAATCTACGGAAAACATTGAAAAGCACAACGTCTGTGGATTCACGAAATGACAACCAACCACAAAAAAGTGTAGTGGACAGACAGCATTGCTGTGAGGCTGAAAGCCAAAGAAATTTATGATCACATTATCATAATTAAAATATTATTTTATTATTCAAAACACTGCATTTAATTACCTGTTGGCAAGAAATACATATTTTTAAAAGTGTCTTCAGATAGAAACATAACATACAACAAGGTTACGTATTGATCAGCTGGTAAAAATGTTGTGACCAGAAACTCAAGAGACCCTCACACTGTATTTCCCCAGGAGTAAGTATTCCCTAATTCAGTGTTTGTGGCAACTTTGAAGGATGTAACTACTGTAAATAATAAGAATCAACAGTAGCACCTTAGGAACAGACTCTCAGAATCAATGTCACACTGAAGTATTAATTCCTGATGGTGTCTGCTTTCCTGAAAGCACATTTGAAAGGCTCACTGAATGCCTGGTAGGAGGTTCTCTGTAAAGAAATAGAGGAAGTCCTGAGGAAAGGAAAAGTGAGAGTAAAAGACCAACTTCTGCTTTCCCACAAGATTATAGCTGCAGCGAAATTGAAATGATTTGCCAGACCAAAGAGCTTAGTGACCATGGAACTTAGGCTTACAGTTCAGGTCTGTCCTCTCTTCCCTTGCTCCCAGAGTTTTAGAAAATTTTCTTCATGCCAGTGTTCAAGCATGCACTATGCATGCCAGTGGGCACACCAGCTGTGCCAGGACTGCCCATCCCCAGCTAGCCACCAGCTGAGTCTTGGAACAGAGGAATATCACACATGATTCAGCCTAAGAATAGTTTAGAAAACAGCCAGGCTGGAGAATGAGCAAATTCTTACCAATGAACCTGCTATTCTAGGGCTTAGGATCATTACTGATCCACTCAACGAAGAATGACATTTGGCCAGGTGCACTGGCTCACGCCTGTAATCCCAACACTCTGGGAGGCCGAGGGGGGTGCATCACGAAGTCAAGAATTGAGACCATCCTGGCCAACATGGTGAGACCCTATCTCTACTAAAAATACAAAAATTAGTTGGGCGTGGTGGCACACACCTGTAGTCCCAGCTACTCAGGAAGCTGAGGCAGGAGAATCATTTGAACCCGGGAAGCAGAGGTTGCAGTGAGCTGAGATTGCGCCACTGCACTCCAGCCTGGCAACAGAGCGAGACTCTGTCTCAAAAAAAAAAAAAAAAAAAAAAAAAAAAAGAATGACATTTCTCAGTCTGAAAGAACATGCACAAAAGTATATGCCTGGTAACATTAACAACAACAAAAATGATAACAGCAATATTTATTGAGTGCTTCTCCCATGCCACCCATTGGATTCAGTGTTTAATATGTTAGATAACTTGTAGAGCTTAGGGTACATCAGAGTTAAGCCAATTAGTGCAGCATTTTAAGGATGCTGGTTTGTACAGACAGGGAGGTTCCTTATAGGCAGTGTTATTTCTGTAAATCTCACATTGAAATGTATGTCCTGGCAATAGAGATCACTGACAACTTAGCAATGAATGTATTACATTATATTAATTATGGGATAAATACTTATTAAACACATATCATGAGAAAGAGGGTAGGCTGGGTCCTAAAGACACCAAGCAGAGCACAGTCTCTGTCTGCAAGAAATTTACAGCTGGCAGGGGAGAGGAGTCATAAACTAACTGAGAGGTAAGCAATGCCACTATAAGAAATGAACCACGGACATGCTGCCTTAGAGGTTTGGAGCAATTTCTTCTGCACAAGAGACACTGGGAGACTCTCAGAGGAGGGAACATTTAAACCTGACATAAAGAAAGGACTTGGTGACCAGGGGTTAAGGGGTGGAGTTCCAAAGGCAGGCAGAGTGAAAAGCAAGGGACAGTCTATCACTAGGCAGGAAGCCACACAGCAAGCGTGGAGAAGAGAGTGTCCAGTGTTTGTAATATTCCAAGCCCTGGGTTACAATGAGGAAGCAAAGATGATGAAGACGAGGCTCCTGGCCTTGAGGGGCTCAAGCTTTAGAGCAGTGCTTCTCAATGTGCCCATCCACGATAAGGAGCACACACCGAAATGAAAAGCAACCTGCTGATCCTTTTCTTAGGATAGTCTGGCTAAGAAACAAGTGAACTGGCCTAGCAACAGAAGTGATTTACATTTCAGCCCATGCTCACCCCATCACAGACCTGCAGCTGGTGTGCAAGCCATGCTTGGAGCCATACCTCTGCAGAGCAATGGCCTCCAGAATGAGTGCATGCAAGAAGACTTATTCAGGCACATAAAGAAAATATTAAAATTTCTTCTTACACAGGGCTTGAAATCTTTGAAGCCAGATGTTCTTTGGCTTACCAGCTTTTTTCTCTGATGCTAGAACGGCAAAATAGTGCATATGCCATGTATTTATTACACACCATACCGGCTGGGGGCAGTGGCTCACACCTGTAATCCCAGCAGTTTAGGAGGCCAAGGCAGGTGGATCATGAGGTCCAGAGATTGAGACCATCCTGGCCAACATGGTGAAACCCCGTCTCTACTAAAAATACAAAAATTAGCTAAGTGTGGTTGTGCGTACCTGTAGTCCCAACTATTTGGGAGGCTGAGGCAGGAGAATCGCTTGAACTCAGGAGGCAGAGATTGTAGTGAGCCGAGATGGTGCCATTACACTCCAGCCTGGGTGACAGAGTGAGACTCTGTCTCAAAAAGAAAGAGGAAAGACAAGAAAGAAAGAAAGAAAGAAAGAAAGAAAGAAAGAAAGAAAGAAAGGAAGGAAGGAAGGAAGGAAGGAAGGAAGGAAGGAAGGAAGGAAGGAAGGAAGGAAGGAAGGAAGGAAAGAAAAGGAAGGAAGAAAGAAAGAAAAGGAAGGAAGGAAGGAAGGAATTTACTCCCTATAAAGGGTGCAATATTGCTTTATTTCTGGTAAAGCTGATACTGGAGGCTGGACAAGGTGGCTCATACCTATAATCCCAGCACTTTAGGAGGCCGAGGTGGGTGGATCACTTAAGGTCAGGAGTTTGAGACCAGCCTGGCTAACCTGGTGAAATCCCATCTCTACTAAAAATACAAAAATTAGCCGAGCATGGTGGCACATGCTCATACATAATCCCAGCTACTTGGGAGGCTGAGGCAGGAGGATCAGTTGAAACTCGGAGGTGGAGGTTGCAGTGAACTGAAATTGCGCCATTGCACTCCAGCCTGGGAGACAGAGTGAGACTCCATCTCAAAACAACAACAACAACAACAACAACCACAACACACACACACACACACACAAACCCCTGATACTGGAGGACACAGCCTCCCCCATGGGTAGGTGGGTTCTGAATACTGAGTCTTGCAAGTAAACAGATGCACTCAGGAGCAGGACTGGCCTGGACAGGGGTTCCCCTGCAGAAGCAACACTTTCCAGTTAGAAGAATTGAAAGAAATATGTCCTTCCTGTTCACCAGAGAAAGGGGAGAGGAGGTCTCGGCTGGGCTGTGTCTCACCGATCACATCGTCATTCCTCCTTTCCAGGGGAGACAGAGAGAAAGGCAGAGTCTGGAAGGAAACACAGAGTCAGCAGAAGTACTCTATCCCTGCCCAAAGCCTCCAGCCAGGCGGAAGCTGGTGGGATCTCAGATGCCACCTGCCTGCCCTCAGCCTCCCTGCCACACTCCCCTGAGACACGCTCCCTGCCATTTGTTTCTCAATTGATCCATTGGTCCTGGAGGTCTGAGGCCAAGTCCAGGCCTCCCGTCCTCCCTCCACCTGCAGATCTAGCAGGACCCATAACAAGGCACAGGCGGGCCCTGTGACCCACTCTCCAGGGCTCTTGCCCCCTTGCATCTCTGCCCTGCTATAGCCAAGCTGTCAGCAGGGTCGCGGTTCTTGGAGGTCCCCCTCTTCTTGACTTCCGCACATCTGTAGGAAGCTCGTGGTGGGTGTTGGGTGAGGAGTGGGAATTGTGTAAACATGGCTGTCCTGCGGGCCTGCACATGCCTGCCCTTGACTTGCCAAGGAGAGCCCCTTAGCACAGCACTGGCCTCCAGGAAGCCAGGAGCCAGGGCCTCGGCAAAGCTAACCACCCTGCCCAGGGCACACACCAAGGAGCAGCAGGGCTGAGTGGGAATGTGGGTCTATCAGGCTCTGTCAGGGGCCCAGCTCCTCGCTCACCCACCATGCTCAGATGCAAATGTGCCAGGAGCACTGGCAATCTTCTGCAGTGAAACCTCACTTAAGGCAAACCTCCCACTGCTGGGACTCTGCTTATTTGTAAAATGGGACTAACACTTTCCTACCAGTGGAAATTGTGAGGATTTGGCAAGATGATCATAAGACCATGCAGACTAACATATTCTGGAAATTAAAATGTCATGTCAAATATAAGGGATTATTGTTACTGCTCCCATCATGATGGTCCTGAAACCCACAAAGTGAGAATGAGGGAAGTGATTTCTAACCATGCCACTGCCTCCCACTGCAGCCTAGAAAGGCCCAGTGACACCAGGAGCCCACCCTAAGGGGTTCAGGCATTGGCCAGCGACACTCCAGGTGCACAGCAGAGCCTCAAGGGGAAGGGAGCTCTGGCCCCCACCCACCTGCAAAAACAGAACTTGTCCCACTTTCCATGTCCTTCATTCCAGAAATAGCCAGGTGCCCTCCGTGGGTTGTGGGGAGCACTGTGGGCTGCTGTGTTTTGATTTTCCCCAGAAGTGATCAGAGAAGAGCAGTTCCAGAGCCAGCTGAGCAGGAATGGGGGTCGCGTTGAATTCTCCCCACTTAGCTAAACATTCTCCCTTGGTTAGCCTGGCTGAGTCTGGAAAAAGTAAATATTTTCAGAAAGTCAAGCCAGTGATTTTGTTTTCTAAATCTATGCTGGCATGGTGTCTGGAAAGAAGAAATATGGGTTCCGACGGGGTTTAGGGAACAGAAACTGGCACTTGAACACCAACTGTGTATCAGACACAAAGCTGGGCATGTTCACGTTCCTCTCCTTCCTTCTCACAGCAGCTCTGAAGGAAAGATGTCACAGTCATTTTATTGCAGATAAGGAAGAGAAGCTTGGAGAGGCTGGGCGGCCTGCTACAGTCACACAGGTGGCAAGCCACAGAACTGGGTCCAGACTCAGCCTGGCTGTTTACCATTCCCATGCCATTTCCAGGACACCCTGCTCTGCTGATCAATTTAAGATATCCCTTTTTTGCCGGATGGCCAAAGAACAGACAGACTGTAGAATGCCAGTGCCTCTTATTTTCTCTCTTTGTCTGTTCAAAAATATCATTATTTTTCTCCTTGCAGATTAGAAAAGTAGCCCCTTTGAATTAGCCGGGCATGGTGGTACGTGCCTGTAGTCCCAGCTACTCGGGAGGCTGAGGCAGGGGAATTGCTTGAACCAGGGAGGTGGAGGTTGCAGTGAGTCAAGATCGCACCACTGCACTCCAGCCTAGGTAACAGAGCGAGACCCCATCTCAAAAGAAAAGAAAAGAAAAGAAAAGAAGCCCCTTTGGACAATAAAACGATGGTGTTGACTTTGCCATCTCACCCTGTAATCACAATGAGCATGTATTAGCCTGTTCTCACGCTGCTAATAAAGACATACCCGAGACTGGGCAATTTGTAAAGGAATAAAGGAAAGAGGTTTAATTGACTCACAGTTCCACGTGGCTGGGGAGGCCTCACAATCATGGCTGAAGGTGAACGAGGAGAAAGTCACATCTTACATGGCAGCAGGCAAAAGAGCTTGTGCAGGGGAGCTCCCATTTATAAAACATCAGATCTCTTGAGACATATTAACTACCACGAGAACACTACGGGGGAAACCACTCCTATGATTCAACTATCTCCACCTGACCCTGCCCTTGACACATGGGGATTATTACAATTCAAGGTGAGATTTGGGTGGGGACATAGTCTAACTGTTTCAGAGCAATACCTTTAGAAGTTGGCATAGAGGTCCCTAGGTTACCTTGATTTCATTTTGTCCTCACTTGCTAGATTCAGGCTAGCATGTGATGCTGCTGAAAGGTGGAAGACAGCAATATCAGAGCAAATCAGCCAATTCCCAGAGGTGGTGCATCTGAGCCAGGGCCCAGCCATGATGATCACCAGGCGCTCCCTGGAGGAAGCCAGGCCGCTTTGACAACAGCAACAGGCTCAATGGTCTCTGCTCCTGTAGCCCAGGGAATGACAGGGGGTCTCTCTTGCTCAGGGTCATGTGTCCCTTTCCTTGACCCCCTTTCCTTGCCAGGACTTGTGATCCAATGTGAGAGGTGCTGGGTCCAGTTTAGACTTGAAATGAAAAGGTGGATTTGAAAAGGTCTTGAAGAAAGTGTTAAACATTGTTAAAGAGATTGAAAATGAGAAAGAGAGAGAAAAAAAAAGGAGAGAGAGAATAGTCACTTTGACCAGAGAAGGGGGACGCAGTTGAAACGCAGTCAACTCCTTATTTTTGTATGCATTGAAAATCTAAGGACTTTACAATAGAATCTTCTTTATGTCACTGGGCATTTGCCACATGGTAGACACTGGTTGCCCACCATACCCACATTATCTGGAGTAGGGTACTCCTTCCAAATCCATACTGCATATGCATTGATGCCTTTGGAGAGAAAACAGAGGAATGACAACGGCGAAGAAGAGGAGGAAAGGGATGGGTAAGGAGTCCTTGCTGCTGTAAAGGAGTCCAGCACTGACACACTCTAATCTGTTGAGATCATATTTTGCACTCTAAATTATTAATTTGCTGTGCCGGTTTCTACCCTGTGCTTAGGGCTATGCCTGGCATGTGGTAGGCTCTCAGTAAATATTTGTTGAAGTATATGAATAGACAAAACTTTTCTTTTTCACTTAAAGTTCTGGAATATATGTGCAGAACGTGCAGGTTTGTTATATGGTTATACATGTGCCATGGTGGTTTGCTGCACCTATCAACCCATCATCTGGGTTTTCAGCCCCGCATGCATTAGTATTTGTCCTAATGCTCTCCCCCTCCCTTTGCCCCCTATCCCTCGACAGGCCCTCGTGTGTGATGTTCCCCTCCGTGTGTCCATGTGTCTTCATTGTTCAACTCCCACTTATGAGTGAGAACATGTGTACACAAATCTTTTTTAGTGCGTCCAGAGATTGAAGTTTCTAGATTTACAAACCTTGACCCCACCTTAGTGGGAGGAGGCTTACCTGAGTGGCCAGCGGCAGCCCAGGATGACACCTATGCCTCTTTGTTAAGCACCAACACCACCAGTTTCAACAACACAGCTTTCCCCTAACCAAGAAGCCATTTCTGCACCTGCACAAGAAATATGGGCCCACTCCTCAGAGAAGAAGCTGGAAATCTGGACAAAAGGCCCTGTGACCTCCAATTGTCCACTTAACCCCACAGGGAAAAGTCTAGGAGAAAAGTATTTCACAAAAGCCAAAGCATGTGGCCAAGCTGTTAGCTCACTGAACTCATGCCTGGTGCCTTGTTGCAGGTATGAGTTCAACGTCTAGAAAGCATTCATGGAATGTAACTGATGGATGCATTTCTTCCCTCTAACTGCTGTGAAATAGTTCCCAAGCCTTCATGAACTGGTCTAATTTCAAAGCAGATTCCCTTAGAAGTTTCAAGTGGGCAGAATGAAGAAAAGAGTCAAGCATGAGTAAATCCAAAGCATGGTCAGGAACCAACTACTCAGAAACTACAAATATTAGAAATAAAGGCCGGGCATGGGTGGTTCACACCTGTAATCTCAGCACTTTGGGAGGCCGAGGTGGGTGGATCACCTGAGGTCAGGAGTTCAAGACAAGACTTCCCAACATGGCGAAACCCCGTCTCTACTAAAAATACAAAAGATTAGCCAGATGTGATGGCAGGTGCCTGTAATCCAAGCTGCTTGGGAGGCTGAGGCAGGAGAATTGCTTGAACCCGGGAGGTGGAGGTTGCAGTGAACCGAGATCATGCCGCTGCACTCCAGCTTGGGTGACAAGAGCAAAACTTCATCCCAAAAAAAAAGAAATAATATTTTTTGGCTGGGTGCAGTGGCTCATGTCTATAATCCCAACAGTTTGGGAAGCCAAGGTGGGAGGACTGCTTGAGCCCAAGAGTTTGAGACCAGCCTGGGCAACAAAGGGAGACCCCATCTCTACAAAAATAAAAAACATTAGTCAGGCATGGTGGCACATGCCTGGGGTCCCAGCTACTTGGGAGGCTGAGATGGGTGGATGCTTGGGCCCAGGAAGTCGAGGCTGCAGTGAGCCACGATTGTGCCACTGCACTCCAGCCTGGGCAAGACAGTGAAACCTTGACTCAAAATATATATGTGGATATATTTTTTTTTAACTACTATTTGCCTATATATTTAGATCTCACCTTCTTCCAATAAAGAGATTTAGGACACATACACATATATGCATATTCTTTCCATGGAAGGAATAGTGACAAGGAAAGATATTTGATTTAGGAGCAAGACAGCCTGGGTTCACATTCTGTTCTTCCCATAAATCAGCTGTATAGCCTTGGGCTAATGCCTCTGGCCTCAGTTTCCTAATTTGTAAAATAAAGATAATAATAGCACCTACCTCATAGGAATGTTGTGTGGAATGAACTCAACTTGAGGCTCAAAAAGAAGCATTACTCACCTCTATTGACCATTTATTAAATACCAACACTGTACTGGATACTCTTTCATACTTAAATTCAATACAACTCACAACAGCCTTATAAAGTAGGTATTACTAGTCACATTTCATACATGAAATACTAGACGCTCAGAGAGGTTGGTAATTTGGCCAAAACAACATAGACAATGGGAAAGGCTAATATTTGAATCCTGGTCTTCCCAAATAAAAAATAAAAAATAAACCAAGGCTGTAGACAACACTGCTTCCCAGATCCTGAGTCATCCCATGATGGTTCCTTGTTCTCATAATGAAGGGGATCGAACTGCCCTAAATGCCACCCCTCTGAATTCTCACAATGAAGGAATTTCTACACATGTGGAAGATAACATTCAAATTTAATGCCTATTAAGAAAGACCACATTGGTAGAAACAGACTTTACACAATGCAAGAAGACCACAACCATCACTGAAAACACCACCCTTTCCCAATCCTTAGGGATTGCTTGTGTAGGTTGGCCTGAGTTCCAAAGGCTGTTGTCTGTAACACCCTCGTTAATTCACAAGCTAGCACAGTACAAGATCGTGTAATAGTATTTACATGGACTCAGTCAATGATAGGCTTTACTATTAACTCATTTTATCTTCAAAACTACATTATAAAATACTTATCTCCATTTTACAGAAGGGGAACCCAAAACTTAGAGAACAAAGCTACCAAATAGCTGAATTCATTATGTATTGCTGTATTATGAATTACTCCAAAACTTTCTAGCTTAAATCGATAATAAGCATTAATTGCATCACACAGTCTCTGTGGATCAGAAGTTTGAAAATGCCTTGGATGGGTGATTCTAGCTTAGGATTTCTCATGAGGTTGCAGTCAGGATGTCAACTGGGACCACAGTCATTGGAAGGCTTGACTGGGGATGGAGGATCTGCTTCCAAAGTAGCTCACTCACATAGCTGGCATGCTGACACTGGCTGTTGCTGGGAGGCCTCAGTCACACTCCATATGGGCCACTCCACAGGCTGCTTGAGTATCCTCATGTCATGGCAGCTGGCTTCCCTCAGAGTGAATGATCCAAAATTCAGAGAGCTAAATAGAAGTTTATCCTTTTTAGATAAACTAATAGATATCATTTTTAGATATCCTTTTTCATATCCCTCTATAATTCAGCCTTGGAAGCCACATAGTGTCACCTCAATCACATTCTATTGTTTAGGAGAAAATCATTAAGTCCAGCCCACTTTCAATGGAAGAAGTCGACTCCATTTTTTTAGGGGAAGTACATCAGAGAATTTACGACATATTTTTAAATCATCTCAGAGGCAGAACTGGAATTCTCATTTATCCCTTTCTAATTTAGAACTCCAGGACTTTTCATGATATCTAAGGCAGGAAAAATGTGGCATCACTATTTCCACAGTTCACTTCCACCTCCATAGCAGATGTCATGAGCAACCCCAGAACTCATTCTGCCACAGCTGGACCTGGCCTCAGAATCTCTCTCGTGCCATCCCCATGGAAGTCACCACCCATCAGATGGAGCTGGCACACAAGTAGAAATTTAGTGCATTCCTGCCTATACCAGAGCTATAGAGAGAAACTTACAGGTACGTTAAATTTCATTATCTTAGAGTCCCTAATTTTATGAATCACCTCTGAGACACTCTATAAAACAAGATTTGTAATAATAAACCCCTCTCCCAAAAATTCTCTAAAAAGGAAAATGCTTTAGGAAACCTCGTGTTCTAACTTTTAGAAGGTCTTCTCAATTCCAGAACTCCACTGTAATTATGCACTCTCACCCCACCCCAGTAATGTCATTTATGCCTCTAATGACAGGAAGAGAGGCCTGCGGGTAGCATCTGCCGTTTTCTCTACTTGGTACAGTGTTTGTCACCCACAGATGCACACTGGCATCGCCAGTGCAGAGGCCTTGTCCCCATCCCGGAGACTCTGATGTAACTGATATGAGGCCGGGGGACTTTTCAAGGCTCCCCAGGTGATTGTAATGTTCAGCCAGTCTGAGAACAACTGACTTAGCGCTTCATTTTCATTGCCACATAAGTGATTCTCTGTGCAATCATTAAACTCTGCCACCTTGTAATTGGTTAAATGAGCATATTAATAGAACTTAGAGAGTGATGAATCCCCAGGCTATATTCAACACTTACTGCTCTTTTTCAAAATGTCAATCTCAATTCGACTTTGGATTGCCCTTCCTCAGGGCATTTCCATTAAATGAACCAACCCATCTGATTCAATAAAAACCCAATTATTTTGCACATTTATGAGACTTTGACACACTTTTCAGAATCACCTCCAGAACTACCTCTGTTTCACACAATGTTCATATCCCTCTATAATCATCCCAGGTCCACAAAAACATAAGATCACCCTGAAGCAAACATAAAATTCTGCTGATCTGGGAGTTTATAATAGTTTTTCAGTAAACAGTCTTCTCATACCTACATAGTAAACACTTACTTTCCTAGGTTAGTAGCTAGGAATTTTTAGATTAGCTCGATAACCTAAATATCAAAATGCCACTCCTCTTTCAAATATCACATCTATCCTAAAAGGGAGATTTTTTAATGTGAAAAAAAGGTTTTATTATTGTTTTGTTATTGCTATTGTTGTTGTTCATATCTTTTAACTTCTCTTGAAATCGTACATAAAAACATCTTAAGTTTTTTTAACTTGTATTTTTAAGTCAGGGGTACATATGCAGGTTTTTTATATAGGTAAACATGTGTCATGGGAGTTTGTTGTACAGATTATCTCCTCACTCAGGTATTAAGCCTAGTACCCATTAGTTATTTTTCTGATCCTCTCCCTCCTCCCACCCTCCACCCTCTTAAAGACTCCAGTGTGTGTTGTTTCCCTCTATGGGTCCATGTGCTCGCATCATTAAGCTCCCACTTATAAGTGAGAGCCTGTGGTATTTGGTTTTCTGTTCCTGTGTTAGTTTGCTAAGGATGATGGCCTCCAGCTCCATCCATGTCTGTGCAAAGGACATAAACCCATTCTTTTTATGGCTGTATAGTATTCCATGGTCTATATGTGCCACATTTTCTTTATCCAGTCTGTCATTGATGGACATTTAGATTGAATCCATGTCTTTGCTATTGTGAATAATGCTACAATGAACATACATGTGTATGTGTCTTTGTAACAGAATGATTTACATCCCTTTGGATATATACCCAGTAATGAGGTTGCTGAGTTGAATGGAATTTCTGTCTTTAGGTCTTTGAGGAATCACCACACTGTCTTCCACAATGGTTGAACTAATTTACACTTCCACCAACAGTGTATAAGTGTTCCTTTTTTTAAAAGGGTGGTATTTTTAACGGAAACGTTTTCATCTGTACACCTTAGCCAAGGCAAGGACAGGCCATCACCATAAGATATTGAAGACTTCTAGGGGTAGAGGATGGCAGCAGTTCCCTTAACACAGTTCCCACATTTTATCACACATAGAGATTACCCGGGCAGCTAATAAAAGTTCCCTCACCAGGTTGCACCTCATATAGTTTAATCAGAATCACCAGAGGCACAAGACAGGCATTTGTGAATTTTATAGAATTTGATAAAGTTTCCCAGGTGATGCCTACATACCACAAAGTTTAGAAACTACTGTCTTAACTCTTTATGCTAAATCTTTACAGATCTTTAAGAAGAAATAATTTTCTACATCCCTAAGCTGTTTTAAGAAAAAAAAGTCTACTCAGATTTGAGATATTTGCAAATAAAAGTTCATTTACTGGAATAGACTGTGTTGCACAGTAAGGCACTTGAGAAATCTAAATGTCTCCTTATTTGCTAAGTTTTAAAATTAAAACAGAACACATCAGAACATATTCTTCAATAAATTTTTCAGTGAATTATTACCCTTTGGACTTGGAGCTTAAACAAAATTATACTTTATAGTTTATAAGTGGGCTCTTCTTTCTCCCTTTACTGTAGTTAGCTGACTTCTCTAGTTATGACACAAATGTTTCACAACTAAAGATCAAATACAAATTGATACTAAATATCAGATATTTCATCATGAAAAATAAATTGCTTAGATTTCAATCGTAAAGGATAAGCATTTATTAGCTTAACTCACAAAATTACCATCTACATCACTTTTCATTTTTTTAATCTTAGGCTACTGCCTTGAGATCTCATGCATGTAGCTGCTTTATGTAATTTATTCTTGTATGGTATCCTTATTTTTAATGTGTGTGTGTCTTATCTCACAAAGACCTGTAAGAGAAAGGATCATGTATATCAACAAATATTTATTGAGCATCTGCTATGTGCCTGGATCTATATTAGCTCAGTTTTCCCATAGCTGTACTATTCAATTTGCAGTTTACAAGTTGTTATTCAGTAGTAAAATCAACTTAGTGGCCTAACCACCTTTTTTGTTAATGACATAGTATAAAATGGAAGCAAATAGGAAGGAATAGCAAGTAGCAGCATGCTTCTCGCATAGTGAGAATAAGTTTTGGCTGGGTGCTGTGGCTCATGCCTGTAATCTCAACACTTTGGGAGCCTAAGGCAGGAGGAATGCTTGAGCCCAGGAGTTCAAGACCAGCCTGGGCCACAGAGTGGGACCCTGTCTCTGCAAAAAAAATTTAAAAATTAGCTGGACGTGGTGGCACGTGCCTGTGATCCCAGCTACTCAGGAGGGAGGTTGAGGCAAGAGGAATGCTTGCACCAAGGAGGTCGAGGCTGCAGTGATCTCTGCTCATGCTACTGCACTCCAGCCTGGGCAACAAAGTAAGGCCACCTTAAGAAAGAAAAAAAGAAAGGAAGAAAGGAAGAAAGAAAGAGAGAGAGAGAAAGAAAGAAAGAGAAAGAAAGAGAGAGAGAGAGAAAGGAAGGAAGGAAGGAAGGAAGGAAGGAAGGAAGGAAGGAAGAAAGAAAGAAAGAAAGAAAAAGAAAGAAAGAAAGAGGAAAAAATAAAAGAAAGAAAGGAAAAGAAAACAGAGAATAAGTTTCATTTAGCGATACTTTTTTTTGCTAAATGAAACAAAGGCGTGTGTGTGTGTGTGTGTGTGTGTATAGTTAGGTAGGTAGGTAAAATGGGTCTTGATGTAAAATGTTTTTCTTCATTTAAAAGGTTTGGAATGCATGCTATAGAACAGTATTCTGTGTGTCACAGCGTTCTATAAATATTTATGGATTAAATGGTTAAAGTCAAAATTCTTAGAATTGAATTTTTGTTTATTTGTTTTAGTGGGTTAAAAAAAAAAGCTGGCAGCAGCTTCTCAGGCTAGAAGAACAGAAAGTCACCTTGGAACAGATATTCATTTAGCAACTTTGAGCACTTGAGGAGTCTCTTATCCGTATGTAAACATAAAGAGCTGAGGCCTCCTGTTGGGAGAAAAGAGTTCAAGACCTCTGGCCTGAAGGACTGATTCTCTCTGGTGTGCAGAGCTGGTTTGCAGGGAAAGTGTGTCTCTTTGTCTAAGTGCCAAGAAGCCACCTGAGACAGTAAGAGATGGAGCCCTGACTTTCCATTTAGAGGTTCAAAAGACCTGATACAGTCCTAGCCAAGGTCCATGGACAGCAGAGGGGAATCTGGGCTGGCTTAGAGGCTGTTAGATAGAGATGACCTCTGCACAGCAACATGGAAGAGGCTTTGACCCAGAGAAACTGTGCTTTCTGCTTAGCAGGACTGGGGGACACCTTAGAAAATCACACAGAAAAAATAATAGAGATATGACAGTGATTAATATGCTAAACTTTTTTTAGATGCATACCAATTATTTTCAGGACTGAAACTCACACACAATCTGTGATATTCAGGTATATTATAACTTACTAATAGCTACTAATTGTCCATCAGACCCTGCATCCCCGTGATGTACCATGGGAACTTGTCAAAAAGAGTTATGGCACCATCACAAAAAGACAGACCACTTCCATGCCCATGATGGAAGAACACAGTGGCACCTGCACACTGGTCTTGTCAAGCAAAAATCAAACCTGAAACTGATCAAAGCATCAGATCTGACTACTAGATTATAGTAAATATGGAGGAGAAGGGAACAATGCCACAGGTGCACTCCACAAAATACAGACTGTGGGACAGGACAGACAGCCCATCTTCTCCAACAAATACATTGCAGGAGAAAAATAGAAGAGAAGAATCTAGATTAAATGACTCTTAAGAGGCACAGCAATGGATTGCAATACTACTCATATCCTGATTTTAACAAACCACAAAATATAATTTGAGAAATCAGGAAAATTGGAACACGGATTGGATAATCATTTAATTATAGTAAGGGACTGTTGATTTTGACAGATTTTATGTTGGTACTATGATTATGTTCATTAAGAGTCTTTTAGAATTACATTCTGAAAAGCTATGAATGTAAATATAGTCTTGCATCAAAACATGTGGTGGGGAGAAATATCAATGCAAAAACATTGACCATAAGTGGATATTAGTCATAGCTGGAGACGGGTACTGGGATTTTATTATTCTGTTTCTATATGCATATGTTTGGAATTTTTCATTTTCCAAAAGCCCGGTCTTTTGTGCAGGCAGTGTGGACCATGTCACTTTGCAGCTTCTGTTCTATCGCATCCTCAACTCCATCCCCTTCCAACCTGATGAAGAGACTCAAAACAAGCTTTTCATTTCATTCAGTGCACTGAAGACTGTACCAGAAATCAGAGACTTAAACAAAGCATAAGAACTGACAATATGTGTAAAATTCCTAGGATTGTGATCAATGCAGTGATTCATGCTTGCTGTTGTGCATATAATACATATTCTATATGCAATTTATTTACACTTTAAATTTATTCAGTGGCTTCACCTCAATGAAATGAGAGGAATATAGCCACATTCAAAGTCTACCTAGAGTTCCACACAGTGTTTCAGTAAAATGAATCATTTTGTTTCACTGCAAGGCACACCATTTCAATGCTGAAAAGACATGTATAAATTGATTCAATCCATCAATCTCTGGGTGCTTAAAAATATGCTAAGCACAAGTAAGTAAAATATAATGATTTTACTATGGAATTATAATAAAGTTCTACCTGCATCAGTAGTATGTCACAGGAACCATGAATTGCCACGTTGATTCAAGAGTAGAGATTCAAAATGTTGGAATTCAGAGTGGACATTACAGTAACTTAAACGAATTTTAAAATATTACTTGAAAGTGCAAAATGCAACTGGGGTGCAAAGACATTAAAGATACATTTAAGAATAAGCCACCAACACCCTTGACTCATGAAGGTGACAGACTTCAGACAATCTGGTTAACCATTTGCATGAATGTGTGATGATGGATAGAATGTACAGAAATGTATACAGGAATTGTGTCTCTGCTTCTATTATGTTTCTCTCTCAAAATGCTTAGAAGTGGAAGGTTATATTTGGCACACTTGCTTCCTTATTGAGTCATTGCAATATTTTCATATAATTTTCTTTCCAAATCAATATTTACACACATTTTAATAAAATAACCTGCGTTCTCCGTCGTTTAAATTGTAGCATGAATCTTCAGTGGCCTTCTCTTATTATTATAAGAGGCAATAATTTGGCAAAAGGTTTTGTTACTGCAAAGGGAAGAAGTGTCTTTGGGGGCTTTTTTCCCATCTATTTTCTTCCTTTCTGCAAGCTATCATTTGACAGACACTTAGACATTCTGTGATAAGCAGGAGCACTTCCTCAGGAACAGGCTCCACAGGTCTGAAAAGTAGCCTTCTTGCAGAGGAATATTACCTTGTTTTTAAAGATCTGAAGAAGGGTTAGGAGAAAGAATTGACAATCACTTTCTAGGCTAGTTGAATTCCACTTAGAAGAACCAACTTTGTTTTCAATCTTTGTGCCTCAAAAGATGGGAAGCTTTATTCTTGCCTGGAATTTTTTTTATCTCCCTTCCAGGGATAAGTAAGTTACCAGATACCTGCAGTGCGTTGAGCTATTTTACCAATATTTGCTCAGGTGTCTTCTCAGGTTCTTCCAGAGTTTTTTATTTCTTACAGCTATTGTTTTTCTATGCAGATTATAATAATTATAGAAACTTTAAATATTTTGTAACTAACGATTTGATTTGAGATCAACATAAACCATAATCTAAGTTCAGCACAGCAGTTTAGTGTACAGGAGTGATATGGTTTGGCTCTGTGTCCCCACTCAAATCTCATGTTGAATTGTAATCCCCAGTGTTGGGGGAGGAACCTGGTGGGAGGTGATTGGATCACGGGGGCAGTTTCCCCCTTGCTGTTCTCCCGATAGTGAGTGCGTTCTCATGAGATCTGATGGTTTAAAGTGTGTGACACTTCCCCCCTCACTCTTTCTCTCTCTCCTGCTGCCATGTGAAGAAGGTGCTTTCTTCTTCTTCACCTTCCACCATGACTGTAAATTTCCTAAGATTTCCCAATCATGCTTCCTGTTAAGCCTGTGGAAGTATGAGACAATTAAACCTCTTTTCTTCACAAATTACCCAGTCTCAGGTAGTTCTTTCCAGCAGTGTGAGAACGGACTAATACAATGAGAAAAAAACCAGGACTGGAAACCAGATGACCTGAATTCAAGTTCCAGCCGTATCACTAGCTACCTGTGTGATCCTGAGCAAGTGAGTTATTTCATCTATAAAATGAAGAACTCAGAAGATGTTTTTACCTCTTTTAGATGTTTAGACCTGTGATGGTTAATATTAGGTGTCAACTTGATTGGATTAAAGGATGCATAGATGGCTGGTAAAGTATTGTTTCTGGGTGTGCCTGTGAAGGCATTGCCAGAGGAGATTAACATTTGATTCAATGGACTGGGAGAGGAAGCCCCACCCTCAATGTGGGTGGGCACCATCCACTTGTTTGCCAGTGAGGCTAAAACAAAGCAGGTGGAAGAAGGTGGGATGAGCTGGCTTGGTGAGTTCTGGCGTTCATCTTTCTCCCATGCTGGATGCTTCTTCCCATTCCTCCTGCCCTTGGACATCAGGCTCCAGGTTCTTTGGCCTTTGGACTCTTGGACTTACACCAGTGGTTTGCTGGGAGATCTAGGGCCTTTGGCCACAGACTGAAGGCTGCACTGTCGGCTTCCCTACACTTGAGGCTTTTGGACTCAGACTGATCCACTACCAACTTTTTTCTTCCTCAGCTTGCAGATGGCCTATGGTGGGACTTTCTCTTGCGATCATGTGAGCCGATTCTCATTAATAAACTTCCTTTCATATATACATATATCCTGTTAGTTCTGTCCCTCTGGAGAACCGTGACTAATATAAGACCTAAACATCTAGTGCTAAAATTATGTGATTTTGGCTTAGAACTGTCTCACAAGACCTTCTGCTATACTCTGTGAACCAGCTATTCACACACAAGCCACAGCCCCCCAACAACTTCTCTCTCTTTCTCTCTCTCTCTTCTTTCTCTCTCTCTCTCTTTCTCTCTTTCTCTCTCCTTCCTCAGTGATGGTCTGGAAAGCTAACATTCTTGGTTTTCAGACCCCCTTGTGCTTAAGTGGGATGGCCAAGTTCTTTCTAGCCAAAGACATTAGTTGAAATCTCTTGGAGAAACTTTCAGGAAAGCTTTTTTGTTGTTGGTTAAAAAAAAAAAAAAAAAAGACCTGGTGGTGTGACATCCCTTCTGCCTTTCATTTCTTCTTCCATCTTCCTGATTGTGATGTGACCGTGAGCCCAAAGCCTCAGCAGCAATCTTTGACCATAAACACAAATGTGAGGGCTAAGGCTGGACTCTACTGCGTGTGGAGGGCAAATATGAAAAGAGCCTACTTTACAAATGCACCACTGAACCGTCATCCCAGACCCAGCTGGCCTACAATCACATTCTTGTTGCCTGAAACAAATAAATATTTACCTGTTGAAAGCACTGTTAATTGGGCTTCCTGCAAGCTGCAAATGAATGCAGCCCTAACAAACCTTAAACACAATTATTTTTCCAGGATAGTACCAATTTTAGAAAGACTTCATTACACTTTAAAATGAATCCTACCGCTTGGAATCAGTTTCCATTTCCCTTCACCTTTGTTTCAAGCTTCTATAACTCCCACTCAGTGTTCAAGACCCCACTTATGCCCCTCTGTCTTGACTCCTCCAAGTAGAGCCCATCACAGCCTCTTTGGTGCCACTTTCACAACTGGCACTCACTTTTATTTTTGTCCCCATCTCATTGTACTATGATTCATTTAGTCTACCTTTCATCCTATCTAAACCAAGAGTCTCCACGGACAGATACATTTTATGTAGCTTTGTTTACCACAGATACGGCTCCGAACCTGGTACATAATATATGTTCAACAAAAGGTAGTTTAATTTTGGATAAATACATTCACTTACTCATAATCATTAATATCATAATCATTTAGCAAACTCATCACTTATGTGGAAGTGACTGGGGACAACTGAACCTCATGTTGATTGTTCTATCCACAGACCTAAATCTGCATAATTGTATATAGACTCACTGCTCCTATCATCTACCTCTAAATACATTATACACTTAACTTTCTTTTCATTTATTTATTTTTTTTCTATAGGTTATGGGGGTACAGGTGGTATTCGGTTACATGCGTAAGTCCTTTAGTGGTGATTTGTGAGATTTTGGTGCACCCATCACCGAGCAGTATTCACTGCACCCTATTTGTAGTCTTTTATCGCTCATCCCCTCTCTCACCCTTCCCCCTAAGTCCCTGAAGTTTAACTTTCAAAAGGAGCTTCTTTACAGTGTAAAAGCTATGCTGAACTCAGCTACCCTCCCACCTTTCTGATGCTTTGTAAGCAGCAGTAGGATTGATCCTGGCTTTGTTCATTACTTTAAGGGAAATAAAAGATGTTATGATGGCCCTGAAACTCGTGGGAATGAAAATTGGAGAGCTATTCACAAACAGTGCTCAATAAACATTTATTATGCCTGGGAGGGATGCATTATACCTTCCTGGGACAGTGTATATTACAAATGGAGGACACAGCAAGATATTAATTCTTTCTGATCTATTGATTGCCTTGGAACAACACGGGAAGAAGACATTCGGAATTGCAGGATTGTGTGTGTTTAGGCAGGAATTATCCTTAAAAAGGTCAAATAAGTAATTGGGATGTAATAGGATTGTGTGAGATTACATTAAAGCCTACAGTTATTCAGTTTATTACATTTTGCTATAAGCCACTAAAATGTCTATCTATCCAGGCAAATTGAAGCTGATTCAGTTATGTTTAAGAATGCTCAGAAAATTAATATTTTAGTGGCCTCATTACTGAAGCTATGGATAAAACATGTTTTCTTTCTCAAGGAAAGTGGTCTTGCCCAGGAAAAGATGCATGATTGAGAAAAACATTCTGGGAGGCCGAGGTGGGCAGATCACCTGAAGTAAAGCATTTGAGACCAGCCTGGCCAACATGGCGAAACCCCATCTACTAAAAAAATAAATAAAATGAAATAAATTAGCCAGGTGTGGTGGTGTGCACCTATAATCCCAGCTACCTGGGAGGCTGAGGCATGAAAATCACTTGAACCTGGGAGGTGGAGGTTGTGGTAAGCCGAGATCACGCCACTGCACTCCAGCCTGGGGACACAGTGAGACTCTGTCTCAGAAAAAAAAGAAAAAAGAAAGGGTTAGTGAGGTGACAGGTATTAGAAACATACTGGTTCTAACTTGAGACTTTTTCATTGACACAATAATAAAGATAACTTATGTTTTCCTTATTATATGATTGAACATTGTGTCCATGTACCATGTGAAGTCCTTGCAAATACCATTAGATGCGCACACCCTAAGGCATGAGTGTAGCAGAAAGAGCACAGGTTGGCTGGGCGCAGTGGCTAATGTCTGTAATCCCAGCACTTTGGGAGGCCAAGGTGGGTGGATCACAAGGTCAGAAGTTCAAGACCAGCCTGGCCAATATGGTGAAATCCCATCTCTACTAAAAAATACAAAAATTAGCTTGGTGTGGTGGTGCGCACCTGTAATCCCAGCTACTCAGGAGGCTGAGGCAGGAGAACCGCTTGAACCCAGGAGACGGAGGTTGTAGTGAGCCGAGATGGTGCCATTGCACTCCAACCTGGGTGACAGAGCAAGACTCTGTCTCAAAAAAGAAAGAAAGAAGAAAGGAAAGAAAGAAAGAAAGAAAGAAAGAAAGAAAGAAAGAAAGAAAGAAAGAAAGAAAGAAAGAAAGAAAGAAAGAAAGAAAGAAAGAAAAAGAGCAAGCACAGATTTTGAAGCTAGACAGAGCTGGATATAAACTCTAACTCTAGCAACCCCACCTACTGTGTAACCTGGACAAGTTCTCTTATCTCTATGCTTCAGTTTCCTTATCTTTGAAATAAGATAACACAGTACCACAACAGCATACAATTACATAGTAGAATGTCATAATGCTGAAGTGTAAAGATGACCATAGTTTGAAACGGTTTAAAATAGCTTTACCTGTCAACTTGGCTAGGCTGAGCCATGCTTCCCAGAATTCCTTTCTGGTTCAGGTGGGCCTCAAGAGATGTTTTACATGAGATTTGGAGGGTGAAAGTGAAGTGGCAGCCATTTTGATTTGTATGCTTAGGTTATTATAATAGAAAAATCCAAGTAAAAGCCACTAAACGGATTCTACCGATAAGAATTTAAGCAAACCAAAAGCAGTGTCTCATTCCTGGAGGGACTGTAGAGAATTAGTGCCACCATAGGACCCCTGAAAGATCAGAGGTGATTATTCCTACCAATCCCCATTTGACTTGCTGATTTGACCTGTGCGGTAAACAGAATGGCAGTGAATTATCAGAAATTTAATCAGATGGTGACTCCAATTTTCAGAAGTTTACTTAGATGGTGACACAATTGCTGTTATTCCAAACATAGTTTCAATTGCTGGAGTAAATCAATACATCCCTTAGCACCTGACATGCTGCTATTGGTCTGGCGAATACTCTCTGTTCTCTGCTGTTAGTAGACATCACCAAAAGTAATTTGCTTTCAGCTGAGAAGGCCAGCAATTTTCCTTGGCTGTCCTATTGCCGGGGTATATCAACTCTCCAGCCCTAGTGTATAGGATGTGGATCATATTTTTCATGCTGCAGAACATTGTTCTGGTCAATTGCATTGATGATGTTATGTTGACTGGATCTGATGAAGAGGAAGAAATGACTTCTAGCTGCATTGGTAAGATATCACCAAAAAATCCACAAATAGCATACAAAAAAAATCATACAATTATGCTACAAAAAAAATCAGAAGCTTTCTATCTTAAAAATTGAAGGATTCAATGGTCTAAGGCATATCAACATATTCCTTCCATGTTGAAGGGCATGTTGCTGTATCTGGCCCCTCCTACCACTAAGAAAGAGGCACAACCCCTGGTGAACCTCTCTGGGTTTGGGAAGCAATATATTCCTCATTCAGGCATGTTATTCCACCCATCTACCTAGTGAGCCACAAAGCTTCCAGTGCTGAGTGGGATCCACAAGAGAGAGAGTTCTGCAATAGGTCCAGGCTGATGTGCAGGCTTCTCATTTGGGACATAGAACCCATAAGAACTGACGCTACTTGAAGGGTCAGTGGCAAATAGGGATTCTGCGTGGAGTGTTTGGCAGATCTCTCTAGGGTAAATCATAGTGAAGACTCAAAGGATTTGGGGGAAAATCTGTGGTTCTCTGCTGATAACTACTCTCCTTTAGAGAAACAGCTTTTAGATTTCTGCCGGGCCTTAGTAGAGACAAAGTTACTCATGGGCCACCCATCACCATGTGCCTTGAGCTGCATGTCATGTGTTGGGTGCTTTCTAACCCACCAAGCCATAAAGTTGAGAATACGAAGCAGTGCTCCATCATTAAGCGGAAGTGGTATATATGGACCGAGCTCCAGCAGGTGCCTATGCCCTCGCCCCGGCTCCACTGGCCCTCAGAAGCCCCGGCCCCCTCCCCTTTCTACACTGCATTTTCTCTCTCTCAACCCATGTGTATGGCCTCATGGGGAGTCCTCTATGATCACTTGACTGATGGGGAAGAAACAGGCTTGTCGGACTGGCAGTTCTGCCTGATATCTAGACACCACCTAGGAGTGGGCGGCAGCACTTCCACCCCACTTTGAGACAGCTCTGAAAGGCAGTAGTGAAAGGAAATCCTCCCAGTGCGCAGGACTATAAGTACCGTGTCTGTTCATTTTGCCTTGGAGAGATGGCCGGGGGCAGGCAGCGCACCACTCAGTGAGTCCTCTTCAACTCAGGGTGGCTTTCCTGCACATGACTTCCAACAGCTGATTCTGGAGGTTAGCGCCCCCTAGAGGAGACTCCGGCGTCTCATATTCCCTTTTATCAGACCTGAGGTTGTCAGTGGATTTACATTTTTCCTTAATCAACAGACTAGTTCTGTGCCAACTGCCTCCCGCTTAACATAAAGCCAACTTTTAGCTAAATAAAAACTTCTGAATGCTTTTTGAATACAAATAAGAGATCTATGAAAAATCTAGCCATAGCTTCACATGTCACTGATTCCCAGGGACAGAAGTAGTCAGAGCTTGGACTTTAGATGTCACAGTCCCTCCCTGCTCACCTTCCCAAGGACTACTTCCAAGGATAGCTGCACAGAGGGTCACGGCCCAGGATGGCCCTGAAGCCCATCCCTGAAAGGTCCCCTGGAGGAGACTGCTTTGCTATTTAGAATGTGTCTGAGAAAGCAACCAGGGCTTAGGGATGAGTAAGCACCCCCACCTCTTCATTTGCTCATGGGAAAGATGCACATTTCATGGCATATTTGACACACAAACAGTCCCTGGCACTGGGAATGCAAAACAGAAGAAATATGTCGGGATGGGTGGGAAAAGGGGGTCAGGGAGAAGACTCACCACAGTTCCTCGTTCGACTTAGGCCACACCAATGACTGGTTCTCCTCTTCCTCCAGACAGCCAAGACAAGCGGGGACAGGACTAGGAATCAGAAATGCCCCCTAAAGTTCAGACTCAGCTGGAGGAAGGGTGGTTTATACCCACAGCAGCCCTTTCACAGAGTTTGCAACATTATTGCTAAGGCTTCAGTAATTCACCTATCAAAGGGACAATTTTTGCTATAATTTTTGCCATGTACTACCAATATTATAACACTTTTATTTAAGTAAATGTGTATTAAAAGTTTCTTTATATCCACTGCTTTGCATTTTTAAAATATAAAATATGGGCATATGCAAAAATATAGCCATAAATGACAGATAAGTATAAAATTAAATATAAATTTTAAAATACATTATTAAGTTTGAGAGAGACCTTGTGCCTGCAATCATTCTACACCTGAGAAACACCCTCTCTTTGCTGAAAAAGGAGATAAGAGAATGCCAGGGAGATGTGAGAAAGGATAGGCACTGATCTGAGGCCTTCTCCTCCACGCAGTCAGAAAGATCACTGTAAAATTTTCTTGCAACATTCAGAGCTAGGGAGAGCTGGATATAAATTTTAGGTCTGCAATTTCATGTGTAACTTCTTTCTCTGTGCTTCAGTTCCTTTCCTCATCCGGAAAATGAGCTTAACAAAGGACCACAGTGACATATGGAAATGCAGTACAATGTGCATACGATTTTCAAATGCACGCTGAAATGTCAAGTCATCTATTGCTTTGAAATGTTTCAGGAAAAAAAGAGACAGAGATAGAAGTAAATATAGGAAAATGTCAACTGTTCTATCTAGCAGGTACATATAGGGACGTCCACTGTACTAGTCTTTCAGCGTTTCCTTATGTCCCCATGTATGCAACTATGAGAGAAAGGAAGGAGGGAGCTGGATGTGCTGGGCAGTCCCAGGGCAAAGGTATTCTTCGCTGAATCTGTCCGGCCATCTCCCAAGGTCCCAGGGCTCTGTGCTGTTTCCCAGTCGCTGATGTGGGCTCCAGGATGAACCCTTGGGGTGGCTCTGTGGTGTGTGTGGAGTGTGGCCTTGTGGAGCCATGGCTACAGGATGGTGCTCAGGGTGCCCTCTGTGCAGCGCCCCTTGGAGAATGTCCTTAGGAAAGTGAGTAGGGAGGTTGCCATGACCCAACTCAACCTGAGCCTGACCTCGACTTCCTCCCCCTCTTGTGAGAGTCTGGGACATGTGCAGCCATATGTAGACTTTTCATAGCTTTTTTTTTTTAAGATATATTAATCTGCTGAAATCCAACCTTATGTTAAAAGAGAGACACAGCTAAAAGAAAAACACGTCCCACTGATTCAGGAGAAATGCAAAACCACTGATAATCTCAGCTCTGACAAAAGGGAGGCTGTGGAGCTAGAATCTTCCTTAAAGAGCATTGGCCTTTAGAATGTCAGCAGGAACTTGCAACCTGCCAGAAAACCCTGAGAGCTGAAGAGGGTCAACTTAGTTCCTTAGGAGGACCTGTAGGAAGAGAAGTCCAGGCCCAGAACAAGAGGAGACAGCTGAAGTCAGGGGAAAGGTCCAGTTTCTGGAAGAGGAACTATGAGTCATCCCACAGGAAATAGCTCTTCCAAACAGAGCACTGGTACACAGCTGGTCCCTCACAGCAAGGGGGCCTCCCTAATCTGAAGACAGAGCTCCCCCTCGGAAGTTATGTCTGAGTACAAACACGAGAATACTGGAAATACTATAAAAACCATCCAATTTCTTCCTCTCTCCCACCTAAGCTGCCAGGTTATGCTCACCCCGCTCCTCCTTCCATCCAAGGAACTGTGTATGATATTTCAAGGCCTCATTTTCCTCCTCCCTCCTTGCCTCTTTCTCTTCCTTTCTCTCCTTCTTCCAGACGCCATGCATGGATCCCACCACTGCCACCACTGTCAAGATCTCACCCAGACTTCACAGCCTGAAAATAGAAATGTGTGCCTGCAAAATTAATTCAGTCTTCAAACAAATCAACGATTGCACTTCCCAAAACTATACCAGGAAACTTGGAGCTTTCCTTTGTCTTGCTTAGAAAAAAAATTAATTTTGCCTCTTTCCTTATTAGTTTATGCAGCTGCTGCTGCTTAAGAGATTATATTTTTGCTAGATGAAGCTATAATATTCAGAGATTTATAAATGATATCATTTACAAAATGATTATATATAATTACTTTTTATTTTGCCCTTTAGAGAGTATAAAAACTGTATTTTAATTTTAATTATGTGTACATTATAACCTTAACAATAACGTGAGTAGTATGAGTATCAGCAATAGAAAAAAAATATTTTTCACTTTAAATGTTGTCTTTGTTTGCCCAAATGCTATATTATAGTTAAAAGGCAAATGTAAAAACTGTTTCATACCTATATAAATATTGATTGGCTTTAAAAAACACTTACATGAATTCTTTTCTTCAAAACATTCCTTTCTAATATTCCTCAAAGCAGCTCACTTACACTCAGCATATGTAACAAAACTTATCCATAAAACGAAATTACAAAAGGGAATCTTTGTACAGATCCAGACCAAATAGCCACAATGTATAAAACACATTATCAAAATGAAATTGATTAAGTTGTGAAGCCTTCAGAATGATTTCTAACAGTACTAAATAGTTTATAAATACTTAGTAGATAGTTTACGTATCTGTGAAAAGGAGCTAGTAATGGGAACCTCTCATCAAGAGAGTCATTGTATGGTAATTAAATAGAATTGTAAAAACAGATGCTATTTTAAAGTATTTAATCTTATAAAACTTCTTTTAATATTACAAACAAAACAGAAAGAACTAATACATTAATTAAAATCATAAACTTTAGCAACTTTAAGACCTAAGACCAATATTAAATTGAATCAATAAATAATTTTTGATACCTAGACAATTCCTAAGAACAGGATTCAAAAGACTTATAAGACTTAATATAATTTTAATTTACCCTTATTTCTTGAGATGGCTACAAATTAACAGCGTATGCAAATGACTTTTATGATTACATACATTTGTTTTGCTATCTTAAATTTGTTGAAATTAGCTAAAATTTTAAAACAATTCAACAGTTTTCTAGTTTTCTTTTGTGTTTGGGGAAAAAAGCAGGTTACTTTAGCTACACATAATAATATAAATGGTTGAGTAGACTAGTGCAATAATTACAGAAAAAAGGACTAGGTATATAAGATAATTGATGTGATTTGATTGTTAAAATCATTACAATGTATTAAGATGATATAGTATAATATATATTATTTTAACATATATCAACAGATCAATTATATTTTAAAGTTATAGTTAAAATATTTACATTTATCATTTATTTTTATGTTTATTTACATGCATATACCTAAATACAGCCATGAAGATTTATTTATCTTTCCCTGCAAATTGTTACATAAATAATATATAAATTAGTAAAATTAGAAGTAGAGGGTTGGGTTCTTCTTCTTTTTTTTTTTTTTTTCTAAAAGTGACTATCATTCTATAAGGTCTGTGCCCCATACAGTATTACTCTTAAGTACAACTACCTCTACAGAGAAGGCCCCAAATAAACTAGTTAAATTGACTAGTTAATGGAGAATTCATGCTACAGTCAACACTCCTTGTGTCATCAACATATGTACAATTGGAGAGATGGAATAGTCTGTGATTAGACTGAAAGAAAGGGGCATGATCTAGATCCCTAGAGTAGACCCACTCAGACTTTGACTCATGTTTTCATGGCCTGGGGTTAGTCGCCTGGTCCCCTGGCCTTGGAAAACTAATGAATAGTCATTTTGTCTTTCATAATTGCCTAGAAACCACTTGACTGATGCATCTTGTACTGAGTCTAAAATGCATAACCATTGTCATGTCAGATCACTCAACAACTCATCTGATAACAAAAGGAATAAGAGGTACTAATTTGTCCAAATACAAAGAATGTTCTCTAGACAGCCTCCCAACAGGCAGAATCTCAGTAATGGTGAAAAAACCTCAATATCATGGATTAATTACCTGTGGTCTAACTTCATCTGCTGTTGGCCAAAAGTGAGAATTACAAGAAAAACATATCCAAAAGCCATCAGCTTGCACTAACAGCGAGACCATGATGTTCTACTGGAGATAAACAATTTCACAGAACACCGACATCAGATGAATTCAATGTGGGACCATGATAGAGTAGGAAAAAAGTCAAATCCCTTGGAAATTATATCTTAGTACAAACATAAGAATACTGGAATTACTATAAAAACAATCCAATTTCTTCCTCTTTCAGCTCACATGAGTGGCCATTGCCTTTTTGCCAATTACATCTTCAGTTCCATTCCATTTCTCCCACTTCCAGGTAAAATATTAAGTTGTCCATGCATAGATTTAATTTTACTTCCTGAGAGTATCCAACCTAGGAGAGTACCCTGCTTCTTCAAACACCCCCCAAAATCACCTAACAGGCTTAAATCCTGAAATGCTTCCTGATTTCCTCATGGTGTGTGGTCTCCTTTGTTGCAGCAAGTAACACAGGCAAATTTGTTCCACTGCAGATGTATTCCTTCGCAGTTTTGATTGACAGGCAATGATACCACCAACAGCTACACTGAGACATTTGATCCAAAAATGATCAAAAGCCAGTGAATACAGAAAAAAAGTGAGAAACAGCAATAATAATTTTCACACACCAGACATGTGCCAGAAGGTATTTTCACATTTGCCTTTATCTCACACATCAATTCTATGAAAGCGTTCTCATTAGAGTAATTTTATAGCTCAACACATTAAGCTCAGAGAGTATAAAAGGCTTGCTCAAGGTAATTTTCATATCACATCTACATTTGCATATATTGTATAGCATTTTTAGCTATGAAATGCTAAGGCTAAAATTCAATTTTAGGTTTCCCCAGCTCTCAAATCTTTCCCTCTATAACATGATACCTCCAAATACTATTACATTGTTTTAATCAGATTCAAGAACAAATTCTTCTGACTATGTTCATGACAGCTTCAACAAAAATCCAAGAGACCTGTTAAATTTACTGATGGAATTCTGGAGGGTAAGAGTGACAGCTGTTGGTAAGAGGAAATACGGTGCTAAAGAGAAGTGTTTGGGGGTCAGAGGAAATTGAGGAACTATATTGGGAGATGGATAAAGGAAAGAGGAGCAGCCTGGAGCCATGAAAGGAGAACTAAACTTCCTCCTGCATTAGATGATGTATTAAGGATTAAAACTGATGGGTCATGGAAATAGCTGTATTTCTTTTTTTTTTTTTTTCTTGAGACTGAGTCTTGCTCTATGGCCCAGGCTGGAGTGCAGTGGCATGATGTTGGCTCACTGCAACCTCCATCTCTCAAGTTGAAGTGATTCTCGTGCCTCAGCCTCTCAAGTAGCTGGGATTACAGGTGCCTACGACCACACCTGGCTAATTTTTCTATTTTTAGTAGAGACGAGGTGTCACCATGTTGGCCAGGCTGGTCTTTAACTCCTGACATCAGGTGATCCACTTGCCTCGGCCTCCCAAAGTGCGGGATCACAGGTATGAGCCACCACGTCTGGCCCCTTTCCCATATTTCAATCCAATAATCCTGATTCTGGAAATTTATCCTAAGTAATAACTTAGCAAATAAAATATACATATATATGTAGAAATGTTCATTGTAACATATATTTGCAAAGATTTGGAAATAGCATACACATCCAACAATAAGGAAATAAAATAGCACATTTTATGCTTTATACCATGCAATATTATACAACATAAAAATATAATTGTGAATAATATATGAATAGAAAAATGCTTAATTCCTAAGGTTCAATTACACACAAATCAGAAAACAAATAAGCAGGAAAAAATAAAATATATGTGAGAGTCACACACAAAGCTGCTGGAGAAACCTTCCATCTGCTCTAAGGAGTCATTCCCTACCCTAAAGGGAGACATCAGCCACCTGGACCAGATGCTTAGCTGCCACAAGAGGACACCTGGAACCAGCCCCAAGAACTTTGCTTGAGGGCATCTGAAAGAAAGATCAGCCACCATGGTCCTTCCCCGAGGTTACCAGGGCTCTGGGAGTTGCCTCTCCAACTGCTACTGAGAAGGGCCCACACCTTACATGCTCAACTGCTAAATAATCTACAGCTTTCCTCTGATGGCCCTCCTTCTTCAAAGGAAGGACCAATTCCATTATACCACACATCCCATTTGCTTCAGTCCTCAGCATAATCAGAGACGTGCTTACCCCACACTGATCTGATCTGTAGTGCCCCAATAGGACCTAATCTCCTACTCTCTTCATCCTCCCAAATTAACCACCTCTCATCAGCAAAATCACTTTTAATCTCCACCCATACCATAAAAGTTATTTTTTTTTGAGAGGTCTCCTTCTGGTTGCCCAGGCTGGAGTGCAGTGGTGTGATCTTGGCTGACTGCAACCTCTGCCTCCCATATCCAAGCAATTCTCCTGCCTAGCCTCCCAAGTAGCTGGGATTACAGGTGTGAACCACCATTCCTGGCAAATTTTTGTATTTTTAGTAGAGATGGGGTTTCACCATGTTGGCCAGGCTGGTCTCAAACTCCTGAGCTCAGGTGATACACCTGCCTTGGCCTCCCAAAGTACTGGGATTACAGGCGTGTGCCACCACGTCCAGCTAGTTTTTGCATTTTTAGTAGAGACAGGGTTCCACCATGTTGGCCAGGCTGGTCTCAAACTCCTGACCTCAGGTGATCTGCCCATCTCAAGATCCCAAAGTGCTGGGATTACAGGCATGCGCCACTACTCCCAGCCTGTTTTCCCTTTTTTCTTCTGACTGAAACTTGGCTGGCACTGGAGGACATGCTTTACCTGAGCTCCCTTAAAAGATGCACTCTCTGATTTCCATTATGACCCTGCAAGCAAGTGGCAGTGACGCAGGATTTTTTCAGTGCTGCTTGGCCAGCTGGATATATCCACAGCTGGCAAAACACATACCTGAGCCTCACTCAGCCCTGGGCTC
Organism: Homo sapiens; assembly: GCF_000001405.40. Lineage (NCBI taxonomy): Eukaryota > Metazoa > Chordata > Mammalia > Primates > Hominidae > Homo > Homo sapiens. The sequence goes on from NC_000007.14 coordinate 35,601,669, forward strand.
ACAACAGGAGGCACCCTGGCCATTCGATGAGCCAGGCCACACCTGGCTTGTACTCTAACTGGACCCCGTGTTCACCACAGGATCCACACTCAGCCCACAGCTGGGCCAGGCTGGGGGTGCCTTGACCTGCCTCCGCCCTGTGCGTTGGCATCCCAACAAGGGGAATGTGGTGGCACTTGAAAAGGGATGCCAGTGACCCTGAAGCCCCAAAGGGGATGCTATAGCCTTTTTCATGCCCACATTCGGTGGGTCTCAAGTTCTTGTTCCATGTCCAAGAAGAATGAGGTTATGCTACAGCCAAAGGGTGAGCACAGCAGAGAGTTTTACTGAGTGACAGCTCTCAGCAGAGAGCGGACCCAGAGAAGGCAGCCCCCTACCTGAAGTTGGGTAGCTCCCCTGACCTGAAGGCAGGCAGTCCCCACCAAGTGTGGCTGAGTCCAGGACTTTTCTGGGCTCAGAATCGGGGAGTGCATGCTGATTGGTTTATGAGTATGCAAGAAAGGCTAAAACAAAGGCACCACTCAAAGGTAGGTAAGAAACACAGTGCAAGAAACCACTTAGGGAAGAGTAGGTATATGTAAAATAGGTGGAAGGTGGGGATTAATCAGAGGAAAGCATGCCAAACGAAAAGAGAGGTTCTCAATTTGGTCCATGGATTTATCCAAGACTTGTAGCTTGGATTTCAGGCTTTGAACTGTCTTTGGTTTGAAGGGGGGTTTCATTGGGGACCCGCCCCATCGGCCTAGGCATTTGACTGCCTCTGCCACTATCAGCAAAGTGAGGTGGACCTCACCTGAAGGGCACTGGAGTTGAGGAAATCAAGCATCTGGAGCAACAGGTTATTGGACTCATAACTTGAGGGCACAGTGAGTTGCCCAAAGTTCTACATGAACAACCATGTAGAGAAAGCCAGTGATCCAAGTACTAAATGCACCAATTCAAGACGGGGGGTGTGGGGCATTGGAAGGTGTTGAGTAGATGGCTGCAGTGGATAAGAGAAAAGGTTTGATTTTTTAGTCTGAGGTTTTTGAAGGTGAAATAGCTTGGAAGTGGCATTGAGGAGCAAGTTGATCTCCATGTCTTGAGGTACCTAGGTTGTTGAAGACAAAGCAGTCAACATATGTGAGTGCAAGGTGGATGCTCACATCTCACTCCCACTAAATCGATGAACTGGTCTGCATTTGTACTCTATATTCCATTTTCACGGCCTAACAAATATCCCTGAACAAACCAAAGATAATCCTTCCCCTTGCAGTCTGCACCTCATTCTCTCTTGACTTCTCATTGTTAAGTAAAATCTTCTGCCATTATTCCCTCTCCTTCTGGCATCATCCATTTCTCCCACAGAGAAGAACATTCCCATGAGCCTACAAACATATTGTTTTTAAATCTTTCCTAAATTCCAAGAACAGATATATATTTTATTCCATTTATCTGTTCCCTTCAACACAAATTCCTCAAGAGATTTGTCACCATCTCCTCTTCCTCTTTAACCACTGTAATCATGATTCTGTCCCCACTGCACCAAGAAAGCAGCTCTTATCAAACATATGGTCAAAGCTAATATCAATTTCTTGTCCCCATCTCACTGATTGCAGTTGACACTTTTTTTTTTCTGAGATGTTTGAGACAGAGTCTCACTCTGCTGCCCAGGCTGGAGTGCAGCGGCACGATCTTGGCTCACTGCAACCTCTGCCTCCCAGGTTCAAGCGATTCTCCCACCTCAGCCTCCCAAGTAGCTGGGATTACAAGCACACACCACCACACCTGGTTAATTTTTGTATTTTTAGTAGAGATGGGGTTTCACTACGTTGGCCAGGCTGGTCTCAAACTCCTGACCTCAAGTGATCCACCCACCTAGCACCTCCCAAAGTGCTGGGACTACAGGTGTAAGCCACCCCACCCTGGTGACATTTTTAGAATATTTCTTCCTTAGGTTTCTTTGATAGCAAACTCACTAGATATTTTGTCTCACCAGTTGTTCATTTTCTCTCCTTCGCTAGACTCTGCTCCTCTCCCAGAACTTTAAATTATTACATGCCACGTTCTTGGTCTTCATTTATCTATCTCCTCTCTCTCTCTCTAAGAAATCTCACCCATTCTCACTGCCTTAGAAACTATCTGCACTCTGGCTCTGAAATCTATATCTCCAACCTAATCCCTCCTGATTTCCAGGCTTGTAAATCCAACTGTTGACTCAGCATCTCCACTTGTCTAATAGACATCTCGCACTTAAAAGAAATCTTGATCCACCCTTCCCCACTCTAACCTATTCCATCCTGTCTTCCCCACCTAAGGAAATGAGGCCACCACCCACTCAGTTGCTCAGCCTGAAAACCTCCAAGTCATCCTTGTTTCTCTTCTTCCCCTCATAGCCCATGTCCATCAACAAACACTATCAGCTCTCGCCCCACAATACATGTCGCAAGTGTGACCCCTTCTTACCACCTCCACTTCTCACACTCAGCCCAGCCACCCTTGGATGCCACCTGCAGCACTGCAATGGCCTCTGGATGTGTCTCCCTATCTTCATTCTGGCCCCCCAGTACCCTCCCACTGTGCATTTATCATCTTGTCACAGCTAGAGTGAGCTTTACAAATAGAAAATATATATGTATAATATTGCATTTATGAAAAGATGTTCAATCTCAGCAAGCCACTAAACATTTTGAAATTAAAATAACACATTGCTCAATGTAGTGCTTGGCACAAAGTGACTTCTCAATGAATATTTATTGTATACATGAAAAACAATTTTTCATTTACGAATTGGCAAAACTTTTTAAGTATAAATGTACAGTATTAGCAAGGGCTCAGAGAAATGGCACTCTTCACACTTCTGGAGAGACCGTGTGTTTTTTTTCAGGAAATTTGTCTCAAAAGTCTCAGAAATGCCCATATATTTTGAGCAATTACTTTCATATCTAAATTTTCAATTTAAGAATTTGACTAAGGATGTGCACAAAGTTGTAACTACTGCATCTTTGATGTAACCAGATGAAACCTTTAGAAACCAGTTGGTGTCTTGGTGTGTCCATTTGCTTGTTTTGTCTGTCACTCTAGATGGGTTGAGGGTTAATAAAAAGGATTTTTGTCATGTGACACAGAAATGTTTTCCAGGCCTTTGTCCTAAGAGAGGTCAATGTTTCACAACCCTGACTTGAGTTCACTAGTCTGGGGTGGGGCCTAGGAAGGATATTTTTAAAGTTCCTTACAGAGTTCTCAAAGTAGTCTACTGAGAAGCATTGACCTGGATTTTCCTCACCCACAGCAAGAAGGGTTGTTCCTCACACTGCAGTTTTCTGAGAGGAGCCCCCCCAGTGACCTTGCCTGCGATGGGCATGGCTATGTGGGAACGGAAGGGGCTACATCCTAAGCCCCCCTGACTTGACAGGAGCAACCAAGAATCCTGGGCCAGATCATCAGTCATTAGGGGAAAGCCTCATGCACTCTTCGCTTATAGAACAAGCCTCTTTTCCATAAAGCAATATTATTTGAAGGGGAACTTTTTTCAGACTCCATCCAAATTGCCACCACATCCAAAATCTAGTACCTAAATTAGTTAGACTTTCTGTGCATATTTTAGAATATTGCCTGTCACATGGTGTTACGAACTGAATCTGTACCCCCAACATTCACATGTTGAAATCCTACCCCCTAATGTGTTGGTAGAGATGACTCTCTTTGAAAGGTAATTAGATCATGAACCTGGAGCCCTCACGAATGGAATGGGATTCGTGCCCTTACAGCTCTCTTGATCTGTTTTCCCCATGTGAGGACACAGTGAGAAGATGGCCATATGGAAACCAGGAAGAAGGCACCGAATCAGCTGGAACCTTGATCTTGGACTTCCCAGCCTCCAGAACTGTGATAAATACATATTTTTCTTTAGGACCTCCAGTTTATGGTATATTTGTTATAGCAGCCTGAATGGACTAAGATACATTGTAAAGTTCACTTTCCTCTACTATAAAATGGGTGGGGAATAAAATGGGATAACAAATTGCAAAGTACCTTATCCATATTAGCTGGCAACATTTTTCAGGTTAGAAGAAGAGTATGAAATCAAGCTACACAGTTACTCCTCCCCTTGCCTTCTTTTCCCCATTGCTACACCTGCCTTGCTTCATTTTGCAGCCTGATCTTGCCTGCAGAGATGTAAGGCAGGGCTTTGCACAACCTGCAGAGGTTGCAGGATGAATGCCAGGATGGGGAGCCTGAGTCAGCTCCTCCTTTGGATCTTCCCCTGGCCTCTCCCACCATTACCACTTCTCCCCCAAGGACATGCAGGGGTCAATTACAAGAGCACGGTGACTCATTGGCAGGAAAAACATGGACACTCTGAATTAGAACAAACATCTCTGCCTGTGGTCATTTGCTCTCCCTCAGGCTTCTGAGAGGGATCTGGAGACAGCTTCAGGTGGGCTATTCTGGGCTCTACAGAGCCCTGGGGTGGCAGACAGGCCAGGCTGCCCAGGCACTGGGCACACTATCTTCCGGACCAATTGCTGGCTCTGGGTTCACCTTTCCTTGCCATCAGATGACCAGAGAAAAGATCAAGGCAGAACAGATGTTGGACCTTCCTAGAGCCTCTGTCTAAAATCAAAGGGGACTTCCTCTTACTGACCCCATCTATCTCAGTAAGAGAAGGAGCAGCTCCTCTCTTGTTCCCAAACATCAGTATTTTGGCTAGAAAAACACCAATTTATATTCAGTAATCCAGGCCTTTTAAGTGACAATTTAACCTTTCCACGTTCAAGGATGGATTTTTTTTGTTTCATTTATAAAAATTCATTATTGAATAGAAAGAGGGTATATTAATTTCCGGTTACTGCTATAACATTAGCACCCACTTAGAGGCTTTGAAGGACACAAGTGCATTGTCTCACAATTCTAGAGGCCAGAAGTCAGACATTGATCATCCTGGGCTAAAATCAAGGCGTCAGCAGGACTGTGTCCTCCTGGAGGCTCTAGGAAAGAATCTTTCTCTGCTTTTTCCAGCTCTTTGTGGTCCCTTTCCCCATTTTCAAAGCCAGCGGTGGAGCATCTTCAAACCTCTCTCTCATTTTGACCTCCTCTTCTGCTTCCCTCTCCCACCTTAAAGGACCCTAACAATTACATTAGACTTGCTTCAGTAATCCAAAATAATTTCCCAATCATAAGGTCAGTTGATTAGCCACTTAATTCTTTCTGCGACCTTCATTCCCCCTTGCCATGTCACATGATATATCACAGGTTCAGGGGATTAGGATATAGAGATTGTTGGGGGGGTCATCATTCTACCTACCACAGGGATTATACAACATTTTGGTTTGGCTGCTAAGCAAATGATGACCCTGCCTACCTACCTACAGATGAGCCTTCAAACTTCAAAAGAGGGCCTCAGGCCCCAGACAAGGAGCAAGACTTCCCAACACTATCAGGGCACTTTCTGGTGACAATAGTCAGAGTAGTTAGGAATCAGCGTTGATGATATTTAGGTGACTAAGGTAGCATGATCAGAGCCCAGGTAAGTATTTTGTCCTTGGACAAAAAGTAGGTCTGTGTCTACTTAAAGCAGTCCGGAAGGAGGAGGCCAGAGCTTGAGTTCTGAGGCCATCTGAGCATCAAAGTTAGAAAAACAAAGTTCGAACACAAAATCCATGTGGCAAAAGTAGGGCTGACACTGTGAGACCAAATCCCTGGCAAAAGCCAAGAGCAACGAGAGTGAAACTGGAATTTAGCATCCAAAACTGAGCCCACTGAGCTAACGCACTGCTGTGTGCCCTATTTGCCATCTGCCCTTATGGTGTTGGGCAGGTCAGCCTGGCTTAAGGATACAGGGTTTGGCTGACATCATTTTTCTCAGAGATGACATCATTTTTCTCAGAGATGACATTAGAACTACATTATTCTTTTGATTCACTTTTGTTGTCTCCCCAAAATTAAAGAAGCTCAGCGGTTAGAAGATGACCATGCCTATTAGTAATCCTGATGTGGAAGTGGCATTTGGACCTCCTGGCTGGACTCTCTTCCCCACCAGCTCCAGCATCTTTGCAGGTTACTGAAGTGTTTACAAGCTGAAGAGAAATAAAATAAAAACCTGGCATCTTAATGCATGCCACTCACACCTTTTCAAACAAGTTCATATTTCATGGAGTCCCCCTTCATCCAGGTATCATAGTGCATTTCCTTCGCTGCAATAACGGAATTACATCAGTGTAGGAAACAGAATACTATCAGAGTGTTACAGGAAAACCTCCATTTTTTTCCACTGTGGCTCAGAGAAAAGAGGGTTAGCATTCAGTCTCTGACTAATGTGCTTGCTAGATTTGAGGAGCAACACAAACCTCAGCTGATTTTGTGGTAAAGTGTTATCTAAGTCCATGTCTTTTTTATTGAGGATACAAAGAGCTCTAATATTTAGCCATAATTTCTAAGATGATACAAGCAAGGGAAAATTGAATGGAAGGAAAGCAAACCCAAATAAATAAACGGTATTGCATACCAGATATGAGCCTGTGTGTTTCACATGCTTTTTCATGCACCCTTCACACTAATCCTAGGAGATGGTGATTATTCTACCCATTTTAAGTGAGCACCTGAGGCTCACACAGAGTATAAATGACTTGCCCAAGGTGATTTTTAAAGCACATGCCTACAGGCTTAAAATTTCTTTACATTTTAGCTAGTAAGGGGTAAGACTAAAATACACACTTAAATCTCTCTGATCCCCCGTAACTTTTCCTCTATTACATAATTCTCCTAAATATTATTGTTACTTTGTTAGTTTTCTAACCAGAGTCCACAGCAAAATTCTGAATATCCTCAATGGTGGCTTTAGTGCAAATACAAGAGACGTGTTAAAATTACTGGTGGACTTCCAGAAGGGTAGGGTTTGGCTGGTAGTGAGAGGAAACGTGGCTCTGAGAAAGAGCATTGGGGAAATGGGGGAGATTAGGGGTCCTGGTGGGAGAGGGAGAAAGGGGAGCTGTCTGGAACAGTAGAAGGAGGATTGAACTTGACTCCGGATTCGATGAGGCATCAGGGACTAAAACAAAAGAATCAATGAAATGGCTTTATACCTTTTATATTCTGATGCAGCAGTTGAAATCCTGGAAATGTATCTATCCTAAGGGATAATTTAGCAAATATATAAGCACACACATATACACAAAAATGTTCATTGCAACATATATTTATAAAGATTTAGAAATGTCATACAAGTCCAAGAGTATAGACATAAATTAGCAAATCTTTATACTTTTCCATCATGCCATGTTCTATTTTAAATGTATAATTTGTATGTATTTAAATAAAGAAAAATGCTTATAAGATTCACTTTTAAAAATCAGAAAATAGAGAAGCAGGGAAAAATCTTCACAAAACATATACGAAAGATAGTGTCTTGGGCTGTGGAAAGAACAGGCTTCTGCTGCTGTGAGTCCCTCCTTACCGGCAGAGAGAGACTGATCCCCTGAACCAGCGTCCACAACACAGCACATATCTCCCAGCCCCTAAGACGGGCAGGCCTGGAAACTTGGCCCAGCATTCCTGAGCTTCCAGCAGAGGAAGACCAGCCACCACCCCCTCTTCCCAGCCACTATACCTCAGGCTCCTGCCTTCTCCAGCTCAGAAAGTAAGGCCACAGCCCACTCAGTTGCTCAGCCTGAAAGCCTCCAAGTCATCCTTGATTCCCCTCATAGCTCACATGCAATCCATCAGCAAATGCTGTTAGCCCCACCTCTGCAATACATCCCAAACCTAACCCCTTCTCATGGTCCCCACTTCTCACACTTGCACCACTGCAATGGCCTCTGGACATATCTGTCTGCCGTTCTGGCCCCCTCCCCCTCCAACCATCCACTCTCACCACAGCTAGAGTGAGCTTTACACAAAAGAATTGGGAGGCCGAGGCGGTGGATCACTTGAGGTCAGGAGACGGAGGCCATCCTGGCTAACATGGTGAAACCCTGTCTCTACTAAAAATAAAAAAAATTAGCCAAGTATGGTGGCACGTACCTGTAGTCCCAGCCACTTGGGAGGCTGAGGCAGGAGAATCGCTTGAACCTGGAAAGTGGAGGTTGCAGTGAGCTGAGATTGCGCCACTGCATTCCAGCCTGGGCAACAGAGCAAGGCTCCGTCTCAAAAAAAAAAAGGAATTATAATTAGCTACCAGGTATATGAAAATATGCTGAATCTCAATGAAGAGCGACACACTTTCAAATTAAAGTAACACTGTCCAATGGAGTAATGGCATATAGGAAACACTCAAGAAATATGTATCGCAGACATGAAAAACTACATGTTCATCTACCAAATGGAGAAAGATTTTTAAACTGAAAATTTCCAGAATTGAAAGGGCCCAAATAATCACAACCTTTTTCACTTCTAGTGAAATTGTGACTTTTTTTTTAAGTCTCAAAATATCCTGTAACTTCAAATCTAAAATTTTAACCTAAGGATTTAATTAAGGAAATAAGCAAAATGGTATCTTCTGCATCTTTTCGACAACAGGCTTAGACATTGAGAAATGAAGAAATTAGTGCCTTGTTTGCTCATTTCTTTATCCTTTCTGGCTGCCTTTGGGAGGAGAAGAAGGACATGTGTTTTCTCCCAGGAGGCCTTTGTCCTAGGACACTTGATGTGAATCCTGGCTGCATTTAAAATAATCTAGAAAGTTGAAATACATACCTATTACCAGGCTCTATCCCCAGAGATTCCAATTTCATTTGGCCTACGGTGGGGCCCAGACAGGTTATTTTTTTAAGTCTCTGGGGGATTCTCACAGCAGCCAGGCTGAGAGGGACAGGCCTGGGGGCCCTTCCTCCTCCAGGAAACAGGGCTCCTCCCTTCTCCATATTGTAGGTCTCTGACAGGAGCCTCCCAGAGGTGACCAGACCCCAGATGGACACAGCTGCATGGGAACCTAAAAAAGGCTGGAACCTAAGCCCTCTACCTTGAGAACAGCCATGAGGAGTCCTGTGGCCAGGCCAGCAGTTGACAGGGAATGTCCCTACAATTAGCTTGCTGTGAGCTTACTTAAACAACAGTGCCAAAACATAGGCCGAGTACCTGGGCTCCACCCGCAGTAGTGGAGGTGGTGCCTAAAGAATGCTCATGATCCCAGGCCTCTCCCAGCCATGTTCTTGAGCTCATAAGATTCCAGGTCCCAGATTAATTCAAAGATGATTGATGAAGTCACAAAAGTCACTCATTCACTCAGCAAATATTTATTGAGCATCTACTTTGTACCAGGCACTGATCTAAACACTGGAGATACATCAGCAAATAAAAGACCACAGCGACATCACTAGCAGGGAGAGCCATGGATTAAGCACTAAATGTAATCTGCAAGTAAAACATACAGTCTCCTAGATGGTGATGGGGACTCGGGTAAATAGAGAAATGTAGGGGTGGGTGTGTGCGGAGGAAAGCTCAGGGAAATAAGAGTAGGTCCTGAACCCTGAGGTGGGAGCCTGCCAAAGGTGTTCAGGAACCAGCAGGAGGGTAGGGTGGCTGGAGAGGAGGGGCTGAGGAGAGGGCATGATTGGGGGTAGGTCAGAGAGGTGCATAGGGGAGCTTTGGCTTTTACTCCACGTGGAATGGAAGCCACTGCGAGGTGTTGAGCACGAGAGGAAGGAACCAGATGAGAATATTGCCAAACAGAACTTGGGCCCAGCTACCTGGCACAGCAAAGCCAAACACTGATATCAGGATTTACGGCAAGAAAAAGTGAGGCATTTATTGCAAAGCGCCAAGCAAGGAGAATTGGGCAGCTCATGCTTAACACCAGAACTCCCCACTGGCTGACAGATAAGGGTTTTTCTAAGGCAGTGATATAGTTTGTATATTTCTCCCTGCCCAAATCTCATGTTGAATTATAATCCCAGGTATTGGAGGTGGGGCCTGGTGGGAGGTGACTGGATTGTAGGGGTAGATTTCTCATGAATGGCTTGGGCCATCCCCTTGGTGCTGAGTGAGCTCTCGCCCTGAGTTCACATGAGATCTGGTTCTTTAATGGTGTGTGGCACCTACCCCCACCAATCCCTCTCTCTCAATCTCTCTCTCTCTCTCTCTCCTGCTTTTGCCATGTGAGGTACCTGCCCCCCTTTCACATTCCACCATGACTGTAAGCTTCCTGAGGCCACCTGAGAAGCCAAGCAGATGCCAGCATCATGCTTCCTGCACAGCCTGCAGAACTGTGAACCAATTAAACCTCTTTTCTTTATAAATTACCAGTCACAGGTATTACTTTATAGCAATGCAAGAACTGCCTAATATAGACAGGAAGGCAGAGGTTACAGGCAAAGTCATCAATCAACAAAATGAAGCTATACATTGGCTTGGCCTAAAAAAGGCAGGACATCCTGAAACGGGGTTGGGAGGACTAAAGGTCATAGGTGAATTCAAAGATTTCCTGACTTGTGATTGATTAAGCTTTGTTTAAAAACTTGGGGTCAGTCAAAAGGAATGTTGAGCTCTGGCCTGTGGGCATGACTTCCTCTGGGCACCTCAGGAAGAAATTTAGAATAAGTGGCAGGCAGAGTTCAGTCCTTGTTCCCCCTTATCTGAGGTCTACAGGCCGGCAGATGGCATTTTCCATTTGCTGGGGGTCCAGGTTTATAAAAAACAACTCAAAGACATATGTGAAGATGTTACCTTTAGTTTCTATAGGGAACGAAAGAGTTTGTAGCTCTAGCTTCCTTGGCTGTTGTTTAAAATTACTATTGGCCAGGCACAGTGGCTCATGCCTGTAATCCCAATACTTTGGGAGGCCGGGGTGGGCAGGTCACCTGAGGTCGGGAGTTTGAGACCAGCCTGACCAACATGGAGAAACCCTGTCTCTACTAAAAATACAAAATTAGCCAGGCGTGGTGGCGCAACCCTGTAATCTCAGCTACTTGGGAAGCTGAGGCAGGAGAATCTCTTGAACCTGGGAGGCAGAGGTCATGGTGAGCTGAGAAGGTGCCATTGCACTCCAGCCTGGGCAACAAGAGCGAAACTCTGTCTTAAAAAAAAAAAAAAAAAAAAAAGCTACTGTTCACCTTTTTTTTTTTTTTTTTTTTTTTTTGAGATGGAGTTGCGCTCTGTCGCCCAGGCTGGAGTGCAGTGGCGCAGTCTTGGCTCACTGCAAGCTCCGCCTCCCGGGTTCACGCCATTCTCCTGCCTCAGCCTCCCGAGTAGCTGGGACTACCGGCACCCGCCACCACTCCCCGCTAATTTTTTTTATTTTTAGTAGAGATGAGGTTTCCCCATCTTGGCCAGGCTAGTCTCAAACTGCTGACCTCAGGTGATCCACCTGCCTCGGCCTCCCAAAGTGCCAAGTCTTTATTGTAAACCATTACTGGCTGCCTGAATTCTAAAATTCTTAGGACTTAAGAAGCAACAAGCCATGATTGACTAATCAGTTGAAAAAAAAAAAAAAACAGGTCAAGATGGACCCATCCTGAGGCTCAATCCCAAATGCCAGTCTCCTTTCTGTACCCTCAAGTGCACCTGTCTGGCTTGAAAACAAATTCCCTCTATTTGGCCTCAAGCTAAGCTAACAGAGCAAACAATTCCTTCTACCCAGGCCTCTGCTTTGTTCCAGGGCTTGTGTTTTACTGGGGCCAGGGCCCTGGAGCCACCCTCAGGGATGAGATTTCTCCTTCTCATGAAGGAAGCAGTGTTGAAAGCAAAGTATTTGATTCCTGTTCTTGAGGCCTAAACATTTAACTGTAAAGTATGTAAACTGTGTTCTGGAATTCTGGCTATGGTATGTATCAAGCTACATAAACAACATGCCATCTCGTCTCTCCACGTAACACAGAGGTACAGAGAGGCTGAGATAAAGAAACACATAAATAGGTGGTTAGCTGTGATATTAAAATAAGGGAATCACTGGGAGAATTTCTGTGCTGCTGGAAATTAGAGCTGCCATTGTATAAAAGCTGCATACATTTTGACTTGATATCACCATCAGTTAAGCAGTGGTTATAATATTTTGTCCTGGAAATGTATAAAGTTAAGAGACTACTTGTTTTTCCAGGAGACAGCTTTCCGAAAAATGTTAAAGCAGATTTTCATAAATAAATTATTAGGCACACCTCTATTTTTTTCTATAGCAATGATCACTTTTTACCATAATAGATGTACTTATTTACTTATTTTTTGCACTTACTATTTATTGACTCTTTTATATAAATTTACATAATTTACTTATTTGGTGCATTTATTGATTATTGACTCTTTCCCTCTACTACAGTGTGTAGTTCTTTGAGGCAGATGGAGACCGGTGCATGTGGTGGGTGTTGCTGCTGCTGTGGTTGTTGGCCCAGGACACAGCTAAAAACTCAACCCAGGTCTTCCTGGCTCCACATCTGGAGGTCTATTTTCTCCCCAACTCTAGCCGTGTAGGTGCAGGGCGCCAACCCTAATTCTTTATTACCCTAAAGGTGTTACAGGACTATTTAATTCACAAACAGGGAAGAGATTCTCCCTTTACCAAGCCTCTTCTATTGCAGTTCTCAGTTGCTGTGATGTTCTCCATGCAGACATGGCCTGATCTACTATTTCAACCTTAACATTTCTCAACCACTAAGAAATTTTAGTTTAGTTTTGAATCCCAAGCACCCGGGACACTGGAATAGTGATCATGGAGGAAAGGCAAGTTCTAACCTTTCTAATGAAGGAACAAGAAAACAAAAGCCCAAACCTTTATTGTAAATCATGACAGGGTGCCCAAATCGAACACAAAATGTAATTTTACATTTTATGTAAAATTGGATGCTATTTTTGAATACCACTGGGTGCTTGGAATTCAAACATAAACCAAACCCCTGCATTAATTGCCCATAGAAATTGATCCTGTAATCAATATCCCTCTGAAAATTTACACTAGATCTCTAGCTTTATGTTTTGAATCAATCTCACATTGAACTCACAACGTGACACCAGTTTCTGGTGTTTGTCTTTAAGATAAGCAGGCATAGGGCCTATACTACACCAGGTCTCCAGAGTTTTTATTAAAAGTGTCTTATCTTACATGTACTGTAAGTGAACAGGTGCTCACATCCCATAGGGCACTGGGAAAAGGATCCTTGAGTGCAAAATGTCACAGGTTGCACAAATCCCATTGTCATTTCAAGGAGACTCCTCACTACATTCCTAACCAAAAAGCCAAATTGAATTATTATAGAATTCTGGAATGAACCTCCTAATCCTTTCACAAATCTCTGTCCATCTGCTTCCATCTGACCACACTGGTATATGATCCACCCATGTGAAGACTCTTACTCAGACAAATCATTGGAGATTTTTAGTCAGAGTATAATTTATGTACCAAGTCAAAATATCTATCTGGAAAATATTAGAAAAAGTCAATATAACGAAAAGCTTTCCCTTGTCTCTTTCTTGAAATTCTTCTCTAGCTTAACCTAATTTCCTAAGTCACTTAGAGGCCTTTAAACAAAATGAAATCTTAATGATGTCTCTGCCATGAATAATTAATTGTTGGTGTACAATCTTCTCAACAAAATCCATTCTCATTAGATTAGAGGTTTCCGCAAGATACATGAGTTCATTATGGACATTTTTACATCCTTCTTGTATCTTTCTTTCTTTGTCCATTTTATCTGTGCTGTGATCTGAGATTCCATCACCCTGACAGCCTTCCAAAGAGAAGCAGTGGTCAGGCAATTAAAGACCTTTGAGAAGTGGTAACGTCTTCCTGCTTCAAAACATGGCAGCGTAACTGGAGAGGAAACAATGAACAGTGAAGGCTTGAACTGACCATGGTGGTTTGGTCTTTCAGTGGGAAAGAGGAGGATCTGGGGAAGACAGACTTACCTGTCCTCTTAGAAACTTCTACATCCATCAGTCTTCTGTCTCATGAGAAAGCCTTGAAGACCAGAAAGTCCTGGGAAGAAAGGAACATTGCACCAACCGAACCTCTTGTGTTTTCTTTTCAGATGCTGAAATGCAAGGTCATAGACACAATGGAGAAACTTTAGAGGCCATTTCCTGCTCATTGGACAAATAGCTGGCCACTGCCATGAGTTACAGGTCTAGCCACTGTGCTTCTATGAACTTTGTCCCCATCCCCTTCCCAATCCCTCCTTTTCATTCTTCCCTCCTCCATCCTCACATACAAATGTGTTCAATTGTTCCAACTGTATTGCTGAACCAAGTCAGATTTATTAAATCTATGTTTGAATTTAAAAGCCTAATCTGGAAGAAGAAAAGAATCTCATATACAACTTCAAACACGTTTGAATTTTTCCTCCTAGACATAAAGTATATACACTGGATTATGCCTAAATTACTGTATTTTAAAGTAATGATTCAAAGAACAGTTAGGCATAGGACAGGCTTTGCAGATGTCAGGCACAGAGTTCTTTGTTTCATACATTTTTTACATAGCTATAATCACCCAAGAGACACAATCCTGTATCCTGTTCTTGCTCATCTGTCATGTACATTTTTGAGGTTATAACATTGTTTCTACAAACATCAATTAGAAATATTGCATGGCACTCCATCGAGTCGATACACTCTATTTCAATAAACCATGGTCTTTTCCTTCCATTTTTTAACTACTGTTAATAATGGTGCAATAAGCGTCCTTATGTAAAAAGCTTTTCTGATATTTAGGATTATTTCCTTAGATTCAGCTCTTCTAAGTGGAACTGCTGGATAAAGGAGAATACTTAGGTTTTTGAGATATGCTGTGAAATAGCTTTTCCAAAACACTGTTCGACTTTATGTTCCCACATATACTGTCAGCTGGACCAAAGTGAAAAAGATCAATGAACTTGCAGTTTCAGGTGGTCACAATGTACATAAGAGACTGACTTTAAATATTTATTATGAAATGTACAGTACATACAGAAAAGTATATAAAAATTATATGGTTTAAAGAATAATAATGGCCGGGCACAGTGGTTCACACCTGTAATCCCAGCACTTTGGGAGGCCCAGGGTGGGCAGATCACCTGAGGTCAGGTGTTCAAGACCAGCCTGGCCAACTTGGAGAAACCCCGTGTCTACTAAAAATGCAAAAATAAGCCGGGCGTGTTGACACATGCCTGTAATCTCAGCTACTCAGGAGGCTGAGACAGGATAATCACTTGAACCCAGAAGGCAGAGGTTGCAGTGAGCCAAGATTGTGCCACTGCACTCCAGCCTGGGTGATAGAGCAAGACTTTGTCTCAAAATAATAATAATAATAATAAAATTAACACCCATGTACCCACTATCCAGTTTAAGAAATAGAATATTATGACCACATTAGCAGCCCCTCTTGTGCCTGCATTAGTGTATCACAGCAGCTACAGACAGATCTCAAAATGTCATTGATGTAAAACACACACACACATACATTGATGTCCCTCTCACATCACGGTCCATGCAGGCTCAGGAGCTGTCCTTGCCACCTCCAACAGTAATTTAAGACCCTGGCTCTGGCCCCATTGAAACACAAGCTCTGGAACAAATTTAGGACTGTTAAGAGTCTTAACAGTAATTTAAGACTCATCATTTCACCACCTTGGAATTTTTGCTTTTAGTTAAGTAGAATAAATAAGAGAGGACACAGAGAACTTACATCTGCTTTTAACTGCCTTTCTCAAGGAGTGACACATCTCTGCCTTCTTTGGTAAGAGCTGCCACACGGCCTCGACTTAACTCTAAAGGGGGTTGGAAATGTGGCCTCCTTTATGTCTGAACAATACTGTCCATCACACATTGCCTCTGCCACAGTGTCCTTATCCCCGACAGATAACCCCTTCCTGCCTTCTGTGTTAGTCACTCCCTTGCTTTTCTTTAAATAGTGTTGTAAAAATTGCCTAGGAAGCACAAGTCTGTGTAAGAGAAGGAAAATATCAACGCTATTCTACAAGGGTTCCCAACAGAAGAGAAGGTGGAAAAATGGGCATCACAGGCTGGCTTCCGCTTCCCTGAGAATCTATGAGAGCCCTTTCTAGGGATGTCTGCAGGCAAGGTTATGGCTAAGTCATGGAAACCATAAATTAACACATCTGGAGCATCAGACAGAACTATAATTTGAACCACCTACTAGACACCTGTCAGAAAGAGCTTCGGAGGGAGGAGGCTGCTCGGCATTTTCTTCTAAATTCACAGCGCTCCTCTGTCAGCCCTCAGGAGGAGTTCAGAGCTAACCCAAGCATCAAGGGGAGAGCAGTAGCTTTAATAGCACTGAGCCAAGAGAAGAAACAGGACCAGCCTCCCCCAGGCATTCTTCCTCGGGTCTCACAGACAGTACTAAGACAGCAGGGATCTTGCGATGATGGCCCTCAACTCACAGAGGCTGCCTTCCAGCTCCACTGTTGGCCACCAGCCTGGGAGCTCCCTTCATCATCAGCCTATGGGTTTCCTTCACCTCTCTCCTGCTTTGAATCTCCAGATTCCAGTGCCCCCAGCTCTTTATTCCTTGGTTTACTCTTTATCATTTGTTATTCTTTGAACATAGGGAGCTTTCATTATTTTAAAGTTGTAACTCATAACTCCAATGTCTGGAGTCCTGACGGCCTTTTCTATTGTCATTCTTTCTGCCAGAAACATACCGTCCAGCAGCTTCTTAAGAAATGGTGCGTGACAGGTACGTTTTTTGAGAAAATACATAGGCATTTTTGAGTTTGCAACATGTTTTTTACAACCATCATAGAATGGCAGCATGACATTCCATTGAGTGTACTATGGTTTGGCTGTGTCCCCACCCAAATCTCATCTTGGATTATAATCCCCATAATCCCCATGTGTTGTGGGAGGGACCCAGTGGGAAGTAATTGAATCATGGGGTGGTTTCCCCATGCTGTTCTCATGATAGTGAGTTCTCACGAGATCTGATGGTTTTATAAGTGTCTGGCATTTCCCCTGCTGGCTCTCATTGTCTCTCCTGCTGCCCTGTGAAGAGGTGCCTTCCACCATGATTGTAAGTTTCCTGAGGCCTCCCCAGGCATGCAGAACTGTGAGTCAATTAAATCTCTTTTCTTTATAAATTACCCAGTCTCGGGTATTTCCTTGTAGCAATCTGAAAATGGACTAATACAGAGTGGATACATCCTATTTTACCATACCATGCCCTTTTTAAAGATACTTTATATTGTTTTTCATTTTTCACTACTATTAGTAAAGCTGCAATGAGCATCTTTCCACATATGGATGCCCTCCATGAACAAGGTAACCTGGTGGGCACTATGGAGAAAAAGTAAGGACACAGTTTAGTGGGCACAAAACAAGAAAATGACAGCAAAGGGAAGCAAGTATATATCTACACACACACACACACGCACACACACACACACACACACACGCATGCCTAACAGAGAAGCATGTGATTATGTTTTCCTAAGAGTCTGGGGTACAAAATGCCCTCCGGCAAAAACTAAAGTTCTCTGAGGTCTTTGTGTGTGACTTAATTACACATGCTAATTTTCCGTTTTAATCCATAATTATCATGATGGTTTTGACATTGAATAATAATCTTTTAAATTACTTACCAGTTACCTCATCTGTGGCACCAATTTTAGTTGCTACTTCTCTGAAACCTCCACATCCGTGCCCTATACAATCCATCTCTCAGGTTCCAGTCCAGCATCCAAACCTGGACCCCTCCTCCTGGAAGTCTGTCTTCCGCTGTTCCTCCCTTTTGCCTCCAACTCATCGTATTTAGAACTGAAACAGCATCCCCGATCCACCTCAGATCTGCCTCTAACCCTTATTCCAGCCTAGGATATGAAGATTCTATTTCCATTATAAATCTACCAGATATCAGCCAATTTAATTAGGTGGAAGACTTTTATTCTGTGGAGGTTTCTCACAAAAAAACAAGCGAAGGTGGCTAAAGTATTACCAAGGGACTGTTGCCCTCTGCCCTTTGACAGGAGTAAGCGAGGACTCTTCGTCATTCTAGAGGGGTTCAGAGTACCCAGAGGGCCCAGAAGCCCCAGCAGTGACTGGCATGGGAAAGAAAAATGGCGGGAAGTACAGGATGACAGGAAAAAAGAGAGAGTCAAACACTTCTCTCTGAACACAACTTTGTAAAAGGACTGGGCTACAAGGAACCCAGTCTTTTATTCAAATTACTTCTCATTACTTAACTGAAACTCAGTTTCCTCAGTTGTAAAACAGTAATAACAGCTGTCCACCTTGAAGACATGTTATTGTTTAATTCTTACATTTAATAAATATTTCTAGAATATTATCTGTAGAGTTGGTGCTAAGGATATCACAATAACAGGACATAGTTCCTGCCTTCAGGGTCCCTGTGGTCTGCTTGTAAGAGAGACCCAAGGAAAGAGGCAATCACACTATAGTAGAATAAGTGTTTCCCAGGTATGCACAAAATGAGATCATGACTTTATAGTGCTTAGCAAATGTTAGAGTGTTGTACAAATATTGGCTTTATTAGTACTGGGCACTCCTGATCCTATTCAGGGATCTCTAACTACTCTTGCTCTGTTCCTCCCCACCAAGCCACGAAGCAGAAGGCCAGCCTTGGTACCCACAGCCTCTTCTAAAGACAACTGATGCTAAAGCCTCTGCTGAAGGGGCAGGACCAAATGAGCCTGGCAACTGATCCCACCTCACTCTCAGGCAGCAGGTGATGGAACTGCGTTGACACTAAGCCCAGGCAACCCGTCAATATGCTGACTTTTGACACATGATATTGTCTAGCAAGAAACTTTGTGTTGAGACAGTCAGGTTCCTTCTTTTGAGAATTTTAACTTGGAAACACAGATAGGAATCCAGCAGTCAACAACAGGGCTGAAACTGGAAAAATGCATAGAACCAAGACATGAGGCAGAAATGGGAGGATGAAGGATCATAACAGGCAGCGGTTACTAAGAAGCTATAAGTAGAGAAAAGTATACCAAGCAGAGGGAAAGACTGAAAACATCTGCAGTGAGAGGATTGTGGAAAAGATGCACAAAGAAAACTGATGCTGGCCGGGCGCGGTGGCTCACGCCTGTAATCCCAGCACTTTGGGAGGCTGAGGCAGGTGGATTACCTGAGATCAGGAGTTCGAGACCAGCCTGGCCAACATGGTGAAACCCCGTCTCTATTATAAATACAAAAATTCCCTGGGCATCGTGGTGTACACCTGTAATCCCAGCTACTCAGGAGCCCATGGCAGGAGACTCACTTCAACCCAGGAGGCGGAGGTTGCAGTGAGCTGGGATTATGCCACTGCACTCCAGCCTGGGCAACAGAGAAAGACACCATCTCAAAAAAAAACCAAAAAAAAAAAAAAAAAAAAGGAAAAAAAAAGAAAACTGACGCTATTATAGACACCTTAGGCCATGAGGGCAGCGACAGCGGGTATGGCTGGTCCTGCAGGTGACTTTCCACTTCCCCTGCTCCTTCCTCTTTTATTTATATTTTCCTACCAAAAAAAAAATGAAACCTTACAAAGCCAAACTGAAAAGATGCCTTTGAGCACACAAAAATCATACTCACTCTAAAGTCTATTGACTGATTGAATTCTCAGATACATTTCTTCTTTCACTGTTTTTAAAATTACCGTCTTCTATATGCAAAATCTAGAAGGAAAAATACAATTAATTTTCATGACATCACATACTATTTTACTATTTGTTTGCAGGCCATCAACAAACTTCCCTTATGAGAAAATCCTAACTGTAATCAAGAAAGCAAATATCTCCCAAAAGCTCATTGGAGAAATGGCTGATTCTAGCACTGGAGCAGAAAATATACAAGATGAGCCTGGAACATCTTATTATGCCAGGAAATAAGCAAGTGCTCAAAAGAAAAGTCTCAATGATGGGGATATATCAAAGGAACACAACATCACTAATTAGCATGGAAATGCAGATCAAAACCACAATGAGATATCATCTCACTCCAGTTAAAATGGCTATGATCAAAAAGACAGAAAATAACATGCTTGAGGCCATGAAGAAAGGGCAAGCTTGTACACATAGGTGAAAATATAAATTAGTATAACCACTATGGAAAACAGTGTGGAGGTTCCTCAGAAAGCTAAAAATAGAGCCACCATATGATCCAGGAATCCTGCTACTGGGTATCTATCCAAAAGAAAGGAAACCAGTATACCAGAGATATCTGCACTCCCATATTTACTGCAGCACTATTCACAATAGCAAAAATGTAGAATCAACCTAAGTATCCATCAACAGATGAATGGATTAAAAAATGTGGCATATAGACACAATAAAGTACTATTCAGCCATGAAAAGGAATGAAATCTTGTCACTTGCAGCAACATGAATGAAACAGGAAGACATTATGTTAAATGAAATAAATCAGGCACAGAAACACAAATATCACATGTTCTCACTCTCATGGGAGAGCTAAAAAGTGGATCTCAAGAAGATAGTAGATTGGTGGTTACCAGAGGCCAGGAAAGGGTGAGGGGGAGGCAGGAAGAGAAGTTGGTTAATGGGTACAAAAATACAGTTAGATAAAAGAAATAAGTTCTCGTGTTTGATAGCACAGTACAATGACTATAGTTAACAAGAACTTACTGTGTATTTCAAAATAGCAAGAAAGGAAGATTTGGAATGTTCCCAACACACAGAAATGATAAATTTGAGGTGATGGATATCCCAATTACCCTGATTTGAGTACACATTATATGCTCGGATCAAAATGACACATGTACCACATTAATATGTACAATTATTATACAGCAATTAAATAGGAACATAGGAGCCACCTGAAAGAGCTCCCAATGGCCAAAGCTGAAACAATTTTAGCAATAAAATAAAGTCATATTGGATTAAAACCCAATGTATAAAATAAATATCCATGAGTCTATACTAACACAAATAAATGGATTGAATAAATAAATAATTGGGAGGCAAGAGATAAATCCCTCCATAGAGAAGAATTCCAAATAATTTACGTAGATACTCCATCCTCAAAGCAGTGAGGCATAACTCCCTGCTCCTTCTTGGCTGCACACAGTGACTTCCTTCCAAAGAGCTCAGTGTGGAAGGCAGGTGGGAATTACTTTACAGTGGGGAAACCTGACAAATACTACCAGGTGGCCAGGTGGTGAAGGTCAATATCATGTGTTTCTTTTTTGAGATGGAGTCTCGCTGTGTCACCCAGGCTGGAGTGCAGTGGCACAGTCTTGGCCTACTGCAGCCTCTGCCTCCTGGGTTCAAGCAATTCCCCTGCCTCAGCCTCCTGAGCAGCCTGCCACCACACCCAGCTAATTTTTATGGACTGCCACCATGCCCAGAGATACTATGTATTCTTGATATGATATGACGAAAATGGCACATTACCCCTGTTGTCTTCCTCCTAAAAACACATAGCCCCAGTTTAATCATGAGAAAAATATCAGACAAATCCCAAATCAAGAGACATCCTATAAAAATACTCCACCCATACTCCTCAAAAATATCAAGGACATCAAAAACAAAGAAATCTGAGAAATTGTCACACCCTAGAGTAGCATAAATAGACATGACATCTAAATTTAATGTGATATCTTGGAATCCTGGAGGGGATTCTGGAACAGAAAAGAGACATTAGATAGACTAAGGAAATCCAAATAAAGTATGGACTTCAGTTAATCATGATGTATCAATAATGGTCCATTAATTGCAACAAATATCCCCTACTAAGGTAAGCTGATAATATAGGGGGAACTGGCTGCAGAGAATATGGTAACTCTGTATCATCTTTGCAATTTTTCTGAAACTCTAAAACTGTTCTAAAATTAAAAGTTCATTTTTGAAAGTTAAAGAAGTTAAAGAAAAATATCAAAAGCAGCATTAAGCAATTGGGGCCATCTTTATCTATATGTTTTTGTTTTAGACAGTAATGATTAGATCCCTGTAATAAAAGACAAGGTCTGGAAAAAAAAAAAGTCTCCCAAGAGAATTGCTAAGTAGGGCGTTGGAATAAGGTGTTATCTTACTAAGCAAATACTATGGCCATAGAGGTGGATTGTCTGCTGATTTATTCTAAAGTAGAGGCTGCCAAAAATTTAAATAGCTCTTGCCCAAAATGTAATGGTCTAATTCAACTACCAGGAGCCACCTCTGGACACAGAAAGCGAGACAGCAGAGCTCAATGCTTAACTCCTACAGGAACTTCATTCCTCTGTCTGGTGCCAACAGTACCTTTGAGCCACCTGTAAAAGTGGCCAGGCTTATTCTCTATATTTTTCTATATGTTTGAAATATTCCATAATAATGTTAAGAACATTTTTGTAATTTTTATTAGCTTTCAATTTTGAAATAATTTCCAACTTGATGAGAAAAGTTGCAAAAATAGCACAAAGAATTCCCACATACCCTTTACCCAGCTTCCCCAAATGTTAACACTCTGCATAGTTATAGTACAGTGATCAAAACCAAGAAATTAACATCGAAGCAATACTATTAGCTCACCGACAGATTGCATCAAAAAGTTACCAATCGTCCCACTGAGCTCCTTTTTCTGGTTCAGGACCCACGGTGCATTCACAGCTGCCATGTCTCCCGCCTCCTCCAGTCTGGGGCAGTTCCTCGGCCTTTGTCTTTCATGACCTTGACATTTTTGAAGAGTCAGTGTAAAATCATTTAAACTCATTGAGTTTATGACAATCTCCCTAAAACTGTTCTGAACTGAAGGCAGCTCTTCAGCGAGTTGCCAGGCCGTCAGGGAGCAACCTTGATACAGTTTCTCAAGCTGGACAACTCTGCAGCCTCTGCAGCCCCCAGAGGGGCAGGAAGCGCATGGGAAAGTGGCACAAGGGCGGGACTGCACCTCACTGGGATTCCGGACAACCAGTATCCTGAGCACCTAACAAGGCGCCAAGCTCCCACGTGCCTAGGTACCTCCTCTACTCGTAGGAGCTCTGAGGAGGTGGGTGGGTGTGTGCTCCAATCCACTCGCTAGGGCTCGGTGGGACCAGGAGTTCACGGTTGTGTGAGCAAAACCCAGACGCCAGTACTGCACATCCTGGAGCCACCTGGTGGCTACAGTCTCCAGCTTTCTCAGGGCCCGAGAGTATCCTGTCTTCCATGTTTTTTTCACGCTCTGGTAAGGTAGCATCCTTCCCTCCAGGGTCTCCAAGCCCTGAAGTAACCTTCCTCCAAGGGCCACCGCGGAAGAGATGTGCAGTGTTACAGCACCATCTAGTGCTAAAAATAGTACAGTGCAGCCATAGCATCCCTGCTGCTCCAGTCACAGCTCCTGGGGGTGTAATTAATAATTTAGCAACCTGTCAAGATTTAACAAGTTGACTCTAATTTCACGGTGTGACAAGCCAGTCTGGTTTACCAAGGAAGAGGCATTGGAGTCAGATGAATCCCTTGTCTGCCCTTACCAATGTGTCTTGCTCTGTCTCTGACAGTCCAAACCTTATTTTCCTCATAGTTAAAATGGGACTAATACTGTATTCAACATTGTTATAATGTACCTGGATAAGTCCTGGGATGATAGAAAGTCCCAATAAGCATGTATTGCTTCTCATCCTCCTCCTTACCCTCTTGTATACAGAGGATTTCCATGACAACCTGGAGCCGTTAAAATGGAAGGGACTCTCCTCCATGAGGTGTGATGTTCATCCAAAGAGCCGGACAAACTATAAAACCCTGAGGCCACTCCATGGTTAGGAGCCGGGACTCGGAATCTGAATTGGCTTATTTTGAATACCAGCTCTGATGGTTGCTGGTTTTTCCATCTGTAAAATGGCGATGGTAGTGATGATGCCTGTCTCCTAAGGCTGTTGTGAGGATTAAATAAATTAATACCTACAAAGCACTTAGAAGGCAATAATGTCGTAAGTGTGAGCTATCATTAATAACATTTCTTAGCAATCTGGACCCAAAAAAGGCAGGAGGTGGGGGAAGGCTCAGAGCCACCATTTATTTGATTTATAAAAGAAAATGTTCCACTTCTTGTCCTTTTGAATAGTACTCTACCTCTCATGTTTTCCCCTAAACACACACACACATACGCACACAATCTTCAAATATTTAGAGTCTGGCTCCTCTTCGACCAACTCCAAGTCTCAGTTAGCTTCCTGGGCCATCTCCAAGGTGAGGCAGGGCCACAGGCAGCCCATCTGAGCCTCACAGACAGCCCAAATACCTCAGCCATCGGTATAGTACTGGTAAAGCAAGCCCTTTATCATTATGAAATATCCTTCATACTCTGGTAATACCTGAAAGTTCACTTCGTGTACTAAATACACCAGCTTCCTTTTGGTTAATACTTGCATGATAGTCCTTTTTCCATCCTTTTACTTTCCATCTTTCTGTATCCTTGTTTAAGGTATGTTGTTTTTAAGTCTCAGAGAATTATATTTGTTCTTTATCCAGGGTGATAATAATATTGCCTTTGAATTGGAATATTTAGTCCACATATGCTTGATGTAGAGATTGATGCATGTGGGTGTTTGTTTTCTATTTGTTCCCATCTGTTCTATGCGCCTTTTTTTCTTTTTGCCTTCCTTTGGATTATTTTATTTCATATTCTCCTTCTGTTATCTTGTTAGTTTTACATACTCTTATTCTTTTACAAAATACCGTAGAAACTGAAACATGTACCCCTGATTTATTAATTTCTAATATAAATCAGTGCCTCCACCATTTTCACTTTCAAGACAATTCAAGGACTTCAGAATACTTTAATTCCATTTACCCAGGGGTCCACAGTCCCCAGGCTGTGAACCAGTACTGGTCAGTGGCCTGTCAGGAACTGGGCTGCACAGCAAGAGATGGGTGGCAAGCCAGCAAGCATTACCGCCTGAGCTCCACCTCCTGTCAGACCAACAGCAGCATTAGATTCTCATAGGAGCGCTAACCCTATTGTGAACTGTGCATGTGAGGGATCTAGGTTGTGCACTCCTTATGAGAATCTAATGCCTGATGATTTAAGGTGGGACAGTGTCATCCCAACACCATGCTCCCAATCCCTCCACCCCTCCACCCACTGTCTGGGAAAAAATTATCTTCCACAAAACTGGTCTCTGGTGCCAGAAATGTTGGGGACCCCTACATTTACCTCCCTCCACACTTAACGTGCTTCTCTTGGTGATGTATTTTAGTTCTTTATATATTTAAGACCCCAGAAAGTAAAAAGTTGTTTCACACATTCAATATTTATTTAGTTTTATACACATACTTACCCTTTCCATTGCCTTTCAATGCCTTTCTGCACCTCCAGCTGTGGTCAGTGATCATTTTCCTTCTGCTCCAACAACACCCTTTAGTACTTTCCTTTCATACTTTTGGTACTTTTCATTGGTGGCAAATTCTATTTTCCTTTGTCTGGACGTGTCTTTGGAAGGATATTTTTGCCTCATAGTCTTCTAGGTTGACTATTATTTTCTTGAAGCTCTTTGAAAACACCATTCCATTTTCCACTATCATTACTTCTGCTGAAAATTCCCTCTCAAGGCTTGCTGTTGCTCCTTTGAAAGTAATATATATTTTTCCTCTGGCTACTTTTAAAATTAGTCTTTGTTTTCCAGTAGTTTTACTATGAAGTAATTAAGTATAACTTTCATTGTAACTTATCCTGCTTAGAGGTCAACAGCATTTCTTATTTATGTGGCTTAATGTCTTTCATTAATTTGGGAACAACCTTAACCATTAACTCTTCGAATAGTTGTCTTCCTATTTACCCCCAGCACCAGTCTGGATATTTTCTTATCTTTCATTTCATTACCTATCTCTTAAGTTGTGTCTATCAGAGCCATCTACTGATTTCTTAAATTGTTATATTATTTTTCAATTCTAGAATTTTAAACATAGTGTCCAGTTCTCTCCTGAAGTTGTTCCATTTGGTCATTTAATTCATGAACATTTTAATCATAGTTATTGTAAGACACCGGTCAGATAATGTTAACTACGTGAATTTCCTGGAGGTCTGTTTCTATTGTTCACTTTCTCATTGTTGGTCGAATCTTGTGTTTTTGCATTCCTATTTCTTAAGCAGACTTTGAAAACAATTAATAGAGAAAATTTGAGAAATTAGACCATGTCCTCCTTCAGAGGGGCTTTGTTTTTGCTTCTGGCTATCCACTAGATCTGAGGCTGGGCTTCAGTCCTTGTGAGGACAGGCCCATAACCAATTCACCTTTAATCAAAGAGTAGCTCTTTGGGGTCCCACGAGAAAGTCTGGGGTGTTTTCCAGGGCTGCTTCTACTTGGACCCCAACTCTAATTTTTGGTCTGCATTAGTCTTCTACAAATTCTGTTCAGTTTCTCAGCCCCTGCCCTTGAATTAGCAAGTCCCTTGAGGGGGAAACGAACAGTATCAAATGTAGGTCTCTCGAATATTAGCCCTTGCTTTCTCAACAGCCCTCTGATCCCTGAATAGGTATGTATATTCTGGCTTTTGTCCTTTCCTCAGCAGAAGAGTTGGTGCAAAACAAGCTAATCTCCCTTTGCTCAAGGCTGAACTCTCCACATTCCTTATTTGCATAATTAATTAATCTTGGAGTCCATGGTCTAGAGTAGAATAGACTTGGGTTCAAGTCTCCATTGTGTTACTTACTAGCTGTGTGTTTTCAGGTGAGCTATTTAACTTCTTAAAGTCTTAGTGTCCCATCTGGAGAATGGAAGCAACAATGGTACCTACCTTGAGTTATTTTAAGGATTTTTTAAGATGCAGGCATAGCATTTAGCACAGAGCCAGGAATACAGCAAATATTTAAACATAAATAACATCAAGCATTAAAGCATTCCAAGTAACAGTTGTTATCATTATGTAATGGAAAGGATGGCACAACAGCAGCCTGTCTCCCATGCACCCCCTGTGAAAGAGTAACTACCTGGGGGAAGATCCTATACAGGTCTAAGTTTTTCCCCCTTGCTCATCCTATGGCTTTGGAACACTTGGATGAAACAGCTTACTGCACCACATCAAATGGTTTGTGCAGGTGTTGGTATGCTCTTTTTGGAAAGCAGATCAATTGGAGGAAGGGTCAGAATTTAGCAGTAGGATCAAAAAAGTAAGCTTTGGCAACAAGACCCATGAAACTGGTCCCCTACACTATGGCCTCCAGGGTTTATCCCCAAAGTGTAATGGGAGGACAGGTGCAACCACTGGGGTTTGCTCTGGAAAGAGGAGACAGGTCTTTTGCTGTCCTGCCCGTATCAGGGTTGAGACTTCATTGTGCTTGGGAAAGGTTTTCCACTTACTAAGAATTCTGGACAGTAAAGGGGCCCTAGAGGCTTTGACACAGGAACCCTGAGTAATTATTCTCTGCTCTCTTGTAAGAAAAACATTTCTTTCGAATATTCCATAATTTTTAATAAAAGGCTTGCATTGTTCACAACACATTCAAGAAGTATTATCATTGATTTTGCTTTTTGAAATGTTTAAATATTGAAACATCCAAAATACTAATGTGGATAAAATACAACAAACTTGCTTTGTACCCACCATGTGTTTGGTTTCTATCACTTTCCCAAGCTGCAGTTCCAATGTGCAATGCTAGCAATACCACCGGCAGAGGTGAGCCAGCTGGCCAAATTGGGCCTCCCAGGAATGATCTGGTAGATGAGAACACCACAAGCCAGAGCCTGGCAGTTTTGCACATCCAGCAACACCATTCCAGATACTGCAGGCCTCAGGGTCTGACGTACACTGGACTTCGAAAAAGCTGATGTATCACGTCATATTGTAGTCTTTTAACGGTGAGGCAAGGCCGGACGCAGTGGCTCACGCCTGTAATCCCAGCACTTTGGGAGGCCGAGGCAGGTGGATCAGGAGGTCAGGAGTTCAGGACCAGCCTGGCCAAAATGGTGAAACCCCATCTCTATTAAAAATACAAAAATTAGCTGGGCGTGTTGGCAGGCGCTTGTAATCCCAGCTACTTGGGAGGCTGAGGCAGAGGTTGCAGTGAGCCGAAATAGTGCCACTGCACTCCAGCCTGGGCGATAGAGTGAGACTCCGTCTCAAAACAAACAAGCAAACAACAACAACAAAAAAACACAGAGGCAAGAACTGCCACTGGGACTGTGTATTTGAAGCTCCAAATATGGCCTTTCCTGCCACTAATTTGAAAAGCCTAATTTCAATAGCGATGGTAGAAAGAGCCAAGGAAAATAGTTACAATACTGGTGAGCTGTGGCATCTAATTATGTCACCAAAGTATGATGTGAATGTCTCCAATTCTCCAGCCCTCCAGATCACCCTTTTCTTTTACCTATCTAACATAAATCTGACCCTCTCACTGTAGGTCTAGTCTTTATGGTAATGTATAATAATGTAAGAAGTCCTAGAAGTGTTTATATTCCAGAAACATATATCCTGGTTGTTACTAGTCACAATCTGGCCTTGAGACCAGTGTTTGGATTACCCCAGCCACCTAGGTACCATCTGGCCCCAGTATGGACACAGTCCCTCCCTGAATCATCCAAAACACAGCTCACATTGGGCTGTAGTTCTTGACAAAGACTTAATGAATGTGAGGCTAACAGAAGGGAATTAACAATGTAGGAAAAATAACAGTGGCTCACGCATTTCAGTGTTCTTAGAACCTGTGACATCCCTTCACAGGAGTTTATAACCAGGACCTTTCTCCTTAGGCCCCACCCTGCTGCTAGGAGGCAGGGACTTGCTCATTTCCTCCAGAGGGGTGTCCCCACAATGCTGCCCACCCCCAGTGAGATCTACAGCTCCAATTATCTTCTCTCCAACTTCCAACAGAAATGAAACTGATCAGTCTCACAATTAACTCTGCATCCTCTCCCCACCCTGTACCTGGCTTTAGGCTCTGACCCATGGGGCATTTCTGCCAGCTTTGATAGTTTATCTATTTAGCTCCCAGGTTAAAATCCAGACCTTTCTTCTGGATGCAATAATTACATCAGTCTTGAAATAAGCCATCCCTAATCATGGACCCAAACAGTGTTCAAATGTGGCCATAGCTCACTCTGCTGAACATCTGCTAATTCTGATTTTTTTCCTAGTAACCAACAATGCAATGAATATCTGGAAAGCTAAATCTCACACATGCATGACATCCTTTCAAACTTCTGCTGGCACTCATCCAGGACTGAACTAAATACCAGGTTCTCCCCAACTTCATCCCTTCTATATGGTGAGAGAAACAAGGAAATAAATGTAAACTGCAACAGTGTTAAAGGCAAAGTAATAAACTGTGCTTCCAGGGAAAAGCCTCCCAAAGAATTGGCAATTATGCTGAGATCTGATGAGTCATTAGTGCTAGTGAGGCAAAGAAGGAAGAAACTGTGTGTGTTTGCAGCAAAAAGAACAGCAATTTAAAAAGTCCGGGGCTGGAAGGTGCAGGAATTGGAAGAGCAGCCTAGCTAAACCAGGAATTAAGGAGGAGCTCAAACTGACAGGAGGCGAGAGCACAACCTTTCAGGATTTTGTAAGCCATGTTCATTAGTCTGATTTGTATTCTAGGAATAAGAGGATGACAGTGAATGATCTGTGCACATTTTGAAAATCTGATACTTGCTGGAAAGGCTATATTCTGTTTTACATTCCCCTACAGTTTCACCAACACTAAATATCATCTTAAGAATATGGTAGTTTTAACTACTGGATACTACCTTTTTTCATCTTTATTACCCATTTCCTATTGGAGTGCTTTTTTTTTTTTTTTACTGGATACAAATTATTTTTTACTGGAATGAATTTAAGACTTCATTTATTACCTTTTCTATCTTTTGTGCTCTAATTATTTGCCTTTAAATTACTTATGTCAAAACATTATATACTCAGCAATCTTTAAAGATTCTGCCATAAAAGTGTTCTCTCACTCCAATGTTATATATTCACCCACATTTTCTTAGTATTTCCACGATTTGATTGTTCATATTCAATCATGTCTTGAAATTTATAAATAGAAATCTAACTTTACTTTTCAAACGCTTAACTAAGCAGTCATCCCTGATAATGTCACTTTTATCATTGTAAGTAAACAAATCAGAAAATAATTTATTGATGTTTTCTTAATCTTCTACTGTTATCTAATCATATATAAATATATATAAATATATAAATTATATATATAAATATATAAATATATATAAATAAATTATATATATAAATATATATAAATATATAAATTATATAAAAATATATAAATTATATATATAAATTATATAAATATATAAATTATATATATAAATTATATAAATATATAAATTATATATATAAATTATATATAAATATATAAATTATATATATATATTATATATAAATTATATATAAAAATTATATATAAATATATAAATATATAAATTATATATAAATATATAAATATATAAATTATATATAAATATATAAATTATATAATATATAAATATATAAATTATATATAAATATATAAATATATAAATTATATATAAATATATATAAATTATATAATATATATTTATATATTTTTATATTTATATATATAATTGTATAATATATATTTATATATAATTATATATTTTTATATTTATATTTACATATAAATATATATAATTATATAATATATATTATATATTTATATTTATATGTAAATATATAAATATAATATATAATTATATATAATATATAAATTATATATAAATATATACAAATTATATATATAAATATATATTATAATTATATATAATTATATAAAAATATACAAATTTTTATATAATCATATATAAATCATATATATAATCATATATATATAATCATATATAAATCATATATATAATCATATATATATAATCATATATATATATTTTTTCCCCTGGGCCACTACCACATTCATAATTTTATAATGTATTTCATGTGATATAAAGTTCTCCCACACATATTTGTTTTATTTAGCTATCCCATAAGAAACTTACTGCCTTCTCATGATACATTAAATTGGCTTTCACAGGGATTTTTAAATAAACTAATGAGGTTTCAATCTAACTAGGAGATATCCATCTGGAATGGAAAGAGGTGTAAATGACCTTTAAGACTTCAGCAACCCTTCCAAACAACTACTAAAATTTACATAAATGTTTGCATGTAATGGGTGAAGAGTTTGAACAAATATCCCATAAAACTGTTTACCATAATTGACTTTTTATTTAAAAAATTACACGGAGCAATTTCCAGCTTATCTTTTTTTATAAAAGTACTGCCTATATCAAACATTTTATATCACGTTAATTCCATTGAAGAGCTGCCTTTTTCTGTTAAGGTACTGATTCCAATTGATGGGATACATGCCCTTAATACAGAAAGTTTCCATTATTTATTCAAATATCAAAATTAAGATTATTGAGAAGTTTATTGCTTTATGGCTGGGCAAGATGCTACTAGCACATTTTAGGTAAATAATATTCTTTATTAAAAACTATGAGGTCATTCTGTTTAAAACTTTCAAGATAATTCACGGAAAACAGATATATCTATTCAAATTAAACATTAAAGGGCCAGGCTACTAGCTATAGACATTTATATGTGAAGCAGCTCTTTTTTTTTTTTTTCTGAGACCGAGTCTCACTCTGTCGCCCAGGGTGGAGTGCAGTGGCCCAATCTCAGCTCACTGCAACCTCCGCCTCCTGGGTTCAGGCAATTCTCCTGCCTGAGCCCCCCAAGTAGCTGGGATTACAGGCGCGTGACACCACACCCGGCTAATTTTTTTGTATTTTTAGTTAAGATGGGGTTTCGCCATGTTTGCCAGGCTGGTCTCGAACTCCTGACCTCAAGTAACCCACCCGCCTCGGCCTCCCAAAGTGCTGGGATTACAGACGTGAGCCATGGCGCCCGGCCAATGAAGCAGCTCTTTAAAGAAATAAGACATGAAAATAGGTCTGTCCTGGTATACTACACATAATTGAAATGAGTAACACCTGGAAGACCAATATTGTTACGCTATGTTCTGTTAGGATCTTTAAAAAAAAAAAAAAAAAACTCAGATATTTAGTAGTCCATTCGTGCTTAAAATATTCATATGCATGAGAAGCCTAAAGAAAAAAAACACCTCTGTACATGATGATCAAAAGAAAGTTATAAATTTTTTTGAAATTGCACTGTTATTTAAACCACTTTCCTGAAGTCAGACCCTCCTTGTAGCTGGCACAGTTTTTCAGGTCAATTGGCAACCTGGGGAGGCCCCTCTGGTATTAGTGAAGTAAAGAAGGTGGTGATGAAAGACCAAGCTGAAGCCATTAATCCAGGCCTTTGAATTGCACTGGCATCTTCACCTCCATCTTCTCCACTCTCATCTTCAAGCCCATCATCCATAAGACGCTCCTTTCAAGCAAAACAAGAAAGATACTCCTGAGTGATATGAACGAGCATTAGCTCATAATAGAATACAGTTAAATTCTTTGTAGAACAAAGGACTATGAAGTGGTATGTATGTGGTCATTAGAAATCTTTAAGGCCAAAATTGATAAATTCCTCACTGTTCCGTAAAGGGGACAACTGCCAATGCAATACAATAAATTCTTACCATGTGTATAATTTTATTTCTAGGCTATTTTCAAGAAAAAAAAAGTTACTTCTTCCCATTTAGTTATAATATATGACTGATTCAGTATAATATTCTAAGTTCTCCCAAATGAAACCACCACAATTTATATGTTAGTTTTCTTTCATGTGCCATTTCACAAATACTTATGGAACATCCAACATTCTTTCATCATGTTGGTCCCATACCGTGCTGGGAAAATCTCAGTATCTTAAGTATACAAAAGCTTCAATCACATACCATTTCTTCAAGTTCCAAGTTGTTTGCATTTTGCCCATCATTGTTAACTTCGGCATTATTGTTGGGAGCCTGCTGATGACCTCCTTCTTGCCTAAAAGGAAACCATCCAGCTTGGTGTCTGTTCAGTAAAATAAAGAGAAAATAAAATAAGTCACAGTTGTTTTTATTTGTAACACTATAAAATGTTATTAGTGTCCTATAAGAGAAAAATGATTAAAACTATAATAAATAAAAAGACCAAATCTCCCACTTCAGGACAGGGAACTACCCTTTTCAAAGCAACGACAGCAAAAGAAAA
This sequence comes from Homo sapiens, assembly GCF_000001405.40. Lineage (NCBI taxonomy): Eukaryota > Metazoa > Chordata > Mammalia > Primates > Hominidae > Homo > Homo sapiens. Next base: position 35,634,610 of record NC_000007.14, read on the forward strand.
CCAACCCAAATCTCTAAGTCTATCATGGACTCCACTGGCTCTATGTTAGTTATTAAAACATATCAGGAATCATAAATCTTTTCTGGTACTTTTCAAAATGAAATACAACTTAGATATTTGTTTGCCCCTTGGAGAGAAGGGAGCAGGGGAAAAATAGTCTACTTATGAAAAAAATCTGGCTTATACCTATAGAACTTACTATTGGTAATTCTAATGAAAGAGGATGACCTTATGCAGGAGTGCATCATACACTTGTTAAGTTCGAAATAATGGATAGAGTATGTCTCACTGAATGAACAACTTTTATAAAATACAGTAAACAAAAAATCTGCTTCTAAATAATTCTGATAAACATTCTCACTCAACAAAACCTTCCCTTGCTTTTGGCATCAAAAACATGCCAGATATCTAAAGCCCAGCATTCATATTCCTTCACTCAACATTCACAACAGACTACCCTACACCAGATTCTGTGCTGAACAGTTGCAGAAATTAAACCACAAAAAGTTAATGAACATCACTCACAAATAAACCAGTAGCATGGCTCCCATTACCATGATAAACCGACTAAAAGAAGAATAGAAGTATACAATGCTAAGGAGAATCGCAGCTCGTGAGAACGTGTACATCCAGTCTAGCCAGTCTCGATTGAAGTCTTCTTCATTTAGTACTGGACCTCCCTGTGCATTCATTTGAACATTCTCATTCATGGGTCGATTTTCTTGGGCCACTAGGTTTGGAGCTGGTGGGGGTTCTTCTCCAGGAACATGTGCCAAATTTAGAGGCTGTGAAGTAGTAGGCTGGGTTGGGTTGACATTTGATGTGGCCTGAGCTGAAACTGCAGCTTGACTGAAATAGTCACCAAAATAAATATTAAAAAGAAAAAAAAACTTTACCATACCATATTTTTTTAAACTTCTTGGGGAGCTATATGTATTTTTCATAAACCTAATATGGAATATCCCAACTCCTGCACCACATTTCTTAGGTAAGCACAAATTCCAATGGAAAAGTGGAGCCAAGGTTGATGGTAGATGTCGCACAGGAAAGGATGTTCTCTCAGCCTGCTATTGTAAGATGACAGGGGAAGGCAAAAGACGTGAGAGCAGCCATGTTAACCACTCCTCTCTCTTTCAATAAATTACCTTAACAGCTAATGAGATGTCCAAACCTTTTCATGAATGCCCCCTTTTGTTATTCTACATGGGATGAATACTCCCAAGCTCACCACCTACCTCTCCCTCAGACCCACGTTTTGAAAGGCTTGTCTAAAAATATATACTATTATTATACTGTGTGTCTACTGTCAGTGATAAATGATTTGTATTAGTATCCTAAAATCCTAAATACATCTCAGATAACAACCCTTCCACCCCAATACTGATTTGGAAGAACTCCAACTGGGGACCACTGATCCTTGTCAAGTTAGAAAGAATTGTGATTCTGAGGTTTGCTTATATAATTTGATTGCTTAAAATTTCCCAGTAAAGAATAAATTTCCTAGTAAAGTGATAATATATCTTGGATTTGCTTTAAATTATCCAACAGAAGGAAGAAAGTTGTAAAATAAGACTGACATGAATTGATAAATGTCAAAGCTGGGTGATAGGTACACATGGATTCCTTTTACTACCCTACCTTGTTATGTTTTTAAATTTTTCTACAATAAGAAGTTAATAATCAAGAGAGCACAAGAAAGTTAAATAAGTGGTTCCCAGGCTACAAAATCCTATTTAAGCCAGTATGCTAATACCTTGTACCTGTATAGGGCTTTTTAGTTTAGAAAACACTTCCTACTTCATGAATATTCTGATACACAGGTGAGTTACATTACTTTAAAGGGGAGAAACTAAGGCTCTCAAGTTAAATGATGCACATAAGAGTATATGATTTAGCAGCAAGCATAATAAGCCCCCCTTATCTTACACAGTTCTTGTGAGGTTCACAAACGAGACAAGGTGGGGTACAGCATCCAGCAGAGTACTGAGCACAAAGCAGTCACTCAAATGATAACCATTACCATGGCAACATGTAAGGTATGAACATCCTGTCTGGAGCCAAGGGCTTATGAAAGAGAGCCTTAGGATACGAGGTTCATAAAGCAGCTTAGCTTTATGGGGAAAGGTCTGGAGGAAGGACAAGGATGTAGACTTCACAGTGGGCAAGAGAATCAGTGGATATCTGGGTGGCTGCAGGAATGACTGACTTAATTATGTGTTAAGAAATGTAACCTGGCAAACCGGGCATGGTGGCTCATGCCTGTAATCCCGGCACTTTGGGTGGTCAAGGCAGGCAGATGGATCCCTTGAGGCCAGGAGTTCAAGATCAGCCTGGCCAATGTGGCAAAACCCCTGTCTGTACTAAAAATACAAAAATTACCCAGATGTGGTGGCACATATCTGTAATCTCGGCTACTGCGAGGCTGAGGCACAAGAATCGCTTGAACCCGGGAGGCGGAGGTTGCAGTGAACCAAGATTATGCCACTGCACTCTAGCCTAGGTAACAGAGTGAGACTCTGTCTCAAAAAAAAAGAAAGAAAGAAAGAAAGAAAGATAGATAGATAGATAGATAGATAGATAGATAGATAGATAGATAAAAGAAATGTAACCCAGCAGCAGTATAAGGAAATACAGTAAAAAGACTAAAAGGAGAAAGAGCTATTGAAGTCAAGTGGACTTAGAATGAGAAAAGATCTGGGTGAAACATTGGAGGTAGCATATGGGGAAGGACAAAAGCTCTATTAACTCTTCATAAAATACTGCTTTCAGGAATAACAGAAGCCAGAATCAAAGCTGTTTATGGTTAAGAGCTTGAGTAATAAGAAGAGAGCTAGTATGACTGACGAAGAAGTGAGAAAGGAGAAGGCACTTAAAGAACAGAGGAATTGAATTTTAGATGTACTGAATTTGAGGTAAAGGCTCATTCCCCTATGGAAATCTTCCAACAATAAAGCAGAGACACAGGATGAAGCACAGGAGATGAAGAACCAGGATTCATCCACAGAGAGCTAACAACTAAGACCACGCAAAAAAGAAATCCAAGAGAACTACCCCAACAACTAAATCCCATCCTCTCTACCGACTATGAGTGCTGAGAAGCACGTAGTAACAAATACGTGATGAACTGAGAAAGAAATGTTAATAAAATGAGCTATTAAAGGACACAGAAAGAGTGACCAGAAAGATAAAAAAGGTACGGAAGACAAAAGAATCACAGAAACAAGGAGAGGAGAATGGTAAAGAGAAGCTAATCCATGTTAAATGAATGCAGAATGAGTTGAGGAGAATGAAGGCTGAGAAAGTGTCCTCAATGCTAGGACTGTTCCATGCTGACCAGAATCAAAACGGACTAAATACTGAGAGTCAAGTAAGCATATTAGCTGCACTTGAGCCCTACATAAGCTATGGCCTCCCTGACATGATTCTATTCCTTTACTCATTTGACTAACTCTTCATGTATATTTGCTGCCTTCCAGTGAAACATTCCTAAGTTTTCTCCTCTTAAATTTATAAAATGTTATATTAAAAATCTGAATACTGCTAAATGTAATTAGGGAAGACAGGGAGGAGCCAAGGGCAGGGTTAGTTCATGTGAACTGGAGGTGAACCCTTTTTCCTTTAGTCAAAACAACATTAAATACATAAACAAATGAAATGCCAAATCAACTTACTTAGGATAAAAAGAAAATAAAGCAAATAACACACTGAGTAACTTAAAAAATGAACTCAGATTAACTTACTACTGCATATAATACTGATGAGCATACATCTGTTGCCACCATAGCATCTGCAGTGGGCTAAACGCGGGATACACTGGGAATCCAGGTGGAGCAGCTTGCCCAGGAAATTGGTTGTCTACATTTCTGCAAGAAATAAATAATGAGCTCTTTTAATGCTCTAGCAGCTAAAAGTATTATTCTAAATTTTCATTTCTGAACCCCAAGTCAACCATTGACAGAATATATTTAAATCTCACTGAAAAGAAAAATACTTACTTTCAACGATTCTTCAAATAAGACAATATGTCTTACATAAGTTGACCCAGGGCCCAACTATATAGAATAACTAACATTTCAGTCCAGTTTTAAAGGGAAAACAAAGAGAAACACCACAAAATGTACATCCAATCTAAACATTTATTATCTTCCCATTTCATTACATGAAGCCAAAAATACCTTCATTTTAAGTACATTTTCCTTAAGAAACAAAGCCCTAAAATAAATTTCATGACAAAATATTTTGGGGAATGGTGAAATAGACAAATGATATTTTATATTAGTAATAAACTATTATTAAAATATAGCAGCTATGAGCTGTAAAATAAAAAAGAACATTACAAAAACCTGTAAAATATTCTGTAAAGAGACAAGATTAGTAGAACATGTTCACATATACATTCTTAAAGTAGGTTAAAATTTTATTTCTTTTTTTTTTTTTGAGACGGAATCTCGCTCTTTCGCCCAGGCTGGAGTGCAGTGGCGTGATCTCGGCTCAGTGAAACCTCTGCCTCCTGGATTCAAGCAATTCTCCTGCCTCAGTCTCCCAAGTAGCTGGGACTACAGGCACGCGCCACCACACCTGGCTAATTTTTTTTTTGTATTTTTAGTAGAGACAGGGTTTCACTGTGTTGGCCAGGCTGGTCTCGAACTCCTGACCTCAGGTGATCCGCCCGCCTTGGACTCCCAGAGTGGCAGGATTACAGACATGAGCCACTGCGCCTGGCCAAATTCTATTAATTCAGTAAAACTTGTGGAAGGTCACATTTAACTTCTCCATACTTCAGTTTCCTCACTTCTAAAATGGATCTAATAATAGAATCTTCCTCACAGGATTCTTATCCTGTATTCATGAAATGTTAGCTAGTTTTATTTTTACTCTCCCCCATTCCAACACCGAACATGATGCCAAAGTGTATAATGTGAGATTTGTAGAAAATCACATATATCAAGACAACTACAGAGATAAACAGGTAAGAAAATGCACAATTCTTTGTGAATTTGCTAACTCTTCTTCACATTACTTGATTTTTATCTTTAGCTGATACTAGTTTGGTCTATCCAGAGTGAGACAAGAATAAATTCATTAGCTATAATTTTATATTCTAAAGACTGTTTACACATACAATTGGTAATAATTGATTATAGAAACCTAACTTAGAAGAGCCTGGGGAGCTAAGCCTTATCAACAGGCTATACTTAAAGAAACGTGGTGCTAGGTAAGGCATCACCTTCCCCACATATTACCTGAACTTTCCTTATTCTTGATGGAGCAGTGGCAGCCACATAGGGTCCCATCCTCAAAAGACCCTTCAATCTCCTAATATTTTATATATATTTCCTTCATATAGGGTCCTATATAAGGGGGAAAAAACTTCAGCTCTCTTGGACACAGGACAACAGATGACACAGCACCTCCCCACCTCAAAAAAAGCAAACCTCAACCCAGTTATTCCTTTAAAAAGATGTCAGTTAGTGAGCAACTCTGGAGAGAAAGCCATACCACTGAGGCAGAGAAGTATTTTAAAAACATTTGTTTTGTACAACTCAGCATTTACACCAGGGAGCTGATGCATCTCTGAGCAAATCTATAAAACTACCTAAATCAAGTATTACAGCAATATGCTGTATCTAGATGTATATTTTAAATTTTATTAGTATTTCCCATTATGAAAAAACCCATCCCCTTGAAAGTAAATCTCCACCAATCTCTATCATTAATAAGAATGTCAAACAAGTCTGTTACTTCAACTGTAAAATGGGAAGGCTGGAGTTTGTCACTGTTTTTAAAGCTCAAGGGAGAAAAGCCACTAACCATTACTTTTTTAAAAAGTTATAGCTTCCCATGTCACCCTCCTGCATGCTGCCCAAAACATATGGAGAATATAAGGTGATTGTTGAAAATATGTTGCCAAAATAAATAAATAACCTCCCCAAGTATTCTTCCCTTTTTCCCTAATAAGTTAGAAAACTACTGGACGATATAATTGCCAAATACATCCCAGGCCCAAGAGGACATACTATAATTTTCAGTTGTGTTCATTACCCTCAGACAAGATGGTATGCATTTGGTATTCTCCAGAAACAAGGAATAAAGGATCTGATGCTAAATTATAAAGTTATTAATAAAATATATAGGAATAGATACAATGAAACACATTACTTAAGAATTTAATATATGTTAGAGGATGCATCATTAAACAACAAGTTAAAGAGAACTGTTATTTAATGCTAGGGAAAAAGATGATCAAATCTGTGGGGAAAAGGAGTTTAAAAGCTTCATCTCATTCTGTATATTCAAATAACAGAGCTGAAATAAAGTATTAAGAGTGAAACCACAGATAGCCTAGAAGAAACTAGAATTATTTACCAACCCTTTGGAGGAAGGACTTTCCTAACTTAAGTAACAGAAGAAAGAAGAAAAAAAATCAACATATTTGACAACAAAATTTAAAGAGAAATGGCTAAGAAATGTTGCAATAAATTGTAGTTAATATGTTTTCTATATAAAGAACTGATAGAATAATCATTAGGATATCAACTATTAATTAAAGCAAAGATAGCTTTTTTAAGTTTGTTTGCCAAGGTAGAAAAGATTAAATAAAAATATCCATTATTGGCAAGAGGTACAGGTAAAACCTAACTCTTTGATTGCTAGTGGCAGTATAAATTGGAATAAGCCGTTAAAACACAATTACAAAATTAAAGACCTTTAAAAATGTTTTGCTCTATGGAAAAAAAATTCTAGCTCATGGATAAGAAGAATCAATATCATTAAAATGGCCATATTATCCAAGGCAATTTGTAGATTCAATGCAATCCCTATGAAACTACCAATGACATTTTTCACAGAACTAGAAAAAACTATTTTAAAATCCTTATGGAACCAAAAAAGAGCCTGAATAGCCAAGGCAATCCCAGGCAAAAGGAAGAAAGATGGAGGCATCATGTTACCTGACTTCAAACTACTGCAGGTCTACAGTAACCAAACCAGCACAGTACTGGTACAAAAACAGACACACAGACCAATGGAACAAAATAGCCCGGAAATAAGGCTGCACACCTACAACTGTCTGATCTTTGATAAAGCTAACAAAAAACAAGCAATGGGAAAACTATTCAATAAATGGTGCTAGGATAATTGGCTAGTCATATGCAGAGGATTGAAACTGGACCCACCTTCCTTACATCACAGACAAAAAATCAACTCAAGATGGTTTAAAGACTTACATGTAAAACTCAAAACTATAAAAATCCTGTAAGACAACCTAGGCAATACCATTCTGGACACAGGAATGGGGAAAGATTTCATGACAAAGATGCCAAAGCAATTGCAACAAAAGCAAAAATTGACACATGGGATCTAATTAAACTTAAGAGCTTCTGCACAGCAAAAGAAACTATCACCAGAGTAAACAAATACCCTACAGAATGGAAGAAAATATTTGCAAACTATACATCAGACAAAGGTCTAATATCTAGCATCTATAAAGAACTTAAACAATTTTAAAAGAATAGAAAAACATTTAAAAAGTGGGCAAAGGACATGAACACACACTTTTCAAAAGAAGATATACATGTGGCCAACAAGCAAATGAAAAAAAGCTCAACATCACTGATCACTACAGAAATGCAAATCAAAACCATAATGAGATACCATATCACACCAGTCAGAATAGCTACTATTAAAAAGTTAAAAAATAACAGATGCTGGCAAGGTTGCAGAGAAAAGTGAACACTTCTACACTGTTGGTGGGAGTGTAAATTAGTTCAACCATTGTGGAAAGCAGAGTGGTGATTCCTCAAAGAGCTAAAAACAGAACTACCATTTGACCCAGCAATTCCATTACTGGGTATATACCCAAAGAAATATAAATCATTCTATCATAAAGACATATGCATGTGAATGTTCATACAGCACTATTCACAATAGCAAAGACACAGAATCAACCTCAATGCTCATCAATGACAGATTGGATAAAGAAAAAGTACATATACACCATGGAACACTAAACAGTCATAAAAGAAAATGAGATCATGTCTTTTGCGGGAACATGGATGGAGCTGGAGGTCATTATCCTTAGGAAACTAACGCACGAACAGAAAACCAAATACCGCATGTTCTCACTTATTAGTGGGAGCTAAATGATGAGAACACATGGACACAAAGAGGAGAATAACAGACACTTCAGCGTACTTGAGAGTGGAGGGTGGGAGGAGGGAGAGTATCAGAAAAAATAACTACTGGGTACTAGGCTTAGTACCTGGGTGACCAAATAATCTGTAAAACAAACCTCCATGACACGAGTTTACCTATGTAACAAATCTGACCGTGTACCCGTGAACCCAAAAGTTTTTCAAAAAGCTTTGCTCTTATGCCCAACTGCCCAAGTAATTCTATTTTTGAAAATTAGCTTATAGAAATATGAAATATGGAAAAAAACTTCACATCTCTGCCCTTTAATAAAACCTTTATACATACTCCCACTTCCAGCCTGCTGTCCTCTAATAATAGAGAGAAACTGGAGACAGGGACAATAGCTCATTAATTTTTTTAAAAATAGAGGATGTTATCATAGCACTTATCGCCACGTTGAAACTGCCTTTTTAACCGCACACCTATGTAGACATTTACTCTCTGACCTATCTACTTTGGCCCATTCCTACTGTAAGACACAAATCTATCCTAAATACAGCAAAGCCAAAATATAACAAAAACATGAAGGGATGTTTCCACAAAACTATTCATCAAACACTATTTATAATAGCAAAGATTGCAAATAACTCAAATATTTGTCAATATGAGGTTGGATGTCACAGTTTATGCACTGAATGAATTAGTATGCGGCTATAAAAAGGAATGAAGATCTCTCTCTACTCCTATGGAGTGACTTCTTAGATATTTACATGAAATTTTGTTGAAAAACAATGTTAAGAAGAATATGCATAATAACATTTGTATAAGAATGAGGATATATTTATATGTGTGTATACATATATGTGTGTACACACACACACACACACTTTCATGAATTTTCCACAAAGAAACCAATGGAAAAAATAATAATAAAAATAAAATAATAAATTATTATGGAAAGGAAGAGAACAAGATGAGTGAAGAAAATGAAAATAAGCCTCTCTGAATGTATCTTGTTTTGACACTGGAACACTAATAATGTTTTATGTAATTAAAAAAAACTAAACTAAAAAGAAAAAATAGAAAGCTGTTAAAAAAAAAAAACTAAAGAAGTTTCATGTTTAATAGTATAACCACACAGAGAATTATTCTACTGACTTCAAAACAATATTTTAACTATCCCTAGTAGGGTAACTACTAAATACAAAAAGAACAATGAAAGTTTTAAACCACATTCAGTGATCTTACAAAAGCGGAAATAGTACTGCTATTTTAAAACTATTTGAAAAACATAAGCATATATACATACAAATAAAGCAAATAAGTAATTATGCTAATTCATTAGGGACTAGGATGTTTTAGCATAGAAGATATATAAATACACATACCAAAGATGATTTGTGAAAACTCTTTAACTTTTAACCTAAATTTGATATATCAGTATGAACTCATGATTCTTTTTTCCTTTTTTCTAAAACATACATAGCACCACCCACCCATGGGATAATTCCTTTAAAAAAAAAAAAAAGATGAACCTTAATTGAATTTAATCAGGCCCTAGATCTAACTACCAGTTTACAGGCAATATAGGATAAAGAAAAATGCTAAATGACACCATGAGAACTTAGTCAGCTATATTTAGACCACTGTGGGAAATAACACAGAACAACTACAGAAAGAGTATGAAGAAAGAAAAGAAAGGAAAAGGGAATTAGATTAGAAAAGCTTTAAGAAACATCAACCTGCCAGGGGCAGTGGCTCATGCCTGTAATCCCAGAACTCTGGGAGCCTGAGGCAGGTGGATTGCTTGAGCTCAGGAGTTGGAGACCAGCCTGGCCAACATGGTGAAACCCCATCTCTACTAAAAATACAAAAATTAGCCAGTGTGGAGACGTGTGCCTATAGTCCCAGCTACTCAGGAGGCTGACACAGGAGAATCACTTGAACCCAGGAGGCAGAGGTTCCAGTGAGCCAAGATCGCACCACTGCACTCTAGCCTGGGGGAAACAGTGAGGCTCTGTCTCAACAAAAAAAGAAAGGAAACATCAACCAAATGCACTATGTCAGTCTCTTCAAATACTCATTCAATCAAAATAACTATAAAAAGACATCTGAGACACTCAGGGAAAACTGAACACAAAGTGAATACTAGATGATATTGAAGATTTTTAAATTTTGTTGAGATTTCTAATGGTATTGTGATTAAGATTTTTTAAAGCCCATAGCTACCATATCTGTTACAAATACACACTGTTTACAGATAAAATTATAAGGTCTAGGTTTTGTTTTAAACTCTAGCCCAAGGATAAAAAAGGAAACAGAAGGGGAACTAGATGAACAATGGTAGTTTGCTGATTGTTGAAGTTAGGTATTAGCTGCACTGGGGTTCATTACAATATCTTCTGTACTTTGTGAATGTTTAAAAAGTACAATAAAGTCTTTAAAAATAAAAAAGCAGTATATAAAAATACTGACTGTTTAACCTAAATATCCATCAGCAGGGACTGGTTCATTAAATTATAGTAATCTGTATAATAGAATGCTGTGCAATTAATAAAGAATGAGACAGCTGGGCTTCCCTATAGTCATAGATACTCGGGAGGCTGAGGCAGGAGGACTGCTTGAGCCCAGGAGTTCAGGGAAGTCTGGGCGATATAGTGAGATCCCATCTCTAACAAAATAAAAATAAAAACTAAAAAATATATATTATATAAACAAAGAATGGGACAGCTCTTGTGTATTAATGTGGTGCAGTTGTTAATATATTTAGTGAAAAAACAAGATATAGGCTAGTGTGTACAGTAAGCCCTCACTTCCATTGTCAATAGGTTCTTGGAAACTGTGACTTTAAACAAAATGATGTATAACAGGTCCTGGAATAATGTCATATTTTTATAACATTAATGAAAAAAAAGTTGGTTTTGTTAATATTGTTTCACTTAAAGTTGCAGTTTCCAAGACCCTATCGTGATTTTAAGTGAGGACTTACTGCATAGAAAGTATGCCATTATGTGTTAAAATAAACACACATATACACATGCACGCACATACACACATACTTGTGTAAGCACATTTTATCTCTAGAATAATACAGGGGAAACAGCTAATAATGGTTGCCTCTAAGGAGGGCAAGTGGTGTAAGACATAGAAATGAAACTCTTACATACTTTTGTTTCGTTTTGTTTTGAACACGGTACCACTCACATGTATTACCTCTTAGAAAATAATTTTAAAAATAAATTGCCTGTTTAATCTACTGTCTCTCTGACCAGTCTCTGTGTTCCTAAGAATAGGGAATGGGCTTTATCCATTATTACTGTATCTCTAGCATCTAGCACAATAAATATGTTTTGAACAACTTCATATGAGCATTAAGAAAATATTGAAAATAAAATACTGATTATAAGCAACTATTTAATCTAGTAATTTGTAAATTCCACTTAATTATTCAACATTAAATGAAAACATGTAAGGTTACCAACACAGTAAAAATTTCAACTATATTAAATAAAAACATTTACAAAGTAAAGGATAATGAGCTGGGCACAGTGGTTCAAGCCTATAATCCTAGCTACTTGGGAGGCTGAGATGGTAGGACTGCTTGAAGCCAGGAGTTTGAGACCAGCCTAAGCAACATAACGAGACCCTATCTCTAAAAAAAAAAATTCAATTAGCTGGGCATGGTGGCACATGTCTGAAGTCCCAGCTACTCAGGAAGCTGAGGTGGGAGGATCAGTTGAAACCAGAAGTTCAAGGCTGCAGTGAGCTATGATGGCACCACCACACTCCAGCCTCATCGACAGAGTGAGACTCCATCTATTTAAAAAAAGAAAAAGCAAGCAAGCATACTGGAAGAAAATACAAAATGTTAAATTAATTGTCTTCTTTTTTTGGCAAAAAGCAAAATAAAATAGCAGAAACATGAGGAAAATGTAACTATTTGGAATGTGTAATATGCCTGTCCCCATAGAAAATGTCATATTCTTTATGCAAGGAAAACTGAGTAAGATAATAACCTGGTTTCTCCCTCTGCCCCTAGGAAATTCACAATGAGGAAACAGCTGAAATAAACAAGCTGGAGGAAATCACAGCTGGTGGCAGAAGTTCTGACAGCTTGTTTTTTTCTTTTCAGATCGGCTATACTAGTTAGCACTGTAGGATAATAACAGAAAAAAGGGAGCAAGGCAAATTCACTGAAACACATAAAATTACTGGAGTACCTTAGAAATTATGAAAAAAAAACCAAGAAGGAGAAAGACTGTCATTCACAATTATATACTTGAAAGCTATACCAAAATACAATCATCGTAGGTTTTAAAAAGTTAAAATTACAGAGGAGAAGAGATTAAAGGAACTGGAAACTTCAGGAACAAACTTTCACAGGAAACTTGTTAAATTAGCCTTGCTTCCCCCACCACTCCATACAAGCGACCAAGCAGCAACCTCATGGAATCCCCACTGTGTTCCCAGAAGCCTCCTTTTCAAGACTCTGCGATTGCTTTATTCTCCCTATTAACCCCCTTCAAGGCAGCTCAAATGTTATCACCTCTGAAGCCCTTCCCACTCCTCCAAGCAGAGATAGTCCCACCCTCCTCCAGGCTCCCTCAGCATTTTTTTCGAGGCCATGACAGCCCATCAGCAGATGGTAATTCATTTGCCTATCTGACCTACTTTCAGTGAGAAAGTACAGAATTCATTTTCCTCTCCTGAGTGCCTAGTACACAGCAGATTCTAAAGTAAACATTTACTGAATGAAGTCACAGGGTCTTCATGCAAATAGATTTGCTCACACAGTCACCAATACTTAAAATCTGACGGGTAGATCTGACCAGAAAAAAGTTTTGAATTGTGGTTGGAGGTGGGACACTGCCATTATGAACAAAGTCAAAATACGAATGATAACCTAGGAAAGAACAGTGAAACAAATGATAGACAAAATAGTCACTTCGGCAATGCTGTTAAGAATATAGGCCTCCAAGTTAAAAATGGATTTGAATTCTAGTTCTGCTATTGTGAACTTAGGCAAACTGCATAACCTTTAAGTCTCATTCTCCTCATCCATAAGTGGCAGATAACAGTGCTGAGACCAGAGTTTTTATAAAATGTAGTGAAGTAAGGCACATATAGGTGCTTAATACAATGCCTAACTTCTGCTAATGCTCAATAAGTATTAGTTATTAATATCCTTTTGGATAAAGTGTGGTAAATGAATTTTTAAAGATAACCACCACACCAACAAATAAGCAACTCACAAAACATAAAGAATGCCTCTTTATCATGTCTCAGATTAAAACAAGGACATTCCAACTTATCACGTTAGCAAGTACATATCTGTACAAGTAAAGAGACTCAGGATCTTCAACATTACCGAGAAAGTAAACTGGTACAACTTTACTGCAATTTTGCAAGTCTTTAAGGGCCTCAAAAATCTTAAGAACACTTTTGATTCAGGAATTCCCTTTGTCACAATTTATCCTAAAATAATAACTGCTAATATGTAAGCATACATATTTAAGAATGCTGATTATGGTAATATTTCACGGGAATAAAACTGACCAAATATTTATGGTAAAAGATCGCCCCAGTTCTTCAGTCTTCTATAACAGGATTATACATGCATACTATGTGCCCCTCAGTGGCAAAGCTGGTTTACGCTGGCTTACCTGGCTCATAACAGTAGACTGCTGAGCCATGATGGGAGTATTTACACCAGAGAAATCAGCAAATGCTACAAATCTAGGGCTTTATTTCCCTCACCCCCACCAAAGCCAGCTGTTAAGCATTTACCAGCACAGCACCTGATGTAATTTTGCAATACTTCCCCCTCTCAATGCTGCTGACCTGTTGAGAGTGGCCATGTGATTGCTTTGGCCAATGTAGTATTAGTAAATGTGACAGATAGAAGACTTCAAATGTGCTCAGTCATTAGCTTGCCCTCTTGTCTTCCTGTCATTTGCCATGAGAAGAATGTGTGCCACGAAATTACTGATCTAAAGAGAATGAGAAACTTGAAACGGCCCTGAACTCAATCTACAATCCAAGAAAGAGCTGCACCAGTGACTAAAAGATCTGTGAACAAGAAAAATAAAATGTATTGTAAGCCACTGATATTTTGAGGTTAGCATGCAGCAAAACTAACTAATACGCTCTCCATCAATATATGTGTGAACAAATTAGTAAACCTACATAAAGAAAAATCATACAGACTTTAAATGTTGTGGATTTATGGCCGGGAGCAGTGGCTCACGCCTGTAATCCCAGCACTTTGGGAGGCCCAGGCAGGCAGATCACAAGGTCAGGAGATCAAGACCATCCTGACTAACATGGTGAAACCCCGTCTCTACTAAAAATACAAAAAATTAGCCAGGCGTGGTGGCAGGCGCCTGTAGTCCCAGCTACTTGGGAGGCTAAGGCAGGAGAATGGCGTGAACCTGGGAGGCAGAGCTTGCAGTGAGCTGAGATTGCGCCACTGCACTCCAGCCTGGGCGACAGAGCGAGACTCCATCTCTGAAAAAAAAAAAAAAAAGTTGTGGATTTATATTTGACCTGGAAATATGTCCAAGCTGTATTATGTTTTTTTTTAAGTTTACAAAACAAACAGTGTGATGTTTCTATTTTAAAAGCACACACAGAAGTGTTTAGAAGGATAGTTACTAAAACGTTAGTAATCGTTGTCAACAAAAAGTGTGAAACGGTGTAAAATATTTGAAGAGATTTATTCTGAGCCAAATACGAGTGACCGATGGTCTGTGACACAGCCCTCAGGAGATCCTGAGAACATGTGCCCAAGGTGGTCAGGGGATACCCTAGTTTTATACATTTTAGGGAGACATGGGACATCAAAAAGATGTGAAATATATATTGGTTTGGTCCAGAAAGGCAGGATAACTCAAAGCAGGGGCTTCCAGGTTATAGGCAGATTTTTAAAAAATATTATTGGCAATTGGGTGAATTATTATCAATAGAAAGGAATGTCTGAGTTATGATAAGGGGTTGTAGAGACCAAAGTTTTATCATATAGATAAAGCTCCAGGTAGCAGCCTTCAGAGAGAATAGATTGTAAGTATTTCTTATCAGACTTAAGGTCTGTGTTGATGTTAAATGCTGGTCGGCTTTTCCTGAATTCCAAAAGGGAAGAGGGTATAATGAGGGATGTCCCACCCTCCCTTCCCATCATGGCCTGAACCAGTTTTTCAGGTTCACTATGGAGTTTCCGGGCTAAGAGGAGAGGTCCACTCAGATGGTTGGGGGACTTGAGAATTTTATTTTTGGTTTATATGGTTATTTCTGAGTGCTGGGCTACAAGAAATTTTTACTTTTAAAAAATCAGACAATAGGGATTCTAAGAGAGGCTTCATGACGGCTAACTAGAGGCATCTGATACTCACCTCCTCCACAAAAAAAGAACAAAAATACTAAGTAGATGATCACACTTCCAGTAGATCACCTAAGGGAGAATGCTGGAATTCAATAGAGAAGTGACAGGAAACACCTACGGCAAAGAAGGAGAGGGAAGCAAGGCAGCCTGCTGCACTGGATGGGCTGGGAGCCTGGAAAGGCTCCCCAGTGCAGGGAAAGGTTAAGTGGGGACCCCCAGCAGTCTACATTCCCACTGCAGACTCCTGTAATCCTAGCCACAAGAGAGACCCTTAATGCACACGGGCCCCGAGACTAACAGGAGACCACATGAAGGCACTGCTCAAGAGGAGTTCACAATGGGTCCCACACACCTCCTAATTCCTAAGTAGCTACAGCAAGGCACCATTTTCAGAGTCCAACCCCCAGCGGGCTGCATCCTGCCCTGGGGCCCAAGAACTCCGGTACCTCACATCCCTGGAGCTTCACTGAGATCCCCTGTGCATGAGGGATAACTGATGTATCTTGGGCCACAGTGCAAGACATTGTCAGCAACCCCACACCTGTGAACGGTGCTACTGAGCATTTACAAGCACCCTGAGGACAGGCTACCAGCTTGCAGCTGCCATCTGAGACCAAAGTGTACCCCCCCACCAATTTACGACTGTTGTCATTGAAAGCAACCCAGCCCTCCCAGTAACAGGCTGCAGTGCATCTCCCGAGCACTGTACTGGAAGTCTGGGGATCACGCCATCCTCGCCTACCAGAACCAGCAGCTGCACAAACCACCAGGGAGCCTGAGATCAAGCCAGCCTGGCCCAGTTCCACCCACCTCCAGTGGCTGAGCATGCCATCCAGGGGCCTGTGGATTGCACCATCCACAACTGTTGGCACCTGAGTACTCCTCCCAGAGGCCTGAGGACCCAATCTGCCACTACTACCACAGCAGACACCCATGTGCATGCACTACCTGTGGGCTTGGCAACTGGCCCACCCAACCCATTGCAGTCATCACCAACACCACCACAGACTGCTTGGGAGCCAGAGGTTTGTCCCACCAATATTACTGCCATAATCCATGGCATATCCACTGCCTAGGGGCCCGATGACATGCCAAACTGCCCAGCCCACCACTGTCACTGATGGCATCCAAACAAGCTGACTGGAGGCCCCCCAAGAATTGGCCCACCTGGACCATCTCACACTGGTGCCAGCGTATGCCACACTGGGGCCTAAGGACAGGCATACTCAGCCTACCACTGCCATCGCTGGGACCTAAAGATTGGCCCACCTGACACCCCTGTCCCCAGCAAAACTTCACCACAGCCTCCACTAAAAACCACACCCTAAGACACTGAGAAAATCAAACACTACTGACACTGTTCCTGACAAAATTCATACAGAGACTACACTATGGTATACATACAGAATCAAAGCCAAAGTGGCCTACCCGAACACCACCATAGACCCATCTTTAGGAAAAAGTGCCCCCACTACAAAAGCAAATGCAAAAAACTGAAGAAGGACTGTTATACCACATGCACAGATATCAACATAAGGATAGAAGAAACATGAAAAAGCAAGGAAATATGACACTTCCAAAAGGACGTAATTCTCCAGCAATGGATTCCAGTGAAAAAAAAAATTGTGAAATCCAGAAAACTAATTCAAAATAATGATATTAAAGAAGCAAGAGAATTCAGATAAACAATATAAAAAAAAATCTGAAAAACAATTCAGGATACAAATGAGAAATTTACCAAAGACACAGATATCATTAAAAAGCACCTGAGGAGAGTGAAAATCACCTGGTGACCACTGAACAGGCTTAGAGATAAAAACTTCTTATCTGAGCAATTTAGAAGGCAGCAAAGACTACCTGGTGACCATCAAACAGGTCATCCAGAGGCAAAACTCCTTATCTGGGGAATTTAGAGGTAATCAAACCTCCCTAGTATCTAAAGTCAGCATATGATTCCAGGCCTCTTTCAATTTTTATAAGTAACTAAAATTTCTATACATTTCTGGAATGCCATACTGAAACTAATTTTACAACCCTAAGCTACTGTCTTAAAGCCTATAAATGCTCCTAAGGAAAATCCACCACGGTGCGCTCAGTCCTCTCACTGAGGCACCCCACTGCACCGTTTTGCAGCGTTCTTCCTTTCTAATAAAGTTTCCTTTTTCAAACCTGTACTGTTGTCAGTAAATTCTTTTTACCAACCTGCAAGTTGACCACTTCCTGGTGCCAGGGCTCTGACACCTCGCCCAACAATCCTCAAATAGATACAATTCAAAAAGGTCTTCTCCACAACACATTATAGTCAAACTGTCAAAGGCAAAGAGAGAATTCTAAAAACAGCAAGAGAAAAGCATCCAGTCACTTAATGCTTAGAACCCCCAGCAGACTATCAGCAGATTTCTCAGCAGAAACCTTACAGGCCAGGAGAGAATAGGCAGATATATTTGAAGTGAAGAAAGAAAGAGAAAAAGAAAAGAAAAAAGGAAAGAAAGGCAGGAAGGAAAGAAAGGAAGGAAAGGAAGAAAAGGAAGGAGAGGGTGGGAGAAAGGGAGGAAGGGAGGGAAGAGAGGGAGGGAGGGGAAGGGAAGGGAGAGAAGGGAGAGAAGGAAGGAAAGGAAGGAACGTTTCTGCCAAGGATACTATACCCAGCAAAGTTATCCTTCATAAATGAAGGAGAAATAAAGTCTTTCCCAGACAAGAAAAAGCTGAAGGAACCCATTACCACTAGGCCGGCCCTCCAAGAAATAATTAAGGGAGCCCTATACCCGGAAGGAAACACATCAAAATATAAAACCCACTGGTAGAGCAAATACACAAATAAAAAAGAGAAAGAATTTATATGTCACCACTACAGAAAACCACCAACCACAATGAAAAACAACATGAGAGAAAGAAAGGAAGAAATGCTATACAAAAACCAGAAATCAATTACTAAAATGACAGGAATAAGCCCTGTCATATCAATAATAATCCTGAATACAAATGAATTAAACTTATCACTTAAAAGATACAGAGGGGCTGAAAGAATTTTTTTAAATGATCCAACCACATGCTGCCTACAAGAAATTCATCTCAACTGTAAATGCACAGACTGAAAGTAAGGGATGGAAAAAGATATTCCAAGTGAACAAAAATCAAAAGCAAACAAGAACATCTATCCTTATAACAGATAAAACAGACTTTAATTTAAAAACAGTAACAACAAAGAAGGTCATTATATAATGATAAAGGGATCAATTCAACAAAAAGATATAACAATTCTAAACATAAACGAATCCAACACCAGACCACTCAGCTCTATCAAGAAAACATGATCAGACCTAAAGGGAGGGACAGAATCCAATACAATAAGTGCTAGGGACATCAACACCCAACTCTCAGCATTACACAGATCATCTAGAGAAACACTGGATTCAAACTGCACTTTAGACCAAATGGACATAACAGACATTTACAGAACATTTCATCCAACAGGTATAGAATACACATTCTTCTCATCAGCCCATGGACCATTCTCCAGAATAGACTGTATGTTAGGCCACAAAACAAGTCTCAAAAAATTTTTAAAAATCAAAATCATATCAAGTATCTTTTATGACCACAACGGAATAACACTAGAAATCAGTAACAAGAGAAACTTTGGAAACTGTACAAAATACATGGAAATTAAACAACATGCTCCTAAATGACCATTGGGCCAAGGAAGAAATTAAGGAGGAGATAAAAAATGTTTGTGGTGTGTAGTGGTATGTGCCTGTAATCCCAGCTACTCAGGAGGCTGAGGCAGAAGGACTGTTTCAGCCCAGGAGTTCTGCAGTGAGCTAGGATCACACACCACACTCCAGCCTGGTCAACAGAGTGAGACTGTCTCTAAAACAACAACAAAAAGTTCTCGAAACAAATGAAAGTCAAAAAACAATATACCAAAACCTATGGAATACAACAAAAGTGGTGCTAAGAGAGATGTTTATAGCAATAAATGCTCACATCAAAAAAGTAGGAAGATTTTAAATAAACAATCCAAAAATACACCCCCAAGAACTAGAAAAGCAAGAACCACCTAACCCAAAATTAGTAGAGGGAAAGAAATAATAAAGATCAGGATAGACTGAAAAAACACAATACAAAAGATCAACAAAATAAAAACTTGGCTTTTTGAAAAGATAAAATCAATAAACCACTATCTAGGTAACAAAGAAAAAAAAAGACCCATATAAATAAAGTCAGATATGAAAAAGGAAACCTTACAACTGATACCACAGAAATATAAAAGAGAAATCATCAAGATATTATGAACAACTACACACTAATACATCAGAAAACCAAGCTATTATGAACAACTACACACTAATACATTAGAAAACCTAGAGAAAATGGGTAAATTCTTAGATACACACAGCCTGCCAAGATTGAATCAGGAAGAAACAGAAAACCTGAACAGACCAATAATGAGTAATGAGATTGAATCAGTAATTAAAAAAAAAAAAAAAAAAAATCTCCCAACAAAGAAAAGTCCAGGATTGGATGGCTTCGCTGCCAAATTTGACCAAAACTTTTTTTTTTTTTTTTTTTAAAGACAGAATCATGCTCTGTTGCCCAGGCTGGAGTGCAGTGGCGCAATCTTGGCTGACTGCAACCTCCACCTTCTGGGTCCAAGTGATTCTCATGCTTCAGCTACCTGAACAGCTGGGATTACAGGCATACACCACTACATCCAACTAATTTTTGTGGGTTTTATTTATTTATTTATTTGAGATAGAGTCTCACTCTGTTGCCCAGGCTGAAGTGCAGTGGCGCAATCTCAGCTCACTGCAACATCCACCTCCTGGGTTCAAGCGATGCTCCTGCCTCAGCCTCCAGAGTAGCTGGGATTATAGGCATGCACCACGACGCCCAGCTAATTTTTGCATTAGTAGAGACAGGGTTTCACAATGTTGGCCAGGCTGGTCTCAAAACTTCTGGCCTCAAGCAATCCACCCACCTCAGCCTCCCAATGTGCTGGGATTACACGCATGAGCCACTGTGCCCAGCCTTGACCAATCTTATAAAGAAGAATTAACACCAATTCTCCTCAAACTACTCCAAAACATTGAAGAGGAGGGAATTCTACAAGGCATTAACCTGATACTAAAACCAGAGAAGGACACAACAAAAACAACAAAAAACTACAGGTCAACGATGAACACAGACACAAAAATCCTCAACAAAATACAGCAAACCAAATCCAACAGCACATCAAAAAGAGAATACATCATCATCAAATGGGATTTATCCCAGGGATGCAAGAATGATTCAATAGATGCAAATCAATAAACATGATACATCACATCAACAGAATGAAGGACAAAAACCATATGATCATCTCAACATCCCTTCATAATAAAAGCTCTCAACAAACTAGGCATAGACGGAACATATCTCAACATAAAAAAGACCATATATAACAAACCCACAGCTAACATCATACTGAGTAAGTAAATCTGAAAGCCTTTCCTCTAAGAGCTGGAAAAAGACAAGGATCCCCACTTTCACCAGTCTTTTTCAACACAGTACTGGGAGTCCTAGCCAGAGCCATCAAGCAAGAGAAAGTAAGAAAAGGCAGCCAAATTGGAAAAGAGGAAGTCAAACCATCCCTCTTTGTAGATAAAGACTCCACCAATAAACTTTTAGATTTGGAAAGTTACAGGATACAAAGTCAAAATACAAAAATCAGTAACATTTTTACACACCAAAAACAAACTAGCTAAGAAAGAAATCGAGCCGAGTGTGGTGGCTCACGCCTGTAATCCCAGCACTTTGGGAGGCCGAGGTGGGCAGATCACCTGAGGTCAGGAGTTTGAGACCAGCCTGGCCATAATGGTGAAACTCTGCCTCTACTAAAAATACAAAAAATTAGCCGGGCATCATGGCAGACACCTGTAATCCCACTTACTTGGGAGGCTGAGGCAGGAGAATCTCTTGAACCAGAGAGACAGAGGTTGCAGTAAGCTGAGATTGTGCCACTGCACTCCAGACTGGGCAACAAGAGTGAAACTTCATTTCAAAAAAATAAAATTAAAAAAAGAAATAAATAAATACATCAAGAAGACAATCCCCCTTACAATAGCTACAAAAAAATACAATAAAATACTTAGGAATAAATTTAACCAAGTAGGTTAAAGACCTCTATAAGGAAAACTATAAAACACTAATGAAAGAAATTGAAGAGGATATAAACAACTGGAAAGACACCCTATGCTCATGAATCAGAAGAGCTCATATCATTAAAATTACCATATTACCCAAAGCAATCTATAAATTCAATGAAAATACCAATGTCATTTTTTACAGAATTAGAAAAAAAATCCTAAAATTCATATAGAACAAAAAAAGAGCCTGAACAGTGAAAGTAATCCTGAACAAAAGAACAAAGCTGGAGGCATCACACAATTTGACTTGAAAATATATTACAAGGCTATAGTAACCAAAATAGCATGGTATTGGTATAAAAATAGACACAGAAGACCAATGGAACATAACAGAGAAGACAGAAATAAATCCAGGTAGTTACAACTAACTGATTTTCCTTTTTTCTTTTTTCTGAATGTTTCTCAAAAAGCCAACTGATTTTCAACAAAGGTGTCAAGAACATACACTGGGGAAAGAACACCCTCCCTTCGATAAATGGTGCTGGAAAAACTGGCTAGCCATATGCAGAAGAATAAAACTGAACCCCTTTCTCTCACCATATAAAAAAATCAACTCAAGACAGATTAAAGACTTAAACTTTGAAGACCTGAAATATAAAACTACTAAAAGAAAACAGGGGAAACACTTCAGGATATAGGTCCCATCAAAAATTTTACGGCTAAGACATCTAGAACACAGACAACAAAAACAAAAATAGACAAATGAGACTATATTAAACTAAAAAGCATAGCAAATGAAGCAATCAACAGAGTGAAGAGGCAACTGCTGAATGGGAGAAAATACCTGCAAACTATTCAGCTGACAAGGAACTAATATGTAGAATATACAAAGAACTCATATAACTCTTCTTACAGTTAATAAAACAAATAATCCCATTAAAAAGTAAGCAAAGGACATGAATAGCTATTTCTCAAGGAAGACATACAATGGCAAACAGGTATATGAAAAAAATGCTCAACATGACTCAGTAGGGAAATGCAAATCAAAACCACAATGAAACTTAATTTTACCCCTGTTAGAATGGCTATTACTAAAAAGACAAAAAAACAATAGATACTGGCTAGGATGGGGAGAAAAGGGACCTCTTATACACTGTTGGTAGGAATGTAAATTAGTACAGCCACTATGGAAAACAATATGGAGATTTCTCAAAAAACTAAACACAGTTTGGGTGTGGTAGCTCATACGTGTAATTCCAGTACTTTGGGAGGCCGAGGTGGGAGAATCGCTTGAGCCCAGGAGTATGATCATGCTGCTGCACTCCAGCCTGGGCAACAGAGCAAGACCTTCTCTCAAAAAAAAAAAAAAAAAAAAAAGGCCGGGCGCGGTGGCTCACGAGCCTGTAATCCCAGCACTTTGGGAGGCCGAGGAGGGCGGATCACAAGGTCAGGAGATCGAGACCATCCTGGCTAACACTGTGAAACCCCGTCTCTACTAAAAAATACAAAAAAAAAAAAAAATTAGCCAGGTGCTGTGGCGGGCGCCTGTAGTCCCTGCTACTAGGGAGGCTGAGGCAGGAGGTGAATGGCAGGAACCTGGGAGGTGGAGCTTGCAGTGAGCCGAGATCGCGCCACTGCACTCCAGCCTGGGAGACACAGCGAGACTCTGTCTCAAAAAAAAAAAAGAAAAAAACCACTACACATAAAACTACCCTATGATCCAGCAATCCCACTACTAGCTGGCTATTTATCCAAAGGAAAAGTATGTCAAAGATACCTGCACTCCCATGTTTACTGCAGCACTGTTCAGAATAGCAAAGATGGAATCAATCTAAGTGTTCATTAATGGGCAAATAAGAAAATGTGCTATATATAGACAATAGAACACTATTTCACCGTAAAAGAGGATGAAATCCTGTCATTTGCAGCAACACAAATGGCACTGGAGGTCATTATGTTATGTGAAATAAGCCAGGCCAGAAAAAACACATATTTCATATTCTCACTCATATATGGAAGCTAAGTAAGTTCCTCTCATGGAGGTAGAGAGTAGATTGATAGACACAAGGGGCTAGGAAGGGTGCTGGGAGTGGTGGGGGTGAGGTGATGAAGGGAAGATGAAAAGTTGGTTAATGGGTATAAATACAGCAGAGTAGGCTGACTATAGTTAGCAACAATGCTGTAAATTTCAAAACAGCTACAAGGGCAGACTTGAAATCTTACCAACACACAGAAATGATAAATACTCTAGGTGATGGATACCGTAAATACCCTGACTTGATCATTACACATTCTATGCATGTGTAATGATCATCACATGAACTCCATAAATATGTGCAAATAACAATTTTAAAAATAAATTATAACAAAACAGACAATATAGATGGGTACAATAAGTAGCTTTTCAGATTTGTTATAAAACAAGGCTGTTACTATTTCAGCAGGAAAAACTGAATGTACAAAACTGGGTGTTTTATAAACCAGCCAGTAATTGTTAGAGTAAATAAACCACACAACAGACTGAGTCCAAAAACAGTCAAGACTTACAAATGGAACTTTGTAAATGAACAGCCAGTGTTGTAGGTAATGTATTGCTTTGTCCTTCTCATGTTTTCTCAGGAGCTAGGTAGGCAAATAATCAACTACATTTGGATTTCCCAAAGTGAGGTTCCCAGGGTATTGTTAGATTGGCAGACTTCTGAACACCATCTCAAAACTAGTGATTCAAAACCTCAGGGAGTAGGGACCAGAAATGAGCAATTTTCAGTTTTAATACACTCACTAAATATTGAGAACGCTAACCTACATGGTGGTAAACAACACATGCAGACTAGCTAATTATAAGCTATACATAAATTTGAAAACAAAGAGCAGAGCTGTTTTATTTTGATAGCAAATTGTTCAAGGTCACTAAATTACTGCTCTTGCACATTTTAAGGCTAAGACTATGTTAAATAAAATTTACTTAAAGTATAAAGCCTTCATCAGAAAAAATGACAACTATGAGAATAAGTCAAATCATGTTCATTGTTGAACTGAATAACCTAATTACTGAACCGTCACATCAATTGCTTTATAAATCAACAAATACTCTCTCCAAATATAAACACTTATTTTCTAGCACCTAACACAAGCATTCATTTGACTGTTTTAGTGTACCATACACAGAGATGCTTATAAATGTTTGCTGAATGTACAACATTCACTTATAAGGATGAAAGAATTTATAAGTAATTGCTAATATATCACTATGTACCAGTTACTGTTTTAATCACTTTATGGACACTAACTCTTTTAAACCACATAGAAATCCTGTAAGAGTTCTATTATCCCCCAAATAATGAGAAAATGGAAGCACAGTAGAGAAGAGACTTGCCCAAACTAGTCACAAAATTCAAACCCAGATTCACAAGATTCAAACCCAGGCAGGCTGGCTCCAGAATCTGTATAATCATTAAGCTATACTGCCTTCATTATTAAAAATAAAATATAATTCATCTAGTAATATATTCCCTAGGTGAAGCTCAAATATCTTTGTTGCTCAGTACTTTAACACTCACTTTTGGCAAAATATTTGAGATTTTTCTTTTTTTTCTTTTTTCCTGTTCTATTTCATCTTTATTTTTTTTATTCCTTTATTTTATTTTATTTTACTTTAAGTTCTAGGGTACATGTTCACAACATGCAGGTTACATATGTATACATGTGCCATGTTGGTCTGCTGCACCCATTAACTCGTCATCTACATTAGGTATATCTCCTAAGCTATCCCTCCCCACTCCCCCAACCCCACAACAGGCCCCAGTGTGTGATGTTCCCCACCCTGTGTCCATGGGTTCTCATTGTTCAGTTCCCACCTATGAGTGAGAACATACGGTGTTTTGTTTTCTGTCCTTGCGATAGTTTGCTCAGAATGATGGTTTCCAGCTTCATCCATGTCCCTATGAAGGACATCAACGTATCCTTTTTTATGGCGGCATAGTATTCCATGGTGTATATGTGCCACATTTTCTTAATCCAGTCTATCATTGATGGACATTTGGGTTGGTTCCAAGCCTTTGCTATTGTGAACAGTGCCACAATAAACATACGTGTGCATATGTCTTTATACCAGCATGATTTATAATCATTTGGGTATATGCCCAGTAATGGGATGGCTGGGTCAAATGGTATTTCTAGTTCTAGATCCTTGAGGAATCGCCACACTGTCTTCCACAATGGTTGAACTAGTTTACAGTCCCACCAACAGTGTAAAAGCATTCCTATTTCTCCACATCCTCTCCAGCACCTGTTGTTTCCTGACTTTTTAATGATCGCCATTCTAACTGGTGTGAGATGGCATCTCGTTGTGGTTTTGATTTGCATTTCGCTGATGGTCAGTGATGATGAGCATTTTTTCATGTGTCTATTGGCTGCATAAATGTCTTCTTTTGAGAAGTGCCTGTTCATATACTTTGCCCACTTGTTGATGGGGTTGTTGGATTTTTTCTTGTAAATTTGTTTAAGTTCTTCATAGATTCTGGATATTAGCCCTTTGTCAGATGGGTATATTATAAAAATTTTCTCCCATTCCGTAGGTTGCCTGTTCACTCTGATGGTAGTTTATTTTGCTGGGCAGAAGCTCTTTAGTTTAATTAGATCCCATTGGTCAATTTTGGCTTTTGATGCCATTGCTTTTGGTGTTTTAGACATGAAGTCCTTGCCCATGCCTATGTCCTGAATGGTATTGCCTAGGTTTTCTTCTTGGGTTTTTATGGTTTTAGGTCTAACATTTAAGTCTTTAATCCATCTTGAATTAATTTTTGTACAAGGTGTAAGGAAGGGATCTAGTTTCAGCTTTCTAGATATGGTTAGCCAGTTTCCCCAGCACCATTTATAAAATAGGGAATCCTTTCCCCATTTCTTGTTTTCGTCAGGTTTGTGAAAGATCAGATGGCTGTAGATGTGTGGTATTATTTCCAAGGGCTCTATTCTGTTCCACTAGTCTATATCTCTGTTTTGGTACCAGTACCATGCTGTTTTGGTTACTGTAGCCTTGTAGTATAGTTTGAGGTCAGGTAGCGTGATGCCTCCAACTTTGTTCTTTTGGCTTAGGACTGACTTGGCAATGCGGGCTCTTTTTTGGTTCCATATGAACTTTAGTTTTTTCCAATTCTGTGAAGAAAGTCATTGGTAGCTTGATGGGGATGGCATTGAATCTATGAATTACCTTGGGCAGTATGGCCATTTTCACGATATTGATTCTTCCTATCCATGAGCATGGAATGTTCTTCCATTTGTTTGTGTCCTCTTTTATTTCGCTGAGCAGTGGTTTGTAGTTCTCCTTGAAGAGGTCGTTCACATCCCTTGTAATTTGGATTCCTAGGTATTTTATTCTCTTTGAAGCAATTGTGAATGGGAGTTCACTCATGATTTGGCTCTCTGTCTGTCTGTTATTGGTGTATAGGAATGCTTGTGAATTTTGCACATTGATTTTGTATCCTGAGACTTTGCTGAAGTTGCTTATCAGCTTAAGGAGATTTTGGGCTGAGATGATAGGGTTTTCTAAATATACAATCATGTCATCTGCAAACAGGGACAATTTGACTTCCTCATTTCCTAATTGAATACCCTTTATTGCTTTCTCTTGCCTGATTGCCCTGGCCAGAACTTCCAACACTACGTTGAAAAGGAGTGGTGAGAGACGGCATCCCTGTCTTGTGCCAGTTTTCAAAGGGAATGCTTCCAGTTTTTGCCCATTCAGTATGATATTGGCTGTGGGTGTGTCATAAACAGCTTTTACTATTTTGAGATACGTCCCATCAATACCTAATTTATTGAGAGTTTTTAGCATGAAGAGCTGTTGAATTTTGTAAAGGCCTTTTCTGCATCTATTGAGATAATCATGTGGTTTCTGTCTTTAGTTCTGTTTATAGGATGGATTATGTTTATGGATTTGCATATGTTAAACCAGCCTTGCATCCCAGGGATGAAACTGACTTGATCGTGGTGGATAAGCTTTTTGATGTGCTGCTGGATTCAGCTTGCCAGTATTTTATTGAGGATTTTTACATCGATGTTCATCGGGGATATTGGTCTAAAATTCTCTTTTTTTGTTGTGTCTCTGCCAGGCTTTGGTATCAGGATGATACTGGCCTCATAAAATGAATTAGGGAGGATCCCCTCTTTTTCTATTGATTGGAATAGTTTCAGAAGGAATGGAACCAGCCCCTCTTTGTACCTCTGGTAGAATTCAGCTGTGAATCCGTCTGGTCTTGGACTTTTTTTGGTTGGTAGGCTATTAATTATTGCCTCAATTTCAGAACCCGTTATTGGTCTATTCAGGGATTCAACTTCTTCCTGGTTTAGTCTTGGGAGGGTGTATGTGTCGAGGAATTTATCCATTTCTTCTAGATTTTCTAGTTTATTTGCGTAGAGGTGTTTATAGTACTCTCTGATGGCCATATTTCTGTGGGATCAGTGGTGATATCCCCTTTATCATTTTTTATTGTGTCTATTTGATTCTTCTCGCTTTTGTTCTTTATTAGTCTTGCTAGTGGTCTATCAATTTTGTTGATCTTTTCAAAAAACCAGCTCCTGGCTTCATTGATATTTTTGAAGGGTTTTTTGTGTCTATCTCCTTCAGTTCTGCTCTGATCTTAGTTATTTCTTGCCTTCTGCCAGCTTTTGAATGTGTTTGGTCTTCCTTCTCTAGTTCTTTTAATTGTGATGTTAGGGTGTCAATTTTAGATCTCTCCTGCTTTCTCTTGTGGGCATTTAGTGCTATAAATTTCCCTCTACACACTGTATTAAATGTGTCCCAGAGATTCTGGTATGTTGTGTCTTTGTTCTCATTGATTTCAAAGAACATCTTTATTTCTGCCTTCATTTCGTTATGTACCCAGTAGTCATTCAGGAGCAGGTTGTTCAGTTTCCATGTAGTTGAGCGGTTTTGACTGAGTTTCTTAATTCTGAGCTTTAGTTTGATTGCACTGTGGTCTGAGAGACAGTTTGTTATAATTTCTGTTCTTTTACTGAGTAAATTTGTTATAATTTACTGTTCTTTTATTTGCTGAGGAGTGCTTTACTTCCAACTATGTGGTCAATTTTGGAGTAAGTGTGATGTGGTGCTGACAAGAATGTATATTCTGTTGTTTTGGAGTGGAGAGTTCTGCAGGTGTCTATTAGGTCTGCTTGGTGCAGAGCTGAGTTCAATTCCTGGATATCCTTATTAACTTTCTGTCTCGTTGATCTGTCTAATGTTGACAGTGGGGTGTTAAAGTCTCCCATTATTATTGCGTGGGAGTCTAAGTCTCTTTGTAGGTCTTTAAGGACTTGCTTTATGAATCTGGGTCCTCCTG
The DNA here is from genome assembly GCF_000001405.40 of Homo sapiens. Taxonomy (NCBI): domain Eukaryota; kingdom Metazoa; phylum Chordata; class Mammalia; order Primates; family Hominidae; genus Homo; species Homo sapiens. The sequence goes on from NC_000007.14 coordinate 35,663,589, forward strand.
TATTGGGTGCATATATATTTAAGATAGTTAGCTCCTCTTGTTGAATTGATCCCTTTACCATTATGTAATGGCCTTTTGTCTCTTTTGATCTGTTGGTTTAAAGTCTGTTTTATCAGAGACTAGGACTGCAATCCCTGCCTTTTTTTTGTTTTCCATTTGCTTGGTAGATCTTCCTCCATCCCTTTATTTTGAGCCTATGTGTGTCTCTGCACGTGAGATGGGTTTCCTGAATACAGCAGATGGGTCTTGACTCTATCCAATTTGCCAGTCTGTGTCTTTTAATTGGAGCATTTAGCCCATTTACATTTAAGGTTAATATTATTATGTGTGAATTTGAGCCTGTCATTATGATGTTAGCTGGTTATTTTGCTCATTAGTTGATGCAGTTTCTCCCTAGTATAGATGGTCTTTACAATTTGGCATGTTTTTGCAGGGCTGGTACCGGTTGTTCCTTTCCGTGTTTTAGTGCTTCCTTCAGGAGCTCTTGTAAGGCAGGCCTGGTTGTGACAAAATCTCTCAGCATTTGTTTGTCTGTAAAGGATTTTATTTCTCCGTCACTTATGAAGCTGAGTTTGGCTGAATATGAAATTCTGGGTTGAAAATTCTTTTAAGAATATTGAATATTGGCCCCCACTCTCTTCTGGCTTGTAGAGTTTCTGCCGAGAGATCAGCTATTAGTCTGATGGGTTTCCCTTTGTGGGTAATGAGACCTTTCTCTCTGGCTGCCCTTAACATTTTTTTCTTCATTTCAACTTTGGTGAATCTGACAATTATGTGTCTTGGAATTGCTATTCTCGAGGAGTATCTTTGTGGTGTTCTCTGTATTTCCTGAATTTGAATGTTGGCCTGCCTCACTAGGTTGGGGAAGTTCTCCTGGATGATATCCTGAAGAGTGCTTTCCAACTTGGTTGCATTCTCCCCATCACTTTCAGGTACACCAATCAGATGTAGATTTGGTCTTCTCACATAGTCCCATATTTCTTGGAGGCTTTGTTCATTTCTTTTTACTCTTTTTTCTCTAAACTTCTCTTCTCACTTCATTTCATTCATTTGATCTTCAATCACTGATACCCTTTCTTCCATTTAATCAAATCAGCTACTGAAGCTTGTGCATGCATCACGTAGTTCTTGTGCCATGGTTTTCAGCTCCATCAGGTCATTTATGGACTTATCTATGCTGTTTATTCTCGTTAGCCATTTGTCTACTCTTTTTTCAAGGTTTTTAAGCTTCTTTGTGATGGGTTCAAACATCCTCCTTTAGCTGGGAGAAGTTTGTTATTACCGATTGTCTGAAGCCGCCTTCTCTCGACTCGTCAAAGTCATTCTCCATACAGCTTTGTTCCGCTGCTGGCAAGGAGCTCATGTTGCTGCCTAATCCTTCCTCTGGAAGCTTCATCTCAGAGGGGCACCCAGCCTTATGAAGTGCCAGTCGCCCCCCTACTGGGAGATGCCTCCCAGTTAGGCTACTCGGGGGTCAGGGACCCACTTGAGGAGGCAGTCTGTCTGTTCTCAGATCTCAAACTCAGTGCTGGGAGAACCACTACTCTCTTCAAAGCTGTCACACAGGGACATTTAAGTCTGCAGAAGTTTCTGCTGCCTTCTGTTCAGCTATGCCCTGCCCCTAGAGGTGGAGTCTACAGAGGCAGGGAGGCCTCCTTGAGCTGAGGTGGGCTCCACCCAGTTCGAGCTTCCTGGCCACTTTGTTTATGTACTCGAGCCTCGGCAATGGCAGATGCCCCTCCCTCAGCCTTGCTGTCGCCTTGCAGTTTGATCTCAGACTGCTGTGCTAGCAATGAGCAGGGCTCCTTGGGCATGGGACCCTCTGAGCCAGGCGCGGGATATAATCTCCTGGTGAGCCGTTTGCTAAGGCCATTGGAAAAGTGCAGTATTAGGGTGGGAGTATCCCGATTTTCCAGGTGCAGTCTCTCACGGCTTCCCTTTTGTAGTAAAGGGAATTCCCCGACCCCTTGCGCTTCCCAGGTGAGGCGATGCCCCGCCCTGCTCCATGGGCTGCACCTATTTGTCTGGCAAGCCCCAGTGAGATGAACCTGGTACCTCAGTTGGAAATGCAGAAATCGCCCATCTTCTGCATCGTTCATGCTGGGAGCTGCAGACTGGAGCTGTTCCTATTCGGCCATCTTGGCGCCACCTATTTCAGATTTTTCTAATCAGCTTAATATACTTCGAAGAGCTGAATGCTTTTGTCTTTTATGTTTATTAATTTTCTCAATAGCCTAGTTTAGAGAAATTATTAATCTTTTACCAATGTATCTATGGTCTTATTCTGAAGACCTGTAATCTTATAAGCTTGATTTGTTTATTACAAAATATATTCACTGTAAGTAAGAGAAAGAGTTATAAATTTTATCCAGAGATAACCACTATTAATGTGGCACTATATATTTTTCCAGGCTTATTTATAATACTCCCACCTTCCACCACTACCACCAAATAAAATAAGTAAAATCACTCTGTATAAACTGAGAGGAACTTACTCTGTGAAAAAGAAAGGAAGTGAATTACTGTCATAAGACAAAGTATTTGAAGCTACTGTTCCATAATATAAACCCTGAGAACACTGCTTTTTACAAGTAAATCTTGGTTTATATTAATAGTAATCACTTTCTGAAAACAAAAATAGTTTCACAGGTACTTTATGAAAGTCTACAACCAGCCTCATCTAAACATTTATTTTGAAAGAAAAGGCTTCACATTTAAGAAATCTGAGACAAATTAGTTCTCTTCTATTTGCTATATATTCAGCTTTGTTTTTCTGTATTAATAACTGAATTAAGTTTAAAGTTCTAAGTAAAAAGTACCTGAGTGTTTATGCCGTCCTGTTGAGCACAGCAGTCAATAGCTACTCCTTGGTTACACCACCTACATTACAATTCTGAGGTCCTAGCCATATTCTCATTTCTAGCTCCATCATCATGGATCCAGACCAGTGCCACACACTGCAGCCCCATGGCTTGATACGCAACACAGAAATTATCACTATCTGTTACTCAAGCTTCCTTTACCTCAAAAATAACAAACAATAATACCCCAGTAAAACAGTCTGCTTTCACACACAACCCTGGTCCAAACCATGTTCTCCAAGATCCTACTCTCTAAGCTGCTTTACCTGTGGCTGCATTTCCTCTGGAAGTGCCTAACCCAAGGGGCCTGCTGTAATTGCTAAATATAGGGTGACTATGGCAAGCTTCTTAAGAAAACTGCTTTATAAAACTCTCAATACAACAAAGATTCTGGACAACATGCAGCAAGATTAGCATATCCCTGTAATACATCATGGTTTTACTCTAGCACAGTTGTTACCAAGTTGATTAGAAACACTTGTGGAACGTTTAAAAACTTTTAAAAACAGATTGCTGGGCTCTGTACTCTTTCAAGTATACCTTCACTCAACCACATTCCCCTAAACACTAAATTGAGTAGATCTATAGTGAGACTGAGTAAAAAAAAATTAGTTACGTAGATCCTTGCTATTCAAAGTGTAGTCCAAACATCAGAAGCATTAGCATCATCTGGGAGCTTGTCAGAAATGCAGATTCTCAGGCCCCATCATACCTATTGAATACAAACCTGCAGCTCAACAAGGTCTCCCGGTGATTAGGACAAACATTCAAGATTGAAAGCACTGCCCTACATGATTCTCATGTGCAGCCAGGTTTGAAAAGCAGTGCTCTTCTTAACCCTCTAGTTCTCAAAATACAAAATCAAATATATGAATAAATTTAAAATGTACTTTAATTACTGCAAAGAGGCTATAGTGAAACTCAAAAGCAATTCATTTTTAGGGGGCCCCAATCACATTCCATAGCTACCACAATTTCACTTACCCTTGCATTACATATGGAAACTGGTGACTCTGTGCTTGGTCAGTTTGTGCTTGTGGAAGGGTACGCTGCCTCAATCCTTCTGAGGAAGAACCCACAGCTAAAGACAAGGTTTCTTGACCAGATGATGGAGTTGTTGATCCTGAATGATCTGAACTCTACAAATAAAAATGTAATTTTTAAAAGGAGATTTAGTTCTTTACAATCATAAAATTACAGGCACATTACTAAAAACGTATTCATGAAATCCCTCTGCAAAATAACATTTCAGAAATTTACTGTTTTACATCGTGTGTCCAGTATAAGTAGATATTTTAATTTTAGTACGTCAAAACTTATCAAAACTGCTTAATTAAACTAAAATATTCCATTTTTTCAACTAGAAATGGCCGAGGAGCAGAATAATAATATACAAAAACAGCATATTAAATTCTGAGGATTAAGTTAATGCATAAAAAGCTCTTTTCACATGATTAAATTAATGCATGCAAAGCTCCTTTCATGATGCCTAACACATACATTTATTGAAAGTGTTCAATAAATGGTACTAATTACTGAGTCATTTAAACAGTTACTATGTGCCAAGTACTGTACAACATGCTATTGTTAACATATTGATTTAAAGTAATGAGAAACAGGCTAGAAATCCTAGAAATCAAAAGATCTAAAATCTAGTGTTATCTCTGACATTAACAAGAGTTATAACCTTAAAGGTTCACTTAACCTCTCAGAGTTTCCACTTTCCTACAGAAAATGAGATTGGACTAAATTTTCAAGATTCCTTTCAGTTCTAGAATTCTATTAGTTTATAGAAATCACCAACAAATATTGCTTTTTTACAAAATGAACTACGAGAATCAAGATGTTAATCAGTATTTTTTTATTCTCATGCTCAAATCTTTTTATTCTCGTGCTCATGGATTCAGTAACCATAAACAATATAACTCCCTGAAGACCATCCCAATTTGTTTGAAAATAGTTTGTCAAGTGTTTCATGTACATTTAAAACACAATTACATTTTACATAAATTATAGTTCTTCCACTTTAAAAAGCTAGGTACAGTATTATTTTAACATCCTTCCTTTAACAATTTTGTTAAATTGTATTTTACCCGTACTGCCTTCCTATTGACAGGATGTCTTTTTGCATGACTCCCATGCTAAGTCCTGCAATGTGAAAGGTCCAAAACTGTCTTTTGCAAAACAGTCCACACCAGTCTTTTGCAAGACTAACAAAAACTTTTAAAATGTTACTTCACACACAATAGATATCAAATATCTTACTAAGGAGTCCGGATTCTTAGGAACATAAACTGGGAAAGGTTTCTTTTTCAGCAAGATTTCTCATTAAATGGGCCATCATAATACGGTGTTCATTAATACAATTATTAGAAGAAAAGCCTAGTCATTTGGCAGCACAACCTAATTTCTCTAGAACTAATGATTTCTGACCTTATTAGGTAATTATTTTATGATTAGATCTTTAAAATATTTTCAAGTCCCTTGAAATTTCTGAACCATGAAAAATTAAGGTGAATTCAACTTAACATTCCTTTGATACTTTTCAGGCTTTCATAACACTGAAAAAAACAAATATACACACTAATGACACAAAATCATGGCTGAGCAACCCACTGGACAAGTCAAAGTCAGAGGGTTCTTTCCCAACAAAAATTGAAGCAATGCAACTGTGTCCGACGACTACAAAAAAAAACTCTGTGCCAATGCCAATGTCTGTGCCTTTCCATGCCAAGGCAGGAAACATACAAAGACCCTTGGGTGTTTTGACAAGGCATATTTTATTTAGTTTAATGTAAGCTAAATTCCCATGGCTGGTACTAGGAAATAGTTACCATTAAGAGAATACAAATTAAATACAGCAACTGGAGAAGCTAGTTTCTTAAAGAAGCAGTTAACTAGTATCTATTGAGAGAGTTTTCAACTAGCTCCCACCCCTGTCACTTGTGCTCTCTTTCAAGCTTTGGCTGGAGTCTTGACAAGGAAAGCATACTTAGCAGTAGAAAAGTTCCCTGACTGCTCAAGAAGTTGAAAGCAAGCTTCCACTCATCCAATCCTCTCACCTGCAAAGGTGTCATAGAAAGCTTTTATGGGAAATCAAAAATAACATAAAAGGATTGGGGACAATGTTTTTGAAATTTGTAGAAAATGTCTAAATTGAGAAGGTCAACTATTACAAAACATTTCCAAAACAATTTTAGGCAGATGGAAAAATAAGGATGGAGGAATGAATACCCAAGTCTGAAAGAGATTAATACATTAAGTATTTCCTCCCCAAGCAGGTGGAATGTACACCCAAATCCAGTCATTTTTAAAAAACAAAATCCTTGACCAAGTCATCTACTTCAAGAAGATTTAGGGTACTTAAATTTTAAACAATTTAATCCACCTTGAATAAAATATACTATTTTAAATACCTGGCATATTTCTGAAACGTCATTGGCCTAAGAGTTTATATTATATAACCGTAACATAATTCCGTTTTCTGAGTATTCCAGTAATTAAACCTTTGAAGATTAAATCTATTACTGACCTGCCATACAGCAAATTATAACTCAAGGTGAATAGACTTCAAGGGATAACACTGCGTATTAGATCTTTCAAAATGGTAAACTTTACAAAATGCCTAACTTTAGTTCAAAACACAATCTCAAAATTCACAAGCTCCAATTGTTCTGTTTTTCATTTAGTTTTTAGAGGCAAAAAATAAGACGACGACGAAAAAAAAAGAAAAGTTCAATGTTTACTCCTCCCAAAACAACTCACAGAATTGCTGCTGGATGCCAATGCTTCATGACTTTCTCTATTGGTGCTGGATTTTGGAGAACTGGGAGGAGTCCGAGAAGTACATACTAGATGAACCATATGATACTCATCTTGCTAAAATTAAAGAAGATTACATTTAAAGGGTAGTACTACAAAATGTACAGTTCAAAAAGTCAGTAGCTAAACTGAAATACCTAAAACTTAGGTCCCTTTCGAGCCTAGCCATTTAATTACTGATAAATTGTTATCATTTGAAGGTAAATTTGTCATTTTATTTGTGATCCTTTTGAATTCAATATTTTCTCCATACTTGGAAAATGATCTAAATACTCTGCAATTGCTGGGTTAAAAAATTATTTTGCATACGAAGCAGTCTTAAAGCAAACAATGTTGTGAAAGTTGTAACAGCACAATCTATAATTTCAGCATGAAAACATCTAGCACCTTAAACTTTTTACAGTTTACATATTTCCATCACTTGAGGCTTAGCAACTATAAAATAAACTCAAATAACTTCATCATAATCACATTTGCCTTAATTTTAGCAAGGTGATTTTTTTTACTCTTTTTTTCAGTCAAAAACTATTTTTATCTATAACACCTATACGCAGATATAAAGCATACATTTAAACTATATTCTGTAAATATCCCATGTTTTTCCATAAACCTAGAAATATGACTGAAGAAAAATATTCCAAATAACGATTAGGGTTGGCATTTTAGCTTAGTGAGATCATAAGCATATTTATTTATACTTAGACATAAAGCCAGCAAATAAGATGGGGAAAGGAAAGAAGGAATAAAGGAGGACAGAGAACAATGAAGGATGAGTCAGCTAGTTTTTTAAAAAGAAAAGAACAGAATGACAAAGAAAAAGGAGCAGAAAGAAAGATAACCAAATGGGGAGAAAGGGAAACAAAGCTACTAGAAACTATGAATGTATCACTTGCCTACCATGAACCTATAATTGTGCTTAATTTGGAGACAAATCCAAGAAAGGGTACAACAGGCCCTTCCTTAAAGAGGCTCATGATATTGTTAAGAGGGTAGACTAGTGCACTACAGCACAATTAGAGAAACACAGAGAACAGTCTTTTTTTCATGAAACTGAGAAGCCCAACCTTAATTGCTTTAGGAGTTTGGAGGAAGGAGTTACTAAGGGTTAGAATGCTAAAGAAAGGCTTCAGAGACAGCATGACAGAAGGTACGCCTGGCAAAGGAGGTTGAAGACACTCCTAATTTTCAACGTCTCCCTTAGCTTCTTAATACAGAATATTAACAAGCATACAAGTATAAGATGTTGATCCTTAGAAACCTAGTTCCAAAAGGTCATTATTAATCACAATTAATTCACAGAATTTATTTATCTTGGGAATGTTTCTATAAAACATTTTGTGACTAAATAGGTAAAGCTAATGGCAGTATTTAACTGAAAAAAGTAAAGGGGTACATTGACTTTAATAAAAACAGTTGAAAGAACTATTCAAAACATAAATGTATTACTCAAAATGTTTTATATAGGGGCACAAGAGTTCTTTGACTGAAGCAGTTTTTATTTTAAGTTGTTTGGCCTGAAACCATTCCTGGCAGCAAAAATCTTTTTAAAAGTCTTCATGTGTAGATTTAAGCTATCCTTGGCATAAAATAATTAATATATCTATATTTCAAAGAGCAGATGGCAGAAAGGACTATACCGAAATATATTTTATTTCTGAGCACCAGCATAAAAACAAGAGAAAAAAAAAGAACAGCCAGAATACAGAGGTTTTTAGGGCTATTCTAAGTGATACTATACTGGTGGAGACATGTCATTATATATTTGCCAAAACTCATAGAAAGTGCAACACCAAGAGTGAACCCTAACATAAACTACTGACTTTGGGTGATAATGTATGTCAATGTAAGCTCACTGATTGTAACAAATGTACTACTTTGGTGTGGGATGCTGATAGTGGGGCAGGCTGTGCCTATGTGGGGTCAGAGAATGTAAGAGAAATTGCTGTACTTTCTGTTCAATTTTGCTATAAACCTAAAACAGCTCTAAAAAATTGTTTAAAAAAAAAAAAGAGGAAAGAAAGAAAAAAAAACCTGCTGCAAATTCCACTATTTTTGAGGGAGTGGGTATTACACCATGTTAGCAATTTGAAACTACATATTGCCAATAACAGCAAGAAGTCACATTGGCAAAGCTAAAATGTCAACTGTCTAAGCAGAAGGAATATACTAATATATTTTTTTAAAGTTTCCCATAGGTGATCATAAACATACAGGAGAAGATACAGATCTTCTAAATTAGATAAGGAATATCCACAACAACAGTTAGAGTTAAGTCAAAGATCTAAGGCAAAACAAAGAAGAAATTCAATTCTGCTATACCCACCAACAAAAAGCAACATTTCAAATGCTGAAAAGCTCTATAAGTATAAATTCCACAAATGAACATAAGCTAAAAGCTACCACTAAAATAACTAGCCTTCAAGTTGATTTTATTGAAAATATTGAAATATAAAAATGTATTGAAATATATCTTAGCTCTCAGCACCCACAAAGTTTGCTAACTGATGGACCAGTTAATTTCCTCCTGAAATTAAACTCCCAACTCAAGCAATTTGTATAAAAATATCATGCAGCTGGCAAAAAGGAGATTAAGAGGAAAGACTGTTATCAATGAAAATCCGTCACCACTACTGAACATTCTACTTCTACACTACTGACGTCAATAGCATTTTCTTACAAAAAATGACAAACACCTGAACATGAATACATAATCGTACTTCAGATTTAACTATCAGATGGATATACAGAACTGTTACCTAAACTAATAAGAAACTATCATGTTACTTTCTAATTTATCTTTACTTGTTACACCACGCAAAGGGATTGATTTTAAGTATCTAAAAACTGAACTGGTTGAATAAAATTTCAGAACATATCTCCTCTCACATTCTGAATGTATCTGGTATCAAATAGTGGTAGAAAAGCTTACTTTTCTGAGAATGTCTTTCAGCTGCAGATGATCGGGAAGCAGTCTGCCCGAATACACCAATCTCTGATCCTTCGTCAACTAAGAAATGGGACAAAGAAAAGAATTCAACTTTTCTAATTATGCAAATTGAAGGTTGGGAATAACATGCCTAATTATGGGTAAAATAAAACTCCCTTTAGGCACAAGTAAGCAGAAAACTGACACAATTTAAGAATTTTTGTTTTTCCAAATTCTACTTAAGAAAAAAACATTTAAGAGTTCAGCAAATGGTAGTGTATCTATTGTAGCTATAATAAAGTACAGATAATTAATACATTTAAAAACCTGAGGAGGGGGAACAGGTAGATAAATTGGAAGTCTGTCTTTTCAACTGTAATGCAATGCATATATGACTATCATTAAAAAATCTTCAAGACTATATAAATGAGAAAGTGGTTGGCCTTATATTAATCGTCAACAGTAGGATAAAATTTCGATGTCACCAGAATCATTTTGCCTTATTTTGTCAATTTTTCATCTAAGATAATATACAAGACTTACTTTCTTCCTTACTAATATTGTGCAGAACAATTTATTGGTTTTAATTCAAGAGCCATTTAGATTTAGTTATAAATTTACTTACTATTCTAATTATTATTCCTGCCACTATCACAAATACCTTTGTTAAGTTTTTCAAAAACACAAGACTAAAGAAAAATCAACACAAGTGCATGGAGAGTCAGTTGCCATCTCTATACGCAACCAGAATATGAAATTACGTAAAATTAAAGCGTCTGTATATACTCCACATAAGGCCTACTTCATAACTGCAAAACAGGTGAATGTTCTTTGAATTTTATCAAAACAAATACTAGCTATATCAGTAATTGTTAAATATGCCAAATCCAAGTCACAACTATAACAATTTTTAAGACTATGTATTCAACATGGCTACTACAAAAGGGTCTTCTTATATTAAAATTAGCCATAATAGAAATTATCATACTAAGATCTGTGGTTCAGGCATCCTTACACACCAAAGGTATAGCTATCCTTCCAAGATACTTAACCATTACACATATTCCAGTTTCTCCTGGAAGCATTTTGGAGTGTGCCATTCCTCAAATGCACATGTACAAACTCCTATATATAAACAATCAAATACAGTGCACAGGTTTTAAAATCATAAGTCTTACAACCTATATATATATATATATATATATATAGAGAGAGAGAGAGAGAGAGAGAGAGAGAGAGAGAGAGAGAGAGAGAGAGAGAGAGAGAGGAGCACTGTGGTATCGTAAAATGTATAAAATGTATTTGGTTTTCATGCTGTTTCCTGCCGAACAGCTCCTAAAATCCTTGGAATCTTCAGAAAGATGAGTATCTTTAGTGTGCTAATAAGACAACTGGTGGCTGGGGGACCCTACAATTTAACAGGGGAACCAACAAAGTGATTAGAAGGTTGCAACTTTCAGTCCCACCCCCACCCCCAACCTCCAGAGAGGGAGAGTGGCTTAAGGTTGAGTTGACAAACCAATGACCAATGATTTAATCAATCACGCCTACCTAACGAAGCTTCCATAAAACCCAAAAGGACTGAGTTCTGAGAGCTCCAGCACAGTAGAATGAGTCGAAGTTCCTCAAGAGTGGATGGGCCCAGAAAGGGCATGGAAGCTCTGAGCCCTTTCTCCAAGAACTCGTCCTATGCATCTCTCTTCCATTTGTATCCTTTGTAATAATATCCTTTGTAAGTGAGCAAATGTAAGTAACATGTTTCCTTGAGTTCTGTGAGCTGCACTAACAAATTAATTGAACCCCAGGAGGGGGTCACGGGAACCCCAATTTATAACCAGTTGGTCAAAAACACAGACCACAACCTGTGCTTGGGACCACATATGAAGGGGGGCAGTCTTGTGGGATTGAGCCCTCAACCTGTGGAATCTATCCCCAGGTAGATAGTGTCAGAAGTACACTGAATTAAAGGACATTCAGCTGATGTCCTCTGGAGAATTATCTGCAGAACTCCTTGTTGTTGGAGAGAAATCCCCACACATTTTGGGGACCAGACATTACAGAAGCATTCTGTATTGCGTGTTGTGAGAGCATAGTAGGAGAAACTCAGTTAGTTTTTTCCTATATCCATATAGGCACTGAATGGCAAACTATATGACCATAAGTTGAATGCTAAATATATAATCAATGATTTAATTCCTGCCCAAAATGAATTATCCAATGCTTTATAAATCTCTATAATGTACTTATTACAATTTGAACCTAAAGAAGTTTCTTGTATTACAGTCATCATAAACTATCACTTTTTTACCAGACCAAACATTTAATAAATAGATACTTTTACGTCATATCATCACTCTGCATAAAGGACATCAGTCTCTTTTTGTGAATTTTTTTCCTTTATAAAAATTATCAAACATACATACAGTGGAGGGAATAAAATGAACCCCCAGGTACCATCTTCAAGAACTCTCAAGTACCCAGCTTCAACAATTACCAAATTTTGCTATTCTTGTCTCATCCATCCCTCATTTCTTTTCTTCAAAGAGAATACTGTATTTTAATCTTTTTTTTAAAAAAATGTAGAGACGGGGTCTCACTCTGTTTTCCAGGCTGAAGTGCAGTGGCTATTCACAGGTGCGATCATGGTACACACTGCAGCCCCGAACTCCTGGGCTCAAGTAATCCTCCCGCCTCAGCCTCTGGAGTAGCTGGGACTCCAGATATATGCCACTGTACCCAGCTGAGTACTGTATTTTAAAGCAATATTACACATCATTTCTCTTCACCTGTACAAATTTAGTAAGTTTTATAATAACCATAATGTTACCACATTCAACAAATAATTCCTTAATATGTAATATCCAATGCAGCTCAACTCTTCCCACTTGCCCAAAAATGCTTTTTAAAGATGATTTGAATCAGAATCCAAATAAGGTTCACACACAAAATTTGACTGTTATGCCTCTTTTAATCTTTTAACAGTTTCTATTTTTAAAAAATTTTTCCCAGGCTATTTATGTGTTGAAGAAATTGTCTCGTAGAACTTTCCAGTCTGATTAGGCAAACTGTATCTTCCTGGTATTGCTCAGCATATTCCTGTAGTTCCTATACAATGTAGTTAGATCTAGAGGGCTGATCAAATTCCAATTCCTTTTTGTATGACAAGAGGACTTTTGACAAGGGGAACCTCAAATTGCACATTTTTGACCAGTAGGAGTCCCTACAAGGTGGCTCCTGCATCACTTTAACATGACCTCTGTCTCTAATAGTAGCTTCCTTGCTCTCAGGCACAAAATGCCCCAGAAGTTCATCTTACACATTTCATGCCCCAGACCTAGAATCAGCCATTGCTCCAGGATCCATGATTCATTTTAATGGGAAATGGTATCTAAAGACCAAAATCTGGGAGCTAGGAGTACTGATTTTTACTTGTCATTACTTCTTCAGTAAGCAGAGCTAGAAAATATGTATTTTTATAAAGAGAAACTTAAATCCTGAGTTCACTGTGACATTTCCAATTAAATAGTATTCACTCATTTTATTTGTATCTTCTCTCACCCTGAAAATCTTTCTTGCTAATGACACTAATAAATACCTGCCATTAGCAAATGTACTAATTTGTTTTATCCTACTACATGTAATCTCAAATTAACAATAACAAGATTGTTACTAACAATATTGAACAAAGTTTAAGATTTCTCATTGATCTTCTCTGTCCTTAGGATATAGGTCACTAGTCAAAATACAGTGTTTCAAAGTTACTTGAAATAATAATTCTTGTAACTGTGTCATCATCCTGACATTTTTAAATTCTTGTTTTCATTTAGAGATTTCTCTATTTTTTTATAATTATATCTAACAAAAAATGGCAATAAGGTAAAAACTATAAACAAGGTGCATTCAAAGAGGCTTTAGTTCTGTCCTTGTCCCCTCTATGATTTTGGATTGCCCTTACAATGCTTAACAACATAACAAAGCTGAATACACACATACTCCTATTTTCCTCCTTTTCTTACATAAAAAGTAGTACAGTATACTTACTCTATTGCATCTTGTTTTCTCACTTAATAAACCAGGGAGATTACTGCTTAGCAGCATAAAAATATTTTCCCCATTCTTTTTAACAAATGCACAATCCTCCATTATATGAAAGTACTATAGTTTGTTAATGGATATTTGAGCGTTTCTAGGCTTTCATTATTACGTATAGTGTCCTCCCTTCATATTATTCTATTTATCTCTATATTTCCCCATAGCATCCTGCAATAAGGAGATCATTAATGACATTGATAAAGGTAATCTTGATGGTGTAGCAGGGTAAAAACCTAATTGGAATTGATTCAAGAGAAAAGGAGAGACACGTAGAGATAGCAAATATATACAACTTATAAACAGTTTTGCACTTAAAGGAAGAAATAGGACAATAGCTAGAACGGAAATGGGATCAAGAGAGGGTCTTCCTTTTGGTTTGTTTTATTCTTTTGTGCTTTTGTTTTCTTCAAGAGAGAAATAATGTGTTTATATGCCAACAGAAGTAATTCAGTAGAAAGGAAAAAACTGATGATGCAAGAGAGAAAAACAATTTCAAGAGCAATGTCCTTCAGCAGCTAATAAGGGATGGGGGTCTTGTGTAGAGGAGTTGGACTTACAGAACAATATGACAGATGTAGCTAAAGAGATGCTAAGAAACTTATACAAGATCCCATCACCAGCACTCTGTGCCTCAGTTTCCTTATCTGTAAGTTAAGAGCGATAATAGATTGTATCTCACATGGCTTAATTTTCATAACAACGGAAATGCACATAAACTAGAACAGAACACAAAGCCTACTGAGTATTCAGTTAACATCAGGTGCAAATTTCTAGTACCTGCTCCTCCCACATCATGCAGTTTCATGAGGCTCTAATGAGATTATGGAAAAGTACAGAAAAGTTGAATGACTAACAGCAGGCTGTGTATGTTCATTATGCATAAGAACATGATTTGGATGCTGCTAAAACAGGTTGGGTTAAAGTTGCAATGACTGTCACTTCACATTATTAAAAAAAAAAAAACAAAGTTCCAATTCACATTAGAACTTTCAAGTCTCAGTTTTTTTGTTGTTGCTTTTTTTTTGTTTTGAGACAGAGTGTCACTCTGTCACCCAGGCTGGAGTGCAGTGGCACGATCTTGGCTCACTGCAACCTCTAACTCCCAGGTTCAAACAATTCTCCTGCCTCAGCCTTCGGAGTAGCTGGGATTACAGTCGTGCACCACCACACCCTGCTAATTTTTGTATATTTAGTAGAGATGGGATTTCACCATGTTGGCCAGGCTGGTCTCAAACTCCTGGCCTCAAGTGATCCGCCCGCCTCAGCCCCCTAAAGCGCTGGGATTACAGGCGCGAGCCACCACGCCCAGCCTAAAGTCTCAGTTTAAAATGACATTTATAAATCACAAAAGGAAATCTTTTAATTAATTTTGCCTTCTCTACGAGAAAAAATACTTTGATGTTAGTCAAAGAAGTCCATATCCAAAACATAAGTTATCTAACTTATGTTTTTTTATTTTTGGTTAAAGAATGTAGTATTTACCAACTACTTCTAGATGTTAATATATTATCTGCTTTCTACATGGGTAATCTCCATTTTCCTATTAAACTGTAAAAGTAATGGAATTTGTCAGATATTTTATCACAAGCATCACTTCTAAGCAAGATAGGGAAAAAATATGCTGGAAAACTCAGTATTTGGGACTACTGATCAAAATACATATAAATGGAGTACACTGGCAATCCTACTTAAAATGTTTACTCCCATAATTTGTTAGTAGACAGGTTTAAAACAAATTTTTCACGGAAACAATAGGTCACTTTCAGTCAGAGACTTCAAAAGCCAAAGCTTGGAAAACTTTGCAATGCAATACAAGTTAAATAAATTTAGGAAGATCATTTAGTTAAAAATAGAGGTACTGAAATCTCATGATGGCTATAAAGTGATTATCCAGATTATTGATAATATTAATTTTTTATCCAGAAAAAAACTCAGAAGATTTTGAGAATTCCTAGTCCCAGAACTATGGGTCCCACGCATACAAATAATTATTAAATTTAAAAGCTAGCACATATTGTATTTAACCCAAAATACAGCTAACTGAAGTAGTATGACTAGTATCCCAGAAAGAGACTGGTAATCCCTTATCTCCAAGTCCTTCTTTTTTAAAACCACCTACACCTACTAAACAGAACAGTTAGGCAATAGCTAAGCAAGTCTGTCAGCAGTAGGAGGAAAAGATGCAATAGCACCCAGCAAAAGTTTCTGACTTTTGAAAGGAGAAAGACAGACACCGCAGCCTTTATCATTTGCTTCTCTGGAAGAGGAATCAAGGTTTAGAAAAACCATTAGTAGGCCTGTGTACATTTCATTCATATCACTGGTTTTTGCCCTGCCAGAGTCTGCTAAATTTCCCATCCAATTCTAAACATTAGGGTTCTTCAGACAAGTTGCAAATTTGTCTCTCTGTCCAAGGCCTCACCCTCTCAGACCCAGATTCATATACCCAACTGCTATGAGATTTGACATCTTCATATATTTTAATAGGCAACTCAAATTCTACAATGCATTTCAATTCCCAATTCCCTAAATCCTTCCTCTTACTTCTTCCCTATCCCATAACAACCTGTGACCAGTTGTTTAAGCCAAAAACCTGGGCATCATCCTCAACTTTTCTTTCTTTTGCCTTGCCTCCCATATCTAACCATTGTCAAATCCTATAGACTCTATCTCCAAAAGTTCCTCTCAGATCAGTCTACTTCTTTCTACCTACACTGCCATTACCCTAATCTAAACCATCGTCTCCTGCCTGGGCATCTGCAATAGTCTTTTAATTGGTTTTCTTGCTTCCATTCTACAGTCAGCAGCTCCAGTGATCTTTTAAAAACTTAAATCAGCCAGGCATGGTGGTTCATACCTGTAATCCCAGCACTTTGGGAGGCTGAGGCAGAAGGACTGCTTGAGCCCAGGAGTTCAAGACCAGCCTGGGCAACATAGCAAGACTCCATCTCCTCAAAATTTTTTTTAAATGTAGCCAGGTGTGGTAGGGCATGCTTGTAGTTCCAGCTGCTTGGGAGGCTGAGGTGAGAGGATCACTTGAGCCCAGGAGTTCGAGGCTGCAGTGAGCTATGATCACTCCCACTGCACTCTAGCCTGGGTGACAGAGGAAGACCCTGTCTCAAAAAACCAAAAAACAAAAACAACAAAACAAACAAAACAAACTTAGATCAATCCTGTCACTCTCTGATGGATTCCCACTACAATGGATTTAATTCAAATTCCTTTCCATGGCCAGATCTGGCTTCTGTCTCTCTCCAAACTCCCCGACAGTATTCTTTCCTCCTTACTCACTAGCCAAACTGACATTCACTTAGCTCCCAAGCTCTCTCAATTCAGACACCCTGCCTGCTGTATTCTCCCCCAGCTCTTGCATACCTGACTCTTAATCACCTTTTAGATTTCAGTTTTAAAATCATCCCCTCAGTGAGGTCTTCCTTGACTTACAAATCTACAGTAGAGTATTCCCTCTCACACATCCTGTTTATATCCTTTGTAACACAAACCACAACCTGTAATTATGTCAACATGTGTTTTTTTCTCTTAAATAAAAGTGCCAAGAACAAAGGGTCCGTAGCCATCTTGCTTGTCACTGTGTTCCCACAGCCCACTACTGTGCCTCACAGAGTATATGCTAAGTGTAGATCTGCTAAATGAGGTGTTATGAGTCCAAAACTGCTTACACAGACTTGGAGAAACCACCTAATTTGAAGTTTGTTAAATTAGTTATTTTACATGTAATCGTGAAAAACAGAAATGAAATATTCAGTCTATGAATCACAACATTAAAACACTTGCTGGTGCTAAATTTATCTGATTCACTTCTACAAATGATACTGATATTAGCAAATTATGATAAAGAAGCAATCATATATTAGTATTTTAGTATTTTTTCTTTAAATTAATAGTCAACTTTGAATAAATGATTTTATCTTTCCACAGCAAGGTCACATCAATTTTCAGAAATGTAGAACATACAAATGTAACAAAATTACATAGTAGCCCCCAAAATACATAAAGCAAAAACAAGTATGGGCAAGGATGTAGAGAAACTAGACCCTTCCTACATTGCTGGTAGGAATGTAAATGGGTTCAGCCACTGTGAAAAAAAGTCTGGCAGTGTCTCAGAAAGTTAAACATACAGTTACCCTATGACACAATATATACCCAGT
Organism: Homo sapiens; assembly: GCF_000001405.40. Classification (NCBI taxonomy): domain Eukaryota; kingdom Metazoa; phylum Chordata; class Mammalia; order Primates; family Hominidae; genus Homo; species Homo sapiens. Next base: position 35,681,459 of record NC_000007.14, read on the forward strand.
TCCATTGCTAGGTACATACCAAAAATGATGGAAAACATATGTGCACATAAAAACTTGTACAAGAATGTTCATAGCATAATTATTCTTAATAGTCAAAAAAAAGTAGAAACAACCCAAATGTCTATCAGCTGACAAATGGGTAAACAAAATATGGTGTATATAAATATATGCACACACGGAATATTATTCAGCCACAAAAAGGAATGAAATACTGACACATGCTATAATGTAGATGAGCCTTGTAAACATTATGCTAAGTTAAAGATAGGAGGCACAAAAATCCATATGATTCTTTTTATATGAAATGTCTAGACTATGCAAATCCATAGAAACAGAAAGTAGAAAAAAAAAGAAACAGAAAGTAGATTAGCACACTGGAAGAAAAAAGAATGGGGAGTGACTGCCAATAGGTATGGAGTTTCTGGGGTGATGAAAATATTCTAGAATTAGGCAGTGATTATGACAGCACAACTTTGTGAAGTACTAAAAACCACTGGGTCATATACTTTAAAGGGCAAATTTTACAGTATGTGAATTATACCTGCATTAAGAAAAACTGTTACTTTCAATTGAATATCCAAATGCCTTCAAATAATCTGAAGTTTTTGGTTTTTTGTCACCCAGGCTGGAGTACAGTGGCATGGTATCAGCTCACTGCAACCTCTGCCTCCTGAGGCTCAAGTGATCCTCCCACCCCAGCCTCCTGAGTAGCTGGGACTACAGGCATGCGTTATCACGCCTGGCTAATTTTTGTGTGTGTGTGTGTATATATAGATATATACACATACACACGTGTGTGTGTGTATATATAGATATATACACATACACACGTGTGTGTGTGTATATATAGATATATACACATACACACGTGTGTGTGTGTGTGTGTGTGTGTGTGTGTGTATATATATATATATATATATATATATATACTTAATCGGCATACAAGGGACATACCTCAATATAATAAAAGCCATCCATGACAAACCCACAGCCAACATAATACTGAATGGGGAAAAGTTGAAAACATTCCCTCTGAGAACTGGAACAAGACAAGGATGTCCACTCTCACCACTCCTTTCCAACATAGTACTCTAAATCCTAGCCAGACCAATCAGACAAGAGAAAGAAATAAAGGGCATCCAAATCGGTAAAGAGGAAGTCGAACTGTCGCTGTTTGACAATTATATGATCGTTTACCTAGAAAATCCAAAGACTCCTCCAGAAAGAAAGTTCCTAGAACTAATAAAAGAATTCAGCAAAATTTCCAGATACAAAATTAATGTACACAAATCAGTAGCACTTTTATATACCAACAGCAACCAAGCGGAGAATCAAAACGAGAACTCAACCCCTTTTACAACAGCTGCAAAAAAAAAAAAAAATACTTAGGAATATACCTAACCAAGGAGGCAAAAGACCTCTACAAGGAAAAACAACAAAACACTGGTGAAAGAAATCATAGACAACACAAACAAACAGAAACACACCCCATGCTCATGGATGAGTAGAATCAATATTGTAAAAATGACCCTACTGCCAAAAGCAATCTACAAATTCAACGCAATTCCCATCAAAATACCACCATCATTCTTCACAGATGTAGAAAAAAAAATTCTAAAATTCATATGGAACCAAAGAAGAGCCCACATAGCCAAAGCAAGACTAAGCAAAAAGAACAAATCTGGAGGCATCACATTACCTGGTTTCAAACTATACTACAAGGCCATAGTCACCAAAACAACATGGTACTGATACAAAAACAGGCACATAGACCAATGGAAGGACTAGAGAACACAAAAATAAACCCAAATACTTACAGCCAACTGATCTTTGACAAAGCAAACAAAAACAAGAATTGGGGAAAGGACACCCTTTTCCACAAATTGTGATGGGATAATTGGCTAGTCACATGTAGAAGAATGAAACTGGATCCTCATATTTCACCTTATACAAAAATCAACTCAAGATGGATTAAGGACTTAAATCTAAGACCTGAAGCTATAAAAATTATAGATGATAATATTGGAAAAGCCCTTCTAGACACTGCCTTAGGCAAGGATTTCATGACCAAGAACCCAAAAGCAAATGCAATAAAAGCAAAGATAAATTGCTGGGACTTAATTAAACTAAAGAACTTCTGCATAGCAAAAGGAATAGTCAGCAGAGTAGACAACCCACAGAGTGGGACAAACCTTCATAATCTAATCATCTAACAAAGGACTAATATCCGGTATCTACAATGAACTCAAACAAATCAACAAGAAAAAAAAATCCCATCAAAAAGTGGGCTAAGGACATGACAATTCTCAAAAGAAGATATACAAATGGCCAACAAACATATGAAAAGATGCTCAACATTACTAATGATCAGGGAAATGCAAATCAAAACTACAATGCAATACCACCTTACTGCTGCAGGAATGGCCATAATCAAAAAAATCAAAAAATAATAGATGTTGGCGTGGCAGCGGTGAACAGGGAACACTTGTACAATGCTGGTGGGAATATAAACTAGTACAACCGTTATGGAAAACAGTGTGGAGATTCCTTAAAGAACTAAAAGTAGAACTACCATTTGATCCAGCAATCCCACTATTGGGTATCTACCCAGAGGAAAAGAAGTCATTATACAAAAAAGATATTTGTGGCCAGACACGGTGCCTCATGCCTGTAATCCCAGCACTTTGGGAGGCCGAGGCGGGTGGATCATGAGGTCAGGAGATCAACACCACCCTGGCTAACACGGTGAAACCCTGTCTCTACTAAAAATACAAAAACAAAATTAGCCAGGCATGGTGGCGGGAACCTGCAGTCCCAGCTACTCGGGAGGCTGAGGCAGGAGAATGGCGTGAACCCGGGAGGCGGAGCTTCCAGTGGGCCGAGATCGCACCACTGCACTCCAGCCTGGGTGATGGAGCAAGACTCCACCTCAAAAAAGAAAAAGAAAAAAAAAAAAGATACTTGCACAAATATTTATAGCAGCACAATCTGCAACTGCAAAAACGTGGAACCAACCCAAATGCCCATCAATCAACAAATGGATAAAGAAACTGTGAGAGACAGATATATATATATATATACATATGTGACGGACTACTACTCAGCCCTAAAAAAGAACGAATTAATGGCATTTGCAGCAACCTGGATGAGACTGGAGACTATTATTCTAAGTGAAGTACTCAGAAATGGAAAACCAAACATTGTATGTTCTCACTCATAAATGGGAGTTAAAGCTATGAGGATACAAAGGCATAAGAATGACACGATGGACTTTGGGACTCAGCGGGAAAGGGTGAGAAGGGGGTGAGGGATAAAAGACCACAAACAGGGTGCAGTGTATACTGCCCGGGTGATGGGTACACCAGAATATCATAAATCACCACTAAAGAACTTACTCATGTAACCAAACACCACCTGTTACCCAATAACCTATGGAAATAAAAAATAAAATAAAAGGAAAAGTATTCTATATTTTTACAGTAATTGAAAACAGAAAAACTGGCCAGGCATGGTTTCTCACACCTGTAATCCCAGCACTTTGGGAGGCCAAAACAGATGAATCGCTAGAGCCCAGGAGTTCCAGACCAGCCTGGGCAACATAGTGAGACCCTGTCTCTACAAAATATACTAAAGTTAGCTGGGCATGGTGGTGCATGCCTGTAGTCCCAGCTACTTAGTAGGCTGGGGTAGGAGGATCACTTTAGCCCAAGAGGCAGAGAGGTGAGCCAAGGTCGTGCCACTGTCCTCCAACCTGGCAACAGAGGGAGAGACTGTCTCAAAAAAAAAAAACAGAAAAGAAAACAGAAACATTATTAATTTTTTCATGTGCCTAAACTAGGTAAAAAGTAACACTTGGAATTTTTTTTGTTTTTTTTTTTTTTTGGAGATAGAGTCTTGCTCTGTCACCCAGGCTGGAGTACAGTGGCATGAGCTCAGCTCCCAGCAACCTCCGCCTCCCAGGCTTAAGCAATTCTCGTGCCTCAGCCTCCCGAGTAGCTGGGATTACAGGCGCGTGCCACTATGCCCAGCTAATTTTTTTGTATTTTTAGTAGAGACAGGGTTTCTCCATGTTGACCAGGCTGGTCTCGAACTCCTGACCTCAGGTGATCTGCCCATTTCAGCCTCCCAAAGTGCTGAGATTACAGGCATGAGCCACTGTGCCTGGCCGGAAATTTTTTATGCCATTAAAAAACTGCCTCTTCAGTTTAAATATCAATGAATTTAATTTAAATATCAGGGCTGGGTGCAGTGGTTCACGCCTGTAATCCCAGCACTTTGGGAGGCCCAGCTGGGAGGATCACTTGAGGTCAGGAGTTCCAGACCAGTCTGGCCAACATGGTGGAAACCTCATCTCTACTAAAAATACGTGGCAGCAGCAGGTGTGGTGGCAGGTGTGGAAGGCTGAGGCTGGAGAATCGCTTGAACCTGGGAGGCGGAGGTTGCGGTGAGCCAGGGTTGTGCCACTGCACTCCAGCCTGGACAACAGAGCGAGACCCTGTCTCTAAATAAATAAATAAATAAATAAATAAATAACTTAAATATCAGGAAAATCATGTGTTAGACCTAATAACAAATGACAATAATCAACTGAATTTTCAACTAGTTATTTTGGTATTGTAAGCTACAGCATTAGGAAAAGCAGAGACTTTGAGATCTCAACTCAATTTGACTTGTAAAAAGTAATATAATGTTATTTATCCAGCCCTGCTAATATCATTACCTTTTTCTTTTTCTTTTCTTTTTTTTTTGAGACAGAGTCTTACTCTGTCGCCCAGGCTGGAGTGCAGTGGCGCGATCTCAGCTCACTACAAACTCTGCCTCCCAGGTTCATGCCATTCTCCTGCGTCACGTCCCAAGTAGCTGGGACTACAGGTGCCTGCCACCACGCCCGGCTAATTTTTTATATTTTTAGTAGAGACGGGGTTTCACCGTGTTAGCCAGCATGGTCTCGATCTCCTGATCTCATGATCCGCCCACCTCGGCCTCCCAAAGTGCTGGGATTACAGGCGTCAGCGCAGCGCCCGGCCTAACATTATCTTTTAGCTTGATTAAAAACCCATTTCCACCCGGCTAAAACGGTGAAACCCCGTCTCTACTAAAAATACAAAAAATTAGCCGGGCGTAGTGGCGGGCGCCTGTAGTCCCAGCTACTTGGGAGGCTGAGGCAGGAGAATGGCGTGAACCCGGGAGGCGGAGCTTGCAGTGAGCCGAGATCCCGCCACTGCACTCCAGCCTGGGCGACAGAACGACACTCCGTCTCAAAAAAAAAAAAAAAAAAAAAAAAAAACCAAACCCATTTCCAGGCCAGGGGTGGTGGCTCACGCCTGTAATTCCAGCACTTTGGGAGGCTGGGGGGGGGGGGGTGGGGGGGTGGGGGGGGGCGCGAGTCACGAGGTCAGGAGTTCGAGACCAGCCTGGCTAACATGGTGAAACCCCGTCTCTACTGAAAATACAGAAAAATTAGGTGGGCAGGCGCCTGTAATCCCAGCTACTGAGGAGGCTGAGGCAGGACAATCACTTGAACCCAGGAGGCAGAGGTTGCAGTGAGCTGAGATCACGCCACTGCACTCCAGCCCAGACGACAGTGCGAGACTCTGTCTCAAAAAAGCAAACCAAAACAAACCCATTTCTATATTAGTTAGGGTAATGATAGTTGCTATAACAAATCCCAAGATCTCAGTAGCTTAACACAATAAAAGTTCATTCGTTTCTCAATTTAAAAAACATTGCATGGTACCCTTCTAATATAAGAATTCAGAAGACTCAGGGTTCACAAATCTAAACGTACTAGTTAAATTGTCAATTTAAAGATTCTAATGATAAGATACTGGCTCCACAGAGTAACATATAAATATAATTGGCCTCTCCATTACCACCACCACTATTCTTCCTGGTACTCACCCCTACATCCAATAGTCAGCAAATTCTATCAGGTTCACTACTTTCACCACCAATACTTCACCCTAAATGAAGCCTGGTCACAGATGGCAGTGCAGAATCAGCCAAATAATAAGACAAAGAACAAGTTGGAAACATCCTGATGTACTCTGAGTGGCCCAGAAACAGAAATATCCCACTTCAAATAAACAGCTGCTTAACTAGCTGGCCGAGAAAACCTCTGCTACCCACTTAACAGACATTGCTAAAAACCAAGGTGAGGAAAGCTCACTTGCTGGTATAACAGGTTAAAATAAGTCCTAACCTGGACTTTTTTGTTGTTTCTAAAAGGTTTATGTATATGCCATTATTGAAAGTGTCTGACCCTTTAATGTTTAACCAAATATCAGAAACAGATCAAATATCATACATCCTTAACACATTTAAAATATCTCCTGGAGTCTGATAAATGGGTTTAAAGCCAACAATACTTTTATATTTCAAGAAAGTCACCTAGTTAGTATCAAATGATTAAATTTTTTATGTCAAGGATTAAATGGGTCTTTCAATTATGTATGGCTTAAAAATCATGTTCCTAGTATATCCAACTTCAGCATAATCAAATTTCATATGCTAATTTAAAAATATTAATTAAAAATTTTAAAATATCTATCATCTTAATAGTTCAGTAAAGGCAATCTTCAACTTACAGGTTAGTTCAATGAACTATAATCTAGTCCTTTAAAAGTAGTAACTATTAAGTACTTACATATAGTTCAGTCACAAATATCAAATAGCTTTAAAGAGCTGGGTCCCAGGAAGTGCACAAAATATCATTTCTGTGGGAAATGAATTCTGTAAATTTGTACTAGAACACATCTCCTTCCCATTTCCCACTAAAAGCATCCAATCTAAAAACCCTGAAAATTCAGAAACACTATAAATAGAGGCACAGTCACCCAAACTGCCTCTACCCCTTATCTCCTTGCAGTAACAGTAAGCAAAACTGTACCTACAGAATATTACAGAGTAATGTTCTCTGGAACTCCAAAGAGATATTCCCAGCTTAACTGCTTCCACTCATGGGTAGAGATATATGATATTCACACACCAAGTGATGTACACCTCTGATGTTCAATAGAGCCTGTCAAAGTATATGACTATGGTTCACACCAACTGGTAGACTGTGAAGACAGGACAAAGATATGTGCGCTGCAGTCTTAAGATATTATGCATCTAATCTTTCCTATAATTTATCAGAATAAAGAGATATAACCACACATTAAGCTAAGTGTTAGCACCATAGTAAGGCTGTTATCCATTTATCTACAGCCTTTAGACAACAAACCAGCCAAACATATAAATCTCTTTTTATAGCTCAACTGGTTCTTTTTAGTTTACAAGTATATAACTGAGATGGCTGAGTCCCTAAATGCCTTTCTTCATCTTATTATACATAACCATCACATATGATGTGTACAGTAAGTCCAACCTGGGTTCAAATTCTAATTCCACTCCTTAGAGTCTGACCTAAGCAAAAAAAAAAATCACCAAGCCTCGGTTTCTTCATCTATAAAGTAGAGCTAATTATAAACCTTACATCATAAGAAGTCTAGGAGGAATATATGTGATAAAGCATATCAAATGCTTATTATAATGCCTGGTACACATGGCAAACACTTAGTAAATGGCAAAGTCAGAGCAGTTAAATAAAAGCATTCTAGACAATCAAAGCAGAATTTATTATGTTAAAAAAAGAAACTTAAGCTAAAAGTTCTACAAAAATTCTATCTGGAAAGTATTGAGAAATGATTAAACATTACCTTCATAATAATGTTATTATATTTTCCAAAAAGACATAAGGCTACAAATACATTAAGCAATAAAATTTTAGTGAGCAGTCATTCAAAACTTTTAGTCTGTTTTTCATCAACTTTCACATTCGATAGTACCCTTTGTTCAAAAGAGGTTTTAAAATCTTGAACTATATTCCCAGGCGACATGAAACCCTCTTAAATGTATTAAAATCTTATAAGACAATAGTTTTATAAAACAAAAATTATTTTGTTTATGGATTATAGCCCCTTTAAATCAACAATTCCAAAATGGTTAAACAAGTAGACTTTTTAAAATGACCTAAGTAAGGTAATAGGAAATTACAAAACTAAGAGAGATAAAATTTCAAATGATATAAGCTATTTCTACCTGTAATGAAAGTAAGACTTCTGATTGCAGGCAATTTGGTTATGGAGTGTTATAATCTCACAACAGAACCTATATATACAATTGGTTCTATTCTTGCTTCTTTAATTCTAATAGAATCTGAGAGTAAAGGAACAGTTTGAAAAAACAGCACAAACCTGCTTAACTGATCAGGAGAGGTAGATAAGAAAATGACTGCTTTGGTTTAACAGTATGAACAGCAAAGACAGAGGAAATCTGCCCAGAACTGAGGGACACAATCAGAGGTATTTTGACCCCAAGACTGAAAAATGGAGAGCCAAGCCATGCAAGCCCCAAAAAGGTTTGCCTTCAAAACTGAATTCAGAGTGAGTCAGGTCCATCTTAGTGACTGCTTGTTCATGAGAACAGATATAGTAAGAGAATGAGAAAGGTACCTAAGTGGACTTGGATATTCATATTTTTAAAATTTTTCTCTAGGATGATCCATCTATTATCAACCGTTTTGGTATTTACATCTATAATAACTAAGTCTAAACTCAGATTAAAGTCTGAAACTCAAGTAAAAGTGGTCTTCTTGCCAAGTATCTTCACCACCAAACAGCAATTACCTAAATTTTAGAATTATTTCACAGTGCAGCCCAATTTCAGGATCTGAAAAACTAGTCATGAAGTGATGTCAAATGTCATATTACAACTCACAATTATCTATATATTCTGTAATATAAACTAGTGCACTTCCCATTTCCTAAACCAAGTCTTAAACCAATTATCAATATCATTCAAAGTTAACTCCAAAACAGCTCAACTCCACATCCGAGGTTTTTAATTATGACTTTGTGAACATTTTCACAAATATGGCAACTGCCTAAATTCCTAACCAGAAAACACCTTTCCCTTCACAGATCATTAAGGATCTATAATCTTTTTACCTAATACTGTATTACTAAGTAATATACTAATATAAAACAAAGTCATCAGTGCAAACATTAACTCCAAAAGAATAGTTAAGGCCGGGAGTGGTGGCTCATGCCTGTAATCCCAACACTTCGGGAGGCCGAGGTGGGTGGATTACCTGAGGTCAGGACTTTGATACCAGCCTGACCAACATGGTAAAACCCCATCTCTACTAAAAATACAAAATTAGCCGGGCGTGGTGTCACATGCCTGTAATCCCAGCGACTTGGGAGGCTGAGGCAGGAGAATTGCTTGAAGGCGGGAGGCAGAGGTTGCAGTGAGCCGAGATAGCGCCATTGCACTCCAGCCTGGGAAACAAAAGCGAAACTCCGTCTCAAAAAAAAAAAAGAACGGTATAAAAAAGGAAGCTATCAGAGTCTGATTCTTGTCTGCTTAAAACTGTAATCAACTCTTTAAGAAAACTTAAATGTCCCCGTGAATCTTTTCTTGAAACAGCTACACATTCCCCTAACCCCTACTCCAGAGATGATCATTCCCTTCCTGTGTTCCTATGCAACACACAGAACATCCCTCCTGTATAATACTAGTCACATACTATTACGCTTATTTACTTACATGTCACTGGATCTGAGCTTCACAAAAGCAAAGGACTCTTACCATCATCTTCACACTTAGCATAAATATTCAAATGCTAGGCCAATAAAATCCTAGTTATATAAATAAATGAAGACCCAAAAAAATGTGCTTTGAGGGGGAGGGGTACATTTGTTCTAAGTTTGCTAGGGGAGGGAGAAGTGAATTTAATATACCCATATGGAGACTGTGATTAGTCAAATCAATATCTGACCATGAAGCTAGGATCCCAAGATTTTACAACTTCATAGAGTTCAGCCAGAATTCCATTAACAGCATATAGACATATGACCTATCTTTGTAGGATCCTAAAAGGACAATCTCAAATTTCCATTCTTTCCCCTCTAGCAGCACCAATTTATTTTCCTAGAAGCCACTGCCCACAGGAACAAAGTCCCTCCACCTACTCCTGACCCATCAGATCCAATTAGAGCAATGTTGATGAGAGCCATCAACTTTTTACTTACTGGGGCACTCCTGTTCCTACAAAGCACTGGAGCCCTACTCTGCTAAGTCCACACACTGATAATGAAAGTAGGCATATGTGCAAGGAAGATGCACAAGAAATTATCTCTGTTAAACATAACAGCACTTGAAAACTAAAACACAGAATCAATGTTTAGTCATTGCAGGCGGTCAGAAAAACCTAAACTTCCTTTATAATATTACTTAATAGCAAACTGTGCTGAATTCTAAATAATGACCTTACAAAGTAAACTTTTAGGACTCCAACTCCTATGCTGAGGACTACCTATGGCTTTGCGATACCATTAAACTGCTGCTCAACAACTGTGATGCTTCAAATCAATTCTCACGTGATAAGAATGTAAACTTACTAAATCTAGTAACTATACAAAGTTTTCAGTGAAATTCTATGACGATAAACACACATACCCCCACCGCTCCAGAGCTCCACCCACTCAACCTAGAAATGAAAGTCAGACATTACAATTCACTTAAAGAAAACTTGTCAAAGGAGAAAAAAAGGTTTGCCATGTTAATCATTAATAGGCTGCATAGTATTTGGTTTAGCCTCCAAAAGTGTCTCCAGTGTGGCTACAGGAGGCAGGCAGTTTGGGAAGGAGTTCTGTAACAGATCTCATCCTCAGACAGCTAACTAATGCACAGCGGCACTGACATCCTCCACTAGTGATCAGTGCTGCACAGGCAGACCTCCTGCCAAAAGCAGGCCTCTTCATGGGTAGATAAGGCAGACAGGCTTCCCACTCCCGTCTCAGGTACTTTTTTTTAAAAAAGCTTTAGAAAAAAGTCTATAAACTGCAGACTAGGTCCCTTTTGGTTTAATAGTACAATGTAAAGATCTCGCCTACGTACATACCAGAGCATATATTTGCTATGAACAGTATTATGGAAGTCTATGACTTTCAATTGACTATCCTAAAAACCTATTTTCCACTTCAAAAATGTGTGAAACTAATCATATGCAACAGGAAATCTTTTGTAATCAAGGTATTTTCAAACAGATTCTTACTCCCTGTGTAAATCTTAACTTTCAAACAAAAGATGTGAATAAACAGGGGCTCTAACTAGTTTAAGTACTTAAATTCCTCAGGGTTTTTTTTCCCTCCTACTAAAAATATTTGTATCACAAAGTACTGATAAACACAGCTAATGCCGATTAAGAGTTGTTTTTCTAAACCTCCTGTTTTTGCAATAACCGTCCTATTTCTGTGGTTCTTCTGCAAGTCTAAAAGCCTAACTAAACTTAATACTACAACACTGAAATGCTCATAATTCATTAATATCGTAATATAGATCAAGTGTCTTCCTTAACTTAGGTGCATAAAACAAGTGTTAAGTGTAGAAAGCATAGTTGCCTTCCAACAGATCCATGCTTAAATGTACCTGATGCCAAAAGTTATTTCCCACCCTAAAATCCGACCCTCTTTATTAAACAAAAGTTTTAGTAATTAAACACTACTTATTCAAGAATAAAAAATGTATACAGTGGAGAATGCGAAAGCCTCACTTTCATATACAGTACTCTACATGACGGTATACTTCTTTTCTAAACTATTCCAAGACTCCTTGATTACCAACCACGGCCTTTCAAATCTGACTTTGGGGACAGATGGAGCTGTACTGTCTATATTTTATTTATTATCTCTGCAATATCCAGTTATGATTCAGAATGGAACACAGAATGGAAAAGCCATATGAGAGGGATGCACCAAATGGTGGTGGGGTGGAGGGCAGTTCTCTTTTAAACTAATGTCCATGTATCCTCTACAGGAGAAAAATGTTGAAAGGGGTTGTGGTGAAAACGAATCTACAACTTATAATTCTTTGGTCCTTGAAACATATATAGTAACCTTGAAAGTATAATTTTTATAGGGGACACATACTTATTTCTAAGAAAAAAAAATCTTCAATTTCTGTTTAAGTTTCTGGGCCAAGTGTTGAAAGTAAAATGGAATTTTAGTGTAATAAGCAATAAAAGCTCTGATACGGGTTGTAGTGCTTTATCTTTTTTTTTTTTAAGAAAGGATATATCTCTCACTCGCATATTAGGTTGATGACTTTAAGTCCAAAGAAAGTAGTCCCTTTTCCATGCCTGCCAATTCTTTGAGACAGAGTCTCACTGTGCCACTCAGGCTGGAGGGCAGTGGTGCGATCTTGGCTCACTGCAACCTCCGCCTCCCGGGTTCAAGCGATTCTCCTGCCTCAGCCTCCTGAGTAGCTGGGATTACAAGCATGCGCCACCACGCCCAGCTAATTTTTGTATTTTCAGTAGACATAGGGTTTCACCATGTTGGTAAGGCTGGTCTCGAACTCCTGACCTCGTGATCCGCCCGCCTTGGCCTCCCAAAGTGCTGGGATTACAGGTGTGAGCCACCGCGCCCGGTCTTTGCCTGCCAATTCTTAAGTCCCTTGATATTTCTGCTTCCTCTTACTAATTAACTGAACCTCATCAGGAAAATATTAATGATGGTTCGAACACTCAGGAGACACAACCTCAGAACTCAAAATACCTCGCGGTCTACCAAAAGAGACCTATTTGATTCAAGACTGGAGGGGAGAAGCAGGAAAAAGGAGGGTACACGGCACGAAAAGCTGCTGGTCAGAGCAGCTGCCCCCAGCTTTTACACACTTACTGGTTTGCTAGGGTAAACGTTAGATAGATGCGTTTTTAGTTTCCCCACGGTCCAGTTCAAGAAGCAGCTAATAGTCTGGTCACTGTATTTCTGATTCGGTGCTTTAATGATGAGGGTCACAGGAATCTCCATCCCACTTTGGTCCATGGTGCCCCCAAAGTCAGACAGAGTCCAGAGGAGCGGCAGTTAAGCCCAAAAGAGCCGAGATGGTCACCGCCGGCGCGACTGGGATGAGGACAGAAGTGAGTTCTTAGTATTCCGTGTCCAAGTCAGTTACAAGTGCACTGGAGGATACGAAGCCCATTGCCGGTACCAAGGATGGACTGAGGTGGTGGCGACTGCGACGGTGGGGTCTGGGTGCCCGGCCGTGGAGGCAGCTCTCCCCGCCAGGTCCGGGCTCCGCCGGGCTCCGGACTGTGGAGGCCGTCGTGAGGAGAAAGGAAGCTATACGAAGGAAGGGTGGGAGGGATGAGGGCACAACGGCCGGCCCGGGGTCACTGCCCCGCCCCACCGCGACCCCCAAGCTGGAACGCAACAAGGCCCCTACGCCACGGCCCCGCGGTGCGGATCGGGGAAGCAGCTGGGCCGCTCAGGGCGGTCAGCGGGCACTGGGGTACCTGAGAGAAGGCCGCGGGGCCCGCCACCGCCGCCCTCCGCGCCCAGGCAGGGCCGCCAGCCACACCGTCCGGCCAGGCGTTTTCCGTGGCAGCCGCTCCCTTCCTGCTGCGCGGCGACCGGCACGGCCCAGCCCCGGGTCTCGCGAGGAGGCGCGGGTGAAAGGGAGAGAAGCTGACCGAAGGCGCGGCCCGGCTCTCCGCCTGACCCCTCAGTCTGGACAGCGCAGGGTGGCGGCAAGGCAGGGCTGGGCCGGGGGCGGCCCAGGCGACTACAGGTAGCAGGAGGGCGGGGACGAGAGCCGTTGCGCCACCGCTGGCGCGCCGGTTTTGTTGTTATTGCGAGGATTGTCTGGGGCCCCTTTAAGCCGGAACAGGCAGGGCGGAAGTGCGTCACCGGCGGCACGCCCCTGCACATGGACCTCCCCCGTCCCCGCCATCCCTGCCGATCCTGTTGCTGCCGCCTTCCCGCCGTGCTCGGGCTGCCCGGGACTCTAGCCGCCAGGCTTCGCGTCGCCCAGCGGCAGATCGGGCTCCTGGGAGCCTCTCCCCTGGCCGTTTGCTCGGCCTCGGCCCCAGCTGCCCTGGGGCCTAGCCACTAGCTCCCCTGGCGCTAGCCTACCCTGTCTTGACCGCACCCTGAAGATTTGGGAAGTCTTTCTCCATCCCAAGAGTCGTCTCTGCAAAAGTTGGTGTCCTTCCTGGTGCTGAACCACGCTTCTGCTCAAAATGTGTTGAGCGTCGTCTGTCTGCAAAGCACGGTGCCAGGAGCTTTGGTGGAGAAGGCATGGGGTACATGTGTAAAGAGTACAGGCTTTTGGTTAAACCTGAAGTCCTCCTCTACTTTCTGGGGGACCCTGGCCGTCCTTGCTGAGCCTCCGTTGACTTCTCTAATGGGGACGGTAATGCCTACCTGACCACAAGCTGATGAGTAAATGAGCTATGAGTGCAAAGTGTGGTGCAGTTCTGGCGTGTGCCAGCCTCTCAAGTGTCAGTTTCCGTCTCATTCCTCTTAATCTTCACTAAAATGGACAAGTATTCATTGAGCACCTAATGCGTGTTCAGTATGGTGGGAGATGAGGGATGACAGTATTATTTTTCTATTTTATAGGTTAGACATAGAACAAAAGGTTGAGTCTATTGCCCATAGCCGAACTTTTCTTCATTTTCTACTGTGGTTTAGAAGTCGGTATAGTAAGTTAAGGGTTGTTAGATGTGCATTTTCACAGCTCCCAGCTTCCACTTAGGAGTAGATAACATAGGGGACTTTGCGAGCTGGTCTCTTTCCCTCTTAGCTTCAGAAGGGCTTCGAGGTAGCCACCACTGAATTAGTTGAGAGACAAGGCACCCCTACGGAGGAAATCTCAACTGCACAACCCCTACTGTGCCCCAATTCAGCAGGAAGCAGTTAGAGCGGTGGTCAAACCTCCCCAATAGCACTTGGGTTTTCCTGTTGAGAGGGGGTACTGAGAGACAGGACTAGTTGGATTTCCTAGGCTGGCTAAGAATCCCTAAGCCTAGCTGGGAAATTGACCACGTCCACCTTTAAACACGGGGCTTGCAATTTAGCTCACACCCGACCAATCAGGTAGTAAAGAGAGCTCACTAAAATGCTAATTAGGGAAAAACAGGAGGTAAAGAAGTAGCCAATCATCTATCGCCTGAGAGCACAACAGGAGGGACAATGATCAGGATATAAACCCAGGCATTCAAGCCAGCGGTGGCTACCCTCTTTGGGTCCCCTCCCTTTGTATGGAAGCTCTGTTTTCACTCTATTAAATCTTGCAATTGCACACTTTTCTGGTACGTGTGTGTC
This sequence comes from Homo sapiens, assembly GCF_000001405.40. Taxonomy (NCBI): domain Eukaryota; kingdom Metazoa; phylum Chordata; class Mammalia; order Primates; family Hominidae; genus Homo; species Homo sapiens. Next base: position 35,696,614 of record NC_000007.14, read on the forward strand.
ACAGCTCAAGCTGAGCTTTCGCTCACCGTCCACCACTGCTGTCTGCCGCTGTCACAGACCCACAGCTGACTTCCATCCCTCTGGATCCAGCGAGGCGCCCATTGCTGCTCCTGATCGGGCTAAAGGCTTGCCCTTGTTCCTGCAGGGCTAAGTGCCCAGGTTCGTCCTAATCTAGCTAAACACTAGTCACTGGGTTCCACGATTCTCTTCCATGACCCACAGCTTCTAATAGAGCTATAACACTCGCCGCTTGGCCCAAGATTCCATTCCTTGGAATCCATGAGGCCAAGAACCCCAGGTCAGAGAACACAAGACTTGCCACCATCTCGGAAGTGGCCCGTCACCATCTTGGAAGCGACCTGCCACCATCTTGGGAACTTGGGGAGCAAGGACCCCCAGTAACATAGTGACCAGGAGGAAATTCTTCCTCTCAACAGCTAATGCAGCAGGATCTCTTACACCGTACCCTCCCTCACCTTGCTCTTGCTCTTCATGGTAGAACACGTACCATATCTTAGCTGTACTCTATCAACTGCGCATCTGAAGTAAAGAGTGAAGTCTTCTTTGTTTCCAGTCATGGAGCAACAACTTGCTATGATACTGGCCTTCTGTAGCTGACTCTTCTTTGTCTACCCAGGCACTCTAATGGAACTTTAATTCTAGCTAAAGTTATTTTCTCAGACTCCTTTGAAGCAAGGGGCAGCCATTTGACACACTTCAAGCCAATGAGTTGAATGTTGAACTTATTGCTGAGGCTTCTAAGAAAGCATATAGATGGAAGGGCTCTGCGAATCAGAGCTCATCTTTGCCCTACACCTGTCTTCCAGGAGGAACGTGAAGAGCTACAGCACTCATAGTTCAGTCATGAAACAACAAACAGGAGAACAATGGCCTGCATTCCAAGGATGGCAGAGCAGAAAACTGTAAAGAGGCTGGGCATTTGATGGCATTGTGGTGCCACCAGACAAGCCCTAAGCTATCTTCCCTAAGACTTCTTGTTTTGGGTCAAATTCCTGTTTAAGCCAGGAAGTTTTCACAACCTTCACCACCCAGTCCTGCAGCTGTTGTCTCATGCTTGTGACTCAGACTTCCAGGAATCCTTTAGAAGTGATGTGGTGATCTCGTTTGGCACTATGCAATGTACACTATTAATGAAGGTACCCTAATAATTATAAATATTAAGACAGAATGTGCATTTCACAGTGATTTAAACACTCTTTAACACTCTTTAAAACAGTCCATCAAAGGTTCGCTAACACAGAGAAAAACATTTAAAATTGTAATAAAGGCTGGGCGCAGTGGCTTGCCTCTAATCCCAGCACTTCAGGAGGCCGAGGCAGGCAGATTGCTTGAGCTCAGGACTTTAAGACCAGACTGGGCAACACGGAGAAACCCCGTCTCTACAAAAAAATTCAAAAATAAGCCGGGCGTGGTGGTGCACGCCTGTGTTCCCAGCTACTCTGAAGGCTGAGGTGGGAGGATTGCTTGAACCCAGAAGGTAGAGGTTGCAGTGAGCTGAGACCATACCATGCACTCCAGCCTGGGTGATAGAGTGAGACTCTGTCTCAAGAAAGAATAAAAAGTAAAAATAAAATTGTAATGAACATTCAAGAAATTGAAATATACGGGTACAAAGATGATATAGTATCAGAAAAAATGATTTTTTTTAAATTTTACAGCCACTTGAATTAAGTACCTAAAAATGCTTTTGATGCTGTTGAGCTTGGCTATGATAACAACAGTATGTAAATATTCCACTTTTGTTAAAATATGTATAAACAGGTATGTGTACAGAGCAGTGTATGAAAGGGTGGTCCCCAGAATATTGATAGTGTTTGACGTGGAATTTGGGCTAGGAAAAATAATTACCAATGAGGAGATACAAGATAGCAGCAGTTAGGGAGAGGCCGTCCATGCAGCTGCCTATTTAAATCACTGTCCATGTTAACAGATAAGAACTGGAAATGTCAAAGAACAATTGCCCAGCTCAGTTACCATCTGCTACTAAAGATAGCCCCAGCTGGGTGCGATGGCTCACACCTGTAATCCCAACACTTTGGGAGGCTGAGGCAGGTGGATCACCTGAGGTCAGGAATTCAAGACCAGCCTGGCCAACATGGTGAAACCCCATCTCTACTAAAAATACAAAAAATTAGCTAGGTGTGGTGGTGCATGCCTGTAATCCCAGCCACTAGGGAGGCTAAGGCAGGAGAATTGCTTGAACTCTGGCAGCAGAGGTTGCAGTGAGCTGAGATTGTGCCACTGCACTCCAGCCTGGTCGACAGAGTGAGACTCAGTCTCAAAAAAAAAAAGCCCGTAATGAGAACTCTCAAGAGTACCATGGTAATATAATATGGTAATAGATAATAAAAGAGTCATGATCATTAATAATAAATATAATACTTCTACTTCAACTGAGGAATGGAAAACTAAACATCATATGTTCTCATATGTCCCTAAGCTATGAGGATGCAAAGGCATAAGAATGATACAATGGACTTTGGGGACTTTCAGGGAAAGGGTGAGAAGGGCGTAAGGGATAAAAGACTACAAATTGGGTTCAGTATATACTGCTCGGGTGATGGGTGCACCAAAATCTTAAAAATCGCCAAAGAACTTATGTAACTAAATACCACCTGTTCCCCAAAAAACTATGGAAATTAAAAATTAAAAAATAAGTATAATTTCTGCTTTAGCGATATTAACTATTCAGTACACAATAAGTGAGTTTAGCAATTCAGTGATTTCTGACTGTTGGGTAGCTCTCTTTGTTAACAAATAAAATATAAATTTGAAGAAACTTATTTGTAAATAATGGTTTTCTGTGAATTAATGGGATGTTTGTTTACTTCCACTTCTTCTTTGAGGTGTAAAAGAGAACAGCTAGAAAACACATATTGTGGCTGGGGCGGTGGCTCACACCTGTAATCCCAGCACTTTGGGAGACCGAGGCGAGCGGGTCACTTGAGGTCAGGAGGTTGAGACCAGCCTGGCCAACATGATGAAACCCCGTCTCTACTAAAAATACAAAAATTAGCTGGACATGGTGGCACGCACCTGTAGTCCCAGCTATTCAGGAAGCTGAGGCAGGAGAATCGCTTGAACCCGGGAGGCAGAGGTTGCAGTGAGCCAAGATCACACCACTGTACTCCAGCTTGAGTGACAGAGTGAGACCTCCATCTTGGGGAAAAACAGTAAAAAAAAAAAAAATTGATTCATTCAGTGAGATTACAGTTTCCTTTAAAAATTCAAAGTAAGTGCTTGTCACTGAGCTTTTCTTACTGAAATTTGGAGTACCTTCCAGGAAGCTAAAATACTTTTATGATGTTGAATAGTATAGTTTGAGTTTGTTAGCTCTCTTGGAAGGAAAGACTTCAAGTGATGATCTTGCGGTTTCAAGTTTCAGAGATGATGTTGGCCATCTGGCTTCTGATTCCATTCATTTCTACTTTCACCATCCTTGTCATTTTTTAAAGAGACTGTGTCACAAAGCATCTAATCAAATCTTAATCAAGTTTATTGTTTTTAAAAAATGAAAACCTACATTGGAAGCCTAAGAAAATTAGCTCATTTCAACACTCTACTTTAAAAATCGTAAATGGTCCCAGATGTTTGATCACAAGTCATCTTGTAGGAAATGAAACAAAACCATTCATTAAATCCCAAATGGTGTTTTGAATTATATGTCATCTAATGAATTCTTAGAACAGTCTCGAGAGATAATGAGGACACTGAAGCTCAGAAAGGGTAAGTATCCTGCCCAAAATCACACAGTAAGTTCCAAATAGAGCTCTGTCCCCACTGTAATGCACACACTTTCCACTACACTGAACTTTATTACTTAAAGATAATCATGGGTAACAAGACACATTCAGGAGGAAAAGGCTTTCAGGAACATCTTAGAGATCATCTAGATCAGTCTTCTAGGTACTGCCAGAATGAATCAGTCTTACCACATCTCTGAAGGGTGATCAGCCAATTGACATAGCTCTTTCCAGAGACAAGGAGCACCATAGTTTTTACTGCAACATGACAGGTTGTTAAACAGCCATGGTGTTTATAAGTGAATTGAAATTTGCATTCCTATAATTTGTCATTGGGCCTACAATGATCAATCCAAAATGTGTTTACTCTTATTCCACATGCCAGCCCTTCAAATAGACAGCTGTAAAATGCTCTTTATATCTTCTGCAGACTAAATAGCCTTAGATCCTTCAACAATTCTTTAGTTTCCAGATCTTTCAGAATAGTGACTCACCTTTGAACACACTAGTTTGTAAATTCCCCCATAAATTATGAACACAATAGGCACAGTAGTTCATACAGATTGTGATTTCCCTATAATAGTCTTCATAAAGACACGTCTGTATTTCTATTAGTTTGTTAATAGAAATCTACCTAATCTGGTTTAGCAGTTGAGTTTCCTGCTTTTCAGGAACTCTATGTCTAGTCAGTATTTACAGTGACCATTTGGCTAAGAGAGAAACCTCTTGTTTCTCTGATGATTCAATCTAGTGACTTATTTAGGATAACAATTGGAGAATATCGTAGCTAAATACCATCTCACTGAGGCTCTTTTAGGTGACCAGAGAAGTAGTAAGGGAAAGAGGGCAAATCACTTACACTGTTCACCCTTTGAGAATTTTTACCTAAGGGTATGTGTTAGTTGTCTATTGCTGTAAAACAAATTGCCTCCAAAACTGTGGGTCAGAAATTTGGGAGCAGCTTAACTGGGAGTCCTGGTTTGAGGCTCTCATGGCATTGCAGTCAAGATTTCAGGTGGCATTCAGTCATCTGAAGACTTGATTGGGACTGGAAGATCTACTTTCCAGATGTCTCACTCATAAGGCTGGCATGCTGGTGCTGGTTATTAGTGTGAAGTCTCAGTTCCTCCCCATGTGGGCCTCTCTATAGAACTGCCTGAGCATCCTCAAAACATGGCAGCTGGATTCCCCCAGAATGAGAGATCCAAAAGACCAATGCAAAAGCTGCAATGCCTTTTATGACTTAATCTTGGAAATTACATAAATACTGTCACCTGCATTGTGTTCTTTAGTCACACAGACCAGCCCTGAATCAGTTTGGGAGGAGAGTAAATATGGGCATGAATACCCAGAGATAAGGACTGTTAGTCTCATATTGGAGGCCAGCTTACCAAATGTACTTTACCAAAGCATGGCAGGTCTAATAGATACCTTTTTCCTTCTGTATACTACTATCCAATTCCAAATCCCAATACCTGTGTTGCGACTGTTTCACAACTGCTTGCCCTTCAACTGGCATTCAGCCTCTCTCTTTCTAAAGGCCTTTCACCTCCAAATTTAGAACTATCTTAACACTATTCCATATTTCTCAAATGTTTGTCATTATTGTTAAAAAGCAAATATAGTTTAACAGTTTGGAAAAACATTTCCTACTACATTCAAATAAAGTTAAGAAAATATCAGTAAATTGAAACAAACCTGGAGAAGAGTCATTGGCCTATCCCAGGGGTTCTTAATCTGGGTTCAGAGATAGATGGCCAACATGTGTATACTCCTGAATTGTCTGTAATACTGTGTGCATGTGTACACATGGCATTTATCTAAAGGAGAGCCCATAGCTTTTATCAGCTTCTCAAAGAGGCCATTTGTAATGCCTTTCAGAACCCCAGTGAAATTCAGTCCTCACTATGAGGTTTTTCCAGTTAAAGGCAATGGGTTACTAAGCCAATTACCAGATTATGCCCTCAAGGCTCCAGATATACCCATCATTGTCTGCTTTGTGATAATATAGATAAGTCCTGTAAAAAATTCTTTTCCAGCAGGCATGACATTAAGCTTTGTCAGTAGAGAGCATTGGGGGGACACTAGAGAAAGAAATTTCTCTACCTGTACAGTGTAGTATGCTCCTTTAGGCAGGTTGTTACAGTGCATGTGGCTTCTGTAGCACCCAGTTCCAGCAGTGCCCAGTGGCCAACAGTGTGTAGCACCTTCCACGGACAACTTCTCCAGAAACCCTCTCAGGTAACTTTGCAGGCAACTGCTATGAAGAGCTTTCCCCTGGCACCCGTCAAGTGGCTCTGCACTGGAGTACCATTAGTACCACTAGTGCCACTGGTATAACACCCTCTGTGAATGGCTTCCCCTCACGCCCCTTGGCCAGCTTTGCAGCCTCAGCAAATTCTCTGACATTCAATGAGCCTGAGTCACTGAACTTCGTCAATGAGAGTTTCTCATCCCTAAGGGCAGTGGCTGCTCCCTATATCTGCTATTCCTATGTTCTTTAGAATTTGCTTTCCTTCTCACTAGCCATCTCCTCCTTATTACTCTATTCTCTGTTATAAATGATAATTATTTTCTTTTTTTTTTTTTGAGATGGAGTCTCGCTGTCTGTCACCCAGGCTGGAGTACAGTAGCACGATCTTGGCTCACTGCAGCCTCTGCCTTCCGGACTCCAGCGATTCTCCTGCCTCAGCCTCTGGGTAGCTGGGATTACAGGCACATGCCACCATGCCTGGCTAACTTTTGTATTTTTAATAGAGACATGGTTTCACCATGTTGGCCAAGCTGTCTCAAACTCCTGACCTCAAGTGATCCACCTGCCTTGGCATCCCAAAGTGCTGGGATTACAGGCATAAGCCACTGCGCCCAGCCTATAAGTGATAATTCTTTATACTTAACCTTCCATGTTCAAAATGTGGTGTGGTTTCTCTCTCTTAGTTGGACCCTGGTTGATACAGCATTGGTATGAGAGGTGGTCCCAGGAGATGGACAATGAAGATAAAATTTAAGAATTGGTTTGGTCATTCCTTTGGCTGAGCTCTTCCTCAGAGGGAAATTAGATGCTAGAAATCCATGGCATGCAGGGGCATTACAATTGGTCAGACTACTACCGTCTGTGGTTGATTGTGATGACATGCCAACTGAAGCAAGTGACTGCCTCAGCAGTTGATGCATTTGACAATTAGGGCAATGAAGATGACAATAAGGACAGTGGTATGGGATAGATCCTTCTGAGTGCCCTTAAGCACCTGTAGGTAGAAAATGACAACCTTATGTCTTTCAGTTCTCAGGTCAAGTCACAGACTATGACCAGAACTACAAAGAACCTTTTAGTTCTTGCAGGCATAGGGGTGATACTGTTGAAAATCAAGCACTAAATTTCATTTTAAGGGTTGCTGAATTATAGTAACAGTTAAATTCACGGTCACATCACTATGTATATATGTACACACATATGGGTATATGTACACACATGTACATATATATATATATTATAGGTCATTGATTGGAAAAGAATGGAGACCTGAAAATTGGAATAGGGCCATCTCCTTGGACCCAGATGATGCTGACAATCTTGAAACTCCAGGTCACTCTAAGCTTTGCCTATTCGCGAAAGTAGCTTGCCTTCTGGAGACTAACCTTTCTTTGCCTGAAAACTCTGTGATAACCTCACTTGGGGCAGAGTCCTTAAAAGAGGATGTTCCTTCTCAAGACCTACCATAACCACTCGCTATCGCCACTAGACCTATAACTACAGTTACATCTCAGCATGCCCCACAGGGACAGGTACACACTATGACCCAGGAAGAACTAGCTGACACACCAAAAGAATTGTAAGACTTTGCTAATATATATTGGCAGAAATCTGGGGAATATATCCTAAGGGTGTTAGACCAAGGAGGGTAAAATAAAGAGCCAGCTTGCTATGCTTGTACTTGCTAGAGATTCCAGATTTCATGTGTTAGCTCATCCAGCTGAAGGTGGCTCTTACAATTTATTGGTGTATTGACTGAAACTTGGACTCAAAGACAGCCTACATTTAATACAGCTGAGATGCCAGAGCTTTCCTGGCATCATGTGGAGAAAGCAATCCAAGGACTTAGGGAGATAGGAATGTTAAACTGTATCAAGTGTTACCGGCACACCCTTCTCCTTCCACTGTTCCATGAGAAGGCCCATAAGACACTCTCTTCACTAAGGCATTGAGAGGTACATTAGTAAAAGGGAGCACCTGCATTTTTGTAAAGCTCTGTGGTTGCTCTTTGTAGACCAGGTGGGAGTATAGGGATGCCACCATTTAGATGAACTTCCTAGTTGTGCCACTTGAGAGACAGCACTATGGAAGGCTGGGGATATGTTTTACAGGATGAAGTATATTCTTTGAATTCAAGACCATTGCATGCAGAAAGGCATGCAGATTCAAGCTCAACTGCAAAAATACTTAATGTCCATTATTTACATTAATATTTGTCTCAGTCACTATTATAAAGGACACAAAGGATAGTGAGATATACTTGCCTTCAAAGAGTTTGCAATCTAGTAGGAGAAAATAAGACACACATGCAAGTGACTATAAAACAAAATAGAGTAAAGGAGGTATCCCAGGCCCTTGTGTACACCAACCACCTTATGTCTCAGCCAAAAGTGGAAGAAGGAAGTGAGGAAAGGGTGTGATCTGCTATATCAAATTTAGCTGGGGCCATTTGCAAAATGGAAACAGTGCTTTGACAGGATTCTTCCTTTCCTTAGTCTTTTCCAGCTTTTCCTCACATTTTCCCAGAGTATACCTTCCTTAAAACTTCATCTACTTTTTTTTTTTTTGAGATGGAGTCTTGCACTGTTGCCCAGGCTGGAGTGCAGTGGCACTATCTCGGCTCACTGCAACCTCCGCCTCCCAGGTTCAAGTAATTCTCCTTGCCTCAGCCTCCCAAGTAGCTTGGATAACAAGTGCCCGCCACCAAACCTGGCTAATTTTTTTTTTTTTTGGATTTTTAATAGAGACGGGGTTTCACTATGTTGGTCGGGCTGGTCTCGAACTCCTGACCTCATGATCCGCCTGCCTTGGCCTCCCAAAGTGCTGGGATTACAGGCATGAGCCACCGCGCCTGGCCAAAACCTCATCTACTGCCCTTCCTCAGGCCCAGCTGAGACTCCTTCAGTTTGGCAACTGGGAAAAGAGACCCAGCTGTGCCCCAGGAAATAAGATGGACCCCAAATGACCAGGCATACATATCTACCTTCCCCATATCAATGTCTGTGTCCCCACTGCCATTATTAACAACAACCTCATTCTTTTTCATCACACTCCCACTGTCTCTTCCCATGTCACTTCCAGTATCTACAGCAACTTCTTTATGTTGGTAGTACCTTCCTAATTAATTTTGTTAAAGTTCTGAGGCCAGATCTAGGATCAGCAGAATAACTGGTTAGTTTGATTGACAAGGGTAAGGAATAGGGAATGACAGCTAAGTCAAGTACTTCAAATACTACATGCTAGAAACCCATTTCCTTCATTCATTCTAAGGATTTAGCACTCCAGAGTTACAAACTTTTATACTTCCTGTCTTATCTTGAAAATTTTCCAAAAACATGCATAACACATTTTAAATAGTTATATAACTGGTGAAGAGAAAAGGCCAAAGTTCTTGAGAAAAATCTTGGCTGAGTTTGCATTTTTTCTCCATCTTAGTTTTTTTGTGTATTTCCTTTCATGACTCCCTATGGTTTGTAAAGTTGGTTGAATCTTTGAAAAAGCAAGCTAGCTTTGACTAAGAAAACTTGTTAAATTTCAGGCTTTAGAGAGTAATGGGACAGCTTCCTGAGTATAATGTTTGTAACATTCATTTTTAAAGAATGCAGGAGTTTATCTCCCTGAAGAGATTTATGTTTTACAACTTTGATATTGTCCAGTACTAAAATGCTCAGTTCTGTTGCAAGAATGTGTAATTAGGATAAAACAACTTAACATTAGTGGAGTTCCTATTACAGATGTGGAGTGTGCTAGGTGTTTTATGATGATCTCTTTGAATCCCTTTAAGATAAGCCCTGAGTCTCTCCACTTTCAAACTTGTCCTATCCTGTCCTTAGACACTGTGAAATCTAATAATGCATTTACTATATGGTAATGACTTTTTTTTTTTTTTTGAGATGGAGTCTTGCTCTCTTTCCCAGGTTGTAGTGCAGTGGCGTGATCTCGGCTCACTGCAACCTCCACCTCCCAGGTTCAAGCGATTCTCCTGCCTCAGCCTCCCGAGTAGCTGGGACTACAGGCATGTGCCACCACACCCGGCTAATTTTTGTATTTTTTTAGAGATGGGGTTTTGCTATTTTGGCCAGGCTGGTCTCAAACCCCTGATCTCAGGTGATCTGCCTGCCTTGGCCTCCCAAAGTGCTGGGATTACAAGGGTGAGCCACCACCCCTGGCTGGTAATGACTTAAGTCTGTCTCCCTCACTAGACTATGTGCTCCCTGAGGCTAGATATTGTGCCTTAGCCATTTCAATATCATTGTTGCCTAGCACAATCCTTTTTGCAGAGCAACAATAAATATTACGGACTAAATTATAATACTTAGTTTACAGAGGGAAATGAGCTGTAGGGAAGTTACCTGCCTAAGTTCGACAGTTAGTAATTGATAGAGCTGTTGATACTAAAGCCCTTGACTCCTTTCTTTCTTTTCTTTCTTTTCTGTCTCTCTCTCTCTCTCTTTCTCTCTTTCTTTCTGACAAGGTCTCTCTCTGTCACCCAGGCTGGAGTGCAGTGGCGCGATCTCAGCTCATTGCAACTCCGCCTCCCGGGTTCAAGCAATTCTTGTGTCTCAGCCTCCCAGGTAGCTAGGATCACAGCCATGAGCCACCACGCCTGGCTAATTTTTTTTGTATTTTTAGTAGAGATGGGGTTTCACCATTTGGCCAGGCTGGTCTCAAACTCCTGGCCTCAAGCAGTCCACCCGCCTCAGCCTCCCAAAGTGCTGGGATTACAGGCGTAAGCCACCGCGCCCGGCTGCCCTTGACTTTTATTCACAGTATTTCTATTTAAGAGCATGCAGTTCTATAGGGTTTTGTATGCCCATTTTACATCCTCTATCTTGTGAGCAATAATAGTAATATGTCTGGGAGAGTCTGAGCCACATTCAGGAGGAGATTTGGCAAAAAGAGTTAAGGAAAAAGCCACAGAAGCATCATGGGTACAAAGTTTAGAAGCAATGGGGGGGCATCGGTCTTTACACATCTGTTAGGAATGTCATGCAGCTAAAAGCAGCATCCCTGATAAACCTGTTTGGTATCTACTCGGCAAAACGGAGAAAACCCATAGGAATTTCAGCATTGTACCTGTCTTGTCTCTTGTACACATTCCTCTCTCATTTAATGGTTGGTCATACCAGAGGCCATTTTCCTGCTAACTCCTTCTCCGCCAAACTCAGTATTTTAATGTACTAGTTGTTATTGCACATATAACTAGAATCTTCTATAATTATTATATGTTTGTAGCTTTTCTCTTGTGTCTGTGAAAGTCATTCTTTGGTTAACATAACCATCTTTTATTCACTTTCACCCAAAATTACAGTTCATAGCATACTTCAGGAAGGGAAAATGTTGAGGCATCCTCTTTATAAACCACCTAAATTTCTAAGGATGCCAGGGAATCAATGGTGGTAAATAAGCTTAAAGAAAGAAAAGAAGTCTCAGCTTAACTTGAGACTCAATTTTGCTCAGATTCATTTGAGAGATGACACTTTTTGATTCCCACCATTTATATATATATTAGTTTCTTTTTTCCTTTCACTCTTTCTTTATTTTTGTTTCATTTTGTTTTGTTTTGTTTCTTTTTTGAGATGGAGTCTCACTCTGTCACCCAGGCTGGAGTGCAGTGTCACGATCACAGCTCACTGCAGCCTCATCCTTCTGGGCTCAAGTGATCCTCCCACCTCAGCCTCCTGAGTAGCTGGGGCTACAGGCGCATGACCCCATGCCCGGCTAATTTTTTTTTATTTATTTTTTGTAGAGATAGGGTTTTGTCCTGTTGCCAAGGCTGGTCTTGAACTCCTGGGCTCAAGCCATCCACCCACCTTGGACCACAAAATGCTGGGATTACAGGCATGAGCCACCACAGCCAGCCTAGTTTCCAGTCTTTTCATATTTCCCTTAGAATCTCCATTTTGTATACACAATCTCATTTTTACTTATCATGAACAAAAACCATTTTTAGATTGCTGTTTCATAGGCTTTTAAAAATCAGGTATGGGCCGGGTGCGGTGGCTCACGCCTGTAATCCCAGCACTTTGGGAGGCCGAGGCCGGCGGATCACTTGAGGTTGGGAGTTCGAGTCCAGTCTGACCAACATGGAGAAACCCTGTCTCTACTAAAAATACAAAATTAGCTGGGAGTGGTGGCACATGCCTGTAATCCCAGCTACTTGGGAGGCTGAGGCAGGAGAATTACTTGAAACCAGGAGGCAGAGGTTGTGGTGAGCCATGGTCGCACCATTGCACTCCAGCCTGGGCAACAAGAGCGAAACTCCATCTCAAAAAAAATTATATATATATATATTCCATGCATTAAGAAGAATTTCTAGAACTATATAAACCAAAGTGTGGAGTGAAATTGTAGTGGGCATTTTATTTCTTTTTGTTTATATTTTCTACTTTTTCTAAGTGAACTCATTTTACTATTTTGATTAAAAAAAAAAGCTATTTAAAAGAAATTTTAAGTTCATTTATTCCTTCATTCAGTAGCAAGTCTTGGCATTATTTCTCAGTTTGAGCCTTTTAAAAAATAATAATAAAATATACATTTTACAAGAACAACCAGATTCTCTTCATAGCCCTTACATTTTGAACTAATGTATTTTATTTGTTGACAGTTTGGGTGAAGTCAGAGAGACATTTTCAAGTTTAAATTTCAAATTTCAAGTGTTAATTTCTATATAAAATCCTTTCCTAAATCAAAATTTTTACTTCAATAAAATGGATCTACCTTTATGTTTTGAAAAACTATGATTTTTAAAAATGAATTAGGCAAGATTGAATATTTTTCTTTTACTGTATTTTTAAATGTTGCTTATTCACAAATCCTTCCATCCTTCAGATTAAGGCCTAATTTGTGAGTAATATTCAAGTCATTAATTTCACAATTACTATTACATTATTAAATTTCTATTTAGAGGTACTTAGTGTCATATTTTCAAAAGGAAATAGACACATCTAAAACAAGAAACAGGAAACGCAGCATGAAATGTACCATTGCGGTGGTTAACCACAGTAGCCACTGGGTGTCTCCACTGCTTCACACCAGTCACTATCTCTGATGGAAGTTTCCAACGAAAACAGGAGATGAAGAGCAAAGCTTTATTTACAGAATTCTTAATTAGGAACTGATGCAGCATTTACATGCCAGACATTTTATTTAGAAACAGTTCTGCTCATGTAGGCAATATTTTCTTGCATTCTTTGATAACTGGGCATTTGATTTGCCAAGGAGAGGAAGGGAAACATTTATTATTTTTCTTAACATCCTATCATTTCCTATTCCAATTTTTAAATCGGAAACAAAGATTCTTCATTTGCGACATCTTGGCTATTTTCATAGCTACCATTTTCAGAGTTCTATAATGAAATAACTCTACTAAAAGCAAGAAAATTTACCACTAGACAGGAATATGGTATGTTTTCCTTTTGGAAAAGTAGAAAACTATATTGCTGGTAGCTTTCTACCTCTGAGAAATGTCACTGTGCCCCAAAAGAGCTAGTGAATAGAAGAAAAAGACAGGAATCAGCCACAGAGTAGTAGAACTGGCCTCTGGGTAGGTGATCTTTAAAGTTAACTCTCCACCAGGCAGGGTGGCTCACGCCTGTAATCCCAACATTTTGGGAGGAGGTATGCAGATCACTTGAGCTCAGGAGTTCCAGACCAGCCTGGGCAACATATGAAACCCCATCTCTACTAAAAATACAAAAATTAGCCAGGTGCGGTGGCGCACACCTGTAGTCCCAGCTATTCAAGAGGCTGAGGTGGGAGAATTGCTTGAGCTCAGGAGGTTGAGGTTGCAGTGACCATGTCACTGCACACCAGCCTGAGCAACAAAGCTTGTCTCAAAAAAAAAAAAAAAAAAAAAAAACAACAAAAAAAAAAAACTAACCATTCCTGGGATTGCAGATCTAAACCTTGGGACTGACTATAATTTAGAAACTTAACCTCAGTTTATATTTCTAGATGCCATTAAATTTGCAATTTGTTCATTTAGGGTACATTTTTTTCTTCATCTTGCCTTCTTTTAGTTTAATTTTTCCACTCCAAACCTACCGCTTTCTTCTGTGTTCTCAGTTTCTTCTGCCATCTACCATTCCCATTTTTATTTTTCCTTCGCTGCCCCTTTTCATTTGCTTGGTTGAGTAGATAAATTTTGAATGAAAGTCATTGTTTTTCAAAAATCCTACCTTAGCCTCAAATCATTCCATCAGAAGAAAGGAATTCTAGAAATTTAACATAAATAGTTCAAAGTTTAAGATGCTCCCTAAACACAAATACAATTGCATACGTCCCCTAGTATTCACTGTGATATAATAAACTGACTATATAACTGATTTACTTATCTGCTTAAGGAAACTAATGAATGGTGGAATCAGAAGAACAAACTTCGAATTCAAACAGCAACAAAATTATAGACAACATATTTTTGATTCTACAAACTACAAATAGAGTAGCCAAACACAGAACTTGGTGTAGGTGACAGAACTTCAAGACGGAAAGTAGAATTTAAATATCAAGTTCACATTATCAGGAAAAGATATAGTTATGAGTTAAAGAATACATTGTTTTAAATATTCAAATAAATGAGGGGGAAGAAGTAATATAAGATTATGGATCCCAGATTTGACATTAATTTCATATCATGTACTTAATTCACAGAGTTCTCTGCAGAAGGGGAAAGGATTAAGGAATCTCATAGGTGATCAGGGAGAGAGTGGATCTCAGCTATCTTCTACCAAGTGAAGACAGATCCACACAAAACCCTACATAGCCTTCTGCAATTTGCTATTTTTACCTAACATTTTATTTTTAAGATTAAATACTACATTTATTTTTTTTAATATAGTAATGCTACATTTACCATCAGTCTTCGTTCGCTTTAATTTAGACCTGAAGCTCAGTTTTCCCTATTTTTGCTTGTTCACTGCACAGTCTGGCCACATAAAAATTTACATCTACTGGAGAAAATGAAGGATTGCAGACAATTTCTTGAAATGCAGCTATGATTTTAATCTTATCTGTTTAGCATGAAGAAACAGATTAAGAAGAAAGGCATATTTTCAGAATTTATTATATAGTTTTGAAAGATAAAGACATATGTATGTTTATGTTCATCGCAGCACTACTCACAATAGCAAAGACATGGAATCAACCTAAATGCCCATCAGTGGTTGACTGGATAAATAAAATATGGTACATATATACTATGGAAACCTATGCAGCCATAAAAAAGAATGAGATCATATCTTTTGCAGGGACGTGGATGGAGCTGGAGGCCATTATCTTAAGTAAACTAACACAGAACAAAATGCCAAATACACAATGTTCCCACTTATAAGTGGGAGCTAAACAACAAGAACACATGGATACTAGAAGGGGAACAACAGACACTGGGGCCTACTTGAGGGGGAAGTGGGGAGGAGGGAGGGAATCACAAAAGAATACCAATCAGGTAATATGTTTATTACCCAAGTGACAAAATTATTTGTACAAAAAACCCCTGTGACACACAGTCTACCTATATAACAAACTTGCACATGTATCCCTGAACCTAAAATACAAAAAACAAAAAGCAAAATAAAAATAATCTAAGCTATTCAAGTAATGACCCAAAAGTTCTTCTATATGTTAGGAAGACCAGTAAATGCATTACTAAGCAGCTAGGCTGAGATAAGGGTGAGAGAAAGAGAGCTTTGGTGCTAGGATTTAATGGTCCTGTAGTCTAGTCCTGACTCTGCTGTCACAGTTTATTTAACTTCTTTGGGCTCTCAATTTTCTCTATAACATTAATCAGTTGGCCAGGCTCAGTGGCTAAAGTCTGTAATACCAGCACTTTGGGAGGCCGAGGGGGGTGCGGATCACCTGAGGTCAGGAGATCAAGACCAGCCTGGCCAACATGGTGAAACCCCATCTCAACCAAAAATACAAAAATTAGCTGGGTGTGGTGGCACGCGCCTGTAATCCCAGCTACTCAGGAGGCTGAGGCAGGAGAATCGCTTGAACGTGGGAAGCAGAAGTTGCAGTGAGCCAGGATCATGCCACCGCACTCCAGCCTGGGCAACAGAGTGAGGCTCTGTCTCAATAAATAAAATAAAATAAAATATAAAATAAAATAAAATAAATAATAAAATAATAAAATAAAATAAAATAAATAAAATAAAATAAAATAAATCTGTTGGACCAGATGTCCTTGGTGCTAATTTTCAATGATCTGTGACATCATAAAATAAAAAATATAAAGACTAAAAATTTATTCTAGCTCACATGCTTTCATTTTCTGTATGAAATAAATTTTCATTATGATATGTTGGTGAAGAAAGTACATAGTGTATTAGTACCCATTTCTCAGGACACAGAGTATATTTAACTAACTTATTATATAGCCATGTAATTTTGCCTACATTGCACATTTTGTTCACATCTATACTTTATTTACTTCTGAGTCCTTGCTGATAGGCCTCTCTCCTGATTATGATATTGCTTTTGTGGTGAAATAGGATCCACTTCCATGATCTGTGCATTGGAGATTCAGGAGCACATTGTAGAGACTTCTCGATGTAGGTGAATGATAAGGACTACGGATGTAGGCATACTGTGTTAGAATCACCTGCAGATTATTTGGCAGTTTTTAAAATTATTCCTGGGTCCTTCTGTTATAAGGATAGGGCCCTTTACTAAAGCTGCAAGCTGCAGAATCCTCCTCAATCTTTTTATTTTTTAGCTTTTATTTTTTTTAAGCTACTCCTGCTGGAATGGGAACCTCCTCAATCTTTATCAGGAAAACAACAATAACAATCGAATTTTAGAGGTTTTTTGAATTCCTGATCACAGATACAAATAATTAGTGGTCTGGAAAGTAGTTAAGTGTAATAAAAAATATAATGTTCCTTATAACATTGAGAGCTTTATAGTAACACAAAGGATGCCACACCCAACCCACCTCACTCATCCTCCCGCTGTTAACAACCCTGGTCCGCAATTTCAAAAGAAATGGCCTAAAATTCTTTTTAAACCATCATTTACGTTGAAGCCAATTTAAAAGTGTGATCAGGGATATAGACAACACAAGTGCTAGAGCTATAAAATAAATTTTGGTGATTGCCCAGGCATTTAATATCTTTTTTTAACCAATATTCCCTTTCTAAAAATATAAATTTATATGAATAATGGATTATTTATAATGATTTGTCTTTGAGTAACCCTTTTCCCCTTCTTTGTCATAGAGGGAATAATCCTAATTTATTGCTGGGGGAGTTGTCCTATATTGTCTTATTTCAAAAAGAAACAATCTACTTTTGTGAAAAGCCATCCTAGCATGTAACATTTTAGCACACTGTTTCTCAAGATGTTTGCACTCACAGACACCAATTGTATCATGTCTTTGGGATATGATAAAATTATGTTTAAAATTCATGTTAAAGCTATAGGGTTTTTTTTTTTTTCTGATCTACGTATCAGCCTTACCTCCACGGACTTCACTAATTATATTTAAGGAATTAGAAAACTTCCTTCCTTAATTTTATTCTCATTAATTTTTCTAGGACATTTATTAAATAAAATGGGTTGTTAAAGTATGTTAAGTGTGTAGGGCATGTAACCAGTCAAATGTCAAGGTTCTGAGTAGGTTGGATTTCATGGTCAAGGATAATCTCTTTTAATATTCACAATCTCATTCTTACATATTCCCATCTCCCCTAAGTCTTTCATTTCACTTCTATTCATTCCTACTTACTCCTACTAATATCTCCGTTTAGATTCTCTCATCTGACCTTTCCCACACCTCTTGCCCCACAGTAAGTTTTATTTTCCCCTCTTAACACTAATCACATCTACTCTGATTTGTAGACATTTTTCACCTAAAGCCCAGCAAAGGAAACACTGTCAACCTGTCAAAAAAAAGTGCTGCAATTGTGGAGGACAGATAAACAGGTGGTAACAAAAGCATTCTAGTGAATCTGAGCCAGGCTGGGAACCTGCTGGGCTGGCCTGACTCAGAGGTGGTAAGAGAAGGCAACAGGAGGCAGGAGGCAGCCCCATCACTGTCCGTTCCCAGAGCAGGAATGAGGAGGGTGCTCCCCACCCCAAGGCAGCAAGGGGGAAAATTCTCTAAGGAAGAGTCCCAGCAAGATCAAATATCAGTGCCATGTCCAAGGGGTTAGAGAAATAACCAAAGTCAGTGTGGTAGGGCCATGAGTTTACCTTATGGTTTGGCTTTATGTGGGTATATGGAAGTGCCAGCAGTGAGCTGAGAGCTGCCAAGAGAGGCAGAAAGCAGGTGTGTCAGAGATTTGGGGCCTCAATGGAAGTGAAATGTGATGGCAGAAGAAGACACCACAGGAGTTGTTGAGGCATTGGTTAGGAAGTGAACAGCAGAACTGGCAGAGGCTGCTGGGCCTGTTGGGGTACCAGGAGTGACAGAGAAGACTGGCAGCTGCAGAGCAGGACAGACCAGATTGGCCAGTACAACAGCAGAGGGCCATGTTGGGCTTTGACTCAGGAATCCTGGTGGAGGCAATGATGAGAGAGAAGAGATAAAACACACTAGGTAAGCCAAGGTAGTTGTCAGGATAGAAGGAGACAGGCAGGCCAGATGGCTGTTAACCGTGTGGTGTGTCCCAACTTTCCAGCATCAATTTAATGGCCAAATTAAAATGTAAGTCAACTTAAGCCAAGGTCAATTTTAATCCTATGCTTTGCTGGTGATACAGAATCATTAACGGTATCAATAATGCCCACATTCAACTCATTCTACAATGGGGGCAATTGTAATTTTGGTCTGGATATGTTTAACAAAATGGAAAGGAAGAAGGCAAAACCACGGAACTATTTTTTTTTTTTCTTTAGACGGAGTCTTGCTCTATCTGTCACCCAGGCTGGAGTACAGTGGTGCGATCTTGGCTCACTGCAGCCTCCGCCTCCTGGGTTCAGGCAATTCTACTGCCTCAGCCTCCCGAGCAGCTGGGATTACAGGTGTGTGCCGCCACGCCCTGCTAATTTTTGTATTTTTAGTAGAGACGGGGTTTTACCATGTTGGCCAGATGGTCTTGATCTCCTGACCTCAGGTGATCCGCCCGCCTCAGCCTCCCAAAGTGTTGGAATTACAGGCGTGAGCCACCATTCCCAGCTGGAACTATTTTTTTAAACTGATGCACATTAATAAGATTTAGAAAATCTTGAGATTTAATGGACAGTGTTGAGATTCATATAACTTTATGTTGAGAATTCTCTTTCCAGGAATTATTTATTTCAGTTAGTCACATTTTTATCTTCTACTGAAGTGTAAACTTAATTTAGTGTAAATAACTACCATTTGAATACTAACATAATCTTTTTATTTGTATAAAAAATACAAAAAGATTGTTTATGTGTGTGTACACATATGTGTCAAGACTAAAAATTAAGCACGGGGTAAAGTCTTTGGCAAAGGACAAATAGTCGGCAAGTTCACAGATTAGAATTTAGAATTCCATCATGAAGTGGACTAAATTGTTAGTTTAAAGAAGACTGTGAGTGTCAGCACATAAAAAGGTAATCCTGTCTCAATTGTAGCTACAGATTGCAAGTCCTGTGTCAATTCAAATTTTTGCCAGCAGATACTAATGACTTCATTGAAAGCAGATGTTTAGAAATGAAAGTATAAACACAACCCCAGTTGATTAATATGCTTATTGTATTTCCTTGTTGTGAGTCTAGCGAATATTTGATTATCTTTAAGTTGATCCATAGTATATTCAACAGTCTCATGAGAACATAATTTTTGTTGATGATTTGTCCAAAGTTTCTATCAATCCATCTTAGCAGCAGAGCCAAGTGTTAGAGTTATTGCTGCCTGAGTTATAACAGCTGCCCTGGGAATCTTGTCTGAACAACAAGTTAACTGCTGTTCCCAGTTATATCTGGTCTTTCCCACCCCCAAACATACACAAAAGATTTTTGTCATTCTTGGCACTGGACAACAGAAGTGATAAGACATGCCAGCAGAACTCTAAAGGCAGAATGTCCTTCCACCTGTTTTATGCTGTAAGACAAACTTCCAAGTGCGAGGCAGTGTGGAGGGCTGTTGCCTTGAATGGCAGCTGAATGCACCAGCGGGATCCTTGGCAGCAATGCCCAGGCACTGAAGTCGGGCATTCAGGAGAGCTAAATGGAGAAAAGAAACTTGAGCAAACTGCTTCCTGGAACACTGAGAACCTGAATGGGAAATTAAGAAGAACCAGATTCTTTCTATTCTTCCACCAGCCAAGGTCAGATTTCCAAACTTCTATTGATTCTAATCTTTCCCAAACAGTGCTGTGGCAATGTATGAAAGTAATAAAAATAATCCTTTTTCTGTTAAAAAAAAAATTGCTGTTACTTGCTGTTTTGTTATGCTTTTGCTGGAGATTTTCCCACCCATCTTAAAGCAGCAACTTCAGGATGGGGGAATCAAGCAAAACCATGGTGAAGAGATTCATTTAAAGAGGACAAGTGATTTATTCTACATCTCAGGAGACAGTTCCTTAAGGTGAGAGGTGTTGCCTATGCCAACTTGCTTATTGCCTCTTTTGATGTTATCTTAGCAATAAGCTGGGGCTAATCGTCCCCAGTTTGGGAGACTTTGAGGCAGGGCTAACTGCCACAGTAAAAGACCCATTAACAGTAAGGAGGGTAAATGGATAGCAAAAAACCTAGGAGAATCCACAGGCTTTTGTTAATTTTATTCTATCTGCCTGGTGTTTCTGGAACTCTAGTTTCAAAGTTAGAATACCCAGAATCCCAGCAGCTGAGGAAAGTAATAACCAGTGTCTGGGGGCGAGGGTGGGGAGGGAAGCGAGGGTATAAAGAGGATGAGAATTCTTCTAGTTATTTTCAGTTTTTACTGAAACTGAAGCTTTCCTGAAACTTTAAGTTTTTAGGAAACTTAAAGATAATTGTTTGTTTACTTAAAATACAGCCTCAAGGATACTTTTAGTTTAAAAAAATTTCTTGACTACTTGATTTCCTCTTGGGAAGATTATTATTTAACAAAAATATGTATTTATAAACAAAATATTTCAGAACAGGAGTCTGTGGAGAAATAGTCTTAAAAGGACTTTTCAGCAGTGATAAGATAAGAAACACTGCCCTAAAGAAAACTGTTGGCTGGGCGCGGTGGCTCATGCCTGTAATCCCAGCACTCTGTGAGGCCAAGGTGGGCGGATTACCTGAGGTCAGGAGTTCGAGACCAGCTTGGCCAACATGGTGAAACCCCGTCTCTACTAAACACACACACAAAAAAAATTAGCCAGGCATGATGGCGCATGACTGTAATCCCAACTACTTGGAAGGCTGAGGCAGGAGAATCGCTTGAACCCGGGAGGTAGAGGTTGCAGTGAGCCAATATCGCACCATTGCACTCCAGCCTGGGCAACAGGAGCAAAACTCCATCTCAAAAATAAATAAATAAATTAATTAATTTAATTTAATTGTTTAAGGGGTGTCATTTTCCAAATTGTTTTTATGAAAAATTTACAAACAGTGGCTAGTGTCCCATTGTACTGTGTATCTAATTCAGTAAAAGTACTGAAGATTCAAAAAGATTGTTAGAGTGGTTGTGGAAAATTCCAGAGCTGCTGTCACCAGCAGAGCCTTCCTTTACTGAGTGTCTCAGTGCCAGTATAACAAATCCTAGACACTGGCTTTATTGGCCAGTGGTGCAAAGAAATAGTAAAAATTCAATAAAAATATTGCTTGAACCAGGAAGCCTCCTCATAGAGTTGTGGACTCTTCAGAGAGGTTTTACCAAAGTAAGGGCAGAATGTGTATACCGTCTTTCAGGGATTCAAGAAATGTAGGCAACAATGTCTATTATTAGCCCTCCTCTCCTTCCATGAGCAAAACCCAAATTACTTGTTTTTAATTGGCACAAAAGCACATTCAATCATTACATTATCAGACATTGTTCATGTACCTATCATATGCCAGGCTGTGTGCTAAGAGCTGGGGATCTGAAGATGAATAAAATGTACCCTGCCACAATCAGGATTGGCAACAACTGACCTAGGTGGCTCACCTGCATTGTCTGGATAACAAGCCAATTGGCACCTGAGGCCCCCAACCTTATCCCCACAGGAGGGGTTCGTCCAAACTGCTCATGAGACCAGTTTCTCCCTTCCACAGACCCCAGTGCCTTCAGGTGCTGAAAGTTGACTTTCCCAGGCAACTCAGAGAGCTGGTGTCTAACCCCACACTGATGTTACTCAATAAGTCTGATTACCCTCCCACCCACTAGGTTGTTCTCACTCTTGCCCTATAAGAAGGAGAGCAGCAAGGGGACAAGGAATGCCCACCGATGGTGTGTCCAATAGATAACTTTGGCCCATCTCTTATCTTTATTTGTTAATTCTTGCTTTGTAACTTTCCCCCAATAGAGCCCATGAGATTTCATGGAAATCATCACAAAATAACAAACCTTTTTGCGTGACAGGTGATGAGCACAAAAGGATCCATCTTATACAGTGCTTGCCAGCTTCCATAATACTACTCACCACGATGTTGAAATCACCTGTTCCAGAACCAGTCCTGTCCTTTGACAAGAAGGATTTAATTATCAGTAGTGGTGGGGACTGGCTGGAGAGAGGAAAAACACTTCAAGGACTCTGCCACCTTTCGTAGATGGAGAGTGCAAAGTTTGTACCATGGAACTCCTTCTCTAACAGTTACTCTGTGGCAGTGCCTATTTCAAACCTCCCTTAACTTCTGATTGTATAGATGTTTGTTTCATTTGTTCATCTGTTTGTTCACTTAGTCAGAGATGTTTTAAGCCTTAAGAGAAATAGTGGACTAGAAAATGCCTTGGAAAAGTACAAAGTTCAATCCAAGTAAACTGTTTTTAAACTAGGAATTTATGAAGCCTAAAATATAAAATGTATATACATGGATATGCTCTGAAGTGAGGTAGAGGGGTAGAAATCAACATTGTGATATTGTACTATAGTTTTGCAAGATGTTACCATTGGGGGAAAATGTTTGAAGGGTATACGGGATATCTCTGCCTTATTTCTTACAACTGCATGTGAATCTACAGTTATCTCAAAATAAAAATTTAATTAACAATTGATTACAATTAACAGCATTAATTTCTTATCCTGTCATTTTCCTTCTCCTGAAATTGCAGAATAGCCAAACAGAAACCTACCCATGACCACCATCTGAGATTCTTTGGTGCCCGTATTAGTGGACATAGGCAGGTGTATCAGGAGGCATCCAGTCACGCATACTGGAAGATACTGACTCAACTGATTTAAGCAAAGGAAAATACAGTGTATTATATAATGAGACATCTTGAGTAGGGTAGTCCTAGGGTCAGTTGATTCAGCAGCTTGATTGATAATCAAGGGCCCAAATTCTTTCCCACTTTCTACCCTGCCATCCTCAGCCTATCAGTTTCGTCCTCCAGCTGGCTTAAAGGTAGTTGCAAGGTGGCTGCTATCATGCCATGCAAAATGCAAATGCAAAAAGTATGCAGATACAAAAAGTATCTCTTTTCATAAGTCTCATTTTAAGGGCAAGGAAAAACCTGCAGGCCTTTCTGCCACTCTCTTGACCCACTTACTTAACTGTGGAACAAGTCACAAACACCTGTTTAAGTGGATCACTTGGCCAGGAGGGAGAGATTGCCATTATCCTTAGATGGAGGAGAATGGGGGTGGGGGTTGTTATGCCTGAACATAATCAGTGCTCTGCCAGTGAGTAAGAGCAGAGATGGGGTGATTAATAGGCAACCCCTCACCAAGGAGCCATTGTAAAGCTTCAGGCCAGTTCAGAAGGTGATGAAGATGGAAAGCCTCCAAAGCAACCAGAACAACCAGAAGGAACACGCTTTTACAGCTTGCTTCTGATTCCACACCGCGAGGACAATGGGTCCAGCATGCCACACTGATCCAGGAACTTAGAACTAAGTAAGAAGCAAGGGAGAGAGGCTGCTATAGCTGAAACCCAGAGAATGAACTTTCTCCCAGGAGGTTGCAAGGGCTGCCCTTGTAAAAGATCCTGTCCTGGGTTTAAAGGTTAGCAAATTTTCTGTTTTGTTTTGCTTTGACTGCATGAGGGTTGAGTTAAAGTGAAATAATATTTAAGACTTATTTTTTAAATAAGATATTTTATGTTTTTATTTTTGTTTTTTTTTTTTTTTTTGGTTGGTAGAGACAGGGTCTCACTGTGTTGCCCAGGCTGGTTTTGAACACCTGGGCTTCTAATCCTCCTGCCTCAGCCTCCCAAAGTGCTAGCATCACAGGCATGTGCCACCACACCCAACCCCTTAAAAGTCTTTTTACAAATGAGAACATGAACAATTGCCTTTCAGATTATTTCCTGGTCATCAAAGATTTCTTTCTTTATTTACATAAAGGGGACAGGGGTCAGTCTGTGTATTGGAAGATGTGCCCATATTTGGTCACATATTGGAAGAGTACAAAATTGCCCAAATAAGGGATATTTATTGCCTTCCTGACTGCAGACTCAAGGAGGCAGGAACTTTGACATTTTCTCCAATGCCTATCTGTATCCACATTGCCTGTAACATAGTATATGCTCAATAAATATTGATTGAACTAATTAAAAAATGTCATTCTCTACTCCCAAACTATAAAAACCTGGAAGGGTATATTCTTGCTGGATGGGAGCCTGAAGAAGACAGGAAGGGAGCTAAAGATATCTCTCTTAGTCATTCTCTGTGTCCGACATATGCCCACATGTATAGTCCTAAATGCCACTGTCTCTCAGTTGGTTTCTATCAGGACCTAAGCCCTGTGGAGACAGCAGCTTGCAGAGTCTCTAGCCCAGGGAAGCAAGAGGTGGGCCAGATGGAATCCCCCAGCTCAGGGAAGGTCTTACCTATCCATGCATTTGAGGAAGGAGGAAGTGGGACAGTCATTCACCAGTCTAAATCTTACTGCTAAAACTAGACCGAGTGCTACATCTCCAAATCTGGAGGGCCAGGATATCTGTCACACAGGCAGGCCAAAAATTGTTCTTCCCAGGGTGGGGACAGTGGAAGCCATATAAACACTTGCCAATTAGTTCATCTACATTTTAAAAAGGTGCAGAAAATTCTTGTTCCTTTCCGCTGGAGGAACTTTACAAATGACCTTGACAAAAACCCCTCAAAACCTATAGAACCAAATTTTATTATAACGCTCTTTTTATTCCCTTGCTTCTATTTCCTCCTTTCTCTTCTTTTTCTATTTCTTTTCCTTTCTCTTTCTTTACATTTCTCCCTCTTTCTTCCTGCTTGTCCAGCTTTTCTTCCTCTTCCCCCTTTAAGGTGATACTTTGGGACTGAAAGTATATTTTAATATTTATCTAAAGCAGTTGTTTCTTTGTCCATGGTTCCCTGACCCTTCACAGAAAATAATTCTTCCATCCTAAATTGACTTTTATGATAGTTATCTAAAGATTTAAGGATCCAAATATGTACAAGTCAAATACAATAAAAGGAAAAAAATCATTTAAAGACTAACATTTAAGCATTTTAGCCTCTACTATTTTAAAATTAGAGTTCAACTCGATGCCATTTATATTTGAACTCCTAAAATTACAACCATCATCTGCATTTTACAGGCTTCCCCTATCTATGCAGACATTTCCTGTTCTGTCTTCTCTTTCCCCAGAGACCCATTACAACTTGCTTATCGTTGGGTAGAGGTTATATCCAGGGAAGAGGGAACCGAGGAGAAGTGGAGGAAAGGAGGAAGGCATGAGATGTTGGCCCTAACCTAGATTGGTATGTTTACTCTCATCCGACTGGGTTGACTTTAGAATGAAAATGTTTTCCCACTTAATTAATTTAAAATTAGTTATTCAAATATGTTTTTCAAAACTCAGTACAATTATGTATATCACACTTGTGCAAAACATCACCAATTCTCAAACCCCAGATCTACAGATCTGAGGTCAGCAATTCCAGCTAACACTTATATAGTGCTTCCCATGTGCCAGACACTGTGCAAAGCGTTTCATGTGTATTGACTCATTTCATCCTTCAACAGCCCTGCAAGGCAGGTATTAGTCAGCTTGGGCTGCCATAACAAAACACCATGGACTAGGTGGCTTAAACAACGAACATTTATTTTCTTACAGTTCCAGAGACTGGAAGTTCAAGACCAAGGTATAGCAGAGCTGGTGTCTGGTGAGGGCTCTCCTCGTAGGTGGCAGACAGCTGCCTTCTCACTGTGTGCTCACCTGGCCTTTCCTCTGTGTTCCTCAGAGTGAGTGAGCTCTCTGGTGTCTCTTCTTATGAAGATACTAATTTATGGGATCAGGGCTCCATCTTTAACACCTCATTCAACCTTAATTACTTTCTTAGAGCCACCATATCCATATCCAAATACAGCTACATTGGGGGTTAGGGGTTCAACATATGCATTTTGGGGGACACAAACATTCAGTCCACAATGGTAGGTAATATTGTACTCCCTATTTCTCAGGTTAGGAAACTGAGGCCACACTGATTGAGTAATTTGCCCAATGTCACACAAATAATAAGTGTCAATACTGGGACTTGAACGCCAGCATCCATACTTTTAACCACTATGCTGTGCTCTCTCTCATCATGAGTCATGACGATGATCACGTTAGATTGTGTTAGATGATGTTAGATCATGAGTCATGATCTAACATCTAGCAACCCATCAACATCATCAACATCTAACAAATCCAATCCTTTGAACCTATTATAGAATCATCAGAGCTTTACCACGCTTTTTAGAAAAAATTTCCCTACAAGAATACAGTCTCTCACTATTATTATTATATTAGAGATAGATTTCTATATTATCAAATTTAGAGCAAATAACTTATATTTGCTATCAACTAGCTCTTAAAATGATTATATCTTGATTACTCTAGTAAACAAACATCATCTATTTCTCTCTACATTTAAACTATTAAAACTCAACAATAAGAAAACAACTCATTTGAACAGTGGGCAAAAGATCTTGACAAGACATGTCATCAAAGAAGATATGCAGATAGCAAATAAGCATATGAAAAGATGCTTCACATCATATGTCATCAGGAAAATGCCAATTAAAACAACAGTGAGATACCACTACACAAACCTATAGGAATGGCCAAAATCCAGAATATGACAACCCCAGATGCTGCCAAGGGTGAGGAGCAACAGGAATTCTCATTCATTGCTGGTGGGAATGCAAAATGGTACAGCCACTTTGGGAAACATGTTGGCAGTTACTTATGAAACTAAGTTTCTATATCATAACACAAGTAGATATAAATATAACCAGTGGTAGGGTTTTTTTAGAGGCTGTATTATTTTTTAAGAATTTAAAGCTTTAAACCCAAATTTCTACTCAGAAAGATGAGCATTGTAATTTGATGAGATTACCCTTAGAATTCTTGCCAGTCAATGACTGCTTTTACACCAACTTACAGATTGTGCTGTGTTCAAATACATACTGAGGGGAATCTGATGAACTGACTGGCAACAGTCTTCAAATTCTTAAAGGTGAGGGGAAGAGTGCATCAGGTAAGAGCAAAGCTCCCGGAATCGGGATATCCAGGTCTGAATCTTGACTCTGCTGTGTCCTTGAGTGAGCTACTCAACTTGTCTACACCTCAGTTTCTTCATTCGTAAAATGAAGCTATGGTAGCTTCTACCTTATATGACGATTGACTGATAGGCTCCATGTTGAGTGTAAATTAAATAGTGCCTGGATAAGTACTCACTAAAGAATCGTGTTTTTTTTTTATTGTAAATTTCCAAAGAGAATGTTTTATACTTTTTAAAAAGTGTTTTTATTCCCCAATGCCCCTAACAGGAAATGACACCATCATTGTTACATGAGAAAATGATAAATGTTTTGAGAGGTCAATGTTCCACCCCAACTCATTCTCAGTGTTACTATTTTCACCAGGAAACAGTAGAAGTGACACAGGAGGTGGCCAGGGAAGTGCTGGGTAGACAAGGGTGGGGTTCCTGGCGAGGGCTCCACCCTCAGGCTTGTGCCCATGGACCTAAGTAAGAACAGGCACCCGTGTTTTCATGCCCAAATGTTGCATTTTCCAAGACCACTCTGGCCTGCCACACCCCCATCCTGTGCCCATAAAAACCCTGAGACCCTAGCGGGCGTGGACACAAGCAGTTGGACGTTGAGAGGAGCAGAGGAGCAGAAGAGCGCACCGACAGACACCAGCAGACAACAGCAGGCCATTGAGGCAAGACGATGCAGAAAATTCGGTCGGGGCAGTCAGAGGAGAGTCCAGCCGCTGGACAGCCTGACTCCAGGGGAAGACCGCCTTCCCACTCCATCCCCCTTCTGGCTCCCCATCCACCTTGCTGAGAGCAACCTCCACCACACAATAAAACCTTGCACCGATCTTCCAAGCCTACATGTTATCCGATTCTTTCCGGTACGCTAGGGCAAGAACTGAGGATACAGAGGCCCTCTGTCCTTGTCATACGGCAGAGGGTCTAATTGAGCTGGTTAACACAAGTTGCCTGCAGACGGCAAAACTGAAAGAGCACACTGTAACACATGCCCACTGGGGCTTCAGGAGCTGTAAATACTCAACCCTAGGCACTGCTGTGAGGTCGGAGCTCCATGGGTACCTTTTAACCACAAGTTTCAGCATTTCTTTTCAAGGAGAACTTATGTCTGGAAATATGGATGGAAGATGAACCGAGGACTCGTCTTTAACACCGCATGCTACTCTACTAAAGACTGAGAAAAATGTCAGTTGTCCGGAGCTCCCCACGACCTGTCTGCATGCTCCCCCTAGGGGTTTGAGCAGTGGGACACTGAACATGCGAGCCGCACATCTGTCGCATGTCCTGCCAGGGAGATAAGGAAACTTTCTGTTTCAGAAGTTCTACTTTGAGGCAAAACCAGGCCTCACATGGGCAAGAACATTGCTAGACCTCAGGCCTTGCTCTTAAACAGCAGCTGCGTACCCCAGCCCTGCACGGGAAGTGGGGAGGAGCTCTTGCTTCTTCCCACAACAAACAGGTTCTCACCTGTGCAGCTCCTGTGAATTACATGACATCAATGTGTATGTAGGTTCTTTTTTTATTTTTTTTTTATTTTTACTATTTTTATTTTTATTTTTTGAGATGGAGTCTTGCTCTTTCACCCAGGCCGGACTGCAGTGGCGCTATCTCGGCTCACTGCAAGCTCCGCCTCCCGGGTTCATGCCATTCTCCTGCCTCAGCCTCCTGAGTAGCTGGGATTACAGGCGCCTGCCACCACGCCCGGCTAATTTTTTGTATTTTTAGTAGAGATGGGTTTTCACCGTGTTAGTCAAGATGGTCTCGATCTCCTGACCTCGTGATCTGCCCGCCTCGGCCTCCCAAAGTGCTGGGATTACAGGCGTGAGCCACCGCACCCGGCCAATGTGTATGTAGGTTCTATCTTTTAGGGAAAGACACTGTAATGTGGAGCATTTCTCTTCAGAATCTACTTAAAACCAGATATTTCAGTTATTAGAGTGAATTAAAACTATTAAGTAGCACATAAAATATATTTTGACCAGTCAAACCTAATTGTAGACTGTTAGTGTAGACACCCATCAGCACACCTACACTCTCACAGACACAAGAGTATCTGTTTGTCTCTGTTGATATGGTTGGGAAGTTTTGCTTTGTGACCTGGGGAGTAGAACCAAGTGTTGCTGAGAGAGCTAAGAACCAAGAGGAGGAGGTTGGAAGGATGGTATGGATTCTCTTCCTTCCTAGCTCTTTGGATTTGGTTTTAGACCCCAATGGTTAGATGCATAAGAGCCAGAAAGCAGGGAAACTGTCCACAAAAAACCCTTTATGGTTCTCAGTTCCAAGCATCATTGCTTCAGCTCCCAGGTGACAAAGTGTAGCTCAGTGCTGAGATGAGAGGCCATTTTCCCTGCTTGTGCATAAAACCCCCTCTGCTTTGACAACCTGAGGACTGGCTGGGCTGGCAGGCCACTACAAGATGCATGGCACTAGCTTCCTCTTCTTAGGTGAGAGTCACCTGGGGTATGGACAGTGGGTCCGGCACTGGGGGAAGCACAGCAACCGCCCTAACAGACTCCTCCCAGAATCTCACACACTTCCAATGGACCAGCTTTCCCTCACCCCCACCAGGCAGCACAGGGCAGGACTGTGTTTTGAGCTTAATCAGCACTGCTTTCATGATGGGCTGTGACAACACTGAGGATTTCCATGTGGCCCTGCAGAAAGCAGACCTGGAGGAACCAGAGCAGGAGAGAAAGGACCAGGTGGATCCATGCGGTTATGGCAGCTGGTTTATAAACACGAATGACACACCCCATTGGAGACGCCCAGAAATAGCTGGAGGACACTGAGGTCAAGCTAAGAGTATGTTGTTACCTTTGTAATTTGGACATCAAAAGGAAATGTAACCTGATTTTATATGGTCTGGAGAGACCTGGACATGCTGTAATTAAACTATAATTGCAATTAATGGGCTACTTTGTGAGTAACCTAATCTCATGAAAAAAATGGGTGGCTTACAATAAAATAAGGAGATTGGTGACTTATAATAAAATAAGGGGATGACAGCCATAGCTGAAACATCTATAAATTTGGAAAACCAAGACTCAAGCAAAAAACATTTGAATTGAATTATGCAAAAAAGAGGAAAAATACAAGCTCTGGAAGAATGAAGCCTGCGCCATGGGTACCTTTTAACCACAAGGTTCAGCATTTCTTTTCAAGGAGAACTTATGGCTGGAAATATGGATGGAAGCTGAACAAAGGACTTGTCTTGAACATTGCACACTACTATACTAAAGACTGAGAAAAATGTCAGTTGTTCCTATCAAAGGATGAGGGGGTTGATGGACATCAGCACCTTTGGCATCATTGTTGATTCCAGAGTGTCCTTAGTTTTTGAGCCACCTCCAAGCAGCCTTGTCAATCACTGCAAGATGCATGCCACTGGCTTCCCCCTCTCAGGCGAGAGCCACCTGGGGTACAGACAGTGGGTCCAGCACTGTGGGAGGCATGGCGACAGCCCTCACAGACTCCTCCCATAATTTACACACACTTCCAATAGACTGGCGACCCCCACACCCCCACCAGGTTCCAATGAGAAACACTTTCTAAAGAACTCTCTCTTGTTAGAACAGCTTCCCTGAGCACAGGAACCAGGGAAGCAATCAGCATCAGCTCAGCTTGACTGTCCCCTACTGCCTGTGCATGTCCCTCCAGTAACTAAGCTGTTTTTACTCAACTTTTGGGTGTTAGCTGGTGAGTCATGGCCTCAAGGGAGCCTACACTGACTAGACTAGGCCTGGTGTTGCCCTCTTTACTTCTTCATAATGAGTAAAGGTTGACACAAATTGTGTATTTAATTATTGCAGATAACACAGAGAGGGATCATGCCCATATTGATAGCCCTTCAAGGCCTAGCATAGTGCCTGGAACATGGTAAATAGTAACATTTATGAATGTCAGCATCTCTGCAGAGCTTTCCCTACATGGATTACAGCTTAGGCTAAAGCACTTGATATATTGCCCACTCCTGCTGTTAATATTTTTAACTAGTTATTTTTCATATTATATAAGCAACATGTGAATACAAGTTCATTGTAAAAAAAATCAAACTCATATAAAAGCTATAGTCTTTTATATGTAAATGATGCCACAATAAAGCTACTTTTTAAAAAGCCGCGATCCTCCTTCACAACTCCACACCAGCCCAGTCCCATTCCTTTCCCAGACACACACTCCACTCTTAACAGTTTCATGTGTAAACTTCTAGATCTTCTTCTGTGTGTTTTCATACATGTACATATCTTCATACATTATGTGCTTTCATACATGTATATTCAGATGAATACTCATATATTTGTGTTTTTGCACATATATACATTGTGCACATACATTCAGAGTGTTTTAGTCAGAGTGCAATCAGAAGGCAGAGCAGTGCTAGATATGACATTGCAAGCAGAGGGAATTTAACAGAGATGGTGGGGGAGTTCAGTGGCCACAGAACAGCAGGAAGCCACTATCAACCCTGGAGCTGGAGGGACAGAGGGAGGAAGCAGAGTTACCAGAGCCCAGGAGCTTGGGTCAACTGGAAGAATCTGGGACCATGGCAGCACTTCCAGCTAAATCTGGAGCAGTAGAGGAAGAGGCTATCTGACAGTAGGTGGAGACATGGACGAAACCTATCAGACACCATGTGAAGCAGGGAGAAAGGGAGACATAACCTGTCTTCTTCCCTCCTCTCATTCTCCAGTGTCTGTCACTGGCTCTCCTTAGCCAGTCTGGAAATGAGCCTGGAAAATGTAGTTCCCAAGGATACAAAGCCCAGATAGAGGATGGTCTGGAATGGATCTGAGAGCAAGCAGACAAAAGGCCAGCACATGAAGTTGAAAATAAAACACATAAATAGCATCATGGTATATGTAATGTTCTAAATTTATCACTTACCATTTTTACAGAGATAAAATCTGGTTAAAATGGCCATTGAGAGCAGGCTTGATCCACAGAATGAAAGGTACAGCAGGAGAGCACAGAGGCAGACAGCAAGGAAAGACATGCTACAGAAGGGCAGCCCAGGGGCTGGGGTGGGTGCAGGTCTTGTTCCTTGGGAACCAGGCCTGATCTGCTCTGCAGAGTGGGAGGAGGGCAGGAG
Organism: Homo sapiens; assembly: GCF_000001405.40. Lineage (NCBI taxonomy): Eukaryota > Metazoa > Chordata > Mammalia > Primates > Hominidae > Homo > Homo sapiens. The sequence continues at coordinate 35,729,241 of NC_000007.14, forward strand.
TATGAGATGACCATTGCCCAGCAGTAGTATCAAAGACTCAGAGAGTTTACAGCCTGAAGGAAACTTAGGTCTCCCATTTCAACTCATGACTTCTACAGAATAAGGAACTGAAAAGCAGAAAGTGATGGGCCCGGCAACCCAAAGTATCTCAGCTAGTTTTTTTTTTTTTTGTCATTTTTGGTTTTTTGGGGCATGGTGGAGGAGGTGTTAGGGGACAGTTTAGCACCAATGCCTCCTCTTCCTGCTGTGAGTCACCGAGCAGCCTAGCAGAAAAGCTGTGAGGAGAAATGAGAAGCTCTAGAGGCAATCAAGCTCATCTGTCCTGCTGGGGGGCCAGTGTTAGACACCTGACATGTCTTAAAAGCGGAGTCACCAAAGGACATCTTTTTCTTAGAAACTCCCCTAGCCTCCAGAGTCTGGTTTTAAACTGTCTGTGGCATAATCTCAGAGCCTCCAGCAGGTCTCAGGGACTGTGCTAGATACAAAGATGAATGAGATAAGATAATGAACAAGAGACATATTTCCAGGAGCTCTGAGCCTCACAGGGAATCAGAAGTGAATAAAAGGGAGCATGATGCAATGTGATAAATATAATACCTATGGCACAGAAGAGGAGTTGATAATTGCTGGGGGAAGCAAGAGCAGGGAGCTGGGAAAAGAAAGCTTCACAAAGGTAACCGCAGGGAAAGTGTTGAAGGAGGAATAGGAGCTTTTCAGAACACTAACCCCAATGTTAATAACTGAATTAGACCAACCTTCCCCAAAGACCACTATTATTCCTCAAGGATTTACACAGAAACTGTTCTTATCCCATTTACCTCTTATTACATAATGGGAACCCCCCACCCACCCACACACACACACACATATTTGAAAGTATATGATAGATGAAATGAGTTCACTGCCCCATCAACCATGATCGGCAGGGCCAGATTAAGATCTTCAGAGACTCTGGGCACTGCAAAGTTGATGGTGCTTCCATACGTAATTTAATGTAGGAAACAATGCCATCATGCACATGCCTGTAAAGAAGTCCAGCAAAGTTCTGGTTTTTCCTACAATGACACATTTTAGATGTTTTTCAAAATATCAAATAGCCAACATCACCCATGTAATGGTACTGGGATTCTTTTGGTGCCCCTGCTCTGCCAGTGCCCATGCCTGCTTATGGGTGACCCTGCACTGATGAGGCAGCCCCTTCCCACGCCAGAAACCCCAGGTGGGGTTGGCCTCATAAGTTCATATTCCTATTCTTAACCAAATGGACTTAAAGTTGTTCTTTCACTTCCCCATATATCACATGCATTATGACTTTGTTCTTTATCCCTTTCTGTCAACAAACACTCAACCTGCAACCCACGAAGGCCGTCTGAAGGTCTAGTGGTCTGGTTAACCATAAAGAAAGACTGGTGTGAGAAATGCTATTTTCTTATACTAAGCTCAGCTGCTTGTAGCAAGAGGAAGACCATGTGACAGTGAGGTGTTTATGAGCACAGGCTTTAAAAACAGCCATGGTTTAGCCGGGCGCAGTGGTTCATGCATGTAATCCCAGCACTTTGGGAGGCTGAGGTGGGCAGATCATGAGGTCAGGAGCTCGAGTCCAGCCTGACCAACATGGTGAAATCCCATCTCTACTAAAAAAAATACAAAAATTAGCCAGGCATGGTGGCACACGCCTGTAATCCCAGTTACTCAGGAGGCTGAGGCAGGAGAATCGCTTGAAACCTGAGAGGCAGAGATTGCAGTGAGCCAAGATCGCGCCACTGCACTCTAGCCTGGGAGACAGAGCAAAACTCCATCAGAAAAAAAAAAAGAAAAAAGAAAAAACAGCCATGGCTGGGTTCAACATTTGCTCTTTCACTTAACCATACGATCTTGGGCAAGTTACTTTACACCTGTAAATCCAAATTTTATCATCTATAAAATGTGCTTAATAATAGCACCAGCCGGGCGTGGTGGCTCGCGCCTGTAATCTCAGCACTTTGGGAGGCCGAGGCAGGTAGATCACCTGAGGTCAGGAGTTCGAGATCAGCCTGGCCAACATGGTGAAAACTCATCTCTACTAAAAATACAAAAATTAGCCGGGGGTGGTGGCGGGCACCTGTAATCCCAGCTACTCGGGAGGCTGAAGCAGGAGAATAGCTGAACCCAGGAGGCAGAGGTTGCAGTGAGCCAAGATTGCGCCACTGCGCTCTAGTCTGGGTGACAAGAGCAAAACTCTGTCTCAAAAAAAAAAAAAAAAAAAACAGCACCTACCTCCTTACCTCATGAAGTAATTTGTTGAACAAATATTTAGTATACTCTTACTATGTGCCAGGCACTATCCTTGAACAGGGGATACAGCAGTGAGCAAACAAAATCTTTGCCCTAGAGCTTACATTCCAGAGGAAAAAGATAGACAAAAAAAAAAATAGATATCATGTATATATTTAATTATATATAATTATATATCATGTTACAAGGAAAGAGCTAGGCAGCATTGGGGAGAGCTTTCATTTTAGATGGAGTGACCAAGAGCCTGAGTGATAAGGTGACTCTATGGACATGAAAGTGACAGGTAGGCACCAGGGGGACAGCCTTCCAGGCAGGGGGAACAGTCTGCACAGAGGCCCTGAGGCAGAAGCAAGCCTGAATGTTTGAGGAACAGTGAGTATGGCTGGAGTCAACCGAAGGTGGAGCACAGTGGAGGAAAATGAGGTCAGAGAGTAGGAGACTGAAGGGTTTTGAGCACAAGGGTGGCACGGCATGACACGTGTTTTAATAGAATCTCTCTGGCTGCTGGGTTGAGAATACACTTAAGGAGGGTAAGGGTGGAGACAAGGAAACCAATTAAGAAACGACTACCATGATCCAGGTGAGAGATGATGCATGTGATGTCCTTACCTTAGCACCTGACATGAAACCAACTCTGGATAAGGATTCTCATTAGTGTCCTATTGTGACCCGAATCCACACATGCATAGCTGGCAAAGGAAGATCTCAGATTTGTTTTCTTTTCTGCATCTTTCTCAACCATCCATCTACTACCATCATCATCATTTTCCCTAATCTTCTTAAACCCCATCCTTAATATTCTTCCCCCTTTCTTCTCTCTCTGCCTCCTTCTCATTCTGTTATCTTCCTTTTATTACTATAATGTTTTTTCTGGGCACAGTTTTGAAGATTTGTTTTGAATCTTGAAGAGAGAGCAGCAAGCCTTTTGGCCTATGGATTCTAAGAGTCACATTCCAACAGGTGATATCAAAAGGACAAGGAAGCAGGGAGGGGTGACTTGCACGGAAGGTGCCCAGTGAGATGTCTCTGCCATGGAGATTGTGCTGATGCCACAAGCAAAGCGTTTGTACCCCTCTCATCCACAAGAGAAGTCCCTCCGGGTATTTCAGATGATACCTGAAAGGATGATAAGGCAGGGAATCAGAGGCTGACACCGCTATTGGATGGACTGGGGGAGTGAAGACCAAAAGGTCATTTTCAGGAAAAAAATAAATTAGGAAGTACAGGGATAAGACAGAAGCCACCACCAATAACTCCACACCTACAGCTCCAAAGCATGTGATTCAGAAGGATCCTTGTTGATATTGGCCATCACCTTGTGTCACAATACCAGGTGAGTTGTCACAGTGGAAAGCAGGGGTATTCCCAGAAGCCATTCTGACAATGGGACTAGTAGAAATGACTTAACTATACACAGAATTGTCTATGAATCACATAAATGTATCCCACAAAAGTCAAACTAAATATGTCCCCAACTCAACTTCCCCTTGGCCAGAGCCCCAGGATACCCTTGGCCACTCTAATCCCCCACAAGATGACAAAAGGAAAGTCAGAGGCCTCAAGTAATTGTGATTTAAAATCCCTTTTGCCAATTTTACAAAAACCATCTGACCCAGTGTACACATTGCCTGGGCCTGGGAAGGGGTTCTGCAAGGGAGAACTTCAGAAACTTAACCTCCTGGAAAATCAGCTTTTGCCTAGAACAGAAGTAATTTACCTTCATGCCCAGAGAACTGATTCTATTATAGGAAGGGGATTTATTAGCCATTGTTTGTAGCAATAATGTTTTATTCAGCTTAGAACTTGCTAATAATATTACTAGATGATTAATTAATACAGTTTGAATTACTAGATAAGGAGCCACTTTTTGTAACATTTACACTCTGACTTCTGATTCACTCCCTTTTAAATCAGTCAGTCCCAAACTCATTCATTCGACAAAAATTTATTGAGGGCATACTTTCTGCAGGCACTGTGCTAAACTCAAATGGTGGGGAAAGTAAACACAGACCCTGCCTCCATGGGACCCTCAGGGGAGGAGACACATAAACAAATAATCAGACAAGTATATAGCCACTGGGCTAGACAGGAAAAGTTCAGGGTCCTGTGAGAGTAGGACAGGGGGTCCTAACCTAGTGGGGGTGACAGGAAAGACTGAGATCTGAAGGATTCATTCTTTCAACAATTATTTTTGAATGCCTACCTCTTGTCCAAACAGTGCTAAGGCCTGGAATAAGGTAAGCAAAAGCTGCAGAGTTCCTGTCTTCTGTCTTCCTAGAACTGGAGGAGACATTGTCAGATAATCCGATTGCATCTGTCTGTAAATTACAACCTAATAATGGCCTCCATGAAGGGGGATGCAGGGGCATATGTGAGGATATGTAAGGAGGGTTGGCGCAGCAGGGACAGGCTTTCTAAAGGGGGCCACAGGGTTCTGAGAGCCAGAGACAGAGTTAAATGGATGGGTAAGAAGGGGGGAAGGCATCTGGGAGTATTCCAAGCAAAAGGAACGGTGAGCAAGGGCCCGGGAGTGGGAGAGAGCACGTAGGAGGGAGAAAAAGACAAAAAGAGCCCTGTGTGGCTGGGGTGGCTCCAGGTGAAAGTACAACTACATGGGGCTGGATAAATAAGAATGGGCTGGTGTGCCTCAAACTCATGGGAGCACCGGAAAAGTTTGGAGCAGTGGAGAGGCATGGCCCAACTGGCATTTAAAGGGAACACTCTGGCTGCAGCAAGAATATTGGATTACAAGGGTTGCTTTGGCAGTAACTGCATCCTAATTACTTCCCTCTTTCTCACTTTCTTTTCCAGTGGCCGCAGAGATTTAAATAAATGCATCCCAGATACAGAGTTAAAAGCATGCCAACAATGAGGGCTGTGTGGTTTGGAGAAGAGCAGAAGAGCACACTGCTTTCAGTCAGGCAGAGGCAGATTAGATTGCCTGCCACCTCCAGTGGGATGGTGGCTCCGGACAGTCACTCACCTTCTCTAAAACCCACCTCCACCTAGTCTATAAAATGCAGAGAACGAACAATGCCTACTCCACTGAATTGTATGAGCATTAGAAAGGGTGTGTGCAAATCACCTGACATTTGGCAGAATTCATTACATGCCAGCTGTTATTGAAAGTAATTGAAATGTTGTCAAGCTAGTCAGAGGAAGATTTCTAACTAAAAGCTATACTAGCGAAAGCACTGAGAATAGAGTGTGATATCTCCTATTAAAAAACACATACGTATACATAATACATGTATGTAAATACTCAATATTTTTATAGATAGTTGTCTAATGAGATCATTAAAATATATACATATACATAATAAAGTTGAAAAGTTTTCTCAATAAATAAAATATATACATATACACAATAAAGTTGAAAAGTTTTCTCAATAAATTATATTGTACAAGAATTGCCTTAGATTTGGGCTTTTCCTGTATGCAATCATGCCCTGGAGGAACTGAGCTCATTTCTTAGCCTGTCTATCTATCCCCAACATTAACTTCTCGAAAATGATTTTATTTATCTCTTTCTCCAGAGCCTACTATGGAGCCTGGCACTCAGTAGTAGGTGCTCAGTAAATACTTGCAGAATGGAAAAATAGCTAAATAACAAATGAATAAATTTATTAATCTGTCAACTGTATTTTATAAACCCAAATCAAGACACATCGTCTGTTATATGGAATATGAGTGTCTTAGAGAGAACTTGACATGAAATATTTGAAATTCAGACTGTCCTGGAAAATTCAGGACATATGATCAGCATATATCCTCAAATAGCTGAACATCTTTTAAAGGAGTTGCAACAAATAACTATAACAGGTTCCACTGTGGGCTTGTGTTACACTTATTTTTGAACATAAAAATTGTTCCAAGTCCTATGTTCGTGGTAGAAGCAACAACCTAGAAGATTTTAAAGGAGTTCTGTTTAACCACGACACAACGACTCAGGATCAGCTTTTTTCTTATCTTGCTCACTATAATTAGTTGCCTTGATCAGACCTCTACTGACACAAAAAGAGCAAGTGAAACAGCCATACATTTTGTTTGTTAAGCACAGCTGAGGCTAGCTCAACAGAGTGTCAATTGAAGGGAATAAAATATGCAGCAAAGTTGGGAGAATGGGAACAAAGAATCCAGTATGACAATTTACAGGAGAGCTAAACAAGCTTTCAAAACAGCATCACAAAGGTAAAAAGCCTCAATAATGTAGAAAAGAGATAAATTGGAAAAGAAAGCTTGAGAGGAGCTGGAAGGACTAATTTAAAATCAATGAAGAAATTTAAGACTTTGTTTTAAATGAACTTTTTTTAAAGTCAGGTTTATTGAAATACAATTTATATACAACAAAATGTACCCTTTTAGTGTATAGTGCTACGAGTTTTGACCATTGCATATAGTTGTATAGTTGCCATCACAGTCAAGACATGGGAGAGTATACATTTTCTAAAACTATATATGTGTGTATTCTCAAAATGTTTGATAATGAGATTATATTACTTTATAACTAGAAAAAATACTTATATATTATAAATATGTACTAAATACATACATACAAAGTCTGTTTCCAAAGCCCATTCTCTTTGCTGAGCAAGGAGGAGGAAAGGTAGGGGACACAGTTTAGAAGGAAATGAAAGAAAGCTTCCTCCTCTTAGCAACTGGGATTCATTCAGAAATGAGAAACCATGAATCAAATTTACCAAAAGACCTGGAGCACAGCTCTGCTGTCTCTAGAGCTCATCACAGTCTAACATCTCCACTTTCAAAATGTTGTTGAGCACAGATATTATTCCAAAGTGCTGAAGATGAGCCCTGGAGGCCTATCAAGCCCACTGAGACCACTCCAGACCCACAGACCATCCACGTAAGCATCTTCCTGTCTCTTCCCACATCTCCAGAAAATCAGGTAGGAACAAGCTAATCATTCTTATGGGCAAGTGAATGCATGGCAGCCTTTCACTGTACTGAGGAGGCAGGAACATGAATAATGAGGCCAAAGCCAAAGGGAACACAGATCCAAATACAGGTCACATTTGAATACAGAAGCAATCCATAGACAGAGATAAAATATTTGCAAATCATATGACAAAGAATTCATATCTAGAATGTGTAAAAAGCTCCTATATCTCAAAAATTTTTAAAAACCAACATGGATTGACTTTAACAAACAGTTCGTTAAGGAAGATACATAAATGTCCCATAACCACTTTAAAAGATGCTCAACATTGTTAATCATTAGGGAAATGCAAATTAAAGCCACAACATGATAACTACTGCTCACATGAATGGCTAAAATAAAGGAAAGACTGCACTAAATGTTGAGACAACACAGGACAATCTGAACTCTCATACACTGTTGGTAGTGCAACCACTTTGTGAAGAGGTCTGACAATTTCTTATGTGACTAAACACATACCTGCCCTATGACCCAGCAATTCCTCTCCTAGGTAGATAGCCAAGAGTTACGCAAGCATTTCCACAAAGAAACTTACACAAAAACCATCATAGCAGGTTTAATTGCTAAACAAACTAAGGCATACTCATACAATAGAATACTACTCAACAATACAAAGAAACAAATTCCAGTACATATAATAGTGTGGATGAATCTTTAAAACATGCTGAGTGGAAGAAGGCATATAAAAGCATATACTGTGTGTAGGCCATGAGTGGTGGCTCAGGCCTGTAATCCCAGCACTTTGGGAGGCCAAGGTGGGTATATCACTTGAGGCTAGGAGTTCAAGACCAGCCTGGCCAACATGGCGAAACCCCATCTCAACTAAAAATACAAAAATTAGCCCAGCGTGGTGGCACATACCAATAACCCCAGCTACACAGGAGGCTGAGGCAGGAGAATCTCTTGAACCCGGGAGGCAGAGGTTGCAGTGAGCAGAGATCGCGCCACTGCACTCTAGCCTGGGTGACAGAGCAAGACTCTGTCTCAAAAAAACAAAACAAAACAAAACAAACAAACAAAAAATACACGTACAGTGTGATTTCATTTATATTAAGTGCTAAAACAGGCAAAACTAATTTATGGTGGGGAAAAAAATCAGAACAGTAGTTGCCTCTGAGATTATAGGGATGAGAGAAGGGACATGAGGAAACTTTCTGGAATGATAGTAATATTCTGTGTCCTGATAAAGATTTGTGTTACACAAATGTTTCCATTAATCAAAAAAAAATCATTGAATGGTACACTTAAGGTATGCGTACTTTGCTGTATGTCATTTTACCTCACTAAACAAAAAAGAACTCTACGTAACCAAATATTGCACTCCGGTTAATAATATGCACACTAAAATGTTTAGGGGTGAAGTATATAGATGTTTGCTGCTCCCTTTGAAATATATTTTAAAAATAATATGGGGCTGGGCATGGTGGCTTATGCCTGTAATCTCAGCCCTTTGGGAGGCCAAGGCGGACAGATCACTTGAGGTCAGGAGTTCAAGACCAGCCTGGCCAACACGGTGAAACCCCGTCTCTACCAAAGACACAAAAATTACCTGGGTGTGGTGGCAGATGCCTGTAATCCCAGCTACTCAGGAGGCTGAGGTAGGAGAATTGCTTGAACCCGGGAGGCAGAGGTTGCAGTGAGCCTACATCATGCTACTGCACTCCAGCCTGGGCAACAGAGAAAGACTGCAGCTCAAAAAAATAAATAAATAAAATAAAATAAGATAGGTTGATGATTGAATAGAGGAATGGCTACATGGACAGTTATGTGAGAAAGCAAATACAGAGATAGGTTAATTGTAGAAGGCAGATGGTGGGTATATGGGTGTTAACTATGAAATCATTTTATCTTTTCTGGATATTTAAAAAAATTATAACAAGCTGGGCGTGGTGGCTCACGCCTGTAATCCCAGCACTTTGGGAGGCTGAGGCGGGTGGATCACGAGGTCACGAGATCGAGACCATCCTGGCTAACACGGTGAAACCCCGTCTCTACTAAAAATACAAAAAAATTAGCTGGGCGTGGTGGCATGTGCCTGTAGTCCCAGCTACTTGTGAGGCTGAGGCAGGAGAATGGCATGAGCCCAGGAGGCAGACCTTGCATGAGATCATGCCACTGCACTCCAGCCTAGGCGACAGAGCAAGGCTCCGTCTCAAAAACATAAATAAATAAATAAATAAATAATTTATAACAAAATGTTGGGAAAGATAGGTTAAGAGTTAGAAGAAAAGGAAAATGAAGATCAGATAAAAAAGGATGAAGCCAATATTAGAACACAATGAAGAACTACAGATCTGCCTTTGAGTTTCCTAAGAGCCAAAACAAAAAGTGGGCAGAGGAGGACAGAAGAGGAAGATGAAGAGAGAGGAGAGAGAGAGGCGGGAGAGAGCTCAGTTACATAATTAGCAATACTCATATGATTTTTAAAGTTCTTCTAGTAAAGCACCACTTTTCCTGATACGAAGTTTTCATGAAGAGGAGACTGGACATTGCAGTTCTGTTAAGAGATTTTACACATTAAACAAGCAAGAAATTAATTTCTCTCTTACATAATGGACCACATTACGAGAAATGCAAATTAAAGCCACAATATGATACTACTGCCCACATGAATGGCTAAAATAAAGGAAAGACTGACCACACTAAATGTTGAGAGAACACAGAACAACCTGAACTCTCATACACTGTTTGTGGTGCAGCCACTTTGTAAAAATGTCTGACAATTTTTTTTAACATATATATTTTTATTATACTTTAAGTTCTAGGATACATGTGCACAACGTGCAGGTTTGTTACACATGTATACATGTGCCATGTTGGTGTGCTGCACCCATTAACTCGTCATTTACATTAGGTATATCTCCTAATGCTATCCCTTCCCCCTCCCCCCACCCCACAACAGGCCCTGCTGTGTGATGTTTCCCTTCCTGTGTCCAAGTGTTCTCATTCTCCAGTTCCCACATATGAGTGAGAACATGGGGTGTTTGGTTTTTTGTCCTTGTGATAGTTTGCTGAGAATGATGGTTTCCAGCTTCATCTATGTCCCTACAAAGGACATGAACTCATCATTTTTTATGGCTGCATAGTATGTCATGGTGTATATGTGCCACATTTTCTTAATCCAGTCTATCATTGTTGGACATTTGGGTTGGTTCCAAATCTTTGCTATTGTCAATAGTGCAGCAATAAACATACGTGTGTGTGTGTTTTTATAGCAGCATGATTTACAATCCTTTGGGTATACACCCAGTAATGGGATGGCTGGGTCAAATGGTATTTCTAGTTTTAGATCCCTGAGGAATTGCCACACTGATTTCCACAATGGTTGAACTAGTTTCCAGTCCCACCAACAGTGTAAAAGTGTTCCTATTTCTCCACATCCTCTCCAGCACCTGTTGTTTCCTGACTTTTTAAAGATCGTCATTCTAACTGGCATGAGATGGTATCTCATTGTGGTTTTGATTTGCATTTCTCTGATGGTTAGTGATGATGAACATTTTTTCATGTGTCTTTTGACTGCATAAATGTCTTCTTTTGAGAAGTGTTTGTTCAAATCCTTCGCCCACTTGTTGATGGGGTTGTTTTTTTCTTGTAAATTTGTTAGGGTTCTTTGTCGATTCTGGATATTAGCCCTTTGTCAGATGAGTAGATTGCAAAAATTTCTCCCATTCTGTAGGTCACCTGTTCACTCTGATGGTAGTTTCTTTTGCTGTGCAGAAGCTCTTTAGTTTAATTAGATCCCATTGGTCAATTTTGGCTTTTGTTGCCATTGCTTTTGGTGTTTTAGACATGAAGTCCTTGCCCATGCCTATGGCCTGAATGGTATTGCCTAGGTTTCTTCTAGGGTTTTTATGGTTTTAGGTCTAACATGTAAGTCTTTAATCCATCTTGAATTAATTTTTGTATAAGGTATAAGGAAGGGATCCAGTTTCAGCTTTCTACATATGGCTAGCCAGTTTTCCCAGCACCATTTATTAAATAGGGAATCCTTTCCCCGATTCTTGTTTTTATCAGGTTTGTCAAAGATCAGATTGTTCTAGATGTGTGGTATTATTTCTAAGGGCTCTGTTCTGTTCCATTGGTCTGTATCTCTGTTTTGGTACCAGTACCATGCTGTTTTGGTTACTGTACCCTTGTAGTATAGTTTGAAGTCAGGTAGCATGATGCCTCCAGCTTTGTTCTTTTGGCTTAGGATTAACTTGGCAATGCGGGCTCTTTTTTGGTTCCATATGAACTTTAAAGTAGTTTTTTTCCAATTCTGTGAAGAAAGTCATTGGTAGCTTGATGGGGATGGCATTGAATATATAAATTACCTTGGGCAGTATGGCCATTTTCACAATATTGATTTTTCCTGTCCATGAGCATGGAATGTTCTTCCATTTGTTGGTGTCCTCTTTTATTTCATTGAGCAGTGGTTTGTAGTTCTCCTTGAAGAGGTCGTTCACATCCCTTGTAAGTTGGATTCCTAGGTATTTTATTCTCTTTGAAGCAATTGTGTTTGGGAGTTCACTCAGGACTTGGCTGTTTGTCTGTTCTTGGTGTGTAGGAATGCTTGTGATTTCTGCACATTGATTTGTATCCTGAGACTTTGCTGAAGTTGCTTATCAGCTTAAGGAGATTTGGGGCTGAGACAATGGGGTTTTCTAAATATACAATCATGTCATCTGCAAACAGGGACAATTTGACTTCCTCATTTCCTAATTGAATACCCTTTATTTCTTTCTCCTGCCTGATTGCCCTGGCCAGAACTTCCAACACTATGTTGAATAGGAGTGGTGAGAGAGGGCATCCCTGTCTTGTGCCAGTTTTCAAAGGGAATGCTTCCAGTTTTTGCCCATTCAGTATGATATTGGCTGTGGGTTTGTCATAAATAGCTCTTATTATTTTGAGATACGTCCCATCAATACCTAATTTATTGAGAGTTTTTAGCATGAATTGCTGTTGAATTTTGTCAAAGGCCTTTTCTGCATCTATTGAGATAATCATGTGGTTTTGTCTTTGGTTCTGTTTATATGCTGGATTATGTTTATTGATTCGCGTATGTTGAACCAGCCTTGCATCCCAGGGATGAAGTCCACTTGATCATGGTGGATAAGTTTTTTGATGTGCTGCTGGATTCAGTTTGCCAGTATTTTATTGAGGATTTTTGCATCGATGTTCATCAGGGATATTGGTCTAAAATTCTCTTTTTTTGTTGTGTCTCTGCCAGGCTTTGTATCAGGATGACGCTGGCCTCATAAAATGAGTTAGGGAGGATTCCCTCTTTTTCTGTTGATTGGAATAATTTCAGAAGGAATAGTACCAGCTCCTCTTTGTACCTCTGGTAGAATTCGGCTGTGAATCCATCTGGTCCTGGACTTTTTTTGATTGGTAGTCTATTAATTATTGCCTCAATATCAGAGCCTGTTATTGGTCTATTCAGAGACTCAACTTCTTCCTGGTTTAGTCTTGGGAGGGTGTATGTGTCGAGGGATTTATCCATTTCTTCTAGATTTTCTAGTTTATTTGCATAGAGTGTTTATAGTATTCTCTAATGGTAGTTTGTATTTCTGTGGGATCAGTGGTGATATCCCCTTTATCATTTTTTATTGCATCTATTTGATTCTTCTCTCTTTTCTTCTTTATTAGTCTTGCTAGCGGTCTATCAATTTTGTTGATCTTTTCAAAAAACCAGCTCCTGGATTCGTCGATTTTTTGAAGGTTTTTCTGTGTCTCTATCTCCTTCAGTTCTGCTCTGATCTTAGTTATTTCTTGCCTTCTGCCAGCTTTTGAATGTGTTTGCTCTTGCTTCTCTAGTTCTTTTAATTGTGATGTTAGGGTGTCAATTTTAGAACTTTCCTGCTTTCTCTTGTGGGCATTTAGTGCTATAAATTTCCCTCTACACACTGCTTTAAATGTGACCCAGAGATTCTGGTATGTTGTGTCTTTGTTCTCGTTGGTTTCAAAGAACATCTTTATTTCTGCCTTCATTTTGTTATGTACCCAGTAGTGATTCAGGAGCAGGTTGTTCAGTTTCCATGTAGTTAAGCGGTTTTGCTTGAGTTTCTTAATCCTGAGCTCTAGTTTGATTGCACTGTGGTCTGAGAGACAGTTTGTTATAATTTCTGTTCTTTTACATTTGCTGAGGAGTGCTTTACTTCCAACTATGTGGTCAATTTTGGAATAAGTGCGATGTGGTGCTGAGAAAAATGTATATTCTGTTGATTTGGGGTGGAGAGTTCTGTAGGTGTCTATTAGGTCCCCTTGGTGCAGAGCTGTGTTCAATTCCTGGATATCCTTGTTAACTTTCTGTCTCGTGGATCTGTCTAATGTTGACAGTGGAGTGTTAAAGTCTTCTATTATTATTGTGTGGGAGCCTAAGTCTCTTTGTAGGTCTCTAAGGACTTGCTTTATGAATCTGGGTCCTCCTGTATTGGGTGCATATATATTTAAGATCGTTAGCTCTTCTTGTTGAATTGATCCCTTTACCATTATGTAATGGCCTTCTTTGTCTCTTTTGATCTTTGTTGGTTTAAAGTCTGTTTTATCAGAGACTAGGATTGCAACCCCTGCCTTTTTTTGTTTTCCATTTGCTTGGTAGATCTTCCTCCATCCCTTTATTTTGAGCCTATGTGTGTCTCTGCATGTGAGATGGGTTTCCTGAATAGAGCACACTGATGGGTCTTGACTCTTTATCCAGTTTGCCAGTCTGTGTCTTTTAATTGGAGCATTTAGCCCATTTACATTTAAGGTTAATATTGATATGTGTGAATTTGATCCTGTCATTATGATGTTACCCGGTTATTTTGCTCATTAGTTGATGCAGTTTCTTCCTAGCCTCGATGGTCTTTACAATTTGGCATGTTTTTGCAGTGGCTGGTACCGGTTGTTCCTTTCCATGTTTAGTGCTTCCTTCAGGAGCTCTTGTAGGGCAGGCCTGGTGGTGACAAAATCTCTCAGCATTTGCTTGTCTGTAAAGGATTTTATTTCTCCATCACTTATGAAGCTTAGTTTGGCTGGATATGAAATTCTGGGTTGAAAATTCTTTTCTTTAAGAATACTGAATATTGGCCCCCACTCTCTTCTGGCTTTTAGAGTTTCTGCTGAGAGATCAGCTGTTAGTCTGATGGGCTTCCCTTTGTGGGTAACCTGACCTTTCTCTCTGGGTGCCCTTGACATGTTTTCCTTCATTTCAACTTTAGTGAATGTGACAGTTATGTGTCTTGGAGTTGCTCTTCTCGAGGAGTATCTTTGTGGCATTCTCTGTATTTCCTGTATTTGAATGTTGGCCTGCCTTGCTAGGTTGGGGAAGTTCTCCTGGATAATATCCTGCAGAGTGTTTTCCAACTTGGTTCCATTCTCCCTGTCACTTTCAGGTACACCAATCAGACGTAGATTTGGTCTTTTCACATAGTCCCATATTTCTTGGAGGCGTTGTTCATTTGTTTTCATTCTTTTTTCTCTAAACTTCTCTTCTCGCTTAATTTCATTCATTTGATCTTCAATCACTGATACCGTTTCTTCCAGCTGATCGAATTGGCTACTGAAGCTTGTGCATTCGTCACATAGTTCTCGTGCCATGGTTTTTAGCTCCATCAGGTCATTTAAGGCCTTCTCTACATTGGTTATTCTAGTTAGCCATTTGTCTAATTTTTTATCAAGGTTTTAAGCTTCTTTGCAATGGGTTCGAACTTCCTCCTTTAGCTCAGAGAAGTTTGATCGTCTGAAGCCTTCTTCTCTCAACTCGTCAAAGTCATTCTCCGTCCAGCTTTGTTCCATTGCTGGTGAGGAGCTGCGTTCCTTTGGAGGAGGAGAGGCGCTCTGATTTTTAGAATTTTCAGTTTTTCTGCTCTGTTTTTTCCCCATCTTTGTGGTTTTATCTACCTTTGGTCTTTGATGATGGTGACGTACAGATGGGGTTTTGGTGTGGATGTCCTTTCTGTTTGTTTTCCTTCTAACAGTCAGGACCCTCAGCTGCAGGTCTGTTGGAGTTTGCTGGAGGTCTACTCCAGACTCTGTTTGCCTGGGTATCAGCAGCAGAGGCTGCAGAACAGCGAATATTGCTGAACAGCAAATGTTGCTGTCTGATCGTTCCTCTGGAAGTTTCGTCTCAGAGGGGTACCCGGCCGTGTGAGGTGTCAGTCTGCCCCTACTGGAGGGTGCCTCCCAGTTAGGCTACTCGGGGTGTCTGACAATTTTTTATGTGACTTGAGGTAGTGTTCAGGATGGTATTGTGTCTCTGTTTAAGAGACCACAAGGGAAATGAGGTGATTGGAGCTCTAAAATTCCACAACATAAAAATGTCTGCAGTGATTTTATCCAGGAAGAAAAAATTAGGTAAAAAGATAGAAAGAGCCTTAAAAATCTCTAAGAAACATATTCTATCCCCTATCTCATTCATCTATGCCAATGTATCCTGCTAAATTCATTCCTCTCTGAACATATACCATATGCTAGATACCATAGGGAATGATAATAATAGATTTTTATGCCATATTTCAACAATTCTAAGATGTATGATTTTTTGCACATTTTGATATTTCTGAAATTGGGATAGGTCTTACATCAATGGCATGTCATAATTGGTAGAATTTTTTCCTTCTTAATGGTACATAAAATAATTGCACTTCTTAAAATCAATGATATCTTAGATTTATTAAAACACAATCTCTAGTGCTTCATAGTTCAAAGTATTTTCATCTTATTTGATCCTCACAGCAACATATTTTGTTGAGATGGGTAGTTACTCCTATTCTAAACCTAAAAATCAAAATTCAGAGAGACTAAGTGACCTCTCTGAGGTCCTCCTTAGAGACTTTATGATGAAGCCATAACTCTAATCTAAATCTACTATTTTCTCCCAATATCCCACTGAAAACTCCATGGAAAAAAATACCTGTTTCATTCACTCCTGTGACACCAGAATATAGAACATTACTTGGCATATAGTAGGTATTTGATAAATATTTATTGAATCAATGTATTACATTATAGAAGTGAATGAAAGTCAGAAGGGAGAGCGTTCTGTGAGTTGTAGTGAGCTGAGAAGTTTATACAGAGGGTGAGTATCCTTCCATCTTTCCTCCACTTTGGTGAACATCTCATTTATTACTCAAATATCTTCTGTTCCATGATGGCTTCCTCAGGTTAAGCCAAACATATTTGTTTCCTAACGACTTGAAAGGCAACCTAGTAGAGCAGAAAGCATACTGGTTTTTGCCTCAGAAAAAGTGGGTGTAAATTCCTTCTGATTTTAACCACCTACTAGCACAAAACTTTGGAAAAGATTGGAGAACTTTCCTGAGCTTCAATTTTCTTATCTGCAAAATTGAGAATAAAACCTAGCAGATTGTATCATTGTGAGCCTTAAATGAGACCAGATATATGAACTCACCTGGCACACAGTAGGAGCTCAATAATATTGGTCCCTTTCTCTTCCCTCTGCCATGCTCCACTTGGACTTGGTAAACACGTCAACACATTTTTTCCCCAAGAGACTGCAAGTTTCTATAAGAACTCTATACAGATGAGGGTACTTAGTGAAAATAAATAAATAATAAAATAAAAGAACTCTGTTTGGTTCATAACCACCTTTCCAGAGCTTAGGAGAGTGCCTGACACATTCTAAGTGCCCTTAAATAGTTTCAGAGTTCATTCATTCACTTATTTCATCTTTAAATATGCATCATGTGCCTACTACGTGCCAGGACCTTTTCCTGTTGCTGAGGATATTGCAATAAATAAAGCTAATGAAAAGCCTTGCCCTCATGGAGACAGATGAACAAGACATGAATAAATAAACAATGTATAATGATAAGTGCCATGGAGGAAAATAAAACAGGGAATGGGGATAGGAGGTATAGAGGCAGGCAGGGGTGACTTGTTGCAATATTAATTTGGATGTTAAAGAAAAGCCTCACTCATGGTGACATTTGAGCAGAGATTTCAAGGAAATTAGGGGAAAGCCATACAGATACAGATATATGGGTTAAATTTGAAGAGCAATTTAAATATTTGTAGGAAAAAAATGAGAGAAAGGTAAATGGAACATTCCAGAACTTGGGAACATTTGACCAAAAACCTGATGGAATTATGTAGAAGGCTGGCTTGGGCAATATTAAATGAACCAGCTTAGGTGGAGTGTCAGGGCTTAGAATATCAGGAAGAGAATGTACATTTCATGTTATAGACAATGGTGAATCATTGAAGACTTTTGAGCAAGATGACGTGACAGGAAGCTTCATCTGGTAGAACAACCCATGCAAAAAGTATTAAAGGAAAAAGATGGCAGTTCTGTTTAAGAGATCTTGAATTTGACATCATAGTACATACACAATGGAATACTACTCAGCCATAAAATGGAACGAAATAACCAACTTCACAGCAACTTGGATGGAACTGGATGCCATTATTCTAAGTGAAGTAACTCAGGAATGAAAAATAAAATATCACATGTTCTCACTTATAAGCGGAAGTTAAACTATAAGGATGTAAAGGCATAAGAGAGATATAACGGACTCTGGGGGACTCGGGGGGAAGAGTTTGGGGGTAAGGGATAAAAGACCATATATTGGGTACCGTGTACATTGCTCAGGTGATGGGTACACCAAAATATTAGAAATCACCACTAAAGAACTTATACATGTAACCAAAAATCACCTGTACCCCCAAAACTATTGAATTTTTTAAAAGTATGCATATTTATTTATTTACTTATTTTTCAGACAGAGTTTCGCTCTTGTTGCCCAGGCCGGATTGCAATGGTGCGATCTTGGATCACTGCAACTTCCGCCTCCTGGGTTCAAGCGATTCTCGTGCCTCAGCCTCCCGAGTAGCTGGGATTACAGGCATGTGCCACCATGCCAGGCTAATTTTGTATTTTTAGTAGAGACGGGGTTTTACCATGTTGGTCAGGCTGGTCTTGAACTCCTGACCTTAGGTGATCCACCCGCCTCTGCCTCCCAAAGTGTTGGGATTACAGGTGTGAGCCACCGTGCCCAGCCAAGTATGCATATTTAAAAAATAAAAAAAGAACTGGGCAGACTTGCCTACCTGGTCATACAGAGTGCTGAACACTTGCTGGCTTCCCCATGGAGCCTGCCCCAGGAAAAACAAAAATAAATTTAAAAAATAACATAACCTATTTGTCAGACAAAAATACAGGCCTAGAATTAAGAGAGAGACAAGGGTTTGAGATTTGAGAAGCGTAGCCCACCTAAATCCTGACAGACAATTACAGTCATCTTCTAAGAACTGCAGACTCTGTCGGTGAGCAACAGACCTTGCTAGAATTTCATTTCTGGCCTAAGAATTAGTACAGCATTCCCCTTAGGAATTTTCCAAGCTCAGGCCAAGACCAGAAAACCAAAGTCAGCAGTAATGAGAATGATATGCAGGACCTGACAGGGAGATACGCCAGCAAATTAAGTCCTGTGTAGGAAAAATACCTTGAAAGGTGGGGCACAATGTGTCTTGGGAAGCTCAGGCTCAGGAGAAATCTGGAAGAACATATATCATGACAGATGCTTCAGCCTCGTGGGAGGGCTTTTGTTTAAAAGTGTGCTATGTAAAATGATATAGACACCCTACAAAAAGCAACATGCCAATGATTCATCTTGTCTACAAAAACATTACAGACCCTCACATTTGATTTTCAATCCAACACTAATTGAAGTTATCAAAAAAGAAACAAAAGTTATCTCTTTGTCATTTGGAATGATTTTTCATTTACCCACCAATAAGCAGGAAGGGGGTCTGTGAGTGCTCCAAAACCAAGTAGTGGGGTTTTTAAGCTGCAGGGAGAAAGGTTGCGGAAACCAGATGCATCTTTATATAAGATTTTGGAGTCCTACTGATGTGTTTGTGACTTTATGACAGTGGAACTCTACCACTGAGAAAAGAGAAAAGAAAATGCCATTGAAATAAACTTGGTTCTCACCAACAAAGCCTGGAATTCCAGCCAGGTGTATTGCGTGCCTATAATTAGCTGTTGGCTCTTGGGAAGGAAAGAAACTAAAGGGATGCAAAAAGAGAGGGCCTCCTTTACTTGAAATATCTTAGTCCAAGGATCTTCAAATATTCTGCTTACATAACCCCCAAAAGAATGTTGTAAAGCTATGTAACTCTTCACATATTTTAAGTTGACATCTAGCATTTTTCATCATAAGATAAAAATAAGATGATGATAGACTGTAATTGGGATAAATATTTCATGACAGTATTTGATAAAAGATATTTTAACTTCACAATAAATAAAATACCCCAAATCTGAAAGAAATCATCTAAAAATTTTATGAGCCAGTTTTATCCAATGTTTCTCAAAAAACTTGCTTGTGTTGTAAGACATTCCAGTTGACTTTAAGAGAATCAGCATCACTAATTCATACGGTTCAGCTATTCCAAATTCAGAGCTTTCCCCACAAAGACCAATTATTCCATTTCTAATGACAAGCTTCACCCTTAACAGAAATATGTATACAGGTCAGGCAAATAAAGGAAGCCCCATGGATGTAAGGCAACTTGATTAATAATAACTGAAGATTTCTCCATCAAACCAATATTTTGTTCTTGTTTTTTTTTTAACTTCTATATGTATCCACAAAAAATAAAAACCTTTTCCTAAACAGGCCAAATTACACTGCCACAGAACAAAAATATCTAATCCATATTAAAATGTCTCACATGTCCTTTATGGTTAGTTTTTCTAATCCAGGATTAAATCCTGGGCCATATACTGCATCTGGTGTTATATCCCATAAGTCTCTTTTAATCTAGAACATGCATTCTTAACCCGGGGGTGGGAGGGTGATATTATCCCCCAGGGAGTGAAAATTGGTTCTTGAGGAATGAAAAAAAAATGCACTATTTTTTATGTACAAAGCACAGATATATGTATAGTACGTAACCTGTATGTTTACAGTATATACACATATACCTGTGGTATTTTCATGAATAATTAAGGGAAAAATGTCTAAAAAGATTCCTTTTAAATGTATGGGGTGCAATAATGAAGAGAGGTTGAGAAATACTGGTCTAGAAGAATCCCTCTTTCATGACACTTATGGATTGATGAGGCCCCCAAATCAACATTTCAATATACCCACTTGTTTCATTCACAGGGGAAGTTTTCATAGCCTGGGGCAATATTCCTTCATAAGATTTGGGATGAGAGAGGTGGCAGATGTGGAAATGTGCTGCTCAGATCCCCCTGCAAGAAAGGCTGTCTCCTTAGCTGGGAGGAGTGTGGCTAGCAGACACCCTCCAGCTGTTACGTTCCTCAGGATCTGCCTCAGCTTTCCAGCCAAGGTCATGCTCTTCTTGGGGCAGCCTCAGGCAATAACTGAAAAACAGCTGATGTACATGGGCTTGGCCATTTCCACCCAACAGGAGAACTTCTAAGATGCAATCTTGGCTCTGGAGCTTCCCCACTGAGCTGGCCAACTTTGTGGGGTCTGCGTTACAGTCAGACAACTCCAGCTGCCTAACCCTGCTCTCCCCCTCATTTCCCAGATGTCACTCCCCAATAAAACACTGGTATTCCTAACTCTCTCTCTCTCTCTCTCTCTCTCTCTCTCTCTCTCTCTCTCTCTGTCAGCATCTTCTTCCTGGAGAACCAAACTGGTACAGTGAGGGCAAACATGGGCTTATAGATCAGTGTTAGGAAACAGTAGACAGGAGATGGAAGATCTAGGAAATGGTCTCCTTAAAATTATCTGTAGTCTTAAAGTCTTCACTTACCAAAGGTGTAGGAGATCAGTCAAGGTTCAATTAGAGAAGTAGAATACTAGGAGATAGATAGGTAGGTAGGTAGGTAGGTAGGTAGGTAGGTAGGTAGGTAGGTAGATAGATAGACAGATAGATAGACAGACAGGTAGATAGATTGATATAGTAGGGCATTTATTATAGGGATTTGATCTTATTCATTTGGGGGAGCTTGTTACTTACTCTGTGTGAGGCCATCGCATCTGTGTTTGGTGCTGAAGCCTGAAATCCTCAGAGAAGGCATTTGGGAAAGAGAGATGTCTGTGAAGTTGGGGAAACAGGCAAACTGGAACCCACGAGGACGGACTGGAATCTGCATTCATATCCTACTGCTTTCAAGCTGCCAACTTCAATGGTCAGGTACTCTCTAGGAGAAGCTGGTGTCCTTCGTCATGGAGGACATGTTGGGTCTGGAAGTCAGAGAGGCTGGAGAAGTTGCAGGCGTGGCTACTGTTCCACACCACAATGCAAGTCAACAGGTAAGGAACAACATGAATGAGATGCAACAGCACCTGTGACCTGCACCAACCTTTCAGGTGTAAAAAATGTATGTCTGCTACTTCACTGCTTTACTTTTGCTTTCTAAATCTCACACAAAGCTAGGTATGGTGGCTCACACCTATAATCTCAGCACTTTAGGAGGCTAAGGCAGAGAAGGGAATTTTGGGTGCCATAGTTTTAGTTTAGCTGAGTTGATACACAAATCCACCCAATGGGGGTTTCCATATCCTGTTTAAGAATCACTGACTTAAATAACAAAGGGCTAGAGAGCCCTTCTAAAAGTTGTGCTTGGGAGTTTAGGATTAAATGTATAGCCTCGTTGCATATCCTGAGAGTAAAGCCTTCAGTCTTACAGGCCTGGGTTTGAGGGGCTGATGGCTGCTAACCTCTCTGAATTTCAAGGTCTTCATTCATAAAAGGGCAATAATACCTACTTTGCAGGATTCTGTGAGGATTGCATTGTGGCAGCACACACAAAGTCCAGATACATAGTGCTTAATTAAGGGCAACTATTATTTCAAGGGTGTCTTATAGCTTTCAGGTTAATACAATCACGCTAAGATTTTAGATCTGCTGAACCTTTAGAGGCTTATACAAGCCAAAGACTGGCTAAGCCACAGGTTAGAACTCATGGAACCATCAGCTTACACCCCCTAAAACCAGAGTTCTCCATGTCCTTGAGTTGTGTGAGTAGGAGGGAAAAGTCTGATAGTCCCAATTGGTTAGACTTTGATTGATGAATGCCATCAATGGCTGCAGGTCAAAGGCAGCAGTCAATAGGAAACCATGCTTCATGTTGCTATTGCAGTTCAGCATTTCCTAAAGGCAGATGCCTCCTTCCTGGTCCTTCATGCCTCAAAGAGTTGGAATCGACCTGATAATCATGGAGGCAAATAAAATTGTGATAGATGGAAAAAGGCCATTTCTGTCCTGTCATAATTTGATTCTCTCCACCCCCTGCTCTCTTACTCCAATATATAACTTAAGGGCCACAGATATACTTCATGATTAAGAGTGCACTTGGTCCTGAATTAGTCAAGACTATGGTTGCAAGAAACAGAAACCCAAGTTGAACCAGTTATAAACAAAGAAATAAGAAAGAAAGAAATAGAAGGAAGAAAGGAAGGAAGGAAGGAGTAAGGTTATGATTGTTTAAATATTTATTTTTTAATTTTGTGTTTTATTGATACATAACATGTACATATTTTGGGGGTACTATGACAATTTAAAACATTCATATGCCTTGTAAAGATAAAATCAGTGTAACTGAGATTCCCATCACCTTAAATATTTGTGTTTTCTTTATGCTAGAAACATTCTAATTCTTCTCTTCTAGCTATATTGAAATATACAATAGATTATTGTAAACTATAGTCATACTACTGACTGATGAAATACTAGGTCTTATTTCTTCTATCATACTGTATATACATACCCATTAATCAATCTCTCTTCATCCCTCTCCCTGCTAAGGTTACGATTTATTGAATATTTGGCACAAGTAATGGGTAGTTGTAGTCTAGGGGAAGTAGACCTTGCAGACCTTGGTGGGGATTGCAGGGACTTAGCAGTACAGTCAGATCTCTCTCTCTCTCTCTCTCTCTCTCTCTCTCTCTCTCTCTCTCTCATTCTCTCCTCCGCTTTTCTCTGTGCAGGGGATGCATTCCTACATTCTTTCCTACTACAGATGAGCTTGCTCATCTTGCTGTGGAGAGGAAGTGGAGCATGGTCCAGACAAGCACTGGTTTTGTCATCGCTGTCTAGTAACATCAGAGAAGAAAGCTTCCTTTTCCCAAAGTCTACATATAAATTCCCAGGGAAAGGCTCTTTCTGGCTCAATTTGATGTAGCCAAGTGGGTGGTGACTATGGTTGGTCAAGCCTGGATCTCATACTCACCCTGTAGACTGAAGACTGGTTTGGCTGTCCACTAAAACCTTAAGGAGAAGAGGTAGAACCTTTCTCTCCAATGAAATAAGGTGTTGTACTGGAAGACAGGTGGGAGAGGAGCTGCTGAACAGACACAATCGACAGGTGTCCATTACAGATCCTTCATGTCTCAAGATTTTGTTTTGTTTTCCAACAAAAGTCTCTGAAAACAGAGGACATTTACAATTGCAAAAGAAAAACTCTTTGTTGACAGAAAGAGGAGAATGTGTACAGATGACAGAAGCTGCATAAATAGGCTGTCATCAAAGCTCTCTTGGAGAGTGCATCATCTCCTCATGACTTCAGGTATTTAATCTCCATATGACTCTCATATATACTTCTCCCAGCCTCTAATCCTCAGGGGATAAGAGTAGCGCCGACCTCATAGGGCTTCTGTGAGAACTATTTTGAGTGAATGCAAGTAAAACACACAGTACAGAGCCTGATGCATAGAAAGCTTTTTTATAAATAAAAATAATTTTGTATATTTATGTACTACACCAATCCTCAGGACACACTGAGGGCTATTTGCTGCAAATACCTACAACATTCTGCTTAGGGTTATTTTTCCGGCACAGGGAGACCGTTTTGGAGAGTTAATGCCCCTCAAATAAATTCTCAATTGACAAGAATTAGTGGATAAATACTTCGACTTCCTGATCCCTAGGCAGGACTACATTGAGACATCTTCTATACTCTCTTCCAGTGTCTCCAGCATGACTGCTCTCCAACTGATTCCTTTGAGAACATGCCCTTTATTTTTTTGCTTCCTTTCTTTCCCTGTCATACTGCCCCACTCTCCTGCCGGTGTTTCCTGAAATCACCTCCTCAATAAGTGGTGTGCATTTAAATCTTCATCTCAGGATCTGCCTATAGGGAACCTTAAACTAGGACAATAAAATATATGAAAGAATGTGCACCACATTGTCTGCCATCATCATCCTACGACTGGTAGGATTGTAAGTTATTATCCTTTTTGTTATCTATATTTAAAGCATTTCCACAATGAACACAGACACCAACTAATTGATGATTGAAACAATCTAAAATCTTAAACCGGATTTTTAATCTCTGCAGGACCCGACCAACTTTTTCTTCTACCTACTTCTAACTCTGTATTCACAACAAACAAGTCTTCTTACTTTTGGACCCACTAAGTCCATTCCTCTCTCCAGGCCTCTACACATACTTGACCTAGCATTTTCTATTACTCTTATCTCTTCCACAAGGCCTCCCCTGACTCACTCAGCCCATGATGCCAGTTTACATTCATTTCGTCTACATATCATTTAATCAGCATTATCAGTTCTTCCCATACCCTGCACTACTTTAAAGAGATATGTGTGTAAAGTACTTCTTTGCCATATGGGTCTCTCAAGTTTCTAGAACATTTGGATCAGACATAGAACCACTTTCCACGTGAAAATGGCATTACACCAATTCAAGATAAAATGCTCCCCACAAAATTATTCAAGATAATATCTGAGCTGCATCTGCTGTTTCAGTCTGTAACAAAGGGTCTTTTTACAGGACAGCAGCAGTGGGGAGGAGAAATGGAGAGAAACAGAAGCTGCCTCTGATGTACTGATTCTACCACACATAAATGATCTTTTCATGAGCCAATTAGGAGAGAAGGAAAGACAAAAAGCATTCTTGACTTAGGAATGGAATAGTCGCTCCTCCTCGGTGCCTGATTCAGTTATTTAGAATGGCTTTCTTACGGCTGGGCCTCTTGTGAATTATGAGTCTCTCTCTCTGTCTTCCCCCCCAGGCTTCATATTAAAGACAAGACACAGCTGCCAAGGCCTCCAGAGATTTCCCAGCAGTCTACTATGGTGAAATAAAACACCATGTTATGCTGGACAACTAGCCTGTCGTTTCTGCACCATGGGCTGTGCTATTCTCACGGCCAAGATAAAAAATCCCAGGCCCTGGACACTTACTGCTTCTCTTGAGATTTGTGGCTTGATCTTCTAGATAGTACTCGATTTTGTGTGTGTGTTCCAGCTTCCCTGCATGATATTGATAATTATCTTCTAAAGGGATTGGATATGTTTGTATAATATACGTATACTCCTCCTTCTTGAAATACTGTCTTGAAGGAGGGCATTTGGTTACCATTAAAGCAACTATTTTGCTTCCAAGTGGTAAGAAGTTCTGTGGCCCTGGTGCCACAGATGACTTGGGACTTTGACAGGGTTGTGATCGTCCCTATAGGCATGTTTTGTGTCATTACTACCAGAAGGATTGCATTATACAAATGGGCTGAGGTTTGTACATAATGATTGGTTGAACTGCTTCTGATGTTGCAATCTCAGCTTTATCTGCCTCAGAGTAAATGGAGCCAGCTGAAATAGGTCTGTAACCCTGCATGGAGATTTGGAGTATACTAGTGAAATGTTGGGAAGGTGTCAAATTGGAGACTATTTTTAGTTAAATGGTTTACACCCTAGTAGAGAACAAGACAGAAGGCACACATGATGCTCCACCTTCATATTTTGATTTCAGTCTTCAAATAATAGGATAAATTTCAAATCCCAGCAGTCTTACATGAGCCTATAGTAAAGGAGAAGAAGAATCTCAGAAATTAAAAAGTTCTTCATACTGATGACAGGAGCTCTCCAAGTGTTGACAAACAGCCCTCCCCACACATTCCTTTCTTCCTCTCCCATTTTATCCTAATTATAAGCTAGCAAATAGGATAAAGGAAGATACCGCTCCCTATTGGATATACCTGTGTTCAGAAATCTTTACTAAACTAAAATCATCAGAATCCAATTTCTTTCTAACCTAACTATCTGCATGGTGTAAATGGGAGGGTAGGTAAGGATCTAATTAGTGATACAAATGTCATTTGTATATTCAATCAGACAAACAGATCCCTTTGGGAGTACACAAATAAAATCCCAAACAGTAGAATTTACCAACTGAAGGACAAAAAAGAGTCTTGTTTATTTTTCTATTTTTTATGCAATAGGTAGGTGCTCAGTAAATATAGTTGGGTTCGATTATGAAATTGAAAACATCCATGCCCACTTTGAAGAAAATAATCTGAAAGGAAATTATCAAATGCCATGAATATGTAAATTATACCTTGAACCACTTCTCTGCTTCTCAATTGTGAGGCCAAAATGCTTCCCACGTATAACTCACTAATTTTTACAAGTTGTAATAGTCCCTGCAGGAAGAGAAATAGCAATTGCCATTGTTCCATTTGACAGATATGAGAACTAAAGTACAAGCTGTTAAGCCAGGGATGGTGACTCAGTGAGTAAGAGTCAGAGTAGAATGATATGAGACTGGGACAGAGGGAGCAGAAATGCTGCCTAGAATTTACTCTGGGGCTCCTATTCTAACTCCTTGCGTCCTTTGACCAGATAACAACTTAGGAACCCCTGGCATTGCACTGTCGTACACCAGGAGAAGCTTCCCCTGCCATCACAAGGGCAGAGGAAACAGCCAAATTCCAGGACTCACGTAGAGCAGGGGCTCTGTTTTGCTTATCATGGTGGGCCCACCTTCACCCTCATTCCCCAGTGCTACCTAATTCAGCACTTGCATTGGCCCTAGCAAACAAGGATCAGATGACAGGATGAATCAATGAAGGCCTTGTGACTCCCATTTTTGGTGTTCAACCCATTAAATCAATATTTCTTAAAACAAGCTGGTCATGGTGGCACATGCCTATAATCCCAGGGACTCAGGAGGCTGAAGCAAAAGGATAGCTTGAGGACAGGAGTTCAAGACCAGCCTCAGCAACATAAAGAGACCCTGTCTCTACAAAAAGTAAAAAGAAAAACATTAGTCAATCTGGTAGTCCCAGCTCCTCTGGAGGTTGAGTCAGGAGGATTGCTTGGGCCCAGGCGTTTGAGGCTGCTTTGAGTTATGATTGCTGCCCCACACTCCAGCCTGGGTGACAGAGGGAGAGAAAGAAGGAAGGAAGGAAGGAAGGAAGGAAGGAAGGAAGGAAGGAAGGAAGGAAGGAAGGGGAAAGAAGGAGAAAGAAGGAAAGAAAAGAAAGAAAGAAGGAAAGAAAGAAAGAAAAAGAAAGAAAGAAAAGAAAGAAAGAGAGAGAAAGAAAGAGAGAAAGGAAAATAAAGAAAAAAAATTTCTTAGGACATTACAGTCTATCCCTTTAGAAGAGAAAATGCCCCATAGCATCGCCTGCCTGCAATCATTCCTGCAGAAACAGCAAAAAGACTTTCTACATCTCAAGGAATCACATGCCTCCGGTTCTAGTGATGCTCCTTTCCAATAAAACAAATACTCCCTAAGCAGATAAATAAATAATCAAACACAAATAAATGTCATACATGAGGAAAGGTCTTCCATAAGTTTTGAAATAAGGAAGTTACAAAACAGCACATTCTCTGGGCTAAGGGCTGTTAAATGTACTATCCCATTTGATCCTCATAAAAACCTTGTGAGGTAGATATTCTTTTATTACTTCTGTTTTTGAGGCGGGGTCTCGCTCTGTTGCCCAGGCTGGAGTGCAGTGGTGTGATCTTGGCTCACTGTAGCCTCAAACTCCTGTGCTCAAGCAATCCTCCCACCTCAGCCTCCTGAGTAGCTGGGACCAGTGGTGCACACCCGGCTAATTTTCACATTTTTTCTGCAGAGACAGGGTTTTGCCATGTTGCCCAGGGTGGTCTCGAACTCCTGAGCTCAAACAATCTACCCGCTTCAGCCTCCCAAAGTGCTTGGATTATAGCCATAAGCCACTGCACCTGGCCTCTTTTTATTCTTATTTTACAGATAAGGAAACTGAGACTTAGGTTAAGTAATGCCCAGAATCACACAGCTTGAAAAATATTTAAAACCCAATCTGTTTGAATTCAGAACATGGCATTTTACTCCTCTCTCTGGTTCTTGCTCCCACCCTGGCTTCTTGTCTCCTTTCCCCCCCTTTCTTCTCCTTTTCCTCAATTTCTGTATATCTCTCTCTCCCTCTTTTTCTCTTTCTCTCTCTCTCCTTTACCATGTAAGTTTATCTATGCATAGCTTTCTTCACATTCTCCAGGGTTTCCATAACCCACAAAACTTTCATTGCCAGGAAGCTTTGCCAGTCCCAGACTCAAAGGCCAAGCAGGGTATCTGATATTCCAGCTACGAGGCTGTTGACTAAGGTCACTGCCCCACTACTGGGCATATCCCACACTCACACATTCTGCCAAGTTGGGACTGTAAATGCATTTCGTCACATGGATGTGAAAATGGCAATTATAAAAGCAGTATTTAGAAATGGCTTCCACTTAGATTTTGGTCAACTAGTTTGTATAAACATGTACTATCAATATAAATAATTTGCATCAGAGAGGTACGTGGCCTCTTCTGTAGAAACATTCTTCATGCTCCAGAAATTGTGTCATCAAAACATTATCCAGGTAGCAGTTAACTTCCTTTGATTCAACATGTAGATACATACTTCATAGCTAATATTTTGAGTAATGACTGTACAAACATATGCCTAGTGGTTCACATCCATAATCTCATTTAACCAAGGCTTACAGGGTTAAATAACAGCCCAATTGTCACTTACTAAGTTGCAGAGCCATTTCTCCAATAAAGGTGGGCCTCCTGTCAGGATCTAAGTTCTCAACCCTTCTGCTCTCAGTGACAAATATAGGGCCATCCCTGTGGAAGATAAAAATGAAATGGCTCAGTCAAACAACATAGAATCCATTAACAAACATTTTTTAAAAGGTTTACAAACATAATAATAAAGGACAGAATGCAACCTAATAGCACCTTCTTGTCCAACAGATAAGAAGTAGTAATGATATCTTAGAGCAGACCTTTAATTTGTGAGGGATGCTTTTTAAGAGAACTTAGAGAAAAGAGGAAACCACAGAGCATACTCAGAGGCAGGCAACTCTCCAAACAATTACTTCTGCAGAGTCGAGTCAAGACTGAGTTGAGACTGATGGGGTAAAAGTCCAGAAAGTCAGTGATGGGGGTGGGTTTAAAACTTGTATGCATCTGGAGATAAAGAGGTCAGAAGGGCTGAGGAAAGATTAGAGTTAATGACCCACATGGACTAGAAATCCTCTGGCAGTAAGTAACCCCTGACACCAGGGGGTGGCTGATACAATCAGAACAGGACAGACACCGAGAAGTCAAAAACTAACCATTAGTAAATACAATAGGGCTTTTGAAGGCCAAGACTCCTCCTTGCTTTATTTATTTATTTATTGCTATAGATCATTTACTTAATACACGATAGTTCTTAGGATAGTACACACTGTTAACTTATAATCATTATTAGGTTGAGAGAGAAAAACACAAATTAAACATCACACACAAATTAAAGATCTGTTCTCTTTAACAAATCATGACTACTCTTTATCTGTTGGGCTGAGAATGTAATATTAGGTTGTATTCTGTCCCTTATTGTTATATTTGTAAAGTTTGTATACAAAAAGAGAAGATTCTCCCAAACTATTTTCTTTAGATACCTGACTGGAGGAGTTGGGAAGGAGTCAATGCCAGTAATTAATTGCCATTTTTTTTTTTTTAAGACAGAGTCTCGTTCTGCTGCCGAGGCTGGAGTGCAATGGCGCAGTCTTGGCTCACTGCGACCTCCACTTCCCAGGTTCAAGCAATTATCCTGCCTCAGTTTCCCAAGTACCTGGGATTACAGGCATGCGCCACCTCACCTGGCTATTTTTTTTATTTTTAGTAGACATGGGGTTTCACTATGTTGGCCAGGCTGGTCTCAAACTCCTGACCTCAGGTGATCTGCCCACCTTGGCCTCCCAAAGTGCTGGGATTACAGGTATGAGCCATCACGCCTGGCCTTGATTGCCATTTTTGAAGGGTTGAAATCACTCTGTCATGATCTAATCTCCAACAGTTTTTAAATGACCATAAACTCCAGTCACACTGGCGATGGAGTGGTCTCTCTACCAAAATCCTACTTTTAATAATGTCTATCCATCTTTACTTTCAAACATTTTAAAAATCTGGGGGCCGAGCGTGGTGGCTCACGCCTGTAATCCCTGCATTTTGGGAGGCTGAGGTGGGTGGATCACGAGGTCAGGAGTTCAAGACCAGCCTGGCCAAGATGGTGAAACCCCGTCTCTACTAAAAATACAAAAATTAGCCAGGCATGGTGGCAGGCACCTGTAATCCAGCTACTCGGGAGGCTGAGGCAGAAAACTGCTTGAACCCAGGAGGCGGAGGTTGCAGTGAGCTGAGATAGCGCCACTGCACTCCAGTCTGGGCAACACAGCAAGACTCTGTCTCAAAAAAAAAAAAAAAATTGGAAGAATGCAGAACCAGGGGGTTCCATAGCTTGGTGGAACAGTTGCAAGGCTTGACTTCCTTCGATAAGTGTTCATCAAAGACTGATTTTTCCAAATGAGGAGACTTATTCTGCTCATTTCCTGCCTGCAGTCACATCTCCTAGTTGGGGTGCTGCATGGAATGGTAAAAGCTATAATGCAAATATTTCTCAGAAAAAGAAGTGCATTTGTACTCCATTTGCCCTTTAAGGGTTATCTGATTTCAATCATCTTTTTCCAAAAAATCTTGCTAGAACTTGCAAAGTTCTAATAGAAATTGGTATGAAGCAGTCAGGCAATGGCAAGTACAAGAGGGAAAAAATGAAGAGTCTTGACTTTGAAAAGTATTTACATACATTCCAGAGCATTCTAAACACATGAAGAATAAACTTAGCAGGGAAAGGCATTCCATGCCTAAAATTGTGTCTTTGAAACTAGGATCTGAGTGGAAGAAATAAGTTATGTTATTAATATATGGTGAGGAACAGAACAGAAATTGAAGGCGCAAATGAAGTGTTCGTGGAAGATTCGTGAGACAGAAGGGCAAATATACACCAAGTAGATACTTCTCCTACGGACACGCTTTGCAATTTGAGCATTTTTGAGCTTGCAATGGAATTTTAAAGCCATCCAGAAACAACAGATGTTTGAACCCAAATGATCCAACGTCTTGATGCCAAAATTAGGGCTCTGAAGAGGAACGTTAAGAGTTGGAGCACATGAAGAATAACTTCAGTAACTCTTCTCTAATGCAACAGTTGAAAGATTTATTCTATGGCTTGCTGACCTACCCTTTTATCTGTGCCCAATTATATTTGAAGTGATAAAAATCTCTGTCGAATGGGAGTATTAATAACTAAAATTCAAGTCTCTTTTCTAAATCTGACTTCAATCTCTTCTCTCTCCTCTTTGAGCATTCAATCTCTAAATCAAATTATGAAATCAGAAGGAGGGCCCTTCTGAACATTATCTATTCCCAAATTTTTGCATATGAAAACCAATAATAGATTATGGCTGTACTTACACAGCACAGGATTATCTAGCTAATTTAATAGTTGTAAGCAGCCAAGCCAGGTACTGTGAGCAAGCAAACAAAAACCAATCAACAGCAACTCCCACCAACAATGAACAACCAAACTGCATTTTGCAAGCTATTCTTTTTCCAGATTAAATCGGTAACTGATAAATGCTAAATCTCTGCTTTACTTGATTTTTTTATTTTTATTTTTGAGACAGGGTCATGCTCTGTTACCCAGGCTGAAGTGCAGTGGCATGATCATGGCTGACTGCAGCCTCTACCTCCTAGGCTCAAGCAATCCTCCCACCTCAGCCTTCCAAATAGCTGGGATCACAGGTGTGTGCCACTAGGCTTGGCCAATTTTTGTATTTTTTTTGTAGAGACAGGGTCTCCCTATGTTGCCCAGGCTGGTCTTGAACTCCTGGGCTCAAGCAATCTTCCTGCCTTGGCCTCCCAAAGTGCTGGGATTACTGGTGTGAGCCACCATGCCTAGATTGCTTTACTTGATTTAAAATGACATGTCATTTAATCCTAAAACAAGAACGTTATTTTTTCATTAGTTTGTTGGATTTTTTTTTCCTCCTGCCTCTCTGTTAAATAAGAAAATGCCATTTAGACATCAAATCACTTCATTCAGTTTCCAAAGAAACTTCTTACATATCTCATTTACCAAATAAACTTCCCTTCCTAGGGCCAGGCATAATGCCTCACACCTGTAATCCCAGCACTTTGAGAGGCCAAGGTGGGAAGATTGCTTGAGTCCAGGAGTTGAGGACCAGCCTGGGCAATATAGTGAGACCTCATCTTTAAAAATAAATAAATAAACACCAATGAAATTTCCCAGCCAGGTAGCAAGGTTTATTCGTTTCCAGAAAAAATGCAAGCATAAAGATATTTCTTAACTCAGTCACTCAAATGCTGTAAAATAGCACCTTTGGGGAGAAAGTGGCAGTATGATCATGGTTCTAAAAGGCAGCCAGGAACTCAAAATTGTAACAACATTTTAAAAATAGCGTCGCAGCTATGATTACAATTTAGCTCCATAGCACGTAAGCATGGTATGAACAGGAAATGGGAGTACATCTTCAGAGCCTGATAAGATTCACTAATGTAAGACATATGCTCTGTTTCTCAGCTTGCAAGCTAGGCCTAGCCAGAAAGAAGGAAAGCATACATGTTTATCTTTAACCTAAAGATCAAATTTATAAACCTTGGAAGATTTTTTGAATTGCTATTGAATTAAGTGATG
Source organism: Homo sapiens (assembly GCF_000001405.40). Lineage (NCBI taxonomy): Eukaryota > Metazoa > Chordata > Mammalia > Primates > Hominidae > Homo > Homo sapiens. The sequence goes on from NC_000007.14 coordinate 35,762,190, forward strand.
AACTCGAGAAATGTGCAGCATAGATTCAATTGTGAATTTGAAAAATAAAGGTTTGAAGTAACTTCCAAAGGAAAATTAATTGTTAGCCATGCATCACAAGCCTGGGTTATCTCAGGGCAGCCTCAACAAGGCAGAACTTGTCCTTAGAGAAATGATTGCTAATCAAGGGGACATTCCTAACAAAAATATCTCCATTATCTATAAAAGACCAAAGTTGAGTTCACTAAGGATGGTATGTTTTAAGAACATTCTACAGTATCAATAATTATTCAGAGTTCTACTTAGAACAAGTAGAAATATGTCAGGATGCCTTTAATATGACTCATATTTTAGGAGGGAACTGATGGTTTACTTGTTTCCAGATTTATTTTAGAAAAAGTAGAAGATAGTGCAACATGGTTCAACAGTAGACACACAGCAGTACATTTAAGTACACACAAACTAATCAAATCACCCAATTTTACAGTCCATATTAAAGACAATGAAAAGGAGCCAAATATCAGTCTCTATCATCAAATACAAATTGGATTTATAATCCTTTGATATGGATCATGGTAAAGAAATGTTGACACATTTGGAAAACAACACCCCCTCCCACCCCCCACCAAAAGTATTATGATTTAGATTTCTAGCTTCTATTTCTTCACCAAAAAAGTCTAGGTTTTTCTGGTTATTCAGAATAAGAATAAATTCACTCGTTCCACAAATGTTTATTGAGGGCTTCCCATGCATGAAGCACTGTTGTAATTGCCAGAGATATAGCAGTGGGAAAGACAGATAAGGAGCTCACATGCTAGTACGAGACGTCAGCTAATAAATAAATAAACAAGAGTTCTTCAAGGGTAATTAGTGCTGTGAAGGGGATGAAAGAGTGATGTGTAGAGAAAGACAGAAAAGGTGGGGACTATTTTAAATAGGATGGTCAAGGAAAGGCTTGTCTGAGCTGAGACCTGAAGAGCAAGAAGCAAATAAGTGAATATACTGGGGAATGATCTGGAGAAGAGGCAAGAACCAGTGCAAAGTTCCTGAGGCAGTAACAGGCTTGACTTCTTCAAGGAACAGAAAAAAAGGCAGCAAGGTGATAATTAATGAGGAGAGGGAAAAAGATGAGCTTGGAAAGGCAGGCAGGGACCAGATCACATGGGACCTGTTGTACCTTGCTAACAGGTTGGGACTTTTTACGAACAATGAAAAGCCATTGAAGAATTTATATGAGTGAGTAATGTTTATCTGATTTATATATTATAATTAAAATAAAAATATCTGATCTGATTTTATTTTAATTATAAAATTTTTCAGGCATCTAAGAACTTACAGACAACAAGAAAAGGGATACCTTAAGAAATCAGATTCAGTTAAAATCCCCATGGTACTCTTTTCAGTCCTATTCTCCTCCCTCTTTAAAGGTAACTGCCATTCTAAACTTTATGCTTGTAATTTTCTTGCATGTTTTTGTGCTTTTACCACACATACTCATACATATCTATAAACAATATGTAGCACTGCCTTGCATGTTTTTAAACTTTATATGAATGGTACCATACTGTGCATATTCTTCTGTACTTGCTTTTTTACCTTCAGTATTATGTTGCTGAGATTTATCCATGCTCATTAATCCTTAGCAACTACTTAGCATTTTCTTGGATTAACATGTCGTGATTTCTCCATTCCTTGGTTGAAGGGCATTTATGTTGTTTTCAATGTTTTTGTTCATATCTCCCTGGGCAGACAATGGAAAATAGACAAGAGTAGAAATACATAAGCCAGTTAGAAGACTCTTCAGTAGCCCAGCAGAAAGCTAGTGGAGGCTAGGATTAAGAGAACAGCAATTGAGATGAAAAGAAATGGAGAAACTTAGTATACGTTTTGGAGATGCAGCTGATTGGACTTGCTGATGAATTTGATAGGCAAGAGGGGTTGCTGAGAGAAGGTGAAAAATCAAGGATGAATACTAATTTTTGGCCTTGAGCAATTTTAAAGGCATCTAAAGGCTGAAATCTAGAACTCTAAAAGGTGTTTTATGATGTCGTATTTTAATTACTTAAGGTTAGTGAAAATCTTATCTTACTTATACTTGCGTCTCCTCTAGTGCTTTGCAATGTATAATATTAGGTAACCCCAAAAATTTTGTTGAATGAATAATAGACTTTACAATTGCTTCTCTATGGTGCATAGGAATTATATTTAGATTTAGTCATATGACAATCTTGAATATTGTCAGAAAAAAAGTGAAATGATGCTAGATTTTATTAAAATAATGCAGGAATAAATCCATTTATCTTTGGGAGTTATTAATAAAGCAAGATTGGCTATATGTTAAACATTTTTGAAGCTGAGTATTATATGAGAGTTGAATTTTTGTGATTTTTGGAAAATTCCAAGATAAAAAGTTTAAAAAGGCCAGGCATGGTAGCTCATGCCTGTAATCCCAGCACTTTGGGAGGCCGAGGTGGGTGGATTGCCTGAGCTCAGGAGTTCAAGACCGCCCTGGGCAACATGGTGAAACCCTGTCTCTACTAAAATACAAAAAATTAGCTGGGTGCGGTGGTGGATGCCTGTAGTCCCAGCTACTCAGGAAGCTGAGGCAGGAGAATCGCTTGAACTCAGGAGGTGGAGGTTGCAGTGAGCCAAGATTGCGCCATTGCACCCCAGCCTGGGCAACAGAGTGAGGCTCCGTCTCAAAAAAAAAAAAAAAAAAGTTTAAAAAGAGATTTTTAAAAATTTAGCCATTTCCCCATCGAGAAGAGAATTGTCCCCTATTTGTCACTTCAAATATTAGGTTGGTATAAAGGTAATTGCAGTTTCTACCATTAAAAGTAATATAAACATCCAAATAATAACCACTCTAACGAAGCAGCTTGTCAGAGAATTAGGAATTCCAGCCAAGTTCTTAACTTCTTGGGGCTTATAAACCCCTTAGAAAACATGATGAAACATATGAACACTTTTCCTGGAAAAAAAGCACATGTATACAAATTTGCATAAATATAGCCAGGTGTTTTTGACATTCTTTGAAGCTAATGTCATAGACCAGATTAAGAAAAGAAGGTCAGTTAAAGACCTGCATTGAAGTTCTGATACTATTATATGAATTGTTAGGTAATTTGTTAACCTGAAATTTTGTCACATTAGTTTTTTAATTGTTTAATATTCTACTCCACAGTTGGTACTTACATTCCTACCCAGAGTTTGCAGCCAGACGATTGGGGTTTGAGCCTTCCCTTTCCCACTTTTAAGCTGTAAGATCTCAGAAAGTCACTTAACCTTTCTGAGCCTCAGCTTCTTTATCTATAAGTTTGAAATAGTAATAAATACACTAAGTGCTATTGTGTGATAAAATGAGCTAATATAATTGAAAGTCCTTCATAAGATGTAAAGAGCACTGTAAATTGGTGGTCATATTTTATACCATTATGTGCCAGAAACTCTTCTAAACTTTTTTTTTTGAGATGGAGTTTTGCTATTTTTTTAACAAAAAAGTATTTTATTATTTTGCTGCAAAGCTGTTGCTTCACAGTGTAAAAATAGCACCAGCAAATGCAGTATATTGCAAAATTAAGATAGTGTTGTTCTTCATCTGACACTGTACAAGCAACAAAAACTTCTTCGCTCCCAGTTATTTCCAACGGAAAGATCATTAAGTGTTTCAACCCAAATCCAGGTATAGATATACACAAGTTACAACATTATAGAAGGCTTAAGAATAACATTATCATTGAATTATGTAATTTTTTATATACTTTAAGTTCTGGGATACATGTGCAGAACTTGCAGGTTTGTTACATAGGTATACACGTACCATGGTGGTTTGCTGCACCCATCAACCCGTCATCTACATTAGGTATTTCTCCTAATGCTATCCATCCCCTAGCCCCCCAATGGCACGATAGACCCTGTTGTGTGATGTTCCCCTCCCTGTGTCCATGTGTTCTCATTTTTAAAGTCCCACTTACGAGTGAGAACATGTGGTGTTTGGTTTTCTGTTCTGTGTTAGTTTGCTGAGAATGTGGTTTCCAGCTTCATCCATGTTACTGCAAAGGACATGAACTCATCCTTTTTTATGGCTGCATAGCATTCCATGGTGTATATGTGCCACATTTTCTTTATCCAGTCTATCATTGATGGGCATTTGGGTTGGTTCCAAGTCTTTGCTATTGTGAACAGTGCTGCAATAAACATACGTGTGCATGTGTCTTTACAGTAGAATGATTTATAAGCGTTTGGGTATATAACCAGTAATGGGATTGCTGGGTCAAATGGTATTTCTGGTTCTACATCCTTGAGGAATCCATTGCCTTCCACAATGGTTTAACTAATTTACACTGTCATCAACAGTGTAAAAGCATTCCTATTTCTCCACATCCTCTCCAGCACCTGTTGTTTCCTGACTTTTTAATGATTGCCATTCTAATTGGTGTGAGATGGTATCTCACTGTGGTTTTGATTTGCATTTCTTTAATAACCAGTGATGATGAGCTTTTTTTCACGTTTGTTGGCTGCATGTCTTCTTTTGAGAAGTGTCTGTTCATATCCTGTGTCCACTTTTTGATGGGGTTGTTTTTTCTTGTAAATTTGTTTAAGTTCCTTGTAGATTCTGGATATTAGCCCTTTGTCAGATGGATAGATTGCAAATATTTTTTCCCATTCTGTAGGTTGCCTGTTCACTCTGATGATAGTTTCTTTTGCTGTGCAGAAGCTCTTTAGTTTAATTAGATCCCATTTGTCAATTTTGGCTCTCTTGCCATTGCTTTTGGTGTTTTAGTCATAAAGTCTTTGCCTATGCCTGTGTCCTGAATGGTATTGCCTAAGTTTTTTCTAGGGTTTTTATGGTTTTAGGTCTTACGTTTAAATCTTTAACCCATCTTGAGTTAAATTTTGTATAAGGTGTGAGGAAGGGTCCAGTTTCAGTTTTCTGCATACGGCTAGCCAGTTTTCCCAGCACCATTTATTAAATAGGGAATCCCTTCCCCATTTCTTGTTTTTGTCAGGCTTGTCAAAGATCAGATGGTAGTAGATGTGCAGTGTTATTTCTGAGGCCTCTGTTCTGTTCCATTGGTCTATATATCTGGTTTGGTACCAGTACCATGCTGTTTTTTTTACTGTAGCATTGTAGTATAGTTTGAAGTCAGGTAGCATGATGCCTCCAGCTTTGTTCTTTTTGCTTAGGATTGTCTTGGCTATACGGGCTCTTTTTTGGTCCCATATGAACTTTAAAGTAGTTTTTTTCTAATTCTGTGAAGAAAGTCAATGGTAGCTTGATGGGGATAGCATTGAACCTATAAATTACTTTGGGCAGTATGACCATTTTCACGACATTGATTCTTCCTATCCATGAGCATGGAATATTTTTCCATTTGTTTGTGTCCTCTCTGATTTCCTTGAGTAGTGGTTTGTAGTTCTCCTTAAAGAGGTTCTTCCCTTTGTAAGTTGTATTCTTAGATATTTTAATCTCTTTGTAGCATTTGTGAATGGGAGTTCACTCATGATTTGGTTGCTTGTCTATTATTGGTGTATAGGAATGCTTGTGATTTTTGCACATTGATTTTGTATCCTGAGACTTTGCTGAAGTTGCTTATCAGCTTAAGGACATTTTGGACTGAGATGATGGGGTTTTCTAAATATACAATCATGTCATCTGCAAACATTATGTAATTTTTATAACTAGTTTTTACCATGGATAATTTAATGAATTCTGAATACTAGAGCCTAGTCTAAAAATCATAGAGTATTATAAAATAGAAGAATATTATGTTTGTCTATAATCATTTGAAAGATAAAGGGCATTTTCTTTCATTAGTGTTAACAGTAGTTTTTTTTTCCCCATCGGTAATGCTAAAAGTTGCTATTCTAAGTCTTCTAACCACCGCTAATTTAAGACAATTCTGCTGGGTTGCATAATTTCATACTAGTTTATTTAGGGGTTCCATTATCGCTCCTCAATAGATTTTATGTATGTCTCATACACTTCTTCACTCATAAGTTAATCCAGTTCTGAAGAGTTACTCAGTGTCATCTTTATCAGCCAACCATCTTCACAACAAGATTTGTTGACAAGTCCTGGATTTTCTGCAAGAGCTTCATTAATTTCAGTTACTTCTCCTGATTAAAGAGAATAGATTTCACTAGCAGCTTTCACACTTTCCAAAGCACAAAACTCATCTTGTTTGTTCAATTTTGTCCCAACTTCAGACAGACTACAGTAAACAACATCTCCCAAAGCTTCGTTTGCAAAATTATTGATTCCCACTGTTCCAATACCATTTTCTGTTGTTATCCATTCATGCTTCTCTGTGAATTTACACACCCAGAGCAGAACGGGTCCTGTGAGCAGCGTCCAGATGGCGCCCGCCCCCAGCTGCCAGGGCCTTGGCAGGCAGGGCACGGCGGGTGCCCAGAGCGCGCGCAGGCTGCAGAGCACGGCCCGCATGCTCCGTGCTGCTTGCAGGGCCATGTTCGCAGGAGTTTCGCTCTTGGTGCCCAGGCTGGTGCAATAGCGCGATCTCGGCTCACTGTGACCTCCGGCTCCTGGTTCAAGCGATTCTCCTGCCTCAGCCTCCCGAGTAGCTGGTATTACAGGGGCGCGACACCGAACCCAGCTAATTTTTGTATTTTTAGTAGAGATGGGATTTCACCATATTGGTCAGGGTGGTCTCGAACTCCTGACCTCAGGTGATCCACCCGCCTCGGCCTCCCAAAGTGCTGAGATTACAGGCGTGAGCCACCGCGCCCGTCCTAAACTTTTTAAGTACTGTCATTAACCTCATTTTTACCCATTAGAAAATTGAGGTTGGGAGAAGTCAAGTAACTTGCTTGGTGTCACACAGCTAGTAAGTAGTGGAATTAGGATTTGAGCCCAGCCATTCTGACTCTAGATTGACTGCCCTTAATTCTTATGCTGCGAATTACATTATTATTTACCCAAAATATAACATCCCTCCACTGCCCTATGATATAATGTTTTGATCATCTGATTAATTCTGTTAACCTAGCACTGTGAGGAAAACTATAATTCAAGTAGCAGTCAAATTCTAAGAAAAAAATATATGCCACTTTCATCTATGTTAAACCTTGTGTTGGTTTTTAAAACAATTTTTAACTAAAGTGTTTTACATTTAAATTTCATATTCTTAATTTTTTTTCTGTATAATTTTTTTCTTTTTTTCTTTTTTTTTCTTTGAGATAGAGTCTTGCTGTGTCACCCAGGCTGGAGTGCAGTGGCACGATCTTGGCTTACTGCAACCTCCACCTCCCAGGTTCAAGCAATTCTCCTGCCTCAGCCTCCTGAGTAGCTGGGATTACAGCTAATTAGACCACCAGCTGATTTTTGTATTTTTATTTTTATTTATTATTATTATTTGTTTTTTGAGATGGAGTCTCGCTCTGTTGCCCAGACTGGAGTACAGTGGCACAGTCTCTGTTCACTCCAACCTCTGCCTCTCAAGTTTAAGCGATTCTCCTGCCTTAGCCTCCTGAGTAGCTGGGTTTACATCACACCACCATGCCCTGCTAAGTTTTGTATTTTTAATAAAGACAAGGTTTTACCATGTTGGCCAGGTTGGTCTTGAACTCCTGACTTCAGGTGATCCACCCACCTCAGGCTCCCAAAGTGCTGGGATTACAGGCGTGAGCCACTGTGCCCGGCCTAATTTTTGTATTTTTAGTAGAAATGGGGTTTCGCCATAATGGCTAAGCTGATCTTGAACTCCTGGCCTCAAGTGATCCTCCAGCCTCGGCCTCCCAAAATGCTGGAATTACAGGTGTGAGCCACCATGCCCAGCCCTGTTTAATTTTTATATTGTAAAATTTTACTTTATTTAAGACCTTCTTTGGAGAAGTGCTTGTGGAGGCTGGGGCAGGGAAAACACAAGGTGAGTCTGAGGCATCATGTGGTGCCAAAAAAGTAAGGAGTGCTAAAAAAAATAATGGGGGCATGTCAGGAAGACATAGGGGCCAACTAGAAAGAGCTCCCAGTGGCCAAAGCTGAAGCAATTTGATCAAAAAGTAAGTAACAATAGCATTGGATTACAATCCACATAATAAATATTTATGAATTCATATTGATATTAACAAATAATTGCATTTTTAAAAACTAATGGAACAAAAGAGACAGCCTACATAAAATTCCAATTAATAAATATGGAAAAAATGAGGGAAATAGAAAATTAAAAACAGAACACCACACTAATATTTGTTGCAGGCAAGATCCATTAATGAATGCTTAAAATCAGTGGAATAGAAACAGGATATTTTCAATTTCAACATATCTTCCCCAAGATATTTATTAATAATAAAGGTAAAAATAGTAACTTTGTAGTGGAGAAACCTGGCAAATAGCACCTTAATCAAGTGATGGAGACTAGCATTACTGTAATAAGACATATCAGTATCATGAACCCCCGATCATGATGTTGTGAGAAGGGCCCATCATTGCTGTGTATGCTTATCAAAAAATGCATAAACTTGATTTAATCATGAGAAAACATCAGACACAGAAAAACTGAAGAACATTCTACAAAAACCTGACCAGTACTCTTCAAAAATGTGAAGGTCATGAATGTCAAGGAGACACCGAGTCTACATAAAGTCTACATAGTTGGCAACTAAAAGGACGTAACAACTAAATGCAATGTGGGGCCGGGTGCAGTGGCTCATGCCTGTAATCCCAGCACTTTGGGAGGCCAAGGCAGGAGGACCACTTGAGGTCAGGGGTTCGAGACCAGCCTGGCTAACATGGCGAAACCCCATCTCTACTAAAAATACAAAAATTGGCCAGGCGTGGTGGCATGGGCCTGTAATCCGAGCGACTTGGGAGGTGGAGGCAGGAGAATCGCTTGAACCCAGGAGGTAGAGGTTGCAGTGAGCCAAGATCACACAACTGCACTCCAGCCTGTGCAACAGAGTGAGACTCCATCTCAAATAAATAAATAAATTAATTAATTAAAAAAAGAAAAACCAAAAATAAGCAAATAAATGCAATGTGGGATCCCAAATTGGATCCTAGAAAAGAAAAATGATATTGGGAAAACCAGGGCAATACAAATAAAGTCTGTAGTTTAACTAATAATAGTATTATACCAATGTTAATTTACTAGTTTTGACAATTGTAATATGGTTACATAAAATGTAAACATTAGGGGAAGCTGGGTGAAGCGTACATGGGAATTCTTAGTACTATTTTTGTAACTTTTCTGTAAGTCTAAAATTATATCAAAATAAAATGCTAAGAAGGAAAGTAAGCCCAGACCCTGCATTGTTTTAAAAAATTGTTTAAACAATCTAGTCCAATATTTCCCCAAATTCAGTCATTTGAATATAAATTTCAGGATTTTGACAATCTATGTAATAATAGTAATATCAACAACAACAATCAACATGTAGTGAATTGTCACAATATTTGACAAGGGAGGAAAATGAGGCGCAAAAAAGTAAGCAACTTATTCAAGGTCACAGAACTAATAGCTGGTAGAACCAGGATTCAACCTTAGGCAATTTGATGTAGCATTCATCTTCATTTCTCCTCTATACTATCTCTGACCTGTATCCTGTACTGCTATGATATGTATTATTATTTACTTACTAACTTAAAATTAAACCCATTTTTAAACTTAAAAAACAATAATCAAGCAAAATAATAAGCTATGTTATAGGGTCCTCAGGACAGAAGTTTTTGTTTTATCCACTAATATTTTATTCACAAGTTCATTGAACAGTGCCTGGCACACAGAAGGTACTCAACAAATATTTGTTGTGTGAATAAGTGAATAAATAACTTTATATCACAACTATAAGTAGCAAACCAGCACCATTTGCCAGAAATAGAAAGTTATCTTCTAAGTAAATATGATGAAAATAATATAAAATTATTAAATGTTATTGCTTCCTGAAGGCTCTGGACCTGAGCCCAGTATCTCTATATTTAAAAAGTAGTGTAAGTGTTAGAAGATATCAAAAGAGGATACCAGTTCCAAACAGACTTTCTATTTGATTTAATCAGATGGATTTAAAGAGAATAATTTTCTGAGCAAACCAATTTTATTTGAAGTCATATCAGTATGCCACCTAAAATCATCATACAAATGACCAGGGTAATGTCCCATTCTTTAGGAAAGATGGCCTTCTTGTAAAGGGACCAGTTGAGTCAGGGTTCATATAATATTAGACAATTCAGTCTCTCTCAATCTTCTTCACTCTTCCTTAAATATCATCTTGTCTGTAATATCCTACTTCCTCTTATTTACCTCTCTATTCCTACCACCAATCCCCTAGATAATTATTTGTCTCTGTAACACTCTTTGTGCATTTCTCTTTAATAGCACTTAAAACATAAATTCTTAAATTCATAATTATCTTTTCCCAAGTCTGTCTCCTTCACTTAAATTATAATTATATTGGGCATCAGAGAGAGTGTCATAGCATGTTTATATCTCCAGAGCTCATACCACTATCTAAAAAGATGAAAGGCCCATAATAAATTGTTGATTTATTAAATTAAGCAAATTAGAGGAAAAGAGAGAATTGTCCAATTTTCTTCTATCCATGAAGCCATGATTTTGTCATTGCCTGCATTTGAGACGCTTACTCTTGAGATCATTCATAAGATCTTCCCAAATACACATAAGGGTTCTACATGAAGATGAAAGGTACATATTGATCCTTTCCTTCAAAAGACTTCAGAATTAATTTGCTTCCTAGGGCAATTATAATATAATATCATTCTCCCTTTGGGAGAATAAATGCTTCGCCCAGGATGGGCAACTCCTTCGTAGATGTGACTGCAGCATTTTTGCAGCTTGCTGATAAAGTGGGGTAGTGCTAAGGTCACTTTTCTATACCTGGGTGATGATCTCTGCTCTCCACAGAAAAAAATAATGGAACAATACAGGTCCTAGCTGACATGAGTAAGAAAGGTACAAGATAGTAAAGGAAACACATCACAGAACAACATTTTTACTAGAAACCAGAGCTGCAACCTTCCTCAGATATCTCTTAAGATGGCTAATAACAGTTTCTTGGAAACTAGCCTGTTAATAACTATTGCATTTGAGAACAGGATTCAATATATAAATACAAGCCCTAATATAGAGGCACATAGCAAGCATCACTAAAATATTGAGCTGAAATCATCTCCATATTATGAAATTATTATTCAGAAAGCAATAGCTTTCATATATATATGAATAGAATGGAAAAGAGTCTATTTATAATAAGTGTTAATAAATATAAAATACTTCATCTTCATTCATAATCAGAGAAATGTTATCAAAATTGTAAAACCATACAGATAACTAGCTTTCTTCTATCAGACAGGTGAAAATCTAAAAGTTTTACAACATGCCCTATTGGCAAAGCTGTCAGGAAACAGGCACTCTTATGCATGTAGCATAAACTGGCACAATTCTTATGGAAGGTAATTTGGCAATAATATCAAAATTACAAATGCATTTACACCTTAACCTGCCAACGTCACTTCTGGGAATTTATCCTTTACACCTGCAACACATGAAATTACAGATATACACTGTTATTCATTGCCTCACTGTTTGTAATAGCAAAGGATTGGGGAAAAAAACCAAACATTCATCAAAAGGGCTTTTTTTGTACAAAATATATTTGTACAAAAATAAACTAGGCAGGGCTCAGTGGCTCACGCCTGTAATCCCAGCACTTTAGGAGGCTGAGGCAGGTGGATCACCTGAGGTCAGGAGTTCGAGACCTGCCTGGCCAACATGGCGAAACCCCATCTCTACAAAAAAATGCAAAAATTAGCTGGGCATGATGGTGCATGCCTGTAGTCCCAGGCTGAGGCACAAGAATTGCTTGAACCCGGGAGGAAGAGGTTGCAATCAGATGAGATCGTGCCACTGTACTCCACCCTGGGCAATAGAACAAGAATCTGTCTCAAACAAAAACAAAAACAAACATAAATAAATAAAATAAATTGTATAAATCTCAATTGAGAGACACTTTACAAAATACCTGACCAGTACTCCTCAAAACTGTCAAGGTCATCAAAAACAAGAAACTTACACAGCCAAGAAGAATCTGAGACATGATGACTAAATGTAGTATAATATCATGAAACAGGAAAAGATAAAACTAAGGATATCAGAATAAAGTATAGACTTTAGGTAGTAATAATAAATCAGTATCGGCTCAATAATTGTAACAAGTATACCATACTAAAGTAAGATGTTAATAATAGGGGAATCTGCGTGCCTGGTGTATGGGAATTCTCTGTACTATCTTCACAATATTTTTGCAAATATAAAACTGTTCTTAAAAATGAAGGTTATTAGGCCGGGCATGGTGGCTCACACCTGTAATCCCAACACTTTGGGAGGCCGAGGAGGATGGATCACCTGAGTTCGGGGGTTTGAGACCAGCCTGACCAATATGGTGAAACCCCATCTCTACTAAAAATACAAAAATTAGCTGGTCGTAGTGGCAGGCGCCTGTAGTCCCCGCTACTCGGGAGGCTGAGACAGGAGAATCACTTGAACCCGGGAGGCAGAGGTTGCAGTGAGCCGAGGTCATACCACTACACTCCAGCCTGGGGGAAAGAGCAAGACTCTGTCAAAAAAAAAAAAAGGAGGTTATTAATAAAAATATGTAAATTACAGGATAGCCATATAATAGAACAGTTCTATACAACACTCAAGAAAGAACAAAGAGGCTCTCTCTGAAGTAACAAAAAAAAAAAAATCTTCAATGTTGTTAACTGAAAAAAAGAGTTATGTAAGGACTTTTATTTGTCTAAAGAAACCCTGAGGTCGGGCGCGGTGGCTCATACCTGTAATCCCAACACTTTGGGAGGCTGAGGTGGGAGGATCATCTGAAGTTAGGAATTCTAGACCAGCCTGGCCAACCTGGTGGAACTCCGTCTCTACTAAAAATACAAAAATTAGCTGGGCGTGGTGGCAGGCGCCTGTAATTCCAGCTACCTGGGAGGCTGAGACAGGAGAATTGTTTGAACCCGGGAGGTGGAGGTTGCAGTGAGCGGAGATGGTGCCACTAGACTCCAGCCTGGGTGACACAGCAAGACTCCGTCTCAAAAAAAAAAAAAAATTAAAAAAAAAAAAAGAAAGAAAAAGTGAAAGAAAAAAAAAAGAAACCCTGCATGCACACACAAGCATCTAATATCAGTGGCCATCTGTTGAGGTGGAGTGATGAAACAAAGTGGATGGAACACAGGGTGAGAAGATACACACACACACACACACACACACACACACACACACACACACACACACACTAACCATGTAAATGCAATACCTATTTAACTAATTTTGTTGCCTCCTGCCTATATGATTGTATAAATAAGCAGTGAGATGGACCCTGGGTAAAATGAGATCATAGTTGAGAAGCAACCCTTTTCCTCAAATGCTGCATCTTCCACTCTTGTATCTCTGTGTATTCTTTTTTTTTTTAAGTGTAAAATGATTTGAGCCTGGCAAACCTGTGTGAACTAATCTCCTACAACCAAAACTCCCAAATGCCTAAAAGATCATGCCACCCTTCCATGGTATCCTGTTTCTTTTTATGTAAAGTGAGGGCTGGCATAAATAAAATTTTCTGTTCTGAAAAACTCTTATTATCAATGAAAGAGAGATAATTTATGGAGAGAAAAAACAGGGGAGTAAGTACAGAATGGCAGATCCATAAGAAATTGTTCCAAATGAAAAGCAAGCTATGAAAATTGGTATTTTCAAAAAAGATTAACGAAGTCAATCTCTGTCCTACCTCTACTGCGATATTCCTTCCCTGAATATTTTAACAGTAGATATATAACAGGGACAGAATAATTTGAAATCAGAAGTTTCTCATTTTAAAAAAACTAGTGATTTAAAGAGTAAAATTCACTTTACCTTGATTCCAAAGAGCTGTTAGAAACACAACTCTCATGGAAGGACATTTAATTATATGAGCTTCACAATAACATTGTCTTCAAATCAGGCCTACCCCCTAACATTTGGAGGATCTGAGTCAAAAGCACATATTGAAGTCAACTTCTCATGTTGACTTTAAAACTCTAAATATTTTAAAGTTACAAACAAAGCAAAATAAACTGTTAAATAAATACTTAAATCCTCCTGCCTGGACACCTTTATAAAACCCTGAAATATCAGGTTTTAATTTAGATTTCTCAAACTCTTCAAAGTTCCATACCTGCTTAGTCCCCAGCCCCATGGCTACCTACCCTTGGGAGGGTGGAGGTGAGGAAGAAGCCATGGAAGTTGCTTGGACCATGTGAGCTAGGAATTCCTCCATCCTGGTTACCCCAAATGTGGTCTGATGAGGGCATACAGACTCTGAGTGAGTACATCCCTTTAGCAACACAGACACTTTACCCCATGAAGAGGGGCAGGACCCAAGAAAGGCCAGAGTGGAAACCTCAAATGTTTGGGGTTCAGGCTCAGGGGACATTCTCACTCTGGCCTAAGGATTATACTGCTTCAGATACTTCTTGGTGATCAATCGTTAGATGAGGGAATAGAGAGTAAAGCTTTCATTCTTCTGGATACTTTGGAATATTATTTTTAAATGTAAATTTTTTATGACATTAGTTGACAAATCAAAAGTTGTAATGATTTGTCTTTTGGATCATTTCTCAGCCTTCTGGCTAAGACCAAGTGTGATTTGTCTTTTGGCATCATGCAGCATTAGAATTTTCTGAAATTCAAGGTCATATACAAAGTGAAGTGGAGTTGGTTGATTCTTATTATTATTTTGTGTGGTTTTTACATAATGTGCAATCCAAAAGATAATCTCTAGGGAGGAGTAATAGGAGTAGAGAGAATGGAAAAGGAGACTTTTACCCTTAGTTGATACCATTCTGAACTGTGGGACTTTTTTATCGTTTGGATATATCACATTTACATTAACATGACAAAAAATTAAAGATCTTTTAATAGTCTCTTATGCAAATATAGAAGTTTGAATGCTGAATTTAATGATTAGGCATAGGTCTTTTGGTCTCCAGATGAAACACTGCCAACTCAACATATTAGGTAATGTGATAAATACAGAAATGCTATTTTTTCTTAATGGCAACATTCACATTTGAAGCAAGCTGTCAGTAGCAAACAGCTTTGCTTGAGTTGCCTGGTTTAGCAGATGTCTTTGTTAGGAATGTGACAATTATCACCATTGTTTATTTCAGTGAATATCAAGTAGTACAGAGGGAAGCCAAGTCCTCATCAATAGTGCACATGGTTAATTGCATCATGATAACTTCTCACATGCCTTACTCTTTGTTACTTGCTCTTGAAATTATGAAAAGACATATCTGACTCTGACTAAAAAGGTGAATGCAGTTCAAAGTCAATATCAGCTGTAACACAAAACTATGTAGACCACATGGGAATAGGCAAATTACTTTTTTCCAGCTACTTTACTTGCTGTATAATAATAATAGGTAACATTTACTGAGCACTGACTTTGTACCAGATAATTAAGAAGCACTTTACATACATGATCTCTTTCAATTATAATCAGAAGCTTCCCTGATATTTGCATATATTCTTTCACTTGCACTGTGTCTTCCTTTTAACATGTTATTATTTGCTATAGTGCCAAAGGCTTATTTTGATATGATGAATATCATGAATTTTGTCCACTAAATAATTCCCATTATGGAAGTTCCATTATAAGGAGAAAATGTATACTATAATAAAGACTAAATTATTAAGGAAAACAAAATAAAAATCTTGCTCCCCAAGACAAGTTAAATTGATCCTTAATTCTATAAATTAAATCAAGTCAAAGCTTGATATAGAATTCAACAATTCTATAAACAATAAAACATCTACTATGGGAGCGCTTCATATTCATTGGGTCGGATGCAAAAATGAATTAGGCTGTGTCCCTGTCTTCCAAGATGTATGCTTTAATGGAGAAGAGAAACACGTAGGTGCCAAAACAGACTGTACTCAGTTCTGTGTTCCAGATATTAACCAAGTATTTGATAATGCAGGGTGACTCTTGTTCTGACTTTGGTGATGGAGACAGCATTTTGAAAGAGAATGATTTGAATGAGGTCCCTGACCATGGGCCCTGAACTTTTGAGGGTCCCACTCTGGCCTTCTGGGGGCTCTACAAAAGCTGATCTAGGAGGAAGACCATCAGACAGAGGCAATAGTCTAAGAAAAGGCAACTGAGACCCTGGTCTGTTTGAGAGACTTGCCACACAGACCAGGCTGCAAGAATGGAGTGGAGATAAGATGAGAGAGATGGATTCAGACCAAATCATGGAGATCTTTGACTACAGAGGAAAGGGGTAGGGTATAAAAGTCTTTGAACTGGAAGTGTGACTTGGTCATATCTGAACCTTAGGAAGATGACACTAGCAGCAGTGTTCAAAAATGTGACATTCGAGGTGACAGAGAAAGACAAGTAAGTAAGCCAAAGAATGAGAAAGAGCTTTCTTTCTTTTTTTTTTTTTTAGACGGAGTCTTGCTCTGTCACCCAGGCTGGAGTGCAGTGGTGTGATCTCAGCTCACTGCAACCCTCCTCCTGGGTTCAAGCGATTCTCCTGTCTCAGCCTCCCGAGTAGCTAGGACTACAGGTGCATGTCACCACACCTGGCTAATTTTTGAATTTTTAGTAGAGATGGAGGTTTCACCATAGTGGTGAGGCTGGTCTAGAACTCCTGACCTTAGGTGATCCACCCGCCTCAGCCTCCCAAAGTGCTGGGATTACAGGTGTGATACACCACGCCCAGCTGAGAAAGAGCTTTCTATAATGTGAAGAAATCACTGTGAATGGTACAGTTATTTTGCTATTTTTTTGCTAATTCGAGGAAGACAAACTGAAACCAGAGAGACTTTTTAACATGCTTTTGCAATAGTCCACAGAGGAGTTAATGAGTTTCTGAAGAAGGGAGTGAACAGAGAAGACTGATTTGAAAGATAATGGTGGAAGGAGATGCCATTGAATTGATTAGCCAAGATCAAAAACACACCAGTAAAAAGTGATGAGTTGAATTTAGATCAGAGTTTAAAGTGTCTGCAATGCATCAGTGTGGAATGCTCAGCATCCAATTAGAAATAAGGGTCTGATTAGGGGAAGACAGATGAGGGCTAAAGGGACAGAGGTAGGAGTCATTCTCACAAAGGTGAGAGGTATAGCAATTAAATAATTGAGTCATAAGATAGGATGAGACTACCAAGGGACTATTGAGAGTTAAAAGAGAGGACTGAACACTGAATCTTCAGAAAGCTTACATGTAACCGGCCTATTCTAAAGGGGGAGAAGAGGAATCCTGAAAGGAAACTACACAGAAGCAGTTCATGAGGGAGGAGGAGAGGAGAATGCAACATGAATTCCAGTGGAGATGAGGGTTCTAGTGAGAAAAGCGTGGTCCATGTTGTCAAATTCTGCTGAAACCAGAATTTCAGCAGAAGGTCTAAGAAGAGGATTTTGGCTTTTGAACTTTGCAGAGGCTGAAGGTGCTTAGGATTAAGTGGGGGAAGAAACCAAGATGGATGAAGTTTGTGGATGAAGAAGAAAAAGAGAGAGACAGAAATACAAAGAATGGAAATTAGACTCCAGGGAGAGTCTCCTTAGGGCAGGAGAGAAACGGTTTGCAGTTATTAAGGGGAGGACTCGAAGAAGAGATGATTGATAGAGCAAAGTCAAAGAGGACATGGGAAGGGAAGAGAGAAAAAGGGTAGATGAAAACACTGGCTTTAGAACAAAATCACAAAAATTCTTCTTCAGACACCGGGGGAAGATAAGTGAATAGGTAATAATTTGGACAAAATGATATTTATAAGTTATTCTTATCAGATGACCTCCAGCTTCTAGTAAATTAGGTGGCAAAAGAGGTTAGAGGTAGATGTAGAAATTTGGTAAGACTGCAGAGGAGTGAAACAACAGATAGAACTATTTTAAGAGTGAATGAATGAGAGATGAGAAAAGGAATGTCCAGTGTTGTTGAGTTCCAAGACAAACTGTACAATACAACTTTTAGAGCAGTCAGTCAGCCTGGTTATGGTATGTTCTCCAGAAATGTTCAGCTGCCAAGAAATGGGTAAAGAAGATACAGATGGTTTCCTTAACTAGGGCTGGAAATCAGCAGAACAGGTGTGACAGAAGAACAGTGAGATGAGTCATTAGAATGCTGGCGAGGGCAAAGTGAGAAAAGTTGTCCCAAGGACTCATGAGGTGCCTTATGATGTCCTGTGAAACCAGGAAGACTAGTGGATGGGGAAAAAGCAAAGGGACTGGATCTAGTGATGTGAAGAATGGGTCAGAAGGTATGAGGTTATAGGAGAGATAGAAAGATAGGTAGTGGTCAGAGGAAATTTTTCACGTTTGACAGTCTCAGATGTGGAGAAGTTGAGGGTGATGGTGAAAACTAAGGTATGTCTGGCTACACCAAAGAGGATCTGAGGCAGAATGAGATGAAAGTCACAAAGATCAAGTTAAGGAGCCAATAGTTCAGAAAGTTAGAAAGATTATCAACATGTATTTTGAATCTCCCAAAATACTGTGGTTGGTAGCTGAGACTTATTTAATATGATGAAAGCCACACATTAATATGATATTAAAATATGAGTCACTAGAAAAGTATCTGGAAGGGGGTCACTCAACCTTGCTCCTTCAACAAATATATATCAGGTAATATAATGGGCTTAACATGAAACTACATTCAACAAGCATGATATGATGGATATGTTTTTAAACAATGGTTTAATTAACGTTGAGTTTAGTTCCCACTGTCAGAGTACAACTTAGCACCTTGTGGATGACCTTGCACTAAAAGTAGAAAATACAAATCAGTTACCATGAAGAAGGAAAGAAAAGTAGAGAAGTTAAATCCAGTAATTAAGAAACATCACCATACATTTAAATGAATGGTTGGACCAAGTAAATAATAATAATGCTCAAGAAATTACCTGTATTCATCCTGAAACTGCTAATCATTCCCTAATGTTTTGCCCTAAGAGTATACATTTTCACACTCAAAGATTCTTTGTACAAACAGTCAATGGACCCAGAAATACAGGCTTTCTCACCAATTTGCCTTCTAGGTTGTCATAAGACTAGCTCGGTGGTGGCACATCTGGAGTCATCGAATGCAGGAACCACAACAAATGGGACTCACTGGTTCTTTGTACCACATATGGGAACACAGCCACAATTTTCTAAAGTTCTGAAAATAAATAAATTTTTTTTTAGAGACAAGTACAGTGACTCTATTATATACACTCATCAGGAGATTGTGCAGAGTTTGGGATGTTGTAATCATCTAACTCAAAGAGGAATTGTTAGCCAGATGTCGAAAAATACATGTAAATAGGCTCTGGGAGTACATGTTATCTCTAAATCTTCCCAAAGAATGTTGAACTAGTCCTAGAACATTTACTTACATATGCTTTTCAAACAATCTTTAGAGTAAACTGAGAAGCCCTCTTTTGCATTACTTTGGTTAGTCCAATATAGATAAAACATTGATAATTGTTGAAGCTGTGTGGTGGATATGAGAGTTTATCATACTCTTCTCTCTTCTTTTGTATATGTTTGAAATGTTTCATAATAAGAAGTAAAAAAACATAAAAGGAGAGAGGAGACAGTCTCCTTATGGGGCTTGTATAGCTGGTGGTAAATGAGACCCCTTTCTTTTCTTCTTCCTGTTGACACACTGTAACCTGTGAAAAGCTGCTTACTCAAGTTTCCTTTTCAACAGAACAAATTAGAATGCACTGAGCCTAAGTTATGGATGGCATAGCATCATTATTGTTCCTCATATTCCTTCATGCGTCATAAAATTCTTCCACGTGCTGTCATTTCATTTGCTCCCACAGAACTTCCGTACTCACACGCTTCTCCCAAATAGTTTTCCTCCCAACATCCATCCTGAATGCAACAGGTTTTAATCATTCATGAACCAATCTTTATGGAACACCTAGTAAGTGTCATTATTTTAACATTATTTTATAAATTCCATGCCTAATTATTTTTGCGTGACAAAAATATCATCTAACAGAAAGCATTTATTTCCTCAATAAACATCTATTAAGCACTTAATATCTGCAAAGTAGGTATCAAGGCCTTGGTTATAAAGCTTGCTGGAAACTTCTGCAAGGAAGCAAAAATGGTTGAAGATTAGTGAGGTGAGGGCCTGGGGCAGTGACTCACGCCTGTAATCCCAGCACTTTGGGAGGCAGAGCGGGGTGGATCACAAGGTCAGGAGATTGAGACCATCCTGGCTAACATGGTGAAAACCCATCTCTACTAAAAATACAAAAAAGTAGCCAGGCATGCTGGCACGCACTTGTAGTCCCAGCTACTTGGGAGGCTGAGGGAGGAGAATCGCTTGAACCCAGGAGGCGGAGGTTGCAGAGCATGCTACTGCACTCCAGCCCGGGTGACAGTGAGACTCTGTCTCAAAAAAAAAAAAAAAAAAAAATTAGTGAGGTGGCACTTCTAGTGAGTAAGTGAGAATATTTAAAAATGCAGATTCTCTTGCTGTTTTGGTTACTGTACCCTTGTAGTATAGTTTGAAGTCAGGTAGCACGATGCCTCCAGCTTTGTTCTTTTTGCTTAGGATTCTCTTGGCAATGTGGGCTCTTTTTTGGTTCCACATGAACTTTAAAGTAGTTTTTTCCAATTCTGTGAAGAAAGTCATTGGTAGCTTGATGGGGATGGCATTGAATCTATAACTTACCTTGGGCAGTATGGCCATTTTCACAATATTGATTTTTCCTGTCCATGAGCATGGAATGTTCTTCCATTTGTTGGTGTCCTCTTTTATTTCATTGAGCAGTGGTTTGTAGTTCTCCTTGAAGAGGTCCTTCACATCCCTTGTAAGTTGGATTCCTAGGTATTTTATTCTCTTTGAAGCAATTGTGTTTGGGAGTTCACTCAGGACTTGGCTGTTTGTCTGTTCTTGGTGTGTAGGAATGCTTGTGATTTTTGCACATCGATTTTATATCCTGAGACTTTGCTGAAGTTGCTTATCAGCTTAAGGAGATTTTGGGCTAAGACAATGGGGTTTTCTAAACATACAATCATGTCATCTGCAAACAGGGACAATTTGACTTCCTCATTTCCTAATTGAATACCCTTTATTTCTTTCTCCTGCCTGATTGCCCTGCCAGAACTTCCAACATTATGTTGAATAGGAGTGGTGAAAGAGGGCATCCCTGTCTTGTGCCAGTTTTCCAAGGGAATGCTTCCAGTTTTTGCCCATTCAGTATGATATTGGCTGTGGGTTTGTCATAAATAGCTCTTATTATTTTGAGATTAGAATGGCAATCATTAAAAAGTCAGGAAACAACAGGTGCTGGAGAGGATGTGGAGAAATAGGAACACTTTTACACTGTTGGTGAGAGTGTAAACTAGTTCAACCATTGTGGAAGACAGTGTGGCGATTCCTCAAGGATCTATAACTAGAAGTACCATTTGACCCAGTGATCCCATTACTGGGTATATACCCAAAGGATTATAAATCATGCTACTATAAAGACACATGCACATGTATGTTTATTGCGGCACCATTCACAATAACAAAGACTTGGACCCAACCCAAATGTCCATCAATGATAAGACTGGATTAAGAAAAGATGATACATATACACCATGGAATACTATGCAGCCATAAAAAAGGATGAGTTCATGTCCTTTGTAGGGACATAGATGAAGCTGGAAACCATCATTCTGAGCAAACTATCACAAGGACAGAAAACCAAACACCGCATGTTCTCACTCATAGGTGGGAATTGAACAATGAGAACACTTGGACACAGGGTGGGGCACATCACATACTGGAGCCTGTCGTGGGGTGGGGGGAGGTGGGGAGGGATAGCATTAGGAGAAATACCTCATGTAAATGATGAGTTAATGGGTGCAGCACACCAACATGGCACATATATACATATGTAACAAACCTGCATGTTGCACACATGTACCCTAGAACTTAAAGCATAATAAAAAAAATTTCATTTTGTGAGGAATACTACAAATTGGGTTCAGTGTATACTGCTTGGGTGATGGGTGCACCAAAATCTCACAAATCACCACTAAAGAACTTACCATGTAACCAAATACCATCTGTTCCCCCAAAAAGCTATGGAAATAAAAACAAAATTTTTTAAATGCAGATTCCCAGGCCCTGCCAACAGAGGGATTTAAATTTGAGGTAGTCCCAGAAAAGGCTGAGAACCACTGGTCTAAGTCATTAAGTCTAAGGTGCCCAAGAGACTCTAGTCTGACTTAAGCTGGCCTTCAACTTGGAGTGTAGTTGGCAGGTGTAAGCAGGCAGGATATTTGTCTGAAGCTGCATCCTGGTGCCGGAAGGAATCTGAAAACAGGGTCCAAATCTAGAGAGAGAATTCAGCAGGATTTAGGCAAGGGGTCAGAACTCAGAGCTGCCAGGGTTTAGGTTCAAGGCTGGGCTTTGGTTCCGGTGGAGTGCTAAGCAAGGATCCTGAAAAGATCTACTGTATATTTTGTCCCAGTTGTGTAGCAGGCACTGTGTGAAGCTCTTACTCACGTCATCTCATTGATTCTTTATAATTAGCCCTGTGAGACAGGTTGATTTGCCCAAAGTCAGACAGCCAGTAAGTGGCTGAGTTGTGATTTGAGCTTAACTCTATTCTAACTGCAAAGCCCCTCTCTTTCTGCCCCTCCATGGTGCCTACAAGGACTGGGGCAAAGGGTCATCAGGCTCGCCCAGGGCAATAGCTAGGGAGACCATTGGAGTATAAGGGGTTCTGCTCATGTAAGGCTTCAGGCATCTGGCTATTTCCACACTCCCCTCACTAGTAGGTGAAATAAACTCCCAGTGACTGATAGGTTCTCTTGATTTCCAGCATTATGTCTCAGGCAACATAGGGAAATTGGCAGGTTTCTCTTTGTGCCCACAGCCTTCCTGATTATATCTGTTTCTTTTCCAGTCCCTTAGGAGGGGACTACCAGCCTCATGCTCTTCATCTCCATTCCCATTCAGGAATACATGTCTGAAGACAGATGAAAACATTGTACTTTTGGGACCTATTGCGTTTGAACAAAGATGAGGTACTTACAAGAATAAAAGTGATATCAAGAGCTGGAGATAGGAAAGATTTGGAAGATAAACCGAATTCCCAGAAATCACACTTGTAGATAGGCTGTAGCACATTCAAACTGCTCCTATTGCTATCTGAAGGAAATGATAAGATTTTGGGAGATGAGCTGATCAAGAGTTCTGCTGCTTCAGAGATTCTCTAGAAGTACTTTTCATACCACTGTACAGGCCTATGTATACAAAGTCCTCATTTTTCACAGGGAACAATAAGTATGTGTACGCTTCTCACAAAGACAGTCATCAGTGGTCACAACCCATCAAAGCCTCTTTCTTTTGATAACTGAAGTGATAGACCCAGTCACTGCTTTATTAGTATTCCAAATACCAGCACCACCCTACCCTACAATAAACAGAGTCAACAAGAGTGGCTCTCCTGGTACTCTTCACCTCACCAACACTGAGAGCTCAAGACCACGGAATTTTCTTCTACTTATCAGTGTATCACTTGTGAGTCCAAAATTGTCCTAGCAAATACTTCTGACTAATGGCTACCAGACACATTAATATATATTTTAAAATTTACAGGTGGTAGTTTATTTGCTGAGGAAATACAGTAATGAACTTTGAATGACATTATAAGATAATGTCAAACTGGATGACAACTTTTCTTTCTTTTTATAAATGGAGTCTCACTCTGTCACCCAGGCTGGAGTGCAGTGGCATGATCTCAGCTCACTGCAACCTCTGCCTCCCGGGTTCAAGTGATTCTCCTGCCTCCCAAGTAGCTGGGATTACAGGTGCCCGCCACTGCGCCTGGCTAACTTTTGTATTTTTAGTAGAGACGGGGTTTCACCATCTTGACCAGGCAGATGTCGAACTTCTGACCTCGAGATCCGCCTGCCTTGGTCTCCCAAAGTGCTGGAATTACAGGCGTGAGCCATGGCACCTGGCCACGATATAATTTTTAAACATGAGTTCAGACTATATACAGTTTTCTACAACTTGAGGTTTTTGACTTACCATGGACATCTTTTCAGGCCTAGTGTTCTATTTATATGATTGAACTGCAATTTATGATACAACTGTCCTATTAATGGACAATTAGGTTATTTACTATTTTTGCTGTTTCAATCAGTGCTATAGTGAGCATCCTTATATAAATACCTTTTGACACCGGGCATGGTGGCTCATGCCTGTAATCCCAGCACTTTGGGAGGCAGAGGAGGCGGAGTGGTCAGGAGTTTGAGATCAGCCTGGGCAACATGGCGACAACCCCATCTCTACTAAAAAAAAAAAAAAATACAAGAATTAGCTGGGCGCAGTGGCGGGTGCCTGTAATCCCAGCTACTTGGGAGGCTGAGGCAGAAGAATTGCTTGAATCCAGGAGCGGAGGTTGCATGAGCCAAGATCATGCCATTGTACTGTAGCCTGGGCAACAGAGCAAGGCTCCATCTCAAACAAAACAAAACAAAACAAAAAATCTTTTGATATATGTACTGGTTATTTTTCTAGGACAAACATCTAAAACAGGAATTGCCGAGTCAAATGGTATACATATTAACTAGACTTTGGTAGCTTGCAGGGAGAATGGTATGGGATGAACTACATCCCTCAAAAATTTATATGTTGAAGTCCTAACCCCTAGTCCTCAAAATGGAACTGTATTTGTAGAGGTAAGGCCTTTGAAAGGTAAGTTAAAATGAAGCTGTTAGGGTGCGCCCCAGTCCAATCTGACTGGTATCTTAATAAGAAGGAATTTGGACACATGAAGAGAAACCACAGAGGTACACACACAGTGGGAAGACCACGTGAGGACACAGTGAGAAGGTGGCCATCTGCAAGCTAAGGAGAGGGGCCTCAGGAGAAATTTAATTTGCTAACACCTTGATCTTGGAATTTTAGCCTCCAGAACTGTGAGAAAATTAATTTCTGGCATTTAAGTCACCCAGTTTGTGGTATTTTGTTATGGCAGTCTGAAAAGACTAATAGAGGAATCACTCTAAAAGCCTGGGTGGATCCCCAGGTGATCCACCCGCCTCAGCCTCCCAAAATGCTGGGATTACAGGCGCGAGCCACTGCACCCAGCCTGGATGAAAATTTTTCTGTATCCTGTGTACACAACAGGATAAAGTAATTTATTTCTATATCATATACACAATAGGAGAAAGGCAGCATAATAAGGCAGACCAAACACTGGGCTTTGTTGCTTATTAGCTGTGCAACTTTTGCAAATTACTTAACTTCTCTGAGCTGTGTTTTCTACCATGAGAAAACAAAAAGAGTAATACTTGCCCTGAGAAGTTTTTGTGAGGACTGGGCATAATATACGTGATTGTCTAACAATACCCGGGATTTAGAGAGTTGAGGTGGGGCCCCTGTGGTGTGAGCGAGCTGTTCTAATCACTTGCTCCCTCCACTCGTGTCCTTTGTCTCTTCCTTCATCACCCTTACCCTCCTTGCTTGTTGCAGTTTCTTTAACATGGTGTTTATTATAAACCTGGAGGAATTTCAAGGATCTTTGGAGGTTTGTGAACAATTTGTTTTTTGATGTATCTCATTCTGACATGACATGGCATTAAGATTACAGGAAGAAGTTATTAAGGTATTTTCCCATTCACTTATCCCCACTTGTCATCATATAAACTACAAAACAGTGAGAAGAAAATCAAGAATATCTTTCCCACATTTCTTTCTTTGATTGATGGGAGTAAATAGTTCACCTTTAGTAGATCATTTTAAGTACATTAGTCTTTAGATTAAGACAATTAAATCACCCTAGATCTACCTAGTGGCTAGGGTAAGTTAACACAACGTTTGCAACTGAGCCTTAACATATTCCCTCTTCCTGACCATGCCTCCTCCCTCAACTTTCACCATATCTGATCCATGTGCTTCTTTGAGAAAGAGGTAGGAAGGAAACTTGAAATGACTTGAGGATCTACATACATTCCATTCTGCAGCCATCCTCAATTACCTTCACATACTTGACATTCTTTCGATTTCCCAAAGAAATTATATACCCAAAATGGCACAGCTACAGTAGCTGGAATGATTGGTGTCAAGGTATAATACTTTTTTCTTCCTTCAGCAAATCATTCTTTTTATTATTATACTTTAAGTTCTAGGGTACATGTGCACAACGTGCAGGTTTGATACATACGTATACATGTGCCATGTTGGTTTGCTGCACCCATCAACTCATCATTTATGTGAGGTATTTCTCCTAATGCTATCCCTCCCCCAGCCCACCCCCCAACAACAGGCCCCAGTGTGTGATGTTCCCCACCCTGTGTCCAAGTGATCTCATTGTTCAATTCCCACCTATGAGTGAGAACATGCGGTGTTTGGTTTTTTCCCTTGCGATTGTTTGCTCAGAAAGATGGTTTCCAGCTTCATCCATGTCCCTACAAAGGACATGAACTCATCCTTTTTTATGGCTGCATAGTATTCCATGGTGTATATGTGTCACATTTTCTTAATCCAGTCTATCATTGATGGACATTTGGGTTGGTTCCAAGTCTTTGCTATTGTGAATAGTGCCACAATAAACATACATGTGCATGTGTCTTTATAGTAGCACGATTTATAATCCTTTGGGTATATAACCAGTAATGGGATTGCTGGGTCAAATGGTAATTCTAGTTCTAGGTCCTTGAGGAATCACCACACTGTCTTCCACAATGGTTGTACCAATTTACACTCTCACCAACAGTGTAAAACCGTTCCTATTTCTCCGCATCCTCTCCAGCATCTGTTGTTTCCTGACCTTTTAACGATTGCCATTCTAACTAGTGTGAGATGGTACCTCATTGTGGTTTTGATTTGCATTTCTCTGATGACCAGTGATGATGAGCATTTTTTCATGTGTCTGTTGGCTGCATAGATGTCTTCTTTTGAGAAGTGTCTGTTCATATCCTCTGCCCACTTTTTGGTGGGGTTGTTTTTTTCTTGTAAATTTGTTTAAGTTCCTTGTAGATTCTGGATATTAGCCCTCTGTCAGATGGGTAGATTGCAAAAATTTTCTCCCATTCTGTAGGTTGCCTGTTCACTCTGATGGTAGTTTCTTTTGCCATGCAAAAGCTCTTTAGTTTAATTAGATCCCATTCATCTATTTTGGCTTTTGTTGCCATCGCTTTTTGTGTTTTAGTCATGAAATCCTTGCCCATGCCTATGTCCTGAATGGCATTGCCTAGGTTTTTTCTAGGGTTTTTATGGTTTCGGGTCTTACGTTTAAGTCTTCAATCCATCTTGAATTAATTTTTTGTATAAGGTGTAAGGAAGGGATCCAGTTTCAGCTTTCTACATATGGCTAGCCAGTTTTCCCAGCACCATTTATTAACTAGGGAATCCTTTCCCCATTTCTTGTTTTTGTCAGGTTTATCAAAGATCAGATGGTTGTAGATGTGTGGTGTTATTTCTGGGGCTCTGTTCTGTTCCATTGGTCTATCTCTCTGTTTTGGTACCAGTACCTTGCTGTTTTGGTTATTGTAGCTTTGTAGTATAGTTTGAAGTCAGGTAGCATAATGCCTCCAACTTTGTTCTTTTTGCTTAGGATTGTCTTGGCAATGTGGGCTCTTTTTTTGGTTCCATATGAACTTTAAAGTAGTTTTTTCCAATTCATTGGTAGCTTGATGTGGATGGCATTGAATATATAAATTACTTTGGGCAGTATGGCCATTTTCACGATATTGATTCTTTCTATCCACGAGCATGGAATATTCTTCCATTTGTTTGTGTCCTCTTTTTTTTTTGTTGAGCAGTGGTTTGTAGTTCTCCTTGAAGAGGTCCTTCACATCCCTTGTAAGTTGGATTCCTAGGTATTTTATTCTCTTTGAAGCAATTGTGAATGGGAGTTCACTCATGATTTGGCTCTCTGTTTGTCTGTTCTTGGTGTATAGGAATGCTTGTGATTTTTGCACATCGATTTTGTATCCTGAGACTTTGCTGAAGTTGCTTATCAGCTTAAGGAGATTTTGGGCTGAGATGATGAGGTTTTCTAAATATACAATCATGTCATCTGCAAACAGGGATAATTTGACTTCCTCATTTCCTAATTGAATACCCTTTATTTCTTTCTCCTGCCTGATTGCCCTGCCAGAACTTCCAACACTATGTTGAATAGGGGTGGTAAGAGAGGGCATCCCTGTCTTGTGCTGGTTTTCAAAGGGAATGCTTCCAGTTTTTGCCCATTCAGTATGATATTGGCTGTGGGTTTGTCATCAATAGCTCTTATTATTTTGAGATACATTCCATCAATACCTAGTTTATTGAGAGTTTTTAGCGTGAAGGGCTGCTGAATTTTGTCAAAGGCCTTTTCTGCATCTATTGAGATAATCATGTGGTTTTTGTCATTAGTTCTGTTTATGTGATGGATTATGCTTATTGATTCCTTCAGCAAATCATTT
This sequence comes from Homo sapiens, assembly GCF_000001405.40. Classification (NCBI taxonomy): domain Eukaryota; kingdom Metazoa; phylum Chordata; class Mammalia; order Primates; family Hominidae; genus Homo; species Homo sapiens. The sequence continues at coordinate 35,790,606 of NC_000007.14, forward strand.
TACATGTAAAGTGAAAGATTGCTTTGCTGCAGATTGTTGTGTATTGGTGACAAAAGGAGAGGAAGAGCGAGAGTATCCACCAGTGATTGAAGAAAGGGCTTTACTTTTATCATCTTTTCCTTCTCTTTTTTTCTTTTCAGAGTTCACCTTGGTAGATTAAGCACTATAGGGGGCCGGGTGTGGTGGCTCACGCCTGTAATCCCAGCACTTTGGGGGGCCATGGTGGGCGGACTGCCTGAGACCAGAGTTCAAGGCCACCCTGGGCAACATGGTGAAATCCCGTCTCTATTAAAAATACAAAAATTAGCCAGGTGTGGTTGTAGGCGCCTGTAATCCCAGCTACTCGGGAGGCTGAGGATGGAGAATCACTTGAACCTGGGAGGCGGAAGTTGCAGTAAGCCAGGATCGTGTCACTGCACTTCAGCCTGGGTGACAGAGCAAGACTCTGTCTCAAAACAATAAACTTGAAAAAAAAAAAAAAAACACCATATGTCTGGGAAGGCTTGTGCATACTTTTCCCTAATAGGTTAGTACCTATCTTGGGAAGCTAAGAGTCAGGGCTGCCTTTTATCTAGAACTGATCAGAAGGGAGAGGGGCTAGAAGCAGCTGGGCTGAAGCAAGAAAAGTAAAGATGGATTTGTTCTCTTGACCCAACCTGGCCAATGGCAGAGTTAGCCAAGGCTTTCATTTGTCTGTCATGGAGATGCTAAAAACAGAGAAGTCTCTGCCAGATTTTAAATCTGGGGGCAAATTGTGTAGGAACTGTTGTTTTTCCTTTTTTCTCAATGTGTTTGTGTGTGCATGCAATGGAAGCTGGAGATAAATTAAGGAGCAACTATGAAGATAATATAACAATTTCTTCCTATTTGCAATATTTAAGTTCCACTTTTTTTGCCCCTTTTTGGTGCTGCTTTTTCTACTCTATTTTCTAAACCACATATAACCCTCCAAAATATATGCAATTATTTCCAATAAATATTTGAGTGCCTACTATGTGCAAGGTATTATGCTAGGTTCTGCATTAGAGAGCTAAGATTTAGTCTACCTCATGGTCTGCAGTCTCACAGCAAAAGTAACCCATGGTCATGCTTGCTCATAGATTTGCAAAAACAGCTAGATTTTACAAAAGAAAACATTTTAGTTGTCTAGCATTCATTGATAGCATCTACATGTCATGGACATTTAGCTCAAAGCAAAAACGTATTTTGAAATAATGAACAATTAAATGATCACTTTTATCAGAAACAAAAATTTCAGAAGAGTCTGCTCACTTGTGTGTCACAAATCGTGAAAGGGAAAGGGAATTATGTCCATGCCATATGTGAACCATAGAGTTAGGCAGTAATATCATATCATCTGCAGTACAGCTGCTTCATTTAAATTCAAACTCTAACATTTATAGTTTCAATAGTTGTTATTGTGGGCTGTATACATGACATTAAAAATCATATTTGAGGAAGTTCTTGAATTTGGTAGCTGATTTAGATTATAAGGTCTCTTCCAACTCTAAGATATTAGAGTCTATTAGGACACAAATGTAGTCTTGGGAATAAGAACTTGAGGGTGAAATATCCAGAGTTCAACACCAGTGTTTAATGCTGCATTGCTACCATTTTGGATAATAAAAATGACAATTATTTTGGTTTCATAAAATCTGTTTATCTGTTTATAGTGTTTGGCTGGAAAGATGTTATCACTTACTGCCAAATTTTTAAAGCAAATAAAAGAAAAAGGAGTATCAACCAAAAACCATAAATAAATCATAATCATGATTCTGCACATGAAAAGGAGCACATCATGGATAACAATCACAAACACCATCATTTGCTTTTTTTTTTTAATAGATGCTTAAGTACCTCCCTAAAAATAGGATCCAATCAATATCAAATGATTAGAGATACAGTACAGGAAAGAATTTCTGAGTTGTTGGGAGCCTCATGAAGGAGGGGAGTAATGACACACTATACTACTTTAACTATTACTAAGCATTTGTCCTCTACCAGTCAGTCTCCATGGTAATCCAATGCAACTGCTTCGCTTAAAGCAAGTGGATCAGTCTGGCACAGGCTAATTTGCTTCCTCTCCAAATTTCCTGTTTTCCTGGATATGAGGTCTCTAAGTGCATCTTCAGGAAACAGCCACTCATTAGAGGTCCTCTAGAAAGGATAACTTGGAGAGAGCAGGTTCTTATTGCTTGCTAAAATCATAGCCTTGTTCTAACCTCATGTTTCATCTACATAAAATTACTAAAGTTCAATTCAGTTCACTTTCAGGAGTCTCTTCTAGTGCAGGAGGCATTCACTTATTGCCAAAGTCAATATACTAAGTCTGGTTGTTGAAGGCAGCTGGTTTCCCATAGAACCATGTGTCCTTGTTTCCTATTTCAGTTAGTTTCTGAGTCAATGGTAGGAAAATGCCAAAGGGAGTTGGCAACAATGGCCTTTTCCACTTATAATAGATTTTCTTTGATGTACTTTGGATTTTTCTCCAGTATTGTGTTCAGCAGTATTTCTACTGTGTAATCAGATTGGATAGCTCCACAACAAGGCACTGATTGGCAAGAGAACACCGAGGTAAATGGTTTCCTCTCTTCCTTTGGTCCCTGAGGCAACCGTGCTGCCAGTCTATTACCAGTGATATGGAGTCTTGAGAGGGAAGTGAGGCTCTTATCTGCATTAGAACTAAGGTTCCAGAAGAGCCCTGGAATTTGAAAATTCCTTGAGCCTCCAGTGATAAGTTGAGATAAATCCGGCCTCCCGAGGCAGTCTGGATTCAAACATCCTATTTCTGCACTGCTTCCTCCCCCTTCCCTCCTTGGCTGGTGGGAAAAACTCTTCCTGAGGTGACTAATTTAAGAATGGGAGTTATTTGCTCTGCTTTTTTGCTGTTTAACTCTCTGGGGCTTCAAGCTGCATGGTTCTCTCATTTTATTTTCTTTTGTTTTGTTATTATTACTATGTCTTTTGGCTTTTCCTCCTTTGTGGGATGAAGTTTGATTTTAAACAGAAAAAAAAAGCTATGAGGCTTTATTTAAAAAAAAAAACAACTTTGTTCATCAGTTTTATAGCCTTGCAAGTGTCACTTGACTTCCTGTACCTTACAGATTCCTAATCTATAAAAGGGCATGTCAATATTCCCTTGAATTTGTGGAACATTAACATTGTCAATTATTTTAGATTCTTTGTTCTCAAGATAACTTTCCTCTAATAACTATGCTATTTAATCATGAACTTAACATTAGAATGTATAATTTTCAAATATTCAAAAGTTAAATATAAAAATATTTAAACCATACTTACCTTGATTCCCTGGTGTTTGTATTTCACAACACTTAAACGAGATTTTGTGAATGGTAGAATATTTCTCTTGTGTAATAGTTGTCTCTCAGTATCAGAGGGGATTGGTTCCAGGACCTCCTGTGGATGACAAAATCCTCAGATGCCCAACTCCCTGATATGAAATGGTGTAGTACTTGCAAATAACCTATACATATCCTCTCTTATACTTCAAATCATCTCTAGGTTACTTATAATACCTAATACAAGGTAAGTGCTATGTAAATGGCTGTTATACTATATTGCTTAAGGAATAATGACAAGAAGAAGTCTGTACATGTTCAGTACAGATGCAATTTAAAAAAAATTTTCTGTGGTTGGTTGAATCCATGGGTGTGGAACCCACAGATACGGAGGGGCTGGCTATATCTTGAATGAAGAGTTTTCATATTTGAAATCTGACCTGAAAAAAAAATTAATTCATACAAAACTAAGTTAGTTTCAACTTGTTTTTTTTTTTTTTTTTTTGAGACGGAGTCTTGCTCTGTCACCCAGGCTGGAGTGCAGTGGAACAATCTGCTCACTGCAACCTCCGCCTCCTAGGTTCAAGCCACTCTCCTGCCTCAGCCTCTCCAGTAGCGGGATTACAGGCGTGCACCACCACGCCCAGCTAATTTTTGCATTTCAGTAGAGACAGGGTTTCACCATGTTGGCCAGGCTGGTCTTGAACTCCTAACCTCGTGATCCACCCACCTTGGCCTCCCAAAGTGCTGGGATCACAGGCATGAGCCACCGTGCCTAGCCCTAGTTTCAGCTTTCATGAACAAGTTACATAACTTTAATTTTCACAAGAAAAAAGTTTTAGTTAATGGCTCTTTCTTTTCCACATAATTTCTCAATCCTCTTCCAATATCCTTCAAAGGAGGAATATAAAGCACTCAAGGGCTTTTTGGATACTTGGATGTTACTGTTAATAGCAAAATATTGTGGATTGCCTAACCTGGTTCATAAAATACACACCTGAAGTCTCAAGCTTCCCCTCCACCACTCAACCTGACCATGTCTGCTAATTTTTGGTAACGCAGAAAACAGGAGAGATCTGTTGAGAGGTGCCATCTCATTTTTACTGTTATGTTCTGAGTTGGCCCTCAAATAGAACCTTCATATAGACCTAATACCATTCTCTGGTCCTTCTTCTTGCATCAAAGGTAAAAAAGTACCTGAAAATTGTAACAATCATCTTACCCTCTCACCAGACTAATGTCCAGCAAATAAAGGATAGGATTCAGGACAATAGGGAAACAAATCTCTTCACCTGAGATCTCATTTATTGGAAAAGTATGAGTTCTCTGAACCTTGTCTCAGAGCCTTATAAAATGTGAAGAGCTAAAGGGAAATCATTTCATTTCTTTGAACTTTGGTTTACTCAATTAAAAAGTGGGTGTAATACCTGTTCCATAAAATTGTTATATGGATTAAATGAGATTAATGTGAAATGGCTGGCTATAAAAATTCTCATCTTCAGGTTATTATAGGTAGTCCTGGTTCTACTACCAGCTAGAATGTTGGTCCATATTTATCACAGACAATTACTAAAACAAGAATATTTGCATAACACTCCATAGTTTACAAAGCACACTGACCTAAAGAATACTTTCACTTATGCATATTCAAATGTTAAATCTGGGTAATATTTTTACCTGTTCAGACACGAAGTCTGGGCATTTGGGAGGAACCTTTATTAAGAAACATTAAGCAGCTGTGTGCCAGAGTTTTGGCAAGCTGACATTCACTAATTATAATTTAACACATCTACATTGAGCTCACATATGTGCTAGTGCAGCAGTTCTCAAACTTTTGGTCTCAGTACTCCTTTACATTCTTAAATATTATCGAGAACCCCAAAGAGTATTTCTTTATGTGAAATATATCTATTGATATTTATTGTATTAAAAATTAAAACTGAGAATGTTTTAAAATATTACTACTTCATTAAAAAACCAATTCATTAAAATTCATCAAATAACACTAAACCGTTACATGATAATGTAAAAAACATATTTTGATGAAAAATAACTGTATCTTCCAAAACAACAACAAAGAAATAGTTTGGAGTGCCATTGCTTTACATTTTTGCAAACCCCTTTAATGTCTAGCTTAATAGAAGATAGCCGGATTATTTTGTTTTTGCATTCAAGCTGTTGCAATATCACACTTCACACAATCTCTGGAAAATGACACTGTGTGCTCATTAAATAATGGGAACAAAAAAGGTAAAAAATACGTCTTATTATTGTAATTAAGACATTGACGTCTTGGCACATCTCAAGAGATTCCCTCTTGAGGTTTCCCCATTCCACACTTCAACCAATGTGCTAGTGCCTAGTATCCAATTATCACTCAAGAAGTAATTGTCAAATAAAGTAATGAATACCATATCCTGGGCCAGGTGCTGAGGCTACAGAGGTGGACAAGACAAGAGATCTTGACTTTAAGGAGTTTAGACTTAAATTTGTCTCTCTTAAATAGGAGACAAGTATTTACAAAACTCTGCTACTAGAACTACCATAGGAGAAAACACAAGATACTATGGGAGGTGAGAGGGTACCTAGCCTAGTTTTTGGTGATCAAGGAAGACTTTTAGAGAAAATAGTGGTTAAGCTGAGACTTAAAGGAAAAACCAGGTAAGGAATGCAAATGTAAAAAGGAGAGTGAAGTGGGAGCAGCAGGGCTTACTAGGATTTAGGGTGAGCAAGGTATAGCAGATTAGCCAGAAATGAGGGAATGTGTCATGCAAGTTTCTTCAAGGAAAATTTTAAGACTTTAAACAGGGGACTGACATAGTTAAAGTTTAGAAAGGTCACTCTGGGTACGATGTAAAGGATGAGTTGCAGTATTACCGGCCAGAAAAGCTACTGCAAGGAGTTGAGGCAGGAGATAATTATGGCTTAAGTAGAATAGTAATGAAGCGGAGAGAAATGGAAAATTAGAGTTGAGAAGGAAAAACTGATAGGGCTTTCTAATGGCTGACAGAGAGAGACGGGCTGAGTAAATACCCATATTTCTGGTTTACAAAAGCGGGTTGATGATACCCACTTTTAGAGATTAGAAACATAAAAGCTGGTAAAATAAAGAGTTTAGTTTGGGATTTTTGAGATATCTTGGAACATCCAGGACAGATATTTTGAAGGCAGTAAGACATATAGGTTTGTAGTCAGAAGAGAGAACTGGACTAGAAACTTGCATTAGGAGTTACTAGTGTATATACGGCGGCTGAAGCCATGAAGGTGAATGAGACCACATAAAGGATAATGTAAAAAGTGAGATAGAAACAAATTGCACACAACTTTGGGGTTCATGGATATTTGACAGCCAGAAGGGGGTCCTGAAAGGTAAAATAGAGACACAGAGATCTAGGAGAAAAACTAGGAAAGTGTGGTTTCACAAATCAAGGCATATGAATGCAGAAGGCCAAGGGTTCTAGTATCAAATGCTGCAGAGAGGTCAAGGAAAATAAGACAAAGGGTCTACTGGATTGAACACAAGAGGTTCTTGGTGACCTCGTTGAGAATTTCAGTGGAGTGGTAGTTGCAGAACCCAGAAGCTTGTTGAATAAAGAACCCATTGACTGCAGTTCCTGGAAAGGCAGGAGGAGTGAGAATCTAGAGAACGAGCACAAAGAGATGGAATACAGGGAACTGGCAGAGATATGTGCCTCAGACAGGGGGGCACCTAATCTACCGTGAAGCTTGAAAGAATGAGTATGGAGACATAAAATTGTTGGAGTTCCTGTTTTTTTTTTCTGAGACGGAGCCTCGCTCTGTCACCAGGGCTGGCAGTGGCACGATCTTGGCTCACTGCAACCTCTGCCTCCTGGGTTCAAGCAATTATCTTGCCTCAGCCTCCCTAGTAGCTGGGATTACAGGCACCCGCCAAGACATCCGGCTAATTTTTGTATTTTTAGTAGAAACAGGGTTTCACCATGTTGGCCAGACTGGTCTCGAACTCCTGACCTCAGGTGATGTGCCTGCCTCGGCCTTCCAAAGTTCTGGGTTTACAGGCATGAGCCATCACGCTCAGCCTGAGTTCCTCTTTGATGGTTTCTATTTTTTTCTATTCTCTTATTTGAGAATAAGTGAGGGGAGTGGTTTGAAAAATAAGGAGAAAATCAGAAGTGGCTGTTGTGGAAATTAAGAGAGAGCCAACTAGGGAAACAAGCATTGCTTGGTAAAGTTGAAGGCCCACGTGAGTTTGGACGCTGTAAATATGTGGTGGAAACCATCTATATGGTCTGTCCAGAATTTCAGATCAGTTTTTTTAAATCTGTTTCTGAGTCAGTAAAGTCTAGGCTATATTTTATTAACAAATAAATGCAATAAAGAGATCATAAATATTGCAAATAAGTGCAATAAAGAGATCATAAGATCAATACAATTCTCTTTCCTCGTGCACCACGTATAATTTGCATAACACATGTATATACATTATAGAACATTGGCTATGAAACCTCCCTACAAAGAAAGTTCCTCAGAATATCATTATTTCATTGCCTGTAACACTCCGTATAATTTTTTCTTTTTTTTTTTTGAGACGGAATTTCGCTCTTGTTGCCCAGGCTGGAGTGCAGTGGTGCTATCTGGGCTCACTGTAACCTCCGCCTCCTGGGTTCAAGTGATTCTCCTGCCTCAGTCTCCCGAGTAGCAGGAATTACAGGTACCGCCACCACACCCGGCTAATTTTTTGTATTTTTAGTAGATGCGGGGTTTCACCATGTTAGCCAGGCTGGTCTCGAACTCCTGACCTCAGGCGATCTGCCTGCCTCGGCCTCCCAAAGTGCTGGGATTACAGGCGTGAGCCACCGCGCCCGGCCACTCTGTGTGATTTTCAATGAAAAGTAGTGAAGCTATCATAGTGTGGGGTGAACATGAACAAACTTCAGACAAGGAATTTAATATAGTTTCTATTAAGAATTTATCCATTTTCATAGCACAAAATAACACAATTCACCTCTTTCATACCCATTAAGAGATCTTCCTCAAAGAAATATTATCAATAGAGATGGGAGGCAAAGATTTACTTCCTTTAGACTATTAGGTTATATTAATATAAGTATTTGCTTTAATTTTATATTTTAAAATAATCTATATTTAGGTAATATTTACTAAGCATTGACTAAGCACCGTGTTCATGTATTAGTCTATTTAACTCTTATCAAAATCCTGTTAGATAAGTATTATCTCCGTTTATAGATGAGGAAACTGGATCACAGGAAAGTTTAAGTAACTTGTTCTTGGTTGCAAGCCTAATAAATGGAGAGCTGGGATTTGAACTCAGGCAGTCTGACTCCGGAGGCTATATACATTTACCCTCCTTGGTACACTGCTTTTTTTCAAAAATAGAAATTCAACAAAATTTCCCAAAGTAAAAGTTCATTTGAAGTTTCAGAAACTTAAAACAATGATTGAACAGATAAGTTGCAACAGACTTCATAAGCAGTTCAGTAAAAATGTAGACTTACGAAATGGCATATATCAAGATACAAAATAAGTTGCTTCTATAAGTTTCTTTTCTTAAAAAAAATTACTTGGAAATATTTCAAGTATATAGAACAGTAAAGGAAATAATTACAAGTGAACACCCATGTGCCCTCTACTTAGCTTAATGTTTTGCCACATTTTCAAGATATTTCTGGTAGAAAACAAACGTTATAGATACAAATGAACCCTTCTTGTTACATTCCCTTCTGTTCATCTCTGGAAGCAACCAGTATTCTGAATTTGGTATCTATCATTTCCTTATACAATTTTTAGTTTGATCTTACTTTTTTGTAATTATTAAACTTTTATTTATGGTATGTCATATATATCTTTCCGCAACCTGTCTTTTCATTTCTTCCTCAATATTAGGTTAATGACTCTATCCATATGAAAAATGGTAGCTTTAGTTCACTGATTTTTTGGTTCGTGTTGTATGTCAATTTGTTCAACAATGACACTTATTCATCCATTCTCCTATTAGTAGACATTTATTGTTTCACTAATATAAGCTATTTTGCTCTGAACTTTCTTGCACGTGCCTATAACTTAAAAATACACATACTTTTTTAAAACATGCAGTTAAACAGGAACATACACATTTCTTTAACATGTAGTTAAACAGGAAAAGTAACACATGTGCATGAAGAATACAACCAAGAGAGCCATCACGTTCAAGAAAAGACCACAGGTTATTCCGAGTGAAGTAAGGCTTTCACTAGAAGGCACTTGGGGAACGTTCCAATGACAGCGACATTCATCGCTACAGTAGAAACTCACACAATCGCAGCCCTTTATTAGTATTTTGTTACCCAGTAGTTCCTGTGTCCATTCATTTCCTCAACTGGAGTGTGAGCTCCAAGAGGACCGAACCGGGCACCGACAAGGTGAGCCAATATGAATGTGGCGAGTCCGCAATGGGGGCTACAGCGGCCGACCTCTGGGGCTGTGCCAGGCCACTAGAGTGTGATGGCGCGAGGGAAGGGTCGGGGAAACAGGGCCTAACCTCACTTTTCACCCCGAAAGTCAAGATAGCCACGGAAACAGGGATGAATGGGGAGCACAGACACCTGCCTCGAAGTGTCTCTTCACTTTCACTCACAAAGCCGTCGGGTCAGTAACCAGAAGCCGAGGGGCGGATGCGGCCCCCGCCCTGTGGCACTTTCTCAGTCTGGTTCTTCCAGCCGCGCCTCTTTGCCTTACGCCAATTCCGTAAGGAGGCGCTGAGGCCAACTGGCCGGCTCCCGCAGCTCCAAAACTTGACGTGAAATTGCGCGGGGCAGAGCTGACTGCGGCCATCTTTAATTCGGGCAAGACCCCACCCTCGCACCCCACCCACTAGTCCTTTTCAGCGTTCCCAGGATTTTCTCCAACAAATGTAACGCGGTTAACCTTAGAAGCAGTGTTGAAGAAACACGCAAAGAGGCCTGAGTATCCATGACCTCAGTGGTGCGAAACCCGGCCAACTTAAACATGGCGGCTAAACCCGAACAGCAAAACGTTGCTGACGCCAATGAAGTCATGCTCGAAATGGAGCGAGGCGGCGGAGCTGGGGAGGCGGTAATCTCGCGAGATGGAAGCCAGCCTCCGCTAGGCCCGGAAGCCTCGTCTGAGGGGGCGGGGGACGGAGGAGGGAGCGGGAGTCGAGCGAGAGCCTGTGGAGGAGTCCGCCTGCTGTAGCGTGCGTAAGCAAGGCAGCTACGCCGGGCGGCTACGCTGCGGAATCGGCGTAGGCGCCTTTGGAGAATCGGCGGGCTGCGCTCCGCTGGGGCTGGTCGCGGAGGGGGGGAGGGGATGTCGGTCAGTGCGAGATCCGCTGCTGCTGAGGAGAGGAGCGTCAACAGCAGCACCATGGGTGAGTCTCAGCTTCGGGTGCCGCGACTTGGGGTCAGCGGCTCCGAATGCCGGGAAGCTCTGCGGCCGCTGGACCGAGCTAGGGAACGCCCTGAGGCGAGGCGGAGGCAGCGGCGAGGGGAGCCGGGATGGGGGCCACTGCGGGCCCGGGGCGCGGCAGCGGCGGGCTCGGGGGGAGGGGAGGCGGCGGCGGTGACAGTTTGAATTGAACGTGAGGAGAGCCGAGGCGGCGGCATTTCCTGTGCCGCGGCGGGCTGGCCCCCGGCGCAGAGCCGCGGCCTCCGCGGCCGGAGCAGCCTGAGCGTGGTGGTCTCAGCCCTGCCCTTGCTTCTCTCCGTCCCTTCGCCTTTCCTCAGTCTCCTCCCGGGCCCGCCGGCTTCCGCGGCCCCGCTTCCTCCTGTCCCCGGCCGCATCCCCGTCGGCAGAAGTCCCCTCGTGGGGCAGTGGGCCTGGCTAGGAGGGTGGGGACGAGTGTGAACGCTCGGGCGAGGGTGCTGTGTGGGCCAACCCGGGCGGGCGGCGGCGGGGAGGGAGGAAGAAGGATGCACCAGGCTGAGGCTGTGGTGGAGGCGGCGGCGGCGGCTGCAGCCGCAGCTCCAGTCACCGCGTCGCCTCCCCGCTCCTCCTCCCGCCTCTCGGGGTTGCCTCTCTCCAGGCGCAGCCCGGAAGGCCGGTGGATGGCGGGCGAGTCTTGAGAACGGAGGGAGAATCGGTAGTTTGGTTTGGAATTTGGGCTTAATTTTTAGGAGTAAGGGAAAGAGAACGCCTGGGAAGGGCGCCCCCCGGAGGAGATAGAAAGGGTGGGAAGGGTCCTTGGAAAAGGGAGGGAGCGGAGATGTGGAGTGGCGAAGTTTAGGGAAATTAATTTTTGAAAATATTTCAATATTCTCAGTTATTCTCTTAACGAGCCCTTTCATTTCCTTTCCTCCCCCACATGTTGGAAAAAGAACAGGCCATTTCATTTACATTTTCCACTCCTGAGTTCCATTTCAGCTGTGTGTATAGTAAGAAATAAGCAACCGAGATTTTTCTAGGACATTTCCATTTGCTGAGTTACTTTTGAAGAGTACACTGTTTCAAATTTGGGTTTTTACAGTCCTAGGAAAGAATTTGTGACGTCCAGGTGTTTTCTTAGTTACTGAAATAATAACTTACTACATTTCTTGAGTTTATTGCTAAATAGTTCAGCTTTAAGAATTCTTTCTTCTGGCTTTTTTATTTTGATGAAAGGAAAAAATATCTTTGTTAGTGCCCCTGAGAATGTAAATGAACAGATCATCTAAATTACTAAGCATCTAACCTGTTTTACATATTTATGCACATGCAGGTGATGAGTATAGTCAGTTTTTCCCCCTAAAGTTTATGTGCAGACATGGGGAGGAGAGTATTTTAGACTTAAAAGTGTACAGGTAGGGATGAAATTTATGGAATCCTGATAGACTGAAGGGGGGATATAAACAATGACCAAGTCAGCTATTGCTGCTTGGATTCTTTATTTCTTCAGACTGCAAGGGAATGAGTAAGGGGTGGTTGGGTGGTGATGGGGGGGTGGTACGGTCGTGGCGGGAGAGCAGTAAACAATCTTTCATCTCATTCAGCTGTTCAGTGGGTGGGACTAAAGGAGATAAGAGTTGAGTGAAGCTATGAAATAAATGTGGAAGCTACATAGGTGATTTGCATGGTAGCATTGTCTTATTCTATGATGGGACAACATGATGGAACCAGGTCTTCATAACACAGTTATTAAAAATACATATTTTACCACATCTTAGGCTTACAGAATTCAAATTCACAACAAATAACAGAAATGTTAAGTTGATTTTAATTAGTTCTTATCCTTTAAAAAGAAAGGATATTGTCTTTTTCTAATGTAGCTTAACAATTTTTGTTGCAGGCTTTGGTTTGGAGATATTTGATGCATACATAATACATGAAAGGTAGTGTTAAAAGATTGTATTTCAGAAGTTTGTGATAAAATTGGTTGTTCAGATTTGCACATTGTCCCGTAGAAGTCATTTTAAGTAAATCCATGCCAGAACTTCTGAACAAGTCTGAGGCAAGTTAGGAATCCTTACAGAACCTAGGAGAATTTAGAGGAATATGCTAGGACAACAACAACAACAAAGCTTGGGGGAGAAGAGGGAGGAAGAAGAGTTACATCTATGGCTTCTAAGGTCTCAGTAATGGAGAGTGATCAGATGAGGGACCAGTCAGAATAAGGATAGTGGTAGAGCAGATTAGTTTCAGACTTTGTATAATTTGATGATATACATATTCATTGTAGACTGTATTCTGGGAATTGCCGATAGAGAATTCCTACCTGACTAAATTGCCTGCTGAGAAATGTGTTTCACATTTTGAATTAATAAGCTATCTTCAATTTTTGATTATAAGTTGAACATTTTAAACTAATGATTTATGTCTTTTACTAAGTTTTGAGACAAAACTTTTTGTATACTTCTTTTTTTGTACTAAGTTTGGACTGTAAAGATAAACTTTATTATACAATAGAAACTGAAGAAAAATTATGTTTTTAAGGAGCAGAATTGTAAGGTAGTTTGATTATGGGTTTAGTTCGCTATATGAGAGCATACTGTTAAATGTAGACCATTGAACTCTACAGCAGTGTTTTGAAGACTGCAGGTTGTGACCCATTAGTGGACATTGCACTTAATATTTTGAGGGAGATTAAATTTTCTTTCAGGTATTGTGTACTAGGTGGGGAAGTAATTTTTTTTAAGGATTGTGGTCAAAATGTACAGTATGGATGAGTCAAATCTAAGGTCTTCGAACCTTATGTTAGGGGTTGGAGGTCTTGGTGTGAGGAAGGAAGACTTTAAAATTAAAGACTGTTAAGTCCGTGTGGCTTTTTCTTACTTTGGATTCATTTATCCTGTACTCCATGTAGCTCGCATGGTTAGAGAGATCTGAGGCCTACTCCTATTTGAGAGGATGTTATCCCCCATAGCCAGAAACCAGGGTGGCTTCCAAAAGAAAAGGGTAGCATTCGGTGACTCTGCTTTAGGCCTTGAGGATGAATCTTTTCTTTGTTTTTGTCTTCCTGTGTCCTTTTGCATCATCAGAGATCTGGAGACTAAGCTTTGAGCATGGGCTTGGGGAAGAGGGGCCAAAGAGGCAGCTTGGCTGGCATTAAGTGTTGAAGGCCGTAGACCAGACACACACTAAATCCTTGTGACTTACACTTGGTGCAGTCCAGCTATCCAGATGTAGGGATTACACATTGGGGTTTGAGTTCAAAATCTTAATAATGATTTAGAACATGGGCTTTGATGTTAGATATGGATGCAAATCTTGGCTTTGCTACTCAATAGATACACCAGTCAGAGTAGGTTAGATTGTAATTTTAAAAACTACAGTTAGGCGTTGTTAACAATACGGTACATTGAGAAATCATAGAGTATTTTACCTACACAAACCTAGATGGTAGAGCCTACTATACACCTGGGCTATATCCTATTGCTTCTAGGCTATGAGCTTGTATAGCTTGTTATTGTACTGACTACTGTAAACAATTATGACAAATGGTAAGCGTGTTTCTTTTTTTGTTTTTTTTTTTTTTTTTTGAGACGTAATTTCGCTCTTGCTGCCCATGCTGGAGTGCAATGGTGCAATCTTGGCTCACCGCAACCTCTGTCTGCCTCCTGGGTTCAAGCAGTTCTCCTGTCTCAGCCTCGCGAGTAGCTGGGATTACAGGTGCTTGCCTGCCTCAGCCTCCCAAGTAGCTGGGGTTACAGGCACTCGCCACCACGCCCAGCTAATTTTTGTATTTTTAGTAGAGACGGGGTTTCACCATGTTGGCCAGGCTGGTCTGGAACTCCTGACCTCAAGTGATCCTCCTGCCTCGGCCTCCCAAAGTGCTGGGATTATAGATGTGAGCCATCACGCCCGGCCAAGTGTTTGTGCTTCTAAGCATAGAAAAGATGATGTGCTGTACTATGAACTTGTGACTGCTATGACATCACAGGTGATATGAATTTTTTTAGCTCCATAGTAATCTTATGGGACTACTGTCATAAATGTCCATTGTTGACCAAACGTTGGACATACTGCATGACTATACTGCAAATAAAAAAAGTGGAAATGGAATAAGAAAGATAAACTATAAGCCCCAATTTTTTATTATTAGTTTCAATAGACATAAAATTATTCTGCTATTAAATTTTCCATTTTTGTGCTCTCAATTTGTGTTTCTCTGACATAAACTGATAATTCACAGACTGGCTCATTGGTCCACAGACCACACTTTGCATAGCACTAGGTTAAACTATGCTGCAGCAACAGACTGTCATGCTAAAGTTTATGTACAGTATTATGTTTTAGGCCAGTGTTAACTTTAAAAATACTATACTTTGAAAGCTGAGAATTAAGTATCCCCTGTGATTGGGGGGATAGCCTGAAGCTGCTCCTGCTTACGTTATTTTGAAGTTTTCTAAGTCTTAAGTATTCATGTGTCATTTGCATTTTATTCAATGTTTGTTTGCTTTATGTGAAATATAAAGATGATATTCTTCCTCCTTCCCCACTGATCTGGAAGTAAAAATGGACTTTCCTGAAGTTGTAACATCTTAATTCTGTTGTTTTGTTTAACTCTGGGACACAACTGACTACTTCTGGTAGCTTTATTGGAGGTGAGGCTCCAGGTCAGAGTTTCTCATTTGAGGTTTTGTAATTATTTGAGGGAGGGGAGGGCTGTCTTGAGCATTGTACAGTATTTACCAGCATCCCTGCTGTCATCGTGCTAAGATGCCAGCAGCACATGCTCTCTCTGGTTGTGAAATGAAAAAAATGTCTACAGACATTGCCAAATGTCACGTGGGGGAGCAGAATCATCCTTGGTTGAGAACCACTGCACTAGGTGATGGAGAGCCATTGAAGGATTGTGGGAGACGGGGAAGAAGGAACAAGCTTCCTTAACTGTCTTACTTTTTACTTCTTCCTGGAACTCCTACCACTTAATATTCTTAGTATTTCCTAAACTTGGGAATCAAAATTACCTAGATTTTTTTGTATTAAAAGTTTATCATTAATTGATATATTTTTGCAAAGCATGATCAGTAATTACTGGACATAGAACATTATGCTAGGTCATTATTTTCTAAAGTATGGTTGAAGGGTCAACCATGGCTTGGAGTTAAAAATGCAGATTAACTGGTTCCCACTACAAGACCCATTGATTAGCAATCTCTGGGAGAGGGACCCAGGAGTCTACATTTCCAAATGCTTTCCGACTTATCAAGTAACTTCATTATTGTATGCTTTCATAGAAAAAAATACGTGGATTTTAAGTATTTAGTTCAATGAATTGCTGATGTGCATACACACATCTTGTAGCCTTTATTCTAATCAAGATAGAGAATACTTCCACCATCCCAGAGTTTCTTGTGCCCTGTTGGAGTTCTCCTTCTACTGCCCCAGGTAACCACTGATAAGATTTCTAATAGCCATGAATTAGTTTTTTTGTTTTTGTTAGTTGACTCATTTAAAGTGTTTTTTCTGGGTAACTTTCTAAAGTCTCCCCATCCCTATAACTTCTTTATTATATAAGATTTCAAATAAAATGAACGTCATGGTGTTTTTCAAAGAATACAGATTCTCATAGTGTTTCACACTTTGATAAATGATAGGCCTGGGATGGGGCCCTGAAAATCTTTGGCTCTGATTGACTGTTTTCAGGAAAATCAAAACTATTTTCCACCAGTTTTGCTGTGCTTTATAAAATATATTTGAAATATTCCTGCAGTGGTAATTTGAAACTTTTGTAAACTTTGTTCATTGATTTAACAAGTATTTGACTCCAGGAAGTATCAGACACTTTGACACCATAGCAATCAAGAAAGCTGTGGTCATGGATGTTATGATGTTTCTGTTTTCATTTCTGAAATTGCTTTTTTAAAACTTTTTTTTTTTTTTTGAAACGGAGTTTCGCTCTTGTTGCCCAGGCTGGAGTGCAATGGCACAGTCTCAGCCACCGCAGCCTCCGCCTCCCCGGTTCAAGTGATTCTCCTGCCTCAGCCTCCCGAGTAGCTGGGATTACAGGCATGTGCCACCATGCCCGGCTGAATTTTTTTTTTTTTTTTTTTTTTTTTTTTTAGATGGAGTCTCTCTGTGTCGCCCAGGCTGGAGTGCAGTGGCGCGATCTCGGCTCGCTGTAAGAAGGTCTGCCTCCCGGGTTCACACCATTCTCCTGCCTCAGCCTCCTGAATAGCTGGGACTACAGGCGCCCGCCACCGCGCCCGGCTAATTTTTGTATTTTTAGTAGAGACGGGGTTTCACTGTGTTAGCCAGGATGGTCTCAATCTGCTGACCTCATGATCCGCCCGTCTTGGCCTCCCAAAGTGCTGGGATTACAGGCGTGAGCCACTGTGCCCTGCCAATTTTTGTATTTTTAGTAGAGACAGGGTTTCTCCACATTGGTCAGGCTGGTCTCGAACTCTCGACCTCAGGTGATCCACCTGCCTTGGCCTCCCAAAGTGATGGGATTACAGGTGTGAGCCACCGCACCTGGTTGCTTTTTAAAAATTTTATTGGGAGGTTTTTTGTTGTTGTTTTGTTTTTTTGAGACGGAGTCTTGCTCTGTCACCCAGGCTAGTGGCATGATCGTGGCTCACTGCAACCTCTGCCTCCTGGGTTCAAGTGATTCTCCTTCCTCAGCCTCCTAAGTAGCTGGGATTACAGGCACATGCCACCACGCCTAGCTAATTTTTGTATTTTTAGTAGAGACGGGGTTTCACCATGTTGGTCAGGCTGGTCTCTCCTGACCTCGTGATCTGCCTGCCTTGGCTTCCTAAAGTGCTGGGATTACAGGTGCAAGCCACCGCACCCAGCCTGGTTTTTTTTGTTGTTGTTTTTTTTAATAGGTAATATAATCACTTGGTTCAAAATTCAAAAGGTTAAACAGAGAGATACAGTGAAATCTCCTTCTTACTTCTACCCCCAAGTCACCCAGTTTCCTAGTCCTCGGCATCCTGTGTTAACAGTTTCTTGTATGTTCTTCCAAAGGTGTTTTTTGCATATGGAAGTTAAAAACATTTATCCTTCCTGCCCCCACCCTTGGTAGCATTAAGACACATTATTTCCCACATGTTTTTTTCCAATGAGTGTAATTTGGGTTATTCCGTATCAGTACATAAAGAGCATTCTTATTCTTTTATACAGCTGCATAACCGTTACATGATATCTCAGTCTGTTTGTGCTGCTCCAACAAAATACCTGAGACTGGGTAATTTATAAGGAACAGAAATCTATTTCTTACCATTCTGGAAGCTAGGAAGTCTAAGATCACAGTGCCAGCAGGTTTGGCGTCTCTGCTTCCAAGATGGCACCTTAAATGCTACTTCCTTTGGAGGGAACAAATGCTGTGCCCTAACATAGTAGAAGGAGCAAAAGGGTCAAGCACCTCCCTTGCACCTCTTTTATAAGGTCATTAATCCTATTAATACCATTACTAGTGATTAAGTATCAACATACAAATTTTGGGAGAACACATTAAGACCATAGCATATGGATAGATCATGATATGGGATATATTTTGATTTGTTTAACATGTCTGCCTCTGATAGACATTAATTTCCAGTGTTTTGCTATTACCAACTTTGACATGGTGAGTCACTTGGGATATTGATCTCTTCACATTTGTTAGTGTATCTAACAAATACACTAACTGTTAGTTTTTGAACTCTTTGAAGCAGGAGACTACCACTTAAAAGTTGTAGTATTGACATTGTCATTATATCAATAATGTATTGATGTTATAGTATCATAACATTGATGTTAAGTATTGGTAATATTGCTGTTAAGTCATTAGTTTAGAACTTCAACAATCAAGTTCATTCACTTAACAAATACACGTTTTGTACTTGCTGTGTGCTGGCCACTGGGGAAACTGAATTAAATGCTGTGGCAGTTGAAATAGAGGCATGGTGATTAAGAGTTTTCGGATCTAGAGTCAGACTTGGATTCATATCTCAGTTCTAAAGCTTAACTGAACCTTTGGCAAATAACAGAACTTCTATTTTTCCTTCTCTGTAATGTGGGAATCATAAGGTTATTGGAGAAGTAAATGAGATAGTACATGACAAATCCTTAGCATGATGCCTGGCATATAATAAACACTGAGATGTTAGCTTAAAAAAAGTTATCAGACTATATTGCAGTTGACTTTATGTTCTGCCTCCACTGTGCTTAAAGTCTAGGCCTGTGTTTTGTTCACCTTTGTGTCCCCAACCCATAACTGGCTTGCATTTAGTAAAAAATTTGTGATACGATATAAAGGTATGCAGAGCATACAGTGAAAGTTCAAAGCAGGATACCTTTTCCATGCTGGAGAAGGTGAATCTTTGAAAGTCGGTAGGAGTGATTAGGTAAAGGAGGTGAAGGAGTAAAGATAATTATTCTAGACTGAGAAATTATGTTAGTATCAGGTTATGAGGTTAGAAGAGGTAAGTAGGCAACTGGTATTGCTGTGCTGAGAATTTAAAAATCTTTATTGAAGGCTTTAAAAGAAAAGTGGTAATCGTAAGAATCGTGATGATAATTCTCTCTGTTGAGAGTTGACAGGGCACCAGGTTGGAGCCATTAAATTGAAGGAGTTTAATGTAGCAGTTTAGGACTAAAAATTGGTCAGAAGCAGGGCAATGGGAAAGGACATGAGGGGGATGGTTGTAAGGTGTTAGGGAAGATGTGGGTGGTGAGTAATGAGTCCAGAATATTTGAGCTTTCTGACTTGAGTGAATGGGTAGATGAATAGATGCTATTTCTTGAAATAGGTAATTTGAAACATGAAATTGAGAGGCCTGGGGGACATCCAAGTGGACATGTCTTGTAGGGTCTCAATACTAGGAAGACATCTAGGATAGAAAATAAACATTTTCTGATAATTGTAAATGTATTCATTTGTGCTTTGAATTTTTATGTTTAGTAAGTGAGTTTGTGAACAGAGTTGAAGGAAATTACAATAAAGTGATTTGTGTGAAACTTCGTTGTCCTTCAAATATAGACTGAGGTCTCCAGTTTCTGGGGTAGTACTAAAATGTTTCCTTTTTTTTTTTTTTTGAGATGGAGTCTTGCTCTGTCACCCAGGCTATAGTGCAGTGGCGCGATCTCAGCTCATTGCCAGCTCCGCCTCCCACGTTAACGCCATTCTTCTGCCTCAGCCTCCCGAGTAGCTGGGACTACAGGCGCCCGCCACCACACCTGGCTAATTTTTTGTGTTTTTAGTAGAGCCTGGGTTTCACCGTGTTAGCCAGGATGGTCTCAATCTCCTGACCTCATGATCCGCCCGCCTTGGCCTCCCAAAGTGCTGGGATTACAGGCGTGAGCCACCGCGCCCAGCCAGATGTTTACTTATTTAAAATTTCAGCTGGTACGTTTCACAGCAGCAGTTGCTTCAGACTCAGGGTTATGCTAGTGTTTCTTTGCAGGAGTGACATTTTGTATCCTTATATATTGTTATTGTCCATTCAGATTGTAATGAGTTAATGAGTTTTTTTTTTTTTGAGACAGAGGCTCGCTCTGTCGCCCAGGCTGGAGTGCAGTGGTGAGACAGAGGCTCACTGCAACCTCCACCTCCCTGGTTCAAGCAATTCCTCTGCCTCAGCCTCCCGAGTAGCTGGGATTACAGGCACATGCCACCACGCCTGGCTAATTTTTTTGTATTTTTAGTAGAGACGGGGTTTCACCATGTTGGCCAGACTGGTATCGAACTCCTGACCTGAGGCAATCTGCCCACCTTGGCCTCCCAAAGTGCTGGGATTACAGGCATGAGCCACTGTGCCCAGCCGAGTTCTTTCTTTTGAGGAAGATTTTGGTATGTATTGTCCTTCAGTTTTAGAGAATACAGTAAATATTTTGAATGAGATCATTATTTGTGTAAGAGGAGGCAAAATTCTCATAATAATTTTCTTAGTTCTTTCCATTTATATATTTTTTTAAAAAATAAGGAGAGTACCACCTTATTTATTACATGTAACATTTTGGGGTATGAGGCGATCTATACAAGGAAAAATTTTCCAGAAACTAATGTTCTCTCAAATATTAACATTTTAAAGTATTTCTAATAATAAAAATTTAGTATATAAACTTGGTTTCTTTTATGATTAACTTAAACAAATTAGCCACAAGGGGAAAAATAAATTATTTCAATCATTGTAAGTTAATTTGTATTCTTTCTAAATATATAGGTTGTAATTAGGGGTGTATTAGTGGTCCTAAACCCTGGACCAGCATTGGAAACATTTCTAATGTTTAACACAGTTGGAGACTCTATAACTCACTAGGTGGGAAGTGGGGCTTAGAAGCTTGCTTATTAAGAGGCGGGCATGGTGGCAGTGGTTCTCATCGGTAAACCCAGCATTTTGGGAGGTCGAGGCGGGCTGATCACTTGAGGTCAGGAGTTCGAGACCAGTCTGGCCAACATGGTGAAACCCTGTTTCTACTAAAAATACAAAAATTAAGGCTGGGCGCGGTGGCTCATGCCTGTAATCCCAGCACTTCGGGAGGCCGAGGCGGGTGGATCATGAGGTCAGGAGTTCAAGACCAGCCTGGCCAAGAAGGTGAAACCCTGTCTCTACTAAAAATACAAAAATTAGCTTCCTGCAGTGGCAGGTGCCTATAATCCCAGCTACTCGGGAGGCTGAGGCAGGAGAATCGCTTGAACGTTTCAAAAATAAACAAAAAACAAACAAAAAAATTAGCCAGACATGGTGGTTGGTGCCTGTAATCCCAGTTACTCAGGAGGCTGAGGCAGGAGAATTGCTTGAACCTAGGAGGCAGAGGTTGCCGTGAGCCAAGATCAAGCCTCTGCACTGCCTGGTGACAGAATGATACTCTGTCTCCAAAACAAAAAAAAAAAAAACAAAAAAAAAACAGTTTTTAGAGAGATGGCTAACTCAACTTCAGCTGTGGGCGAAAAAGATAACTAGAATGACTTAGCTGGCAAGTAGACCCACCAAAAATACTTGTTTGTGTTAGTGCATGGTGCTGTGCTGTTAGAGAGGTAATTACATAGACATAGGCCCCACGTCCCTTCCCCACCCCCCCATTTTTTTTTTTTAATTTTGGAATAGTTTTGGATTTGCTGAAAAGTTGAAGCCCCTTTCTTTTTGAAAGCTAAACATGTGGTCAACACAGAGGAAATGCAGAAATAATGCTACAGACATGCAAATATAGCACGATATATGATATAAATGCACCATCAACGTTAGTACTGGCCAGGGTTAAGGGAAATGTCAAGGGAATGGGGGTTTTATGCTTAATGGAAACATCTTTTATTTGAATCTGTGTTGAAAGTTTTGGGAGGCTCCATTGCTTTTTAATTGAAGGATGTGTATTCTAGTTCTGGTTGGTGGGTAGTGGATTTCATTTAACAATTAGAATCTAGCTAAGATAAACAAAGGACCTTTTTCCCCCGTAGGGTAGTTTCCTCATTGTTCTTATGGCTTCCAGTCTCTTCCCACTTCATTTAATAAATAAATCTTTTAAGATTACTATACCTAAAACATTACTTTTACAAAATAACTTACCTATTATAGTAACATAAATATGTCTATTATTTATAGTATTGGCTTCTAGAGCTCTTGTTAAAAATATTATTTCTTGGGCTCTATCGGCAAGATTCTAATTCCCTACTTCTAGACTGGGGCACAGATTTCTATTTTTAATCAAAAGCTCCCCATATTCTTCTGATTATAGCCAGGTTTGGGAATAACTTTTCTGCAAGATATAAGTCCGGAGGCCTTAATAATAACTATCATCTGTAGGGCAACCACTGTAACAACTGTCATTTATTGTACTTACTGTATGTGAAGTGCCAAACCCTTTATGTTAATTGTTTTGTATATACCTTACAAATATCCTCATCAAGATGTTATCCCAATCTAAGGCTCAGAAAGGTTATGTAACTTACCCGCCTGAACACAAATAAGTTACAGCAGATACTGGAATTCAGATTTCTAGCTAGCTGTACATATACTGCCTTATGAATCTTTTATATATTAAAAACTTTTAGGTCATCATTTTAGCACCTCCTTGGTTTGACCTTTTCCTACTTACAAATGAGTAATATTCAGTATTCCTTTTTTTTTTTTGGAAAGAGTCTCGCTCTGTCACCCAGACTGGAGTGCAGTGGCATGATCTCAGCTCACTGTTGCAACCTCCACCTCCTGGGTTCAAGCGATTCTCATTCTCTCCTGGGTTCAGCTGCTGGCCTCCCCAGTAGCTGGGATTACAGGCGTGTGCCACCATGCCTGGCTAATTTTTTTGTATTTTTGTAGGCATGGGGTTTTGCCATGTTGACCAAGCTGGTCTCAAACTCCTGAGCTCAGGTGATCTGCCTGCCTCAGCCTCCTAAAGTGCTAAGATTACAGGAGTAAGCCACTGCACTCGGCCAATATTAGTATTCTTGCTTCTGGTTATGGTGTTTGTACCTGCCTTGAAGTCCTATCATCTGTTAAGGAAGGCCCATATCAAAACTACCCATTCTGAGAAGCTTTTACCAACCATGACATGATGAGTAACTTGGGATATTGATCATTTCACATTCGATAGTGTATCAGTGCTTTTGAACTCTTTGAAATAAGAGACTATCAGTTGTAGTATTGACATTAAGTTCATTACATCAATAATGTATTGATATTATATTACTGTAACATTGATGTTAACTATTGGTAGTATTGCTGCTAAGTCATTAGTTTAGAACTTCAACAACTTCATTCATTTAACAAACACATGTTTTATACCTGCTGTGTGCTGGTCACTGGGGAAACTGTTAAAAGTTGGAGAGTATTTTCTTTCATGCTTTTTCTGTAAACTTAAAAAAGCTGTAATGATAGTGGCTCAACATTTTATTTCTCTTTGGTAAATTCTTGGGGTAAGTAATATGGTAGATGTATGTTTAATTTTTAAATTGCAAAATTATTTTGCAATATATTAGTAACATTTTACATTTTCACCCC
The DNA here is from genome assembly GCF_000001405.40 of Homo sapiens. NCBI lineage: Eukaryota > Metazoa > Chordata > Mammalia > Primates > Hominidae > Homo > Homo sapiens. The sequence continues at coordinate 35,814,241 of NC_000007.14, forward strand.
CAGTGAATAAGAATTCAGGTTGTTCCATGTGCTCACCAACACCTAGAATGGTCACTGCTTTTAATTTTACTCATTCTTATAGATTTGTAGAGATAACTTACTGTAATTTTAATTTGTATTTTCCTAATGACTAATGATGTTGAGGATCTCCTGTGCTTATTTGCCATCTGTTTGTCACCTTTGGTGGTCCATTGAAATCTTTGGTCCATTTTTAAATTAGGTTATTTGTCTTAATGAATTGTAAGGGTTTTTTTAATATTTTAGGTACTAGTTTTTTGTTGGACTGTGCAAATACACTATTTCTCATTACACTTTTACCCACTAACTTTAGTATCTTGTCAATGATTCTTGCCTATGGCAGTTATTACTGTGCTGTTTGTGTTACTGGTGATTTTCTGTTACATGATTTTCTGTTTACATGTACATGATGCTACATTTTAAAGCTGGGATTCTGACCGGGTGTGGTGGCTCATGCCTGTAATCCCAGCACTTTGGGTGGCCAACGTGGGTGGATCACGAGGTCAGGAGATCAAGACCATCCTGGCTAACACGGTGAAACCCCGTCTCTACTAAAAATACAAAGAATTAGCCGGGCATGGTAGCAGGCGCCTGTAGTCCCAGCTACTCGGGAGGCTGAGGCAGGGGAATGGCCTAAACCTGGAAGGCAGGGCTTGCGGTGAGCCGAGATCTCGCCACTGCACTCCAGCCTAGGCGACAGAGCGAGACTCCTTCTCAAAAAAAAAAAAAAAAAAAAAAAAAAGCTGGGATTCTGTTGTAAGGAAGAGCTCTTTTATTTATTCATCAGTTCGGTTATATATTAATTTTTTTCATTGTTCAGTTGTCCATTGATAGACCTTTCAGGTGGCTCTTGTTCATCCTTTCACTGTGTACCCATCATTTTTAGGGGTACTTCTTTACTTTCTAGTTCATCTTGTATTTTTCGTGCCTAAGCCTTGGAATCAACCATTGTCCAAGGAGTCCAGCAACCTTTTTTTGAGAGTAGTGATTAAGAACCAAGATCTGGGCACCAGAAGTGCTCATTGCTGCTGGGGTGTCACTGCCTCTAGTAGATGTTTTGAACAGACAGAGGTAGGCAATATATGAATTTATATATATACATCTGTATTTTTGTATATGTGTGTAAAAATATTTGCATATGTATACTAAAAACCATGAATTTATACTGGTACATCGATTCCAATCTATTAATGCAGAGTTCAATCTAGCCTTTCTCTTTTCCTTGTAACTCTTTTCTTCAACATTGAGAAACCTGGCTTTCATCTACAATTTATTTACATACTTGGAAAAACCTATTGTACACATAGATGTAACTTCAGAACTATGTAATATGCTTACTTGCTAGAGTATATTTGTGTATGCTTTTTTTGTCTTTAGCCTTATGCAGTACCAATACTGTTAGTTAATATAGTATGCTAATACCTTATGCTAATCAAAATACTTTTTTCCAAAGTTAGTTATATTCTTTTCTGTTCCACCCCCTTCAGTGTCTTCATGTTATTCTTCTGAAATACAATTAGTTTTATTTGTTACTATTTCTTTTCACATCCTGGCTGATTTTGTTTTTTTAATGGGAATATATGGAAAATTACTATGGTGTTAATAGACTTAGTATTCTTCCCACCTTTCTTTTACCCTGTTCTCATTCTCCTTTTTTCTACCACTTTCCCACACATCGATAGAGGTAATGGATCTCATCAGTTTCTGATTGATTTTTTGTGAGTATTTTTTTGCGCATATGAGAAGATATGTGTGAGAAAGGAGATATAACAATTTATGAAAGGTAGTGTACAGTACATGCTTGTTTTTATCACAGATTTATTGAGATAATTTACATGCCATAAAATATACCCCTTGAAAGCGTGATTTTGTGGTTTTTCGTGTATTCAGGGTTGTGCAACCATTGTCACTGTCAACTTTTAGGACATTTTCATCAGCCCCAAATGAAACTTTGCAGCCATTAATAATCAGTCCCCATCCCTTCTCTTCCCTTGTCCTGGCAACCACTAATTTACTTTCCGTTTCTATGGATTTGTCTATCTTGGACATTTTATATAAATGAGATCATATAATGTGACTTTTTGTGATGGGCATCTTTCACTTAGCAGTGTTTTCAAGTTTTGTCTGTGTTGTAGCATGTCTCAGTAGTACTTCATTCCATTTTATTGCTGGATATTATTCTGTTGTATATATACTACCATATTTCATTTATCCGTTAGTTGATATTTGGGTTGTTTTCTACTTTTTGACTATTATGGATAATGCTGCTGTGAATGTTTTGAGTACAAGCTTTTGTGTGGACCTATAGTTTTCAATTCCCTTGGATATATACCTAAGGATAGAATTACTGCATCATAGTGTAGTGTAACTCTAGTTTAACTCTATGAAGAACTGCCTGACTGCCGAAGCAGCTGCCTTATTTTACATTTCTACCAGCAGTGTATGAGAGTTCCAGTTTTTCCACATTCTTGTCCATACTTGTTATTGCCTGTGTTTTAAAACTATCCTACTGGGTGTGAGCTGGTATCATTGTGGTTTTAATTTGCATTTCCCTAATGATGTTGAACATCTTTTCATGTGCTTATTGGCAATTTGTACACCTTCTCTGGAGGAATGTCTATTAAAATGCTTTGCTGAGTTTTTAATGAAGTTGTCTTACTACTGTTCAGTTGTAAGAATTCTTCATAGATTCTGGATATAAGTCCTTTATCATATAGAAGACTTGCAAGTAGTTCCTACAATTCCACAGGTTTTTTTTTTTTTTACGTTCTTGATAGTGTTCTGTGAAGTACAAGCATTTTTAATTTTGATGAAGTCCAGTTTATCTACTTATTGCATGTGCTTTTGATGTCATAGTCAAGAAAGCATTTCTAATCCAAGGTCATGAAAATATACCCCTATGTTTTCTAAGAGTTTTATAGTTTTAGACCTTTATGTTTAGGTTTTTGATCCATTTTGAGTTAATTTTTGTGTATGGCGTGAGATAGGAGTCATTCTTTTGTATGTGGCTATCCAGTAGTTTCATCACTCATTGTTGAAAAGACTAGTCTTTTTCCATTGTGTGGTCTTGACAACTTCTGTGAAAACAACTGGCCATAAATGTAAGGGTTTTCTTGTGGATTCTCATTTGTTTCTTATTGATCTATATGTCCTTAATGGCAGTACCACACTGTTTTGATGACTAACTTTGCAGTAAGTTTTGAAACTGGGGAGTGTGAGTCTTCCAACTTTGTTCTGTTTCAAAATTGTTTTGGTTATTCTGGTTCCCTTGAATGTCCGTCTGAACTATAGGCTTAGTTTGCTAATTTCTACAAGTAGGCCAACAAGGATGTTGATAGCCATGGTGTTGAACTTGTATATCAATTTGAAGAGTATTGTCGTCTTAACAGTATTAAGTCTTCCACTCCATTAATGCAAAGTATCTTCTGTTTATTTAGGTCTTCAGTTTTTGTGAACAACATTTTTATAGTTCTCATGTATAAGACTTACATTTCTTTTTGTTAAATTTATTTCTAGGTATTTTATTCTTGATGCTATCACAGATGGAATTTTTTCTTAATTTTTTTATAGAAATGCAATTGATTTTTGTATATTGATCTTATATCATGCAACTTTATTAGTTCCTGTAGTGTTTTTTTTTTAGTGGATTCTTTTGGATTTTTTATTTATAAGATCATATCGCCTGCAAATACTACTTACATTACTTTACAATCTAGATACATTTTATTTCTTTATTTTACCAAATGCCTTTTCTGGAACCTCCAGAACTGTGTTGATTAGGAGTAGCAATGATAGACATCTTTGTCTTGTTCTTGATTTTAGAGTGAAAGCATTCAGTCTTTCATCATTGTGGGTTTTCTGAGATGTTCTTTATGAGGTTGAGGTTCCCTTGTATGTCTAGTTTGTTAAGTGTGTTTATCGTTGAAAGAGTGTTGAATTTTTGTCAAATGTGTTTTCTGTGTCTACTGAGATGATTATGTGTTTGTTGTGTGTGGGTTTTAATTTAGTGTATTACATTGATTAATTTTCATATGTAAAACCAACATATTCATTCTGGGATATATCCCATTGGTTATGGTGTATAACCCCTTTTTATTGCTGGATTTGGTTTGCTAGTACTTTGTTGATGTTTTTTTCCATCCATATAAGATATTGGTTGGTTGTTTTTACTCGATGTGTTTGGTTTTGGTATCAGAGTAAAACTGGCCTCATAAAATGAGTTGGGAAGTATTTAATCCTCTTCTATTTCTTGGACTAGTTTTTGAAGGATTGTACAACCTTTAAACATTTGATAGAATTTACTGGTGAAGACATCTGGGTATGGGCTTTGTGTAAAGTTGTGTTTTTGCCTTTTTGGGGTGTGTGTGTGTTAGTTATTTTTTGTTACTAATCTATTATAGGTCTATTCAGATTTTCTGTTTCTTGAGTCAGTTTTGGTAGTTTATGTCTTTCTAGGAATTTTTGCATTTCCTCTAGGTTATAATCTGATCTGTTGTCAGCATGGAATTAATTGTTCATAGGTTCCTTTTTATTTCTGAAAGGTTGGTAGTGATTTCCCTTCTTTCATTCCTGATTTTAGTAATTTGAGTGTTCTGGTTTTTTTTTTCTTGGCTGGTTTAGCTAAGGTTTTGTCAATTTTGTTGATCTTTTCAGTGAACTAACTTGTGGTTTTGTTAATGTTTCTGTTTTATGTATTTCATTTATTTCTGCTTAAATAATCATTTCCTTATTTTGTTTTCCCTGTTTTGGGTTTAGTTTATTCTTTTTCTAGTTTCTTGAGATGGAAGGTTATGATGTGAGATCTTTCTTTTTAATATAGGCATTTACAGCTGTAAATTTCCTTCTAAGCACTGATTTAGCTGCATTCAATACATTTTGGTATGTTGTGTTTTTAGTTTCATTCATCTCAAAGTATTTTCCAGTATCCCTTGTGATTTAGTTTTTGACCCATTGATTATTAAAGAATGTACTGTTTAATTTTCACAAGTGTGTGAATTTTCCAGATTTTTCTCTGCAGTTGATTTCTAACTTCATTCTCTAGTGGATGAAGAATATACTTTGTATGATTTTCAGCCCATTTAAATTGAGACGTGTTTTGTGATCTAACATATGGTCTCTTCTGGAGAATATTCCATGTGCACTTGAGAAGATTGTGTTTTGCTGTTTTTGGGTGGAATGTTGTACAGCTATGTGTTAGGTCTAGTTGGTTTATAGTGTTGTTGAGTCTTCTGCTTCTTTATCATCTGTCTAGTTGTTTTACCCGTTATTGAAAGTAGGGTGTTGAAGGTCAGGTATTACTGTTCAGTTGTTTTTTTTACCTTTCATTTTCTTAGCTTTGTGCAATTTGGGGACTCTTTTATTAGGGACATACGTGCTTAAAATTGTTCTATCTTCTCAATGGATTGGTCCTTCAGTCAGTATAAAATATCCTTCTTTGTGGTAACAATATGTCTTTTAAGTCTGTGTTTTCTGATATTAGTGTAGCTACTTCAGCTCTCTCTTGTTTTCTGTCCTTTTTTTTCAATCTGTTTGTGTTTGTGATTCTGAAACATGTCTCATGTGGGCACCACATAGTTGGATCTTACTTTTAAAAATCCACATAGCCATTCTTTACCTTTTGATTGGAGTCCTATTATACCTGAAACAGCAAAATACATTAGTTACATTTAATCTAAGTAGTGATATGATTTACACCTGTAATTTTGCTGTTTTCTACATCTTGTCTTTTTTTTTTTTTTGAGACAGGGTCTCACTCTCACTCAGGCTGGAGTGCAGTGGCACCATCATAGCTCACTTGGTTGACAGTCTTTTTCTTTCAACATTCGAAATATGTTATCCTTTTGCTTTCGGGCCTCCATGGTTTCTGATAGGATGTCAGCTATTCTTATTTACAGTCTCTTATACATATAGTTGCTTCTCATAAGCTGCTTTCAAGATTCTCTGTTTTTGGTTTTTAACAGTTTGGTTATGTGTGGGTCTCTTTGATTTTATCTTATTCAGTTTGTTGAGCTTTGATGTTGATACTAATGTTTTTCTTCAAATTTGGGAAGTTTTCAGTTCTGTTTCTTCAAATATACATTCTGCCCCTTCCTTCCTAAACCCACCCCTTTTCTCCTTCCCTCCCTTACTTCATGTTTGATTTTGTTCTGTAGGTCTCTGGCTCTGTTCATTTTTCTTTCTTTACTTAAATTGGTTAATGTTATTTAACCCATTTTCAGGTTTGGTGATTCTTTTTTCTGCAAGCTGCAATCCTTCGTTGAGCTTCTCTAGTGAATACTTTTATTTATTATATTTTTTAACTCCAGAATTTTTAAAAAATTATCTTTTTTGATATTATCTATTTGATGAACATTGTTTTCATACTTGACAGTTTATTAGACTTTTCTTTAGTTCTTTGAACATATCTAAAATAGCAGGTTTAAAGTATTTGTTTAATGTCTGGGCTTTCTCAGGGACTGTTGCTTTTTTCCCCTGTACATGGGCCATGCAGTTTTGAGTTTTTTTTGCAAGGCTCATACTTTTCTCTTGAATACTAGACATTTTAAATATTTCAAATAATACAGTGTGGCAGCTCTGGAAATCAGATTCTCCCTTCTCTGCAGGGTTTATTGTTGTTGCTTTTTGTTATTTGCTTAGTTCCTTTTCGAACTAATTCTGTGAAGTTAATTTTTGCCATATGTTGTCACTGAAATCTCTGCTTGGTTATCTTAGTGGTCACTTGTGAGTGGGCCTTTAGGGACTACCAGACACATCAAATAATGACAGCAGTTTGAGAGTGAGGCTTTGAAAGCATTCCATGATTGTTCTGTTTTTTTCCAGTTGCCACTAGGCTGCTGGTTTTTACTGTGATTGTGTGCTGATGGTTTTCAAGGCTACTGTAGAGGTAGAGAGATGACAATGGGCAAGTTAAAATGCAAGAGCTGCTGTTTTTACCAAGGCTCAGCCCCTTGTCTTGAATCAGCATTACCTGGATTCCTGCAAGCTTTTAGTTAATTTCCAGAATTTTAAGTTAAGTTGATTTGAACAGTTTGTGTCAGTTTTCTCCTTGCTTTTAATGAAGCAGAATTTTCTGAAGTATTTACTCCACCAATTTCTTTGATGTTCTCCTGTGACAAGTGTTTAAGAATGTTTTTCTAGTCAATATATCATTATCTGTCCATGCATATTTTTCTAAAACCTTACTTTTAATGGCTGCCTGGTATTTTAATACATGGAGGTACTGTAATACAATTTTAGTTTCACTTGTCTTTAGAACTCATCAAAAATTGTTACAATTTTTTACTATTATGAGCAGTGCTTTGTTGAATATTCTTTTATCTTAATCATGTATGATTCTCAAGACTATCCATTTCTGGAAGTGGAATTTGTTGAATTTAAGACAATAAAAACTTCAGTTTTTGGTCCACATGGTTAAATTGCCCTTTAAGTAAGTGGTTTAAGTTTATATTCCAAAAGTCATGTAGGAGAGTGTCTCTTTTTCCACATCATCACCCAGTACTGGGCACTAGTACTCACTTTATTATTTTTATTTTTATTTTGAAATGGAGTCTCACTCTGTCATACAGGCTGGAGTGCAGTGGCACGATCTTAGCTCACTGCAACATCCACCTCCGGGGTTCAGATGATTCTCCTGCCTCAGCCTCCTGAGTAGCTGCGATTACAGGTGCATGCCTGGCTAATTTTTGTGTTTTTAGTAGAGACGGGGTTTCACTATGTTGGCAAGGCTGGTCTCGAACTCCTGACCGACCTCAGATGATCCACCCGCCTTGGCCTCCCAAAGTGCTGGGATTACAGGCGTGAGCCACCACACCTGGCCTCATTTTATTTTTTTAACTTTTGGAGACAGAGTCTCGCTCTGTCGCCCAGGCTGGAGTGCTGTAGCACCATCCTGGCTCACTGCATCCTCTGCCTCCCAGGTTCAAGCAATTCTCGTGCCTCAGCTTCCTGAGGAGCTGGGACTACCTGGCTAATTTTTTGTATTTTAGTAGAGACAGGATTTCACCATGTTGCCCAGGGTGGTCTTGAACTCCTGAGCTCAGGCAGTCCACCCGCCTCGGACTCCCAAAGTGCTAGGATTACAGGAGTGAGCCACCACACTCAGCCTAATACTTATTTTATTTTTTTCTTTTTTTAAGAGATGAGGTTCTATCTAGAGGTGATGGGAGACAGTGACAGATCATCAGGCATTAGATTCTCATAAGGACTGCGCAACCTAGATCCCTTGAATGAACAGTTCACAATAGGGTTCACTCTCCAATGAGAATCTAATGCTGCCGCTGATCTGACAGGTGCCAGAGCTCAGGCGGTAATACGAGAGGCTGGAGATACAGATAAAGCTTCAGTTGCTTGCCCGCCACTTACCTCCTCTTGTGCGGCCCAGTTCCTAACAGGCCACAGACCGCTACCAGTCCATGGCCTGGAAGTTGGGGACCCCTCTACTGGGATATTTATAATTGCATATGTGGTTACCTAATATTTCCATGATACAACACTGGTCTAGATTCTAGGCCATTCTCCTTCAAAAAGAACCCTGCTTCCTTACAGTTTTACTGTTTAGCAGCAATGTTTTCTACCCCTTCTTAAAATTTTCAGCTACCACACCCCTGTTTTGTTCTAATATTAAAGATGACATCTAACACTCAATTTTTCTTTCTGCTCCAAGCTCCATCATCATTCTGGGACATTTTTGGCCCATGTGTAAGACACTTTCAGTAAGTTAGCTTCAGTTTCTTGACTGTGCTTGAGCCATCCTTTTTTTTCTCTCTCTGTCTCATCTGAGAGCCATCCTTTTAATAGCCCTATGGAGGAATGGGTGGGAAGAAAAAATATTTAAAAGTAAAATATTAAAAAAAGAAATAATAACCCTGTGGGGCTATCATCTGCAACTTATGTTCCACTTCTAAAATCTTAATTGTATAGTCCATTTTAACCATAACTTACATGTATTTATTTATTTTTTCGAGACAGAGTTTCGCTCTTGTTGCCCAGGCTGGAGTACAATAGCGTGATCTTGGCTCACTGCAATCTCCACCTCCCAGGTTCAAGGGATTCTCCTGCTTCAGCCTCCCAAGTAGCTGGGATTTCAGGCATGCATCACCACGCCTGGCTAATTTTGTATTTTTAGTAGAGATGGGGTTTCTCTATGTTGGTCAGGCTGATCTTGAACTCCTGACCTCAGGTGATCTGCCCGCCTCAGCCTCCCAAAGTACTGGGATTACAGGCATGAGCCACCGTGCCCAGCAACTTATTTTTTTACTGTCTTCTTTACTTCCTGCCTTCCATCCTTGATCCTCTCCATTTTCATTCACTGAATTACTTCATCTGTATTTGTCATCTCTCTTGGTCTTGTACTTTTGTGTACCCTTCCTGCAAAGCAAGTTTCAAATGACTCCTACAGCCAATTTTATTGTACTCAAGTTATGGATTGCTACTGGAGGAAAAGATCACATGGCTTCAGGGATACAGTCAAAGATTTATGGTCTTCAGCCTTAACCAGGTGGACAAAATTGCTTGGATGGCTGTTACGTATTCCTAGTCTCTCTCTCTATTCTTATGGTTGCTGTTTCACATCTTTACTTCTTAAAATCCCCTACTTCTCTTCTCTTTTTTTTTGGGATTTTCAAGTTGTTTTATATCTGGTACTTAGGGAAAATCCTGTCCTTCATTCCATAAATGTTATCTGTGTCCTTACTTAACTTTGTCTGCTACTTGGTGTTTTCTATTAGCATTCACACAAATAGAACCATCTGCCTTTTTTTTTTTTTAAGTGCTTAAAACTCTTGACCTTGTATTTTCTGGCTGCTATCCTGTTGTTCTTCTCTTCAAAGATAAGCATTAAAAAAAATTGCTTATACTCACCTCCTGTAGTTTTTTTTTCTGCTTATTTATTTCCAGTCTGCCTTCTTCCCCTATCTTTCCATTGATACAGCTTTGAGAGTGGTTTCCAATGACAATAAGTAGATTTTTCTGTATCCTTAGATTGACCAATCCAGAGCATTTGGTATAGTTAACCACTTCTTGAGGGGGCTGCTACAGTTGACCTCCTTTGAAATGCTTCTGGGAACTCTTTGATTCTTCTTTTCTCTCAGCTTTTCCTAGGTTTGTTTAGGTGATTATGATGGGATGTTGGTGTTGCTTCTTGGCCTGCTTCCTACTCTGTATGCTGTATTTGGATTCATATCCATGGCCTTGATACCATTTAAATGTTGATTACTTAAGATATTCATTATCTGTCTAACCTAGATGTTTCTAGCATTTCTAACCTTTATATATACAACTGCCTACTAGACATTGTCTTCCCAAAGTCCACCTTAACTCAGATGATTTCTACTTTTAACAGTTGGTACTCACCATTCATCTTAATTGCTCAAGCCCAAATTAAGAAATCTGAATTTTATCACCCTTCTACAAGTTAGTTACAGAGATCTGTCATTTCATGTCTTTAATATCTAACCTAGCATTGTCCAATAGCAATTTGATGCAAGCCACATATGTAATTAAGCTTTCATAATAACCACATTTAAAAAGTAAACAGGTGAAACTAACTTTAGTTTTATATTTTATGTAATTGGGATATCTAAAATTTTATTTCAACATGCAATCAGTATAAAATTATTAATAAGATATTTTTGATTCTTATACTAAGTCTTTAAAATATGATATTTTACACTTACAGCACATCTTAATTCAGACTAGCTACATTTCGAGTACTCAGTAGCCACATGTAGCTAGTGGCTACCTTAATGGCTAGTAGAGTTCTAACCTATATTTCTCTTTATCCTTACTACCTCTATCTTGGTTCAAGCCTTTATTTTTCCCCTGAGCAGCTGGAGCAGCTCTTGGGGATTACTACCATTTTCTCCTCCAGTTCATCATCAATATTCTTGTCAGTAGTAATTTTCTAAAGTATGAATGTGACTCTGCATGTGAATTCATGTGATTGTGCATTCCTCTTTGTATCTTTAGTGTTCTTCCTAAGCTTTCAAGATGAAGTCTAAGTTCCTAAGTATGGCCAACAAAGTCCTTCCTCATCTGACTTTTGCTTAACTTTCCTAAGCTATAGTTCCTTGATCCTAAAAATGAGTTGTATTGAACTGTTTGTAGTTCCTATAAGGAACCATACGCTCTTCTTGCTTTTGGGCCTTTGCAGTTAATAACTCAACTGACTGAGACCCATATTCTCCAGCTCCCACCCTCATCTGTCATCAAATTAAGGTCTACTAGTCAGTCCTTCAGTATCTAAAGGATCTGATCCCAGGATAGGATGAAACACCCTTCCTTGTTTGCTCTTATATATCCTTCTGTGCTTTCCTGTATCAGGGCATTTATCACTGAATTATTTTAATTGTCCTCTAGCTTATCTCACCTCCCTATTAGATTCTTAGCTTCTTGAGCAGGGATCTTGTTTTTATTAGCTTTTATATTCCTGTTTACTAGAACACACATATATGCTTGGCATATTGTAAGTATGTTGAATGAATGAGTGAAGGAATGAGGTAAGTCTAGGAAGTTAAGATCTGAACTCTAAGTTCAGAGCAAAGAAAAATTGATTTAAATTTTAAGTTATCTCATTCTTGTATGTATTTATAGAGTTAAATATTAGAATCTTTTTAACAGATTAACTGAGAATCCAGAATAGGATTAAGAAAATAAAAGTTGGTTCTGTCAGTACCCAGTTGTTCATATCAGTAAAAAGAGGAGAGCTGGGGGCATGCTAAATAGGTTATGAACCTTTAAAATAGTTGAGGGATGAGGAACATAAAAACTGATATTTAGGACATGCCTATGTAATCTTGTAATATTTTAGTTTTCATATTATATTAAATCTAGAATCTAGGCATTTTTAGACCAGTTATACTTAAAATATTTAAAACATTTAAATGGCAAATGAATTTCTTTAACTTTTCCCTTAGGCTGTATGAGAGATGGTAGGAATTTGACTAAGCAAGTACCAGACACATATCTGTGTATGATATAAGGCTTTTGTTAGGAATACTAAGGAGTTGAGAAGTAAACTTCTGCATTAATATCTTTTCCTTTTGTAGTCTGTGGTTGTTTTTCATATTTAGAATTACTTACACTTTAGGAGAAACATACTTCGTCAGTGTGTAAAACAATATGCTATATATATGTATATTTATATATATATATATTTTTTAAAATCCAAAGGGAGGCAGATTGGAGTTATTTAGAAAAGATCAATGGCTATTTTTGAAATACAAAGTTACTAATGTAAACCTTGGATTTTTGTAGCTTGATGTTTAAACTGCAAATAGAATTTGGGTGTGTTAAGGTAATTTGAGGTGCGCATTATAATCCCTAGTCATTTTAGTTTTTTATTAAACATCTCATTTTGTAATGATATTGGGAAGTTGAAGGTTTGTAGTTCCTTCTAGGGTTGTTTTTCTCAAATTCTGATTTTTATTAGGCATCCATTCTGTTACAAACTCCCCTTGATCAATTTTTTGTTACTAAAAAGCATATTTAATAGTTTTCAAAATAAGTTGCTGCTTTTTCCTATTGGAAAATTTTTATCTACTGGAAAATTTGTTGAAAATTAGTATTCAGAGTTTTAAAAATGGTAATGGCATTTTAGATAGCAAGATTTGGGTAACTTTGGAATAGGAACAAATGGCAAGAGAACGTAAAGAATTCTTAAAGAATTTCAGTAATCTATCTATTAGAACTTGTTTGAAGCGTGCTGTTACTTGAATATATTTGTGCTGAACTAATGTAACCTTAGAAGGAAGGTTAGAACTAAGTTACCGGATATTGTATTTAAGTTGATTTTTCCATCAAACAGTGGAGTTACCGTAGTTTGATTTTTCTTAACTATGCTTTTAACATACAGATTTAACATCTAAAAGATTTTGTAAAGCATATCTAGCAGATACGCTTTTAGAAAAGATTATTTGATAAATGTTTCTTCTTAAATGACTAATGTTTGAAATCAAGGAATACTTTAAAGACCTAGGGGTATTTTTGTAGAAGCTTGGGTGAATATGCTTTTATTTATACATACTTATAAATGCCACAATTGTATCACTCACATCTATAAATAATGTTCCTTATCCCGAGATATTTCACACTGGCACTGTGAACATTTGTGCAGGAAAAGAATCAGTGGGTGGTTAAGTCTTTTGAATTACAGACTATGGTTGATTTTAGAATTTAGGGTATGGAAAAATTCTTATGAGATATGACAAGTCTATATGTTTTAATCGACCAGTATTAAATTTTTTATTTTTTTTGAGACAGAGTCTTGCTCTGTCATCCAGGTTGGAGTGCAGTGGCGCGATCTCCACTCACTGCAACCTTTGCCTCCCAGGTTCAAGTGATTCTCCTGCCTCAGCCTCCAGAGTAGCTGGGACTACAGGTGTGCGCCACTATGCCCAGCTAATTTATGTATTTTTAGTAGAGACAGGGTTTCACCATGTTGGCCAGGCAGGTCTCGAACTCCTGACTTCAAGAGACCTGCCTGCCTCGGTCTCCCAAAATGCTAGGATTACAGGCTGGAGCCATTATGCCTGGCCAAATTATTAGTATATTTTCTAAATAGTATTTGTGCTAGGTAGCTTCAGAGCCATATTTTTGTATCTGATAGGACACTTCTATACGAATTTTGGGATGATATGTTTTTAGCCAAACCCATGTTTTATCTTTGTACAGAGTTTCTTCCTCAGAAGATGTTTTCCTGAAAGAGTAGTCATTCAGATTTTTAAAATATCTACTGTGTGTCAGCACTTTGCTAAGAACATAGAGATGAATATGACATGGTTCTCTCCCTCTGGGAAATCAGTCATATGGGGGAACTGACAAAATGTTTAAAATAATTTTATTTTAAAAAATATTTATTATAATAATTACATGCAAATAATTGTCTACTGTAAATCATCCTAGTTACTCTTCTTTGTCACCATGTTACTGAGACTGCTCTTATTTTTTAAGTTACCAGTGACCTTATTTCCAAATTTTATCAGTATGTCTGTTTCTGTAATGGTATCTTTCTCTGTAGCATTCAGCATAGTTAAGTGAATCCTCCATCCCTGAGATGATCTTGGTTTTCTTCCTGTCTCCACTGACTGATCTTTCTCTGCTCCAGGGCTTTGCCTCGACCCCCTTCTTCTTTTTTTTGAGACTGGAGTTTCTCTCTTGTTGCCCAGGCTGGAGTGCAGTGGCACGATCTCAGCTCACTGCAACCTCTGCCTCCCAGGTTCAAGCGATTCTTGTGCCTCAGCATCCCAAGTAGCTGGGACTGCTACAGGCACATGCCACCAAGTCCGGCCCATTTTTGTATTTTTAGTAGAGATGGGGTTTCACCATGTTGGCCAAGATGTTCTCGATCTCCTGACCTTGTGATCCACCCGCCTTGGTCTCCCAAAGTGCTAGGATTACAGGCATGAGCCACCGTGCCCTGCCGACCTCCTGTTTATCTATAGTCTGTCTTTGGGAATCCAATCCTGTTTCAATAGTATCTGCATGGCGATGATTCCTAAATCTATATTTTCAGCACCAACCAACCATGAAATTTCTCACTCTGTTGTCCAGGCTGGAGTGTAGTGGCATGATCACAGCTCACTGAAGCCTCAACCTCCTGGGCTAAAGCAATCCTCTCGCCTTGGCCTCCCAAAGTTTGGAATTACAAGCATGAACCGCTCTGGATGGCTGAGAGCTATCTTTAAAACAGTAATCAGGTCACTTGCCTATGAAAAACTCTCTAGTGTCTTCCTATCATGCCTAAAATAACATCCATATACTTCCTACTTTGGCTGAGTCCCAAATGATCAGGCCCCTGCTTGCCTCCCTGACCTCATTTCCTATCACTCATCCCCTTGTCCACTACTTCACTTCATTATAGTTCATGGACCTTCTTTTTTTTTTTTTTTTTTTTTTTTGGAGACGGAGTCTCGCTCTGTCATCCAGGCAGGAGTGCAATGGCACGATCTCGGCTCACTGCAGCTTCCACCCCCTAGGCAGGTTCAGGCCATTCTCCTGCCTCAGCCTCCCGAATGGCTGGGATTACAGGCACACATTGTCAGTCCCGGCTAATTTTTTGTATTTTTTAGTAGAGACGGGGTTTCACCATGTTGCCCAGGCTGGTCTCAAACTCCTGACCTCAGGCAATCCACCTGTCTCGGCTTTCTTTTTACTCTTGGAAATACCAAGTTCATCCCCACTTTAGGGCCTACCCCTTTGCCTGGAATGGTTTCCCGCTTTCCACAATTTTAAAATAATACTGTGTGCCAAAGACTGTTCTTGTTGCTAAGGATAAAGCAGTGAATAAGAGACAAGGGCAGACCCTGAGTCATTTTTGTTATACCTCTTATCTGATGAGTTCCTTCAAGGTGCAGTCTAAAATACTGTATTCTTTGAAACTACTGGTGCAACTTGCTCTCAGTAGCTTCCTTTTTTGATGTACCATTTATGTAATTCATTCAATCTCTGCGTTGATGGAGCTTACATTGCGGGCAGGGTGGAGGTCACAGTAAACAAGTTGGGTAAAATGTGTGTTGGATAATGGCAAGAGCTAAGAAGAAGCATACAGCAGGCAGCAAAGTGCTAAGGTGAGGAGTGGGGTCGTAATTTTAAATAAGGTGATTAGGGCAGGCCTTTTTGAAGGTGACATTTGAGTAATAAAAATAATCTGTGGCTGGGCTCGGTGGCTTACGCCTGTAATCCCAGCACTTTGGGAGGCCAAGGCGGGTGGATCATGAGGTCAGGAGTTCAAGACCAGCCTGGCCAAGATGGTGAAACCCCATCTCTACTAAAAATACAAAAATTAGCCGGGTGTGGTGGCACATGCCTGTAATCCCAGCTACTTGGGAGGCTGAGGCAGGGAATTGCTTGAACCTCGGAAAGAGGTTGCAGTGAGCCGAGATCGCGCCACTGCCCCCCAGCCTGGGCAACACAGTGAAATTCTGTCTCAAAAAAAAAAAAACTATTCCAAATAAAAAAAGCAACAAGTGCAAAAGCCATGAAGTGATAGTATGCACTGTATGTTTGGGGGGTAGTTAGGGATTCAGTGTTGGGGAAAGTGAAGTGAGCAAGGGGAGGAAGTGTAGCAGGAGATGAGGCCAGAAGTAAGAGTAGAGCCAGATCTTGCTAGGCTTTGTTGGCTAGTGGCTTTCATTGGTACACATTGGAACTACTTGAGGAGCTTTAAAAAATACTGATGGATGGGTTTCGCTTGCAGAGATTAATGTAATTGATCTGGAGGTGCAGCTGAGACATTAGGATTTTATAAAAGCTCCCCCAAGTGATTCTAAGATGCTGCTAAGGTAGAGAAACACTGTAGGCCATCATTGGGACTTCGGCTTTTACTTTTGAGGAAGTTCGGAAGTCATTGGATGATTTTGTCATGGAATAATTTTGTAATTAACTTTAAAACTGGGGTTTTGTTTATTACATTTAATTACCTTAACTATAAAACGGACTCCAGTTGTTTGAAGTGGGTTGTGATATAACTCATAGATTTGTATCAGTATAAAAATGCACACTTTTCACAGTTTGGCCAAGGATTATCTATTTTATTTTCTGTGCTTCATTAGTTGCCTTTTAGTTTTCACAGTTCACATATGTCTCCTCTTTCCATCTGTTTCTGCTTATCATCTTTAGCTTCCTTCCTTTTCCTGTATCTAAATGTCTACATTTCTTTAAATTCTGGACTTCAGTTTAATTAATAGAACTTGAAATACAGCATTGTATAAAAAGGTTTTAACCAAAACATTTGCATTTGTCTGATCTGAGCTGTCTTAATCCAGTGACTGACAAAGCAAAATTGCATGAAATTTACATTTTTTTTCTTCTTGTAATTTAAAACTTGGTTCCTGTATACCTTCCTGGATCTTTATACTTTTGTATCTTTTCTACCATTTCTGTAAAACCTCAACTGCAGGGTGCAATAATGGGCCTTATTTTCTATATTTCAGCAGGACAGTTGCTGAAAATGGGTTTAAACTCACTGGCATTATATCCCACACAAAAATATATTACTTTGACATGTTTAGAAAAAAGTCTGCCTTTAATTTCTTTGTAATTTACCTCTAATTTGTTGAGTTACATGTAAGTAACTTTTTTTTCCCCTCTGTCTTGCTGTGTTTCAATGGATTTGCCTCTCCTGTTTGGACTGAATATGTCATTACAATTCTTGGAATTCTTTGTTTACTGTTCCTCTGTGGATTTCTTCTGTTGGAATCTGGAACACTGGAATGATGGAAATGTGTTCTTTACAAAGTAGCTGTGAGTATACTACATAATTTATAGAGTTTTTTTCAGTCTCAGTTAACTTAAATTTAATTTATAGTTGGATGAAATATGAGCCAAGGAAACCTTAGGTTTAATGCATATTTCTAACTCCACTCATAGCAGACTTTCAAATATTTGACTTAAAAATGTTAGATTCTGATTAGTCTCCTAATTATTATGTTTATAGTTAGCTTTTCATTTTAATGGGCTTCGTTTTTAAAATTTGGCTTAAGAATTAGTTTTATGAAATGAACAAAAGAGCCAAAGATTATGGATGGAATATTTAGCTACATGACTAGTAAACATTGTAGACTTCTGTTCTTTGTTAAATCCAAATGTATTGAATTGATGTTTTGATCCCATGATTGCTTTTTAAATGAGAATTTAAATGTGGCAGAAACTTTTAAGAGAATGTGTGCCTCTTTTTGCTATTTTTTAATGTTGAGATAAGACTGCCTCCAAAGTAAAATTAACCAATGAGACTCTGCTTATTCAAATAGTCTTAACTACGGACAGCATTTCTCACCCATGGGTAAGTTAGAAGTCAGACTTATTTACTACACCAATTTGGAAGTAGATTTCTTTCAGTTACTCACGAAACTATTGTTGAGGTCATCTAGGAATAAAAAACCAATAGAAAATGAAGTTATAAGTTACTTTAAAACCTGGATAAACCTGAAGATAAAGGCAGTAGGATCATGTGAAACCTTGAAGTGACAAAATTGGACCTGGCATAACAGCTTGAATGATACTGTAGCTGGTTGACACTGATCACAAGAGCCTTCAAGAGTTTATTTTTTAAAATTGCTTTAAATTCAACATTTTGATTTCATTTCATGAATAAGAAGACAAATTTCAAGAATCTCATGCCTGTGGTATAATTAGTCAGTGTGATCAAAGGAGATAATTAAAAAGGATTCTTAATATGATATGAAGGGGATTTGAATTTTTTTATTGTGAAGAATCCTTTGTTATTTTGCTTTTTTAGTTGGTTGGTCAATCATCTTGTTACTAACTACTGTCAATTGAAATCTTTGCTCTGAGGCAGGTTTTCTAAATTTTTATTTCATTCCCTTGGATTTTTATAATTAACCATTATATTGTCAGTCAACTCATGCTCAAATAATTTTGTCCATTTAAGAATTGATAGTTTTATTGATAATGCCATGAAAGTAGTTTGATTTGCTGTGAATAATAGTATAATTTTCTAAAATAGGTTAATGAAGGGAATTTGAAAGTGTGATTGAATAGTACTGTTGATACATGAATAACTTGGCCCTTTTTGCTTTTGTCAGCAACAGAAGAACCTTGAAGGCTATGTGGGATTTGCCAATCTCCCAAATCAAGTATACAGAAAATCGGTGAAGAGAGGTTTTGAATTCACGCTTATGGTAGTGGGTAAGATATGATTTCTTACTAAAATGGAACTTTGGTTTAAGTTTTAAACGTTAGTCAACTCTGAATAGATTTAAGAAAACACTGGCACAGATATCTACAGTGATCATATCTTTGTTGTATTTTCTCTTATGTGCATACATTTTAAAATTTAACTCAGTGGCATAATGGGATTTATGTCTTGCCTCTTATTTTAAGGTAGAAACTACAAGTTGAGAAATGGTGGGTGATAGTGTTGGAGTGGAACTCTAGAGAAGTTATCTTCAATTCATAGTGCTACAAAAGAAAATAGCATCTGGTGGTTACTTACTACTCCAGGATAGTTTTGTTTTCTGGCTTATATGCTATAGTGGAGTATCATATAAGCATTTAACTTAATGTGCTCTGAATTTTGAAAAGAAAGGTAGGATAGAGGATCATAATAATGTAGTTGATTACCCTTGGAATTCATTAATTGAATGTAAGCACTGGAATGAGTAAAATATGACTCTCCTGGTTCTCTAATTCAGTCTGAGTTTTCTTTTGTGTGTTATTCCATGAACACATTACCCTGCCTATAGTCCATTTGAAAATACTGTTAAGGATAATTTTGACTGTAGGTTGGTAGCATCATTATTAAATATGAAGAAACACACTGTGTCTTTCCCATCTATAAGATTAGTTATCTTCAATAACAGTCTTACTCTTAAATGACTATACAGTATTTTCACCTCATATAGGCTGACTTTAGAACCTAAGTTACGAATATTGTATAGTGTAACTTTGTTGTATTTCTGTTATTTAAGAAGGTGAATTGCAGGGTAGTGGATTAGCTATCCTTAACAAAGAAAGTTGAGTTGATGCTTGACTTTTTAGGTAGTATACATTTTTGTTAACTATGTTTCAACATCTAGTATTTTTATTTTGGTGCTGAATTAGGTTAATTGAACTAGCTGTGAAATACTCCTTTATTGGGAGGTAGAATATTTTATCTACTGACTGCAATATTTTACCTGTTGGTCAGTTTTTGGCTCTTTGGAAGTTGTATACATCGTCAGAGTTCACAGTTAAAACAGGTACAGAATATGCAAATTTGATACTTTATAGCATTGGTTACCTTGTCTATGTATCTCTTGTTGAGTAGAAGTATGGTATATCTAGCTTGCAAACTGCTGCTGTGGAGTAGAGATGGGTCTAGATAGAGGGATAAAATAATGCAGAGCATACCTTTTCTTCGGTAGGTTGGTAACATCATCATTATATGAAGAAACACTGTATCTTACCTTTACATATGTAATATTAATAATCTCAAGTGACAAACTGTAGACAAATACAATTTTTTCACTTACGGGAAAACCTCCTAGGTCCATTAGGAGAACTGTAACAATTAAAAAAATTTCCTTTGACTTTAGAATTTTTGTTTAAAGAATTACTTTTTAAACTATACTTAGTAGGATAATGTCTGGTGATCAAGGCCAGAGAGTTGATTTAAAATCTCTGTGGCATTTTTCCAAATGAAAAAAATCAAATAATCATCTGATTTTGATTTTTAGAGGAAATATTCAGTCTCTAGATGTATATTACTTATTAGCTTTTCTAATTAATCCCTTTGTGAAATGCAGCTTTTCTTTTTTCTCTTCCTAATGATAAGACTTCAACTGAGGCCAAAGAAAAATAGGTGTTAATATCCTTACTTTCAAGTGTTAATATCCTTATTCTGTTTTCCCACTGAGCCTTGAACATTGTTTAATTAACTACATTTGAATAGATATATTGAGTGCAGGTATTAAATATTTTCATCTATATAGGTGTAGTGCCTTATACATAGTCACTTACTAAGTATCTAATCACTTAGTATCTAATATGTTGATTTATTTTTCAGATTTTAGGCTGACTCTAACAGCATCATTTGCAAATCATAGAAAGCTGAAACCAACCTTGCTTTAATATTCTTGACTTAAAAACTTTCAGCTATTCCTTATGAGCTAAATCCTCATTTTTGGGATCTAAACTCAGAATAAATTTGGCTCCCACATTACGACAGTTCATTTACAACTTACACATTGATATCAACTGAGAATCTGTAACAGATTTTTTTTTTATTAAACTCTTTGTACTTTGTTGGAAAACCTTTAATAATCTTGCTTCATAAGCAATGTTTATTGAGTACTTGCTTGAGTGACTTATTTGTATCAAAGAAGCATGCTGTGTATTCCCATATTTTCTGTCTTAAAGGAGCTTCTGATTTATATGACAAGATAAACCACATAGAAATATGAGTCAGTAGAATCATACAAAAGTTAAGAGCCATAGAAGTTTAAGGGTATAGGACAGTTTGCCTCAGTTGGAGATTATTATTGCCTTCTTTTGAAAAGGGAGGCATTAGGACAAATTTTTGAAGGATAGAATTGGGGCCAAGATTGAAGGAGCAGTCCTGTTGGCGGAAATAATAGCCATCATTTACATAACTTTTTTATGTGCCAGGTAATGTTTTCAGTACTTTATGGGCATTATCTGCTAACTTACGATTCTTACAACAGCCCTATGAAGTAGGTATTGTTATCCCATTTTGGAGCTGAAGAAACTGAGGCATAGCGAGATTAGGTTACTTGCCCATGGTTACATTGCTAGGAGATGGCAGAACCAAACCCAGTCTACTGCTCAGTTAGTCTGGGATGTTCTTAACCACCATGCAGAGGCTAATCTGGGGATACTGGGTATAGTGCAGTGTTTATAAGAGTACATCCAATATGCCTTGAACTTAGATGAATTCAGTGAAAGAGAGAATGAATGAGAATGAGAACTAGAGAACTTAAATAGTACAAGTAATTTTTCCTGTTATTCCACTGGAATGAGCATCTGGCCTAGAGTGGGTGTGAAGTGGGAGAGGTGCATTTGCTATTCTCCTAGTCATTATTAGCTTCCACATAGTTTGATAGTGTGAACTCCTCACTTTGCTGAATGTTATAGTCTAGGGACAACAGGGCACCTAAGTACAAATTGGTCACTTTTTATGTGTTCAAAGAAACAGTTACCTATTTTAGTGGAGGAGGAAGATAGGTTGTTAGCTTGTATGTAATTGTGCTTTATGGATGATATAAGGAATTTTTCAAGATTTTTTTCACAGCACACTGACTTTAGGATCTGACCCCTAAGGTGTAACTTTACAATTAAAATTAAGCTGGAAAGGTAGACTAGCCAGGATTTTGGAGACCCTGATTGACAATTTGATGGGGAGATTAGAATTCTTGATTTTGAATCTTTAAAAATTTAGGCATATCAAATAATGAAGACATGTAGATCTCTATTCAGTGAAGTTGTCTAACCTGTTTGGCTTGGAACTTGACTATCATTAGTGTGCTCCCTAATTAGACTTAACTGTGATAGAGAATAAATTTTTAATTGTAATATCCTGTTTTTACTAGAATTCTTCAAGGAGGCAGAACTCAGAAAACTGTAGTTTGCTTTATTTAACTTGAAATAGTTTTTAAAACAGGTAGTATTAAACCTATTATTCTGAATCCTAGGAAGATAGAATCCAAAATTCAGTCATTTCTGTAATCTTGAACTTTGCAAAATTTTTGTGATAACAGAATTTTAAACATTTAATGATATGTCAATAATGTATTTGACCTATGCCACATGTGTTTAGTGGCAGATTGGCACTTCTATTTTTTTTTCCAGTGGGAGAGAGCTTAGAATATGTTGGTTTGGCCATTTTTTGGGATTCAGAGTTTATCCTAATTTTTTTTTGGTATATGCCTTATCAGAGAAAGTTTAGGAGTTACTTAGTTAGTGATAGGATATACGATGACTATCCTAGTTGTCATTTTCCTCCACTGCCTGTTGATGTTTGAATTGATAAAATAACATCTATATCAGTTTATCAGGTTATTTGAAAAAATTGAAAGATAATATTGGCTCAAAATTTTGTATCTAGGCTGTTGAGCATTTTGTGGTATTTTTAAGATATGTTAATTCCGTGAAATGTTTTGAGTTATGATTTTAAGATTTTTCCTTGAGCTCTGTATTTTTATTTTGCTTTTATTAATAGAAGTAACTTAACTGATAATGACTTCACAACATTGGGGATATACTAAAAACCATTGAATTATACACTTTAAAATGGTGAATTTTATCTTAGAAAAAGTAATTCAAAAAGAAAGTTTAGAAGAAAAAAATCACATAATTCCACATGTCCACTATTTTAATTTTGTACATTCCTTCTAGCTGTTAAATCTGAATATTCTTTAAAGCACTTAAAAAATAAAGTTAATATATTTCATTGCAGAAATTGGGAAATGCAGAAAAGCAAAACGAAAATAAATATTGTCATCTGTCACCTATTGATAATAACTCTTAAGTATAGGAACATTTAGTATTCTTATGTGTATCTGTAATGTTCTATGATTGCCTTTTAAATGTGTAGTTAAATTGTGATTATCTTGTGATATCGTACGTTCTTTCATAACCTATCTATTGGTCAAATTGTAGACTTTAATGGCCTGTATAGGTTAGATATATCATTCTTGGTCATATTGTCAGGATAGTTAAAATTGCTAGCTAGTATTAATACTATAATAACATCGTTATAGTTATACCTTTGCTTCAATTTTTATTTATTTTCTTAGAATAATAAAGCTTTGGAAGTTTGAATTGCTGTTAAGATTGATGCATTGATTTAAGGGTTTTGATACATAATACCAAATTGCTCTAAAACAAGTTGTGTACCATTTTGTATGCTCATCAAGTGTTGACAGCACTGTTTTTCCTGAATACTGCCAACATTGGATATTAATCTGATTCCTAAAACGTGGTATCTTATTTTCATCTGTATTTTATTGTTGCTAGTTATTTTATTTATTTATTTTTTGAGATGGAGTCTTGCTCTGTTGTCCAGGCTGGAGTGCAGTGGTGCAGTGTTGGTCCACTGCAACCTCCACCTCCCAGGTTCAGGCAGTTCTCCTGCTTCAGCCTCCCTGGGACTACAGGTGTGCACCACCACCCCCAGCTAATTGTGTATTTTTAGTAGAGATAGGGTTTCACCATGTTGGCCAGGCTGGTCTTGAACACCTATATTGACCTCAGGTGATCCACTTGCCTCGGCCTCCCAAAGTACTGGGATTACAGGTGTGAGCCACCACACCTGGCCGTCGCAAGTTATTGTTTATTTATCTTTGATATTCTTTTATAAATGGTGTGTTCCAGTTTATTTTTAAAAACTTTTTTTTTCTTAAGTTTAGGTAGGTAGGTACTCTGAGGGCATTATTATTATTTTGTTGTTGGTAGGCATTGACATTTTTTTCCAGAATTTTTTGTGTGTTGTGTTTTCTATTAGCTTGATTTTTATATTATCCAAACTTCCTTCCTTCCTTCCTTCCTTCCTTCCTTCCTTCCTTCCTTCCTTCCTTCCTTCCTTCCTTCCTTCCCTCCCTCCCTCCCTCCCTCCCTCCCTCCCTCCCTCCCTCCCTCCCTCCCTCCCTCCCTCCTCCCTCCCTCCCTCCCTCCCTCCCTACAGGGTCTTGCTTTGTCACCCAGGCTGGAGTGTAGTGTCACACTCTTGGCTCACTGCAGTCTCTGCCTCCTGGGTTCAAGTCATCCTCTCCCCTCAGCCTCCCAAGTAGCTGGGACTACAATTGTGTGCCACCGTGCCCAGCTAATTTTTTGTTTTTGTATTTTTTTTGTAGAGGTGATGTTTCACCATGTTGCCCGTGGCTAATCTTGAACTCCTGGGCTCAAGCGATCCATCCGCCTTGGCCTCCCAAAGTGCTAGGATTACAGGTGTGAGCCATTATGCCCGACCTCAGTCTTTTTCTTTGTGGTTTACTTAATGTCTTCTTGCTTGATTCAAGGTTATTAGAAGTTTTACTACATATTAAATATAAAGACTAAATGACTAATTAAAGACTAATTTTTTATTTTGAAATCTTAAATCCGTATGGTTTTTTGATCTAAGTTGTGAGGCAGGAATCTGATGTTTATTTTTTAAATGGTTGAGTAGCCCTACCAAAACCGTTTGTTACAAGCTTAATTTTTAAAAGTGTATATGCTTGGTTTGTTTTCTTTCTTACCCTTTGGTTTAGTTCATTGGTCTTCCTATATAAATACTACATTCTTGGAGTTATAAATTTCCAGCAATTATGTTGTTGATTTATGTAGGAAGATTACCAGAGTTTATGTTAATTTAGGGAGATAGGCAAACAGTAAGTCAAATGATTACAAACTGCTATTTTCTAGAAAGAAATAAACATGGTGAGACTTATTTGGAGTCATCAAGGAGGACCTGCCTTTTTGAAAAGGATATTTTTTCATGCTAATTCCTGAATTACATGACAGTTAGGAAATACTAAAAAGAGAAAAAAAGGAAAATAAAGACTTAGCAGCAAGAGATAATAATCATTAATATATGCTGTGTTTATCTTCCATATTTTACTTTGACCACTGTGTAATGTTTCCAGCTGTGGCTATCTGATATTTTACCATTGCTTCATCATTTGACATTTGAATGATTTGTTTTGTTTAATCTCATAATAATGCTGCAATAAAAATTTTACAGAATGGAAATTTTGGTCAACATTTTAACGATAATGCTTAATGGCTATATGTGTATTCTAATCTGAGATGGAATATGCTATAATTTTTGTAATTTATGTTATGTTATGTTATGTTATGTTATGTTATGTTATGTTATTTTTGAGACAGAGTCTTGCTCTGTTGACCAGGCTGGAGTACAGTGCGCTATCTCGGCTCACTGCAACCTCCACCTCCCAGGTTCAAGCAATTCTCTGCCTCAGCCTCCCCAGTAGCTGGGATTATAGGCGCCTGCCACCATCACGCTCAGCTAATTTTTGTATTTTTAGTAGAGATGGGGTTTCACCATCTTGGCCAGGCTGGTCTTGAACTCCTGACCTTGTGATCCACTTGCCTCGGCCTCCCAAAATGCTGGGATTACAGGCGTGAGCCATTGCGCCTGACCTGTAATTTATTTTTTTACTGATGGACACTAGGTTTGTTTTTACCCCTACCCTTGTTACAAATAGCATGGCAATGAAGATCTTTAAACACACAGAGTTTTGTTATATGTATGTTGGCAGACAGAGGGCAGTATCATTTTTATTTATTTGTTAATAATTCCTGAAGTAGGATTATTAGATCAAAGTATTTGAACATTTTGTGGCTCTTGGCACATACTGGCAAATTGTTCCTTTCTTTTCTTTCCCTTTTCCTTTTTCTTTTTTTACCTTCCCTTTTTCCCCTTCCCCCTTCCTCCTTCCCCCTTCCCCCATCCTTCCTCCTCCCTCCCCCTCCTCCTCCCCCTTCCCCCTCCCCCCTTTCCCCTCCCCCCTTCCCCCCTTTCCCCTCCCCTTCCCCTTCCCCTTCCCTTTTCTTCTTTTCTTTTTGAAACAAGGTCTTGTTCTGGTGCCCAAGCTGGAGCCCAGTGGTATAATCAGAGCTCCCTGCAGCCTTGAGCCCCTGGACTCAAGTGATCGTCCCACCTCAGCCTCCCAAGTACCTGGGACTACAGGCACACACCACTATGCCCAGCTAATTAAAAAAATAAAAATAAAACAAAATTTGTTTTGTAGAGATGGGGTCTCACTGTGTTGCCCAGGCTAACCTTGAACTCCTGGCCTAAAGCAGTCCTCTCTCCTTGGCTTCCTAGAGTGCTGGGATTACAGGTGTGAGTCATCATGCCTGGCCAGCAAAATTGTTTTTTAAAAGTTTATGCTACTAAAGATTATATATTAAGAAAAAAGGAAATTTTTTTTTTCTGAATTTGAAGAGATTTATGGTGTATTTGAAGGTTAGGCTATTCATTCCATGGATGTTATGACTGTTTTAGATGCTTGAGAGGGATTTTAAAGGTACATGAATACACTATAATAGTAGAGGAGGAAAACAGTATACACATAACTATACCATGAATCATAATGTGTTAAGTGGCATAAGAAATGTGTAAACCAAATGTTATGGAAGTTTAGAGAAAGGAGACTTTACAGCTAAAAAGCATGCCATTATCTTAATCATTTACTAATTCTTGAGAAAAAATGGTACTTTTTTTCAGTAATTCGTATATTCATGTTTTGTTTGCTTAATTCTTAATCTGAATTAATGGCTTAAATCCAGTGTCTTAATCATGGAACAGTGTAGTTAGGAAAAATACTTGGAAAATCAGTCTTACAGATTGCAGTCTATTAGCCAGATGTAGCGGTGTGCACCTGTAATCCTAGCTACTCAGGAGGCTGAGGCAGGAGAATTGCTTGAACCCGGGAGGCAGGGGTTGCAGTGAGCCGAGATCGTGCCACTACACTTCAGCTTGGGCGACAGAGTGAGTGAGATTCTGTCTCAAACGTAAAAAAAAAAATGTGGTTCTGTAACAAGAGCACTATCTGGATTGACATATGTAAGAAATGTAATCTTGATAATATCCCAGTTTCATTTAGCAGTCTTTTAAAAAGTCATCAGTGTGATTTTAAAAATATAAGCAAGTCATTGAATTATGATTCTTAATCTGTTTTTGCTTCTCATACATATACTATCCTAATATGGTCTTTGAAAATAATACAAGAAACTCCAGTGTCGAAAAACACAGCTATCCTTTCTTTTGACAGACCGAGAGGCCTAAGATAAACTTCATAGTATATAGGCTGAATTAGTTAAGGATGGTCATGTTTGTCAGACCTAGAGAAACTGTTCTCTTGGTATTGAATACACTCAAGATTGATTGGATAGGTGGACTGAAGTAAAAATGGTATCACATTTGTTAATTTTAATTAGCTAGATGTTGGGACAGAAATATGAAGGCCGCATAGTCTGTCAGTATTTTAAAAGAACTCAGTACTGAACGGAAGGCAAGGACATGAAGGGAGCACATGTTAGTGTAACTTCTTTACAGATAGAAATGTAATTCTCACATAGAAGACTCATTTAGTATGTAGTTTTCATCTTGGCAAGGAAGACTGCTCTTTCTTTCTCCATAATGGGTAATTTCTAAATCTTTCCTAGTCTAGGTCATGGAGGCCAAATACTATTGTGGGTCAGGTGGGTCCATCGTTTTCTTAGGTGACTGTATCACATAAGTCTGAAATGTAATTTTAAATATGAGATAATAATATCACCTTCTGCTTAGCTATGACTACAGTCTAGCACCAAAGGAGGTCAGAATTTCCCCCTTTATATTTAGTCCATCTTTCTGTTGAAAGCATTTGTAGATTGAGTGTTTTTTGTATTATGAATCGGGTTTAGTCTCTCCCAAGGCAGGAAGTTTTCAAGTATTACATTTTTTAATACACAGCAGGTGGATTTTGTCTGAAAGATAGTTTTATGCCAGGATATTGTACTTGTTTCACTATTGAACTACAGAACCTTAGAATTATTTTAAAGATTGGAAAGGTATAACCTGTCTCCCATGAAAGACCTTTGTAGTGGTAAATTTGCCAACCTTGTTAATTTTACTCAAACTTTGTTTTTGAAAAAAAAAAAACCCTCATTTTAAGTAATAATTTTCATGTATTTATATCTAGGTCTTGGGGTTTTTTGGTCTGTTTTACTATATAGGAGTATATAGCCATTTAAAGCAGTGGCTAAGGTACTGAAGGCTGTGGATCAAATTTTTAGCAGGGAAGGGGAATGCTGAATGGGTTCACTGACTTGCCAAACTTTCTGAAATATAATTGAGATTTTTATCATGTCTTTATATTCTGGAGACAGATTGCATGTTTAGAATCTCAAAAAGGTCATCTACCTAAAATACTGAAAATTATAGGTACAAAGTATTTTATATAATTAGAAGTGTACGTCATTATTTACTGCACATGATTACTGTGCTGAAAATAATGTGTTAATTTTAAATTTTGAAACAATTCTAAACAAAAGTTACAAGTACAGTACATAACTTTTTTCCTAGGATATTTGAGATGGATGCTTCTCTTTTGTCCCCCTAAATACTTTAGTATATCTCTCTTCCTCAAGGATATTCTGCTATATAGCCATAATATACCATCAAAATCAGAAAGTAACAAGTGTATGTTATACACACACAGACACACACATTTATATATATATGTGTGTGTGTATGTATGTATTGAAAAATATAAGTGCACACTTAAATCTCCAATTTCATTCCATCACTGTAGGGGTCCTAATTTTCATCTCTCCCATATTTGTATTGTCCTCTGATGGTGAAAATACCATTATCTTCCATATGTGTACTTATTTGATCAATCCCCCTGTAATTAATCCATCACCTCCTTCAGGTTCTTCCCTTTCTTCTCTGAAAAATATTAGGGAAGAACCAGAGGGAGGTAATGGATTAGTTAATTGCAGGGGGATTAGTGTAATTAAGGGGGAGGCAGTGGCCCTGCTTACCTCTCTTGTGCTGTGATGTCTTATGCAAGGCCATTCTTCTCATGTGGATGCCCCCTCATCCTATTTAACTCAGACATCTCATGCTAGTCCATTCGTATGCTCTATTAGAAACTTTTCCTCATTCCGTAGGCTCTAATACCCTAATACCCTGTTCTGGGCCACTGTGGATTTCTCTCCAGCATGGACACCTACCTCTGTCAGTCTCACGTAATGACTTTTGGACTGAATTTTTAGGAAGAAATATGGAAAAGATAGAGCTGAAATAATTTTGAAGTGTTCAAAAGCCAGTATTTGACTGTATTATAGAATTAATTGGTATGTGAATAGAATAGTTTTTTCGATGCCTAAAAATGTAGAAAAATTAGTAAAATTGTTATTTTGGACTGCCATAGAAAAAAATGGTGGAGATAAAAAGCTCTGGAAAAATTTAGCTGGGAAATTAAAATTATCTGCATATGCCTACAAGTGTTGCAGAGTTATAATATTTACATATATTTTGATAAAGTAGCATGTCCCCCAAATTTACTAACAGTTGAAACAAATAGGCTGATATTTAGAAGGAAGAAAGTTTTAGACTTTGGGGCTTCTGTTTCTTGTACTGCCCAGAACCCTAAGTAAGCAGATGATAAATACAAGGTAATTATGCATATCAAAGAATCAAATGTGAAGATTTGATTGTGAAGAGTTCATTCTTAACTCAAGTTTTTAATGATCAAAGGCTATAAATTGTTTATTATGTTACAGATGGAAATAATTACAGCAATAACATAAAGGATGAGCTCTTTCATAGCATGCTTGTCCTGGTTCAGAGGGTAAATTTTAATTGAATGATTAGTAATTAAGTTTATGTACATCAGCAGTGTAAGTGCTAAGAATTACTGATGAAGCGGATGACATGAAAATGAAAATGATTACTTCTACCCTCAAAGGAATTTCCAGGGAAATGCACACTACTAATTACATTTAGTTGAATAAAGGTTATAGTAATGTACATTTAAAGTGCCATGTAGTCAGGAGTTTTTATTTAGATTTATGTGGTAACTTTATTAGTCTGATAGGATCGATTAGAATCTTGAAACTAGTAACTCACTATTGTGTTTAAATTTGGAATTTACAATTTATTTTGGCAATTTTGTAAAATTTTATTCATGTTTTTGACTTATGTTTTTGTCACACCATGAAAATAAGCCTTCTGTATTTAACTTTATATCTACTTTGTAAAAGTGCAGCAGCTGTTACACTGAAAAGAATATCATACTTAGTCCAGTTTAAAACTTCAATTTCTGTCACAGACAAGCTGTATGACCCTGGACAGATCACTTTGAATCTCACTTTCCTTTTCACAACAAATATTTACCTAGTCTTTTTTTTTTGAGACGGAGTCTCACTCTGTTGCCCAGGCTAGAGTGCAATGGCGTGATCTCGGCTCACTGCAACCTCCGTTCCCCTGGGTTCAAGCAGTCTTCTCCTGCCTCAGCCTCCCGAGTAGCTGGGACTACAGGCGTGCACCACCACACCAGGCTAATTTTTGTATTTTTAGTAAAGACAGGATTTCACCATGTTGGCCAGGCTGATTTCCAACTCCTGACTACAAGTGATCCACCCACCTTAGCTGGGATTACAGGTATGAGCCATTGCTCCAAACCTTACCTTGTCTTTTCTAATCCAAGCATTGTGTTGTGATTACAAAAAGTAAACGAAGGCCAGGCTCATTGATGTGTGTAATCCCAGCACTTTGGAAGGCCCAGGTAGGAGGATTGCTTGAGCCTAGGGGTTCGAGACGACCCTGGGCAACAGAGTGAGACCCCATTTCTAAAAAAATATAAAAAATAAAAATAAAAGAGCTGTGGTAGGGTTCCTTAAGAACTTGTGGGTGTAGGATGGTGGTAGAGTGGAGATACTTACACAGGAATGCTGTGTACTGTGAGTGACCACCCCTGCCTCACAGAGGGCTTGAGATAATTGTGTATATGAGTGTACTACATATATATATTATATATGTAAAATACCTAGTACATCTGTAAATTGAATAAATGTTAATTTTAAACATATTTTTATTCGTGCATTTTCATGACTTAGTTTTAAGATCCAAAACGAGGAATGAAGAAAAGGGAAAGCAGGGATGGTAGACAATGATATGCAGTTAATAAGCTAAATATTTGATTAATCCTTACTTTGTACTTCTGTTTTGGTTGAACTCTTTTGATTATAAACATTCGGGGCAAATGTGTGCTCTTTGTAATTCAGTATAGATTGCTGGGCAAAGCTGTTTTCTGGTGAGAGTCAGATTTAAAAGATGGTTGAGAATTTATTCTTTTCCTTCTTAAAACATGGTTTAGCTGAGTAGCTTAGATTCTTAAAAACACAATATGACTTTTTACCTGTCTATTCTGTGCAGGTAAATATCGTGCTCAAGTTTTTTATGTGATATGACTATTTAGTCTGAAGGGTGCACTTGCTTTATGGTTGCTGAATATTAATGCTACCCCTTGCAAACCTTTCGAGTATCTTGTTTTCCCTGGACTGTGTCAGGTATTTAATGTTAGTGATAGGAAGACTCTTAGGAATTGATTTTTTTTAAAGTTAATAAACTTTAAAAAAAGTTTTACTTTGAGATTTTGGACCTGATTTTATATATGTGGATGTTTGCCTTTGTTGTTGAATCAACATGAATTATATATTTGTTTGAAATGTGGTTGGATATTTAGATAACTCCTGTTTTTTTTTTGATATAACAGATATTCAGATATATGGCTTGAAATTTTCTTCCTATAAAAACTAGGACTTGTTACAAAATGGTTTTTGATTAGAAAAGTAATATGAAGGAAGTATATGGCATTTTAAGAGAGAGGACATCACCATTGTTAAATTTTGTTATTTTTCTGCATCTTAGGCATAGCTGTAATACCATATTTATTTTGTATACTTTCTTCATCTAATGCTGTGGCAAGCATTTCTCTATGTCAGATTTTTAAAAGCTAATTTTCAATGGCTGAATAATATTTTTATAGGTGTATCATAATACGCTTAGCCTGCCTCCCATTGTTGGACCTGGAAGGTCTCCCTCTGCCACCACACACACACTTTTTTTATTGTTAAAATATTATTGCAGTGTTTTTCTCTGTGTGTTTCATTCCTAGAAGTAAATGGCATGGTAAAGGATGTTAACTGAAAATGTCGTACCAACTAATACAGTTTCTATAGGTGTGTGAATGCTCATATGTGTCTCATCCTTGCCAATATTGAGTGGAAATCTCTTTTATTTTCCTGGAGAAGTTGGTTCTTTAGCACGAGGGAAGCATTTGAGAGTGTCTTCAGGATGGCTCAACTTTGCAGTGTCTTCAATAAATAACTTCCCATAACTTCCCACTCTGTAATTTGCCCACCTGTATTACCCCACCCCCAAGCCTCAGACTTTAGGAAATGGCATCAGGCCTGTATCTGGAGAGTTCAGAGTTCTGTGAGGTAGAGCATTCCTTCCAATGGGACCTAGAATTCCTAGAGTTGCAAAATTCTACTGATTAGACCCAGGAGGTCTCAGGAGTCCAGAGTTGCTTGGAGCTTGGCTCAGAATTCCAAGGGGGCCCATAACTCCATGAGGCCCAGAGTTCCTGGCTTGGGAACACTGGGAGGCCTGGGATACTGTGGCTTAGACTCAAGCAGAAAGGTGAACACAGATCTTTATTAGCAGATACCAAATTTGACATTTAAAGGAGATTTCTGAGCAGCTGCAGACCTCGCCAAGACCATGCAGATTCCACTGACTATTCCCATGCCAGTGCTCCAGCTGCTCAGGCTTGAAGGTATGTGAAATAATGTCACTACATTAGAGCAGTGTCTCTGCACACTTACGGGAGTCTGCAGCTGTGACACATAGAAGTTGGCCGTGTCCAGATTGGTGGCTCCGAAGTGGGCAGCCTTGTGCACACAGTCGTGCAGTGTGAAGCTCACCTGTCGACGCACTGTAGCCAGCATGCTGCAGAGGTAACATTCCCGAAGGGCAGCTCGAGCCCACTGCTCCAGGGATTCCTGCGATTCTTGAACTATGGGACCACTCTTGGATTTCAGGAACCTCTGGCTTCAAGGGCCCCAGCATCCATCAGGGGCAATGCCATGGCTGAAGCCATCAGGGCCCCCGGGTAACTGGAACACAGGCACAGGAATAGTCAGTGGAGTCTGCATTGTCTTGGTGAGGTCCACAGCTGCTCGGAAATCTCTTTTAAATGTCAAATTTGGTATTTGCTAATTTGGTATTAGAGGTTTTACATTTTATTTTACTTGCCTTTGATTATTTATTTGAAATTTTTAAAAAAGTACTGTTCTTTATTTGGAAATTTTGTACTTGCAACTTTTTTAATGTCAAAAGTCTTCTTTTTGAAACTTTTTTTGCCTAGCTTTTTATTAAGTATAGTCACACCACTAATGACAATTTCATTGTTATATTTCTTGTGAATGTTGTAACTTAAAAATAAATGAGTACAGTACTCTTTTATTTTTAAAGAAATATAGTGAGATATAATTCACATAATCATGGTATGATTCAAATACTTCATCCCTGGTCCTTAGGGGATACGTTTTGGTATATGAGATTTATAAAAAGTAAGAACTTAAAAGAATCTATAGGTTATCTAATTCAAAGAGTTAAAAACTACCCACTTCTGCTTTGAAAGCTACTTCTTAGAACCACTGTATAGAACATGCTACCTGATGAAGAATAAATCAACACCTTGCTTCCCGTCTTCTATCCATTAGATATCCAGGTAAAATAATATCTGTTTTCCTGATATTTCTCCTTTACTTACACTCCAGCATGCCACGTGGCCAGCTGTAAGTTGCCCTCTACTTTTGTAGAGCCCTTTGCTGTGTTTCTGCAAAATCTACTTTTTCTGATTCGTGTAACTCAAAACTAGCTCTATTTTCTTCCAAATTAAAACTCTTATTTTCTTAATTAATGCTGGCCCAAAATAGAAATTAGAGGGAAAGTCTTATTCCAGGATCTGAAAGACTAATAGTATTCACAAGAATACTTGATTTTTTTTTTGAGATGGAGTCTCGCTCTGTCGCCCAGGCTGGAGTACAGTGGTGTGATCTCGGCTCACTGCAAGCTCCGCCTCCCGGGTTCACGCCATTCTCCTGCCTCAGCCTCCCGAGTAGCTGGGACCACAGGCGCCCACCACCATGCCCAGCTAATTTTTTGGTTTTTTTTTAGTAGAGACGGGGTTTCAGCATGTTAGCCAGGATGGTCTTGATCTCCTGACCTCGTGATCCACCCATTTTTAAGGAGGAATGTGTATTGAATGATCAATTAGAATTTCAGGTAATGGGAAGAATTTAGAGGAGCATTGAGGGACAGCTCATAGACTGTATTTAAACCGTCAATTTCAACTGTTTTCAGTTTAGCAAAAGAACTTACAGAAATTTGGTATATATCTTATGAAACTTTGCAGACCCTAACCTAACCTAGGTCAGGCAGTATCTTTTACTACAAAATTGGGATAATCATTTTCTAAATAATCATGAAGAAAATGTTCTGAGTAGGCAGTAAGGATTTCTCTGGTAACATGATGATTTAAAAATGTAATTGTCCACTTGAACTGGGTTGTATAAAGAATGCTTCTATTTCTGAGTATAGCAAGAAAGATCCTAACATACCTCTTAGCGCCTCCCAGCCTCAGACGTGTAGCAAGTGAAAGCTGTTTGAATTGGCAAATGAGGTAATTATTGAGTAGCTGGTTGGAATGTTTGCTACTAGCTATCCAGCAGAATTGTTAGTTCTTAGTACTGGTGTAATTACAGTAATTAGAATAAGTAAACTTCTTTTAAGATAATTGCAGGGCCAGGTTATATAGAGCTTGTTTAGCTTGCCTTTTAGTATTAGCATGTACATCAGTGTGTATGTTAAAGGATACCCTAATAGATTTTGTGGAAATGGAATTGTCTTATAGTAAATTCCAGATCAACATATGTATGGAATGTATCTAATGTAGTCTAGACCAGTGGCTCCCAGTTTTTTTGGCACCAGGGACTGGTTTCGTGGAAGACAATTTTTCTGCCAGGGTGTGTGTGTGTGGGAGGGGAGCAGGATGGTTTCGGGATGAAACTGATCATCAGGCATTATATTCTTATAAGGAGGACGCAACCTAGATCCCTCACATGTGCAGTGTGCAATAGGGCTTGCATTCCTTTGAGAATCTGATGCTGCCGCTGGTCTGACAGGAGGCGGAGCTCTGGCAGTAGTGTTCACTACCACTCACCTCCTGCTGTGTGGCCTGGTTCCTAACAGGCCACGGACTGTGGGTTGGGGATGCCTGGTCTAGATTGTTCTTCACAGATTAAATCTTTACCAGATTAAGTTTATTAAAAAGTAAAACAAAGAATAGCGCCCTCCCTTGGCAAAACATCTTGGTGTGGTATCTTTTCTTCATTTTACAGCCAGATGTAAAGAAAAAATAAACCTCTACTTTTAAATTTCCCATCCAGTACTTAATTTCTCACCATTTGGCTTCTCTCCTTAACACAAAACTACTTTTATTAAAGATCAGTAAAAGGCCTTCTGGTTGTCTTTTTCTTTAACTTATTTGGCATTACTGACCATTTTTTCCTTGAAACTCTTCCTCACTTTTTGTGATATTGCCTCCTGGTTTACCTGGTTGTGTTGAAGCCTGCTTTATTAGGATCCTTTCCTGTGGGGCCATCTTTAAATGTTAATGTAATCTGGCATATTGCCCTATGTCATCCTTATTTACTAGAATTTCTTAATTTTCTTTTTAGGGACAGGACAACATGAACATAAGAATTTCTTAATTTCATCTACCTTTCAAATCATTTGGGAAGCTTCTTCAAAGTATTCTTGGAAACACTTGCCTAGATATTCTGGGCTTTGGGTCTAGGATGGAATATGATCATCTATTTTGAAATACCTCCTGAGATGACACTAATATGTATTTTGGTTAAGAACTATAGTTTGTTGCTGTCTCACCTCTTAATAGGTTTCATTTGAGGTGCTTTTTAAAATGTCAAGCCCTGTGCATTTAATTAATAAAGTAGGTATCTTGATCAAGGTCATATACTTGTAGGTGATTGAACTAGGATTTGAATTTGA
The DNA here is from genome assembly GCF_000001405.40 of Homo sapiens. Taxonomy (NCBI): domain Eukaryota; kingdom Metazoa; phylum Chordata; class Mammalia; order Primates; family Hominidae; genus Homo; species Homo sapiens. The sequence continues at coordinate 35,850,347 of NC_000007.14, forward strand.
ACAAAATTGATTTCAAAACCCAGGAGAAAAATGAAGGAAGGAGTTAGAGGAACAAGGTAGAAAAGCTCCACAGTGTGATCACCAGCTCCTCTCAGGCTTTCCTCTTGCCTCTACTCTAACATGGTAAAACATTCTGAAAGGACTTAAAGATTCTGTTTCTAAAAATCCTTTGCTTTCTTTTCTATACAATTGCTATAAAATGGTAAAAGTGGCTCCTTGAATCTACAGATATCCCAGAAAGTTGAAATGCTTATTGAAATGATACTCCATCTTTCAAAGCCTCATTGAAATGTGACCTCCTTTCCAGGCTGGTGTGATTTCTCAGTTTTCTGAAATTCTGTCGCTTTGGGGTATCTCATTCATGATTTTGATAAAATTCTGCCTTGTTTGTACATTGTTTGCATATCTTACCTCTTGTAGCATACTAAGATTTTTAAGATCAAGGACTACATCTTATCTTTGCATTCCTCGTTCATTTATTTGATAAAAATTTAATGATCACTTATAAAATGTCAGGTACTACTTTAGTCTCAGAAAATCTAGAGATTAATAAGAAATGTATATGAAGTTGAGATGCTGAGTAAAACAAAGATAAGCGAGCATCTTTAAAGCAGGACTTCTCAGATTCTTTTATTATAAATACTGTGGGATCCCAATCCCAAAGACCTGAAGAAACCTGACGTTAGCTATTATAAACAAATATTATTGTGACTTTCTTCAAAACCTTATAAACAAATAGGTGATGAATGTTTTATTTTTAGGCTTGAAATTTAACATTCTTGAGTAGTGATAGAATATGTGGCTTTCATGGACAAGTCCTCAAAGATAAGAAGGACATGGGTTATTTTAACATGCTTATTAGGTTGAAGTACATGTGTTGTATTACTGACTCTAGTTACTCTTGTTTCTTAATTTTCATAGAGTAACACCTTAAATTGTAAATATTATGTTTTGTTTTAATAAGGACAAAAAAATTTAAAATCCAGTTATTTCCCCTTAAACTGCAGTAAAATGAGGGAATGATAATGACATTGTTGCAAAACATGTATAATGCATTTCAAAGTCAGAATAAATGTAAAATAGGCATTAATTTGGAACATTCAGAAATTTATTTGGATTTATTAAAATATTAGTTTGAAGAAATATGAAATGTTACAGATATTCTTTTTATCTTGAGTAATTTTTTTCTTAAGCCAGTATATATATTATTCTGAACTCTATTCTTAAATGTTTTCTAAATAATGCAGAAGTACACTTGATTTGGGTTGTTTCCACAGATCTTGTGTTTAAGTAGAGTTTGATTTGATAGGACTGATTATAGTTCTCTATTGTTTTGCATTAATGATACTACTTCCTTCCCTTTAGTAAAGCCAATGAACAAGGATCAATTGTAGTTATAAGTCACTTTGAGATTATTAGACAAGGCTGCTATATTTTGTCTTGTAATTATAGGCCACTTGACATTTTGGTATGGAAGTAAATATTACTCTACTAAATGTGAGTAGAAATTAATATTAATGTTCAAACTCAGGCATAGCCTCACTGCTTTCAACATTCCTTTTTACTTATTTTGAGGCCAGTACCCTTTAGTGTCAATAAATTGCCAACCTTACTCTTCTACTTTACCCCCCTGCATCCCTGTTTCAAATGTTTATTCCCTTCTTAAGGCTGTCTACTTCACCTTTGACCCTTATTCTTAGTAGTTGCACTAGGGTCCTTTCTTTTTCTGTGAGAAAATGTGAATAGTAATAAAATACATTTCATTGCAACTACCTATTACTGATATTCAGGTGTCCACTGTGCCAAGGTATGATTCTAATGAGATCACTTATTCCTCACACCAACTCTGTGTTGTTGTAGGTACTGCTTTTATCTGCATTTCATAGGTGAGGGCACTGACACACAGAAGTATGGTTTGCCCAAGGTCACAAGAAAAGTTTATTGATGGAACTGAGATAAGAGATTTCAAGGAAATTTTAAGCTCTAATGGACTACTATAACCTTTGCCCCTAGACTTTTCCAAAGTTACACAACTACTTTCTTACAATTATTGGTACTTTTGAAAAAAAAAAATGAGATAACTTGGATTAAGGGTATGTGATACTTAAGGAAACACAGAAAAATTTGGAATACACTTAATTTACACCTTCAGGGTACTTCTTAGGAAAAATTTCCAGGGAAGAATAATAGTATTACCAAACTATTTTTGTATTTGTCAGGTGCTATATTTTACTCTGCTACCAAGTAAAAGGACTGCTCACTCATTACAAAATAGCTTGTTTTTAGAGCTCCCAGTCACAATGATTTGAGTAAGGTGACTTTGCTTATGGGAAATAAACTATTTTATCAGGCTTATTTGAATGACATTTTGGTAACCTCTGTGTCACGATAATAGAATCATTAAGACAATACAATAAGCTACAAATACCTCATTTATATGAGGTACTTGACTTGAGTCAATACAATAACCTACAAATACCTCATTTGTATGAGGTACTCGATTGAGTACTTTAGGAGAATATTCACTGAATCAGTGTTATTCTTGAAAGGACGTAGATCTATTATTGTATCTTGTAAAATGTTCTTTTTTCCATCTTTCTCAGCCTGCTAAAGAGGTTATGATTTAGTTTCAGGACAGATGTGGAATTTGATACTAGGGGTATCAAATTAAAGATTTGACAAGCCTTTAATGACAAGATTAAAGGCTGTTGAACTTAGTTTCTCTCTTCTTCCTGTTCTAAATTTTTAATTGCTTTATCCTTTACTTTTCCATTTGAAGCTCATTGTGGTTAGTGCAGTAAAAGCAGTGGCCCTGGTGCTCAAGCATGTAATCCCAGCCCTTTGGGAGGCCGAGGTGGGAAGATTGCTTGAATCCAGGCGTTTGAGACCAGCCTGGGCAACATAGTGAGACCTCATCTCTTAAAAAAATATTTGCTGGATGTGGTGGCATGCACCTGTAGTCTCAGCTACTCGGGAGGCTGAGGTGGGAGGATCACTTGAGCCCAGCAGGCAGAAATTGCAGTAAGCCATGATTGTGCCTCTCACTTAAACCTGCACGACAGAGTGAGACTCTCCTCGGGGCTGGGCGGGGGAAGTGGGTCAGGACATAGAGGTCAAGAAGCATGTTCCTTTCGCCTGCTCAGAGTCTGGGAAGTATAGTATGATTAAGGACATGAGATTTGCCATTCAGATTGAGCTGTAGCTCTGCTACTTGGTAGAGGTATTTGTCATTGGCAAGTTACTTTCAGAGGTTTCATTTACTTAGCTGTAAAATTGTTTAAAGAATCTTATGTAGAGTTTTGTAATTATTGAAGTCATTGAATGCATGTAAAGTGCCTAGCTCAATGTCTTTCTTATAGTTATTGAATAAAAATATTAAGTGTTATTGTTAATGAAGATACTGGTAAAATATCCCATGTCAGATATGGTCCAACCTGGTTAACCAGATTGGAAGGTAGTTGGGAATTTTGGCACAGAGTCTTTAATGGATAAATGAGAGTGGGTATTTAGAAAGGCAGTAGAACATACTGCCTGGTGTCAAATACTGATTACTGCTTATTAACTCTTTGGCACTAGTAAGTTATTTCACTTTTGTTTCTGTTTTTTCACCTTAAAATGGTATTGATAATGATGCAGATTGAGTATCCCTAATCCAAAAATCTGAAATCTCAGATACTCCAAAGTTTGAAACTTTGAGTGCTGACGTGATGCTCAAAGGAAATGCTCATTGAACCAGTTTTTGGATTTTGGATTTTCAGATTAGGGATGCTGAACTGATGAGCAATGCAAATATTCTAAAATTTGAAAAAGCCCCAAATCCAACACGCTTCTGGTCCCAAGCATTTTGGATAAGTGATACACAACCTGTAGCATCTATCTCATGGTATTATAAAGGTTAACTAAGTCAATGCTTGTAAAATACTGGCACACAGAAGAATTTATAACTTACTGGCTGTCACTGTCATTATTTTTGATGCATAGTGGTATCAGTGCTAGAGGATTTGGGGATTCAAATTTTGAAAAATGCCCCCCAGGGGACATCTCTCAACGTCTGGAAGCATTTTTGGTTGCCACAGCTGGGGAGGAGGGATGCTAACTGGCTTCTAATGGGTAAAGGCCAGGGATGCTGCCAAGCATCCTTCAATGAACAAGGCACTCCTCACAATAAAGAATTATCCAACCCAAAATGTCAGTAGTGCCAAGATTGAGAATTCCTGTAGTACAGCTGTCTGGAGCTGTAGTTGCCAGCATCTGCAGCAACCTGTGCCTGATGCCTGCCTCTCATTTACTCTGTAGTCTCTTACTGGACTCAATAATCATTTTTCTCTTAACTTTTATCCCAGTACTCCCAATCACTATATTTGCAGGTAGCCTCTTCTCAGGCATTCTTGACTTCTTTGTAGTATAACATATTATCAACCCCTTTAAATATTAAAAGTTAAAATTAAATATTATATAATTTATGGTTCTTGTAGAAAAACTGATATACAAAGAAGAAAAATTTAAATGTTTCATAACCTTTCCCATCTAGAAATAAACACTGTTACAAAGTTGGTATATTCACTTTTATTATTACCCTCCCCTTGGCTTCCCAAAGAAAGAAAAGCTTATAAAATATACATTTTATTTTTTAAAAACTAAATTCTAAAGATATTTAGTAAAAAGCAAGTTTCCTTTTTTCTCTCACCTGCATTTCCAGTCCTGTCTCTAGAAATAAGCATTAAATTGGTGCAAGTCTTTTGGCATTTTTTTATACTTTTATATACACCAGGCATTCCTACGTCAATTTTTTTTGTGTGTGTAAACAGTACCATGCTATAAGTACTATTCTGTGAATGTGTTTTCCCTATCACTGAATATACTGTGTGTGTATATACACTGAATATTCCTGTCAGTATATTCTTAGCAATTATGTGGTATTCTGTAATATCTTTATCATGATTTATACAGTCAGCTATTAATGAAGATGGATGTTCGTAGTTACAAACAGTGCTTAGGTTCCTTGGATTTCTAGGCACACATATAAATGCTTCTGTAATGTACATTTCTGAAAGTGAAATCCTGGGTCAAAAGGCATGTAGATTTAAATTTTGATAGATTACCAAATTATTCTTCAGAAAAGCTGTAGCAGTTTACAGTTTCACCAAGAACCACCCCTGATGGTTGACTTACTTTCTTTAGGCTTATTTTAAGCATGAGTTTTTCTCCAAATACTTTAGTCAGATCTCTTAGATTTTTATGTGTAATACTCATTTTGTTTGTATTTGAGTAATTTTCACATAGGAAGAGTTAAGGAGAGATATCTAAGTAGGTGGATGGATTGTGTTATTTTTTATTAATTTTTAATTTCACTACAGAGAATTCAGAGAATATGATCTGTAGGTTCCAGCATTGATTTATTTTTCTGTGTAGCCTTACATAGGATTAGCTTATTTAAGTATTCCATAGGTTTCAAAAATGTGTTTATTCTCTGGGTAGAAATTTGTGTATATATATTTGACAATTAAGCATATTATTTAAATCATTTTTATTTTTTCAGCGCTTGATTTATCCATATCCAAAAGACCTATTAGTCTTTTAATGTGGAACTTGCTAACTTGCTGTTGTTTCCAAGTTTTTGCCTTAAGTATTTTTAACATTTTGTTATTTATATTCTTCTGTCATATCAAACTTCCATGTGTTTCTAATTTCCTTAAATGAATCACAGAAATAATACAACTACTTATTGAGCACTTAATGTGTACCAGGCACTGTGCTTAGATTTCACATATATTACCTAATTTAGTCCTCATAGTTCATACTCTTATACTAATTTGATATGTAAGAAAACAGAAAATGCAAGTATCTTGCTCACTGTAATTATAGAATTATAATAATGGAATTATACAGTATGTATTCTTTTTAGATTGGCTTCTTTCGCTCACCAGCGTACATTGGTCTCTGTCTTTTCATGGTTTGGGAGCTGATTTCTTTTTGGTGCTGAGTGATATTCCATTTTCTGGATATACCACAGTGTATTTATCCATTCAACTACTGAAGGACATTGTGGTTGCTTCCACGTCTTGGCAATTATAAATAAAGCTGCTGCAAATACCTGTGTGTAAGACTTTGTTTTTAACTTAGCTGGGTAAACATCAAGAAGGGCAATTGCTGGATCATTGCCTTGTGTCCTCACTGCTCTTAAAGATCAGATTTGTTCAGCTTTTTACTTCTTAGAATGGAGTGGCGACTTCCAAGCTCCTTATGTATGGAACCAGAAAAAGCAGACTGAGTTCTCAACTACTTTTTGGTACCCATTTTTTCTGCCTCCTTACCCTGAATGAGACTGGGCTCTTTGAGGATCATTTCCCCTGTGGCATATAGCTCAAGGGGGAGCTTTTGTTTCACCTTATGAGCCTCAAGGTGGGGAGATGGTCTTGGTTACTTTCCTTATTTCTCATCGAGGTTTGTGTTAAAGCTTTCTGTTTCTTTGGGATCTTCCAATTTATAAGGAAATAGAAATCACTTTAGTTCAGAATAAATTCTTCTAAAAGTTAAATATAAAGTTCTCAATTATAGGAAAAAATAATTAAGGTCTCTTTGATTTGGCTTTTCTAATTGAATTCGATTCTAGGGGAAGAAGTGTTTTGATTTTCCTCCTTCCTTGATTCTAAGATAAGATCTACTCTGAAACATATAATCAGATTTGATTTGAGGGAGGTAAATAGTACAGTCAATTACATTTTGATTATGAGACATTTGTTTTTAGAAATATTGGGGGGGCAAAATTGTGTCTTAGAATTGAGGAAATTGAACACTTATCAATCTGTTAAGAAAGATTTGCTTTGCCCAGAGCCAACTTAAAAAGAAAACTACAACTAACAGAAATAACTCAAGAATAAATGTGGAGTTGAGAACTAGAGAAACACATTACACAGGAGCAATGTTGAATTGGAATCAGAAATTATTTTTTTCTTGGCCAAATGATACCCTTTATTTGCAGTGTTTACTTTGATGGAGATCACCCAGTTAGTGTAGCTATGGTTCACATTGTAATTGGTCTTAAAAAAAAAGGAAACCTAATCATTTATCTTTAAATTGCAGTTTTCCCACACATTTGATAAGTTTTTAAACTTTCATAACCATGGGTAAAGTTTCTTGAAATACAAAACAGCTTGGTTTTAATGCCACTTGGGAATTGAATTAGAAAGCTTTGGTCCATAATTTCAGTGTTAAGTAGTCTAGGAATTGATGGAAGTTAATTTATTATTTATGTATCCCCTGATATGTTAAATATCTCATAGCTGAGTTCAGGGTATACAGCGTATTGCTTCACATAGTCAATGTTAAGAATTTAAAAGATAAAGAAAAAATCCAATGGGAAAAAGTATTATCTTAACTGAAAGTATAATTAGGTATTTGCTAATTTTTAAAGAGTATTAAAAAAGCAGAAACCATTTAGAAATTTGATAGTAGATAGTAGTATGAGGTGTACATACTGTTTAGAATAAAGGGAGAAACCTTCATCACTGTTTCCAAAAAGGAAAGTTACTCAAAAAAAGGGGGGTGGGGTGGTGGCAAATAGTCTAGTCCTTAACTAGGAAAACCATGAACCACTTTTATTTCTTTTTTTTTGGGACAGAGTCTTGCTCTGTCACCCTGGCTGGAGTGCAGTGGTGTCATCTCAGCTCACTGCAGCCTCTTCCTCCTGGTTCAGGCAGTTCTCTTGCTTCAGCCTCCTGAGTAGATGGGATTACCAGGCATGTGCCACCGGGACAGGGTAATGTTTTTGTATTTTTAATAGAGACAGGGTTTTGCCATGTTGCCCAGGCCTGTCTTGAACTCCTGAGCTGAAGTGATCCCTCCGCCTCGGCCTCCCAAAATTCTGAGATTACAGGCATTAGCCACCACGCCCAACCCCCACTTTTATTTCTGATTTTAGTAATTTGAGTCTCTCTCTTTTATTCTCAATCTAGTTTATGGTTTGTCAGTTTTGTTTATTCTTTTGAAGAACCAACAATTGGTTTTGCTGATTTCTGTTCTTTTTTTGAGACAGAGTCTAGCTCTGTCGCCAGGCTGGCGTGCAGTAGTGCGATCTTGGCTCACTGCAACCTCCGCCTCCCAGATTCAAGCAATTCTCCTGCCTAAGCCTCCTGAGTAGCTGGGATTACAGGCATGCCCTGCCACGCCCAACTAATTTTTGTATTTTTAGTAGAGACGTGGTTTCACATTGTTGGCCAGGATTATCTCAATCTCCTGACCTCATGATCTGCCCACCTCAGCTTCCCAAAGTGCTGGGATTACAGGCATGAGCCACCGCACCTGGCCGATTTCTATTCTTTTGGTTTTCTTTTTCTTTTTTTTTTTTTTTTGAGACAGAGTTTCGCTCTTGTTGCCCAGGCTGGAGTGCCAATGCACGATCTCGGCTCACTGCAACCTCCGCCTCCTGGGTTCAAGCGATTCTCCTGCCTCAGCCTCCCAAGTAGCTGAGATTACAGGCATGCGCCACCACACCCAGCTAATTTTGTATTTTTAGTAGAGACGGGGTTTTACCATGTTGGTCAGGCTGGTCTTGAACTCCTGACCTCAGGTGATCTACCCTCCTCAGCCTCCCAAAATGCTGGGATTACAGGCGTGAGCCACCACACCCTGCCGTTTCTATTCTTAAAATCTCTTTTATTTATCTCCGCTCTAATCTTTGTTTTTTCTTGTTTTTGCTAGCTTTGAGTTTAGTTTGCTCTTCTTTTTCTAGTTCCTTATGGTGTAAACATAGGTTGTTTTTTTAAAATCTTCATTTTTATATAAGTGTTTACAACTATAAATTTCCTTCTCAGCACTGCTTTTTCTGTATTCCGTAAGTTTCGGCATGTTGGGTTTTTATTTTTATTTTGTCTCAGGGTGTATTCTAATTTCCCTTGTGATTTCTTTGATTCATTGGTTGATAAGAATATGTTGTTAGATTTCCAAATATTTGTCAGTTTTCCTAGTTTCCCTCCATTACTGATTTTTAGTTTTGTTTTATTATAATGGGAAAAAATGCTTTGTTTGATTTCACTTCTTTAAAATTTATTAAGACTTGTTTCTTTTAGTCATTCCTGAAAAATGTTTTACATGTCCTTGAGAAAAGTGTGTAGACTGCTGTTGTTGGATGCAGTGTTTTGTCTATGTCTGTTAGCTTCAGTTGATTTACAGTTTTCTTCATATCCTGTATTTCCTTGTTTATTTTCCGTCTAGTTGTTCCGTCCGTTATTGAAACTGGAGTATTGAAGTCTCCAACTATTATTATAGAACTGTCTGTTTCTCCCATTAATTCTACCAATCTTTGCGTTACATAATTTAAAGTTCTGATGTTTGGTGTATGTTTTTAATTGTTACATCATCTTGGCAAAGTGACCCATTTATCAACATTTGAAGTCCTTTGTCTTTGATGATAGTTTTTGACTTGAGACTATTTTGTCTGATATTAGTGTGGCTTCTCTACCTTTCTGGTTACTATTTGCATGAAGTATCTTTTTCCAACCTTTTACTTTGAACCTATGTGTTTTCTTAGATCTACAATGTGTCTTTTACAGATACGCAGTTGGGTCATGTCATTTTATCTATTATGACATTCTGTGCCTTTAATTGGGAGAGTTTAATCAATTTACATATAAATACTTATAAGGAAGAACTAACTTGCCATTTTGTTTTCTGTATGTCTTTTAGCTGTTTTGTCCTTCATTTCTTCCATTACTGCCTTTGTTTGTGTTTACTTGATTTTTTGTAGTGACACAATTTGATTCCCTTCTCTTTTTTTTTTTGGTATATTTTATAGAAATTTTCTTTGGTTATTATAGGGATAATATATAATATCCTAAAGTTATTACAGTCTCAATTTTTTATACCAATCTAACTTAAATCACATTGAACAACTACACGTCCACTGCTCTGTCCCTCTTTTATGTTATTGATGTCGTAAATTACATTATTATACATTATGTACCTATTAACACAGATTCATGATTTTTTAATGCATTCGCCTTTAAAAACTCATAGAAAATATAAGGTGAACTTGCAAACCAAAATTATAATAATACTGGTTTTTATATTTGCCCTTGCATTTACCTTTACGGGATCTTTATATCTTTATATTGCTTTGAGTTACTGTCTAGAGTCCTTCTATTTCAACCTGAAGGACTACCTTCAGTATTTCTTGTAGTACATGTGTAGTGATAATGAACCTCCCTCAGGTTTTGTTTACTGGGGAATGTCTTTATTTCTACCTTGTTTTTAATGGTCAGTTTTGCCAGATACAGAAGTTGCATTTGACATTTATTTTCTTGTAGCACTTTAAATGTATCATTGCACTGCCTTCAGGCCTCCAAGGTTTCTGCCAAAAAGTTGGCTTATAGTCTTATTTGAGGATTCTGTCTATGCAGTGAGTTGCTTCTCTTTTGCCACTTTCAAGATTCTGTCTTGGCTTTTGACAGTTTGATTGTAATCGTGTTGGTATTGGTTGTGAGTTTTTCTTATTTGGAGTTTGTTGAGATCCTTGGATTTGTAGATTCATCAGTTACATCACCTTTGGGAAGTTTTTTCCTTCATGTAATCTCTGTTCATTTCTCTTCCTCTGAAACATCCATTGAGTATATATTGGTCCAATTGATTTATTTCATAATCTCTTGGGCTCTGTTTAATTTTCTTCTTTCTTTTTTCTTTCTGCTCAGATTTGATAATTTCTGTTGTCTTCAGATTTGCTGAGTTTTTTCTTTTGCCTACTCAGTTCTGCTATTGAACCTATATAGTGAAATTTTCAATTATTGTATTTTTCAGCTCTACAGTTTGTTTTTATAATTTCTCTTTATTGATATTCTCATTTTGCTCATTATTTTCCTGATTTCCCTTCACTTTTTTCTTTAGCTCTTTGGGCATAGTTCAGACAGCTGCTTTAAAGTCTGTCTAATAAATCTAATATCTGTATTTCTTCAGGAATGGTTTCTGGAAATTTTTGTTCCTTGGAATGGGCTATGTTTTCCTATACCTTGTTGCATGCCTTGTGATGTTTTTTGAAAACTGAGTATTTGAAAGAGTCACCTCTCTTCAGTTGCACACTGGCTGTGTACTACTGGGGCATTTCTCTGCTGATTAGTTGAGCATGCCCTTAACGTAGTGATCACCCTAAGGTGAAAGCTTAAGGTCTTCTTTTCTGAGCATTTGTGTTGCCTAGGCCTGTGGGTCGCTTTCTCAATTCCTCCTGTATGCATGGCTGCTTTTGAATGTCTTAATTTCCCAAAGAGTCTCACCTGGATACTCAGATGGTCTATTGTATCTACCCACTGTAATCTTATGCCCCAAACATCTATTGTGTCCCCTTGCAGCTTTCATAAATGGTGCCCATTGCTTCTCTCACCCAATGAGGTCCCAGTTAGGCAAAACAGGAATCAGTTCTTCTGGCAGACCAGAGAGGTTAAAATGTTACAAGTTAGGTCTGCACTCTTGCCGCTCATTTGAAGGGAATGAATTGGGAATTGGTTTGCTGCCTCCTTGAGACCCAGATAAACTGCAGAAGGGGTGGGACAAGATCACAGAAAAATGTCACAAAAGTTTTGCATATTTTTTTTCTTAATTGGGCATTTGCTTCATTCTGTAGACCTTTGTTTTTCACAGGTCCTGTAAGGTTAATTCAACTAATTTCTGGTTGTTTTTGGTGTTTCTGTGAGGGAATGAGGCTTTGAGCTTTTTAGTTTGCCGTTTTGCTGATGCCACTCAATAATACTTTTTAAATTATGAAAATAGCAGAATCATATTGAAGGAAGTTTACAGCACCCAGAAGTATAACAAACTAAGAAAAATCATCCGTATTGTACTATCCACAGAGTAGCCACTATTTACATTTTGGTGTGTTACCTTTCAGACTTCTATTTTTCTTCCTCTCTCTTTTCCCTTTGTCCTCTGTCATCTTGTTCCCCCACTCCTCACCACAAATAAAAAGGGGTAAAAAACTAAAAAAAACCTCTAAACACAATTTATTGAGTACAGTGTTAATTTTTTAATTAGCATACTTTTGTTTTTAATTTCCCAAAACATTATTGTATATACTAAAATTATCATTTATATTTCCAAAAAGAAATATTGTAGATATTTCTGATAACATCCAAATGCTTGGGTTTTATTCTAATCTTTCTGCTTTCAAGGTATAAGAGTTAAGAAAGAATCGAGTGTGGCCAACCCATGTTACTTTCCTGTGACTTAGACATTTTTGCATTTTTACATCTAGTAAAAATTGGCACGCTCTCAGTCAAAGGGGTAAGCCCAGACCACGTGGAAAGGATCTTACCTCTTTTGAGAGCTAATATAAAAAGAATTCCTCCTAGACATAAAAATATTGTGACATCAGTTACTTAGGCTAAGCATGCCTATTATTCTAAGTGAATTATTAACAATAAATACTTTAACTCTGTGCCGTGTTGTCATAATATGGTTTATAATTTATTTTAACCTTAGGTTATATATACCTTGAAGCCATTTATATTTTCATATACTTGTAATAGTTACTATATACTAGACTATGTATGTTAGACTAGACATGGAGAGTCAAAAAAGAGTACGTGATCAGAGTACAAATCATGCCCTAGCTTCCCTTCATGTCTACCTCCTACCTCGAGTAGAAGCAATATAAAAAGTAATTACCTAAGATTTTTTGGATTCTGGTTTGGGAGAAGCACCCTTATATTTAGGCTGATGGGTGGCTGAATTAGAAAGTATGTTTTGTGATTTAGAATTTTATACGGAGATGTTCATTGTGATTAATTCTTTGTATTAGCAGATTTTTGCTTTTTATAGTTGCATGATTTCTTGTTTTGATCATTCATTATTGTCTATTAGTAAAGAAAAACTTTATTTCACTCAAGCAGCGACATATAATCCAACTTGGATTTTTTAATAATGACATTTTTCTTTGGGAATAACATTACTGTTAAAAATGTAGATTATTAGATACATTACTTTTAATGAATATAAGTGGTATAATTAGAAGACTGAAAAGAATCCCTGGAAACATGAGTCTGATTTGATAGCTAAGCAACTGAGGACAAGATACTTATTCTCTGTAGCATATTTTCTAATGTCATTTCATTGTCTCACCAAGAAGTACTTGCATAAGGCAAGTTTGATTATAGCATCTGTTGAATATTTAAGATTGCGTAAAGTGGGTGAGTTTAACAGATATTTTCCCTTATTTCTTTTAGGTGAATCTGGATTGGGAAAGTCGACATTAATCAACTCATTATTCCTCACAGATTTGTATTCTCCAGAGTATCCAGGTCCTTCTCATAGAATTAAAAAGACTGTACAGGTATGGATATTAGTATTGTTAATTGATAAGCTGGAATAATATTAATACACACAAAGCACATGTTGTAACTTTTATTAGGCTTCCTTAGAGGTAAGATGCAAATTTGTCCTTAGCCAGTGTATGATGGTAAATATGACTTCATAAAATTTAAAAAAAAAAGTACAGTTCATCAGAAGAATTATCTTGGCTAGAACTTCCCAAATTTGTCTAGAGGACTCTCCTAGAGATGACACTGTGACATAGTAACCAATTCCCCTGGAGTTGTGCTATCTAGTATGGTAGTCATTTGCCACATGTTTAAATAAATTAAAATTAGTTAAATTAAAAATGCAATTTCTCATTTGCTCCAGATACATTTCAAGTGCTCAACAGCCCATGTGGCAAGTGGCTGCCATTTTTTGCAGCACGTATATGAAGATTTTCATCATTGCAGAAAATTGCATTAGATGGTGTAGAGAAAACGTGATTTATAGAAAAGCTATTGTGATTTAAATATAGTGTTCTATATTAGTCAGTGGGATAATACCATATCATAGTTGAATGGCAATAGCGATTCTGTAAGACTCCCAAGGTATATGTGATCTGATTTACTAGTTCTCAGTCTTTGCTATGCATTCCAATCCTCGGTATCCTGTTAAATTTAGTTCTTCTAGTAGGTCTGAGATGGGCTGCAATTTCTACATTTCTAACAAGATCACAGGTGATGCTGATGCTGCTGGATGGTAGATCACACTTTATAGAGCAAGGGGCTAGATTCTAGATATGTACTTTTTATTAAATAGTACAGCAGCCTGTAGCCACATGTGGCTATTAATCTTTGAAATGTAGGTGGTCTGAATTGTGATGTTCTGCAAATATAAAATATACCACAGATGTCTAAGACTGAGCATGGAAAAAAAAATCTCAATAATTTTTTATATTGATTGTATACTGCAGTGATAATATTTTGGATGTATCAGGTTAAATAAAATTGATTGATTTCACCTTTTTCCTATTTTAAAAGTGGCTAAGAAAATTATAAATTATATGATTGATATGGTATTTTTGTTTGTCAGCACTGCTCTAAACTGTTGATTAAAAATATTGTTGGTGAGCTCTGCTTATGTGATATATAGGACATGAGCAGAGAGGAGGCAAGTGAACAGTTCTGGCTGGAGTTGGCTTCATTCAGGCAGTGATGCTTTTAGCTGGATTTGAAGAAGTGGTAGTGATCATCCCAGTGCACAGGATGGAGGGACAGTCTGTATATTCTGGGCAGTAACTCATATATCAAACTATAAGATGCAGTTTAGTAACTAGATCCCAAAGGAGTAATTTTGTGAAGTGAATTTCTTATTTCTCCTTCTCAATGTTTCTATTTTAGGATTTTTTTTTTTTTTGGTAACCTTTATAGGGCTTGAGATTTAAAATTACCTGCAAAATTATGCTCTAAAAACTTGTTCCTACATGCTTATTTATTTTGTGATAAATATTGGAAATTTTAATCCTAAGCAAGAAAATGAACTTTGAACTTTCTTAATTTGGGTATCTATTAGGAATACCTTAATTTAGGTATTTATGAATTTAGATATGCAAGATAAAACT